>NC_000016.10:635000-1260000 GCF_000001405.40 Homo sapiens | reverse complement strand
GGCTCGGGGACTGGCCTTCACCCTCCCACCTGCCCTCGCCCGCCCTGCCTGTCACTCCCGGGGATGAGGGTCGGGAGGATCCCCACAGGGCAAGGGCTTCAGGGCAAACCCAGGCTCTGAGCCTCCGCGCAGAAACCACATCTGGGTTTATACTTTCTCCCACGCCCCTGGTCTTTCCAGAGTGGGGCAGAGCAGAGCAGTTGGGGCGCCCCAGCTGGGGGAGTCACTGCACTTCAAGGCAGTGGGGGAAAGACTCCCGGGGTGTGGACGGGTAGGGCACTGCCCTTTCTTTCCCGGGGAGCTGGCTGCCTCTGACACTCCTCATGCTTCCCTTCCTGGGAGAAAGCGGGGAGCCCCAGGCCAGGTTGCCGGCTGCTCTAAACCCAGGGTGAGACCTGCTGGACACAGCCCAGGGCCTCAGGGGACGTGACCACAGCCCGCGTCCCAGGGCGCTCTCGGCGGGGGTCCAGGGTCCAGCTGCACCCCGCCACCTCCCAGGGGGCTCCTGGGTCTCCCACACTGCCCTGGCTCCCTGGGCTTTCTAAGACAGGCAGCGGGCAGTGATCAGTGCCATTCCCAAGTCCTCCGAGCCACGTCCCCGCCCAGCCGGACCCCGCTGGACCCTGCTCTGCCCTGGCAGCGTTCAGAGTCCCTCCCTTGCAGCCCCTGATCTGTGCGACTCACAGGACACCAAGACCCAGACGGGAAGCCGAGCACTCACACCCTCAGTGCGGCCACGGCAGGCTTCCGTGTTTGACGGAGAAATCACCTCCCGCTGCCGGGAGGAGACCGAAATTAATTGCTCCTCCTCCAAACCGGGAGCCACCTGTGCCCCCACTCGCCGACCAGGGCAGCTGAGGAGGCCCCACCCCACAGTGACTAGTTGTGCCTCGGGGTCCAGGACCCCGCAGCTCCTGCAGCTGCCCCGAGACATGCCTAGACCCTTCCTCCCCCGTGACACCCACGACCAGAAACACAGTGACGGCCACACCTGCTTTCCATCATGCACTTTAATGAGAGTCAGCACTAGAGAGGATGGGCGTCCACCACCAGCTGCCTGGGCAGGGGAGGGCCGGAGGGGCCGGGAGGGGCGGATTCAGGGTTGGGGAGGAGGCTCAGGATGGAGGAGGGGGCAGGATGGAGGAGGGGGCTCAGGATGGAGGAGGGGCTCAAGAAAGGGGAGGGGGCTCAGGATGGAGGAGGGACTCAAGAAAGGGGAGGGGGCTCAGGATGGAGGAGGGACTCAAGAAAGGGGAGGGGGCTCAGGGTGGGGGAGGGGGCTCAAGAAAGGGGAAGGGGCTCAGGGTGGGGGAGGGGCTCAGGATGGGGGAGGGGATCAAGAAAGGGGAGGGGGCTCAGGACAGGGGACAGGGCTCAGGATGGGAGAGGGGACTCAGGATGGGGGAAGGTGTGGGGGGCAGTCACCACCTGGGTAGGAAGCAGTGGTGGTTTGGACAGGAGGGGCTGGCCCTCCAGTGACCCGGGTGGACACCCCAGGCCTGGCTCAGGGCTTCTTGGGGACATAGTGGTGGATCCAGTCCAAGTAGTAGGTGACACGGGTGTAGATGCCAGGCCGGTTGGGCTGGGCACAGCTCTCCTCCCAGCTGACCACGCCCGCCTGCAGTTAGGTGCCATTCACCTTGCAGACCAGGGGCCCTCCAGAGTCACCCTGGGAAGGTCAGAGGTCAGTGCTCGCTGGCCAGGCTTCGGGGGTCAGGATGAGGGATGCGCTCGCTGGCCAGGCTCCGGGGATTGGGGTGGGGGACGCGAGGGCCCACCTGGCAGGAGTCGTGATTTTCGCTCCCCGCACACAGCATGTCATCGCGGACGATTTGAAAGCTGTGGCCCGTATGGAGGCCGGTGTGATATTCCGCGTTGCAAAGGTGGTTTTCCACTACGGGGACTTCCACCTCCTTCAGCGGGTATGGCGGCGGCAGGTGCACTGGGGGCGGAGGGGGGCGTGGAGCCGGGTCTGGGGCCGGCTGGGTGCTGCTTCGTGGACTTGGTGGCAGAGTCACGGGCAGGGGAGATGGCACCATGGGCCCAGTGCTGTTCTGTGCCTGCAGCCCCGGGGAAGGGGCGGTGAATGCAGTCCAGGCCCCTCCGCTGAGGCTGGTCCTGGGTCCCTGGCCTCATTTAAGCCCCATCTGGGGAAGGGAGGGGAGGGCCCTGGAGGTTGCCAAGCTGGGCTCCATGGCACGGGGGTGCAGAGCCCGACCCGTGTCTCCCCCTGGGCTCAGCTGACTTTCGTCTGGGCTAGGCCCATGGTCCACGGTTGGCCCTAGCCGAGGGGAACACAGGGCGCTGGGCTCAGCTTCCCCGCTGTGTGGGGCGGAATAGCGGGACAGTGGCTCAGGCCCCTTCTGAGTGACCCAGAGGTCACAGCCCAGGGTTGCCGCTCAGGCTGTACCCCAAAGCTTTGCTCTGAATTGTGGATAAAATGGGGACAAGACCTTCTAGAAGTGAAAATGTGCCTCGTGGAGGGCCACAGTGAGCTTCGTCCAGCCCCCCACAGCACTGCCACGACCCCGATTCCCAGGCCCCTGCCTTGTCTGTAGCACAGGGATGGAGGGCAGGCAGGTCTCATCCCAGCACCGGTCTCTCTCCTTCCAGCAAGACCCCCGTGTGATTTCTCTCTCCACATAGCAAGTCCGTGACGTACAAACTTTTGATGCACCCTTTCAGGCAAGGGGAAACCGAGGCACGGAGGTGCTAAGGGACTCTCCAAACCCCTGGGGTGGGGGACGCCCAGGCCCTTTGGACTCACCGTCTCTGCTCAGGGCACCTGCTGCCTCTCGCCACCGCCTGCTCCATCCATCCTGGCCTCCACAGTCCCCCTCCCTGAGCCGCCCTGAGGGACCCTGTCACCCCACGGACTGGCCTGTGGCTGTGACTTGGTGCCCACCTGGCCCGGCCTCCCGCTGTCCCCAACACCCACCATTATTGTCCACGTCGCCCCAGCCAGTGACCCAGCACGGCATCCCCGGGGGGAAGGTCTCCGAGGCAGGGGGCAGCGTGACCGTGTGGATGTGGCTGGAGATGTTCACGGGCTCCTCCAGCTCCAGCAGGGCGATGTCCGCCCCGGTCTGGATGATGTAGAACTGTGGGTGCACGATGATCCTGCTGACCGGCAGCAGCTGGTCCTGGTAGTAGAGGTGCTGCTCCCGCAGTTGCACCCTGAGGGCGGCCAGATCCTTGATGTCCCTGGGCAGCGGAGGATCCCACTCAGGGCCCTGGGCAGCCCCCAGGAGCACCCGGGAGCCAGGGCTCACATCCAGCCCTTGCCCACCCCTCCAGGCCCCAGGAGACTCACGGTTCCACGCAGTGCGCCGCGGTTAGCACCCACTGGGGGTGGATGAGGGAGCCCCCGCAGAAGTGCATCCAGTATGGGCCGCGGACTCTCAGGCTCACCTGCCAGGGCCACTTGCTCCTGGGGGCCTCCTGCCCCCCAACAATGCCCGTTTGCTGCAGGGCCTGGCCTGGGGCTGGGGCAGGTGCCAGGTCAGGACCAAGAAGCCGCCCCACGCCTGGGACCAGCCCTTCCCTGTGTGGGGGCCAGCCCGGCCTCCCCAGAACCCACCCAGGCCCTGATCTGTGGAATGTGGTGAGGGGCAGGGTGGACCCCGGCTGGGACTCACCAGGGGCCACGTAGGCCGGGCTCGCCAGGACGGGCAGCGCCAGCAGCAGCAGGCTCAGCATCTGGGGAGCAAGGAGGAGCATCGTGGGCCTGGCCGGGCCTCACAGGGCAGGGCTGGGGGCTACAGATTGTGGGGTGAAGAATGGAGCTGGGACGGGGGGACCGGGGTGGGTCCAGGCCTGCGGGCCTGGGTCTTGGTGCTCTGAGTCTGAGGCTGGGCCACTCTGCTCCAGGTGACGCTGATGTCAGGGTCTCTGAGAGTAGGGACTTACCCTGGCCACTCCCTGTTCCTTCTACCCAGCGGGCTCTCCCCTCCCCATTTATGCTTCCAGATCAGGAGGGGGCGGAGGAGGGGCGCTGGGTCCTCCCATCCAGACTCGGAGGAAGTGGATGACTCAGACCCAGGGCCCCCGTGTAACACATGCCCCCGCCACCCCGATGCCCTCTGTGTGTGGGGCTGCCAGGCAGGCCCCGCCGAGGGCTGAGCACTGGAGGCTCGCAGCTCCACCTGTCAGCTGGTGGATCCCAGCACTGGAACCCACCACCTTCCCGCTGGTGGGATCTGCTCCTGCCCCTGTCTCGGTGCCAGGAGGCCTTCAGGCATAGCTGCACCCAGGTGGCCTGGCTGCCCCAGGCTACAAGACCCGTCGCTCCTGAAACCTGTTTCCCCAAGAGGGACACGGGGTGAGGAACTCATGTCCATGGGCCACCCTCCAAGAGACGGGAAGGTGCCCACGGGGTGGGGACATGACGGGTGACACCCCTCCTACGGACTCCGAATCCACGGGGGTGGGGCCAGCCCTCCTCGACTCACTTGGTTGGGGGCTCACATGAGACCCCTTTGTCAGATGGGGAAACAGCCTTGAGAGGGGACAGCACCAAGTGTCCTCAGCCAGGAAGGGGCCCTGCTCCCCACCTCCCGTATGAGACCCAAGTCCTCCAACGATTCCTCAATGTCCACCTCTGGGGCTGTCCGTGCAGGTCCCCTGGTCTGCAGGTGCCTTCTTATCATGGGATCTGAGCTTCATCCGCAGAGGGAAGGGCAGACAGGAGTGCAGGTGCAACCCCAGGAGACCCAGCCCAGCTCCCCATGGACTCACCCCCAGCCCCAGCCCAGCTCCCCATGGACTCACCCACAGCCCCAGCCCAGCTCCCCATGGACTAGTCCCAGCCCCAGCCCCAGCTCCCCATGGAGTAGTCCCAGCCCCAGCCCCAGCTCCCCATGGACTCACCCACAGCCCCAGTCCAGCTCCCCATGGACTCACCCCCAGCCCCAGCCCAGCTCCCCATGGACTCACCCCCAGCCCCAGCCCAGCTCCCCATGAACTAGTCCCAGCCCCAGCCCAGCTCCCCATGGACTAGTCCCAGCCCCAGCCCAGCTCCCCATGGTCTCACCCCCAGCCCCAGCCCAGCTCCCCATGGACTAGTCCCAGCCCCCGGCCCCAGCTCCCCATGGACTCACCCCCAGCCCCAGCCCAGCTCCCCTTGGTCTCACCCCCGGCCCCAGCTCCCTGTGCTCTCCATCCCATTCAGCGCTGACACTGTCCCTGCAGCTCCGTCCACCCCACCTCCTGACTCACCTGGGCCTGTTGGTCACTGGGGCCTCCAGCCCACCTCCTCTGCTTCTGAGCCCCAGGACCCCCTGCCTGCCCCCCGACCCCCAACACAGGGCCACTCCGGGGCTCCTCCTGCCCCCACCCTGCCTGGGACCAGCCTGGTTTGAGGCTGACTCTGCACTGCGGGGCCATATCCATCTGGACTCCTTCCGGGCTGCACCCCCCGGGGGACAGGCAGGGGTGGCCCAGACCGCTCCTGCTCATGACCCTGCTTCTCCTCCATTCTCTGGACAAACTCCCCAGAGGCCTCCACCTGCCCCGTCCTGGTTCCATGAATGAGGCCCACAAGATGGGACCTTCAGGAGCCCAGGAGGTGAGGGGATGGGGTGACGGGGGACACCAGGGATGAGGGTGTGGCAGGGACACGGGAGACACCAGGGCTGACGGTGAAGAAGAGACTCAGGGGACACCAGGGCTGGGAGAACCCAGGGACACACGGGGACACCGGGGCTGTGGTGTGCAGAGGGCTCTGGGACCCCCGAGTCAGGGGCTCTGGGGCCGCTCCTCCTAGGAATGCTCCGATTGGGTCAGGCCTGGGAGGCGGACCAATCAGCACCATGGGGATGCGAGAGCCTTGATTGGCTAACACTGGGCCAATCAGGGCGCGTCCTGGGCACCCCGCCCCGATCCCCGGCCGCTCCCCTGGGGCTGCTGCAGGGCTGGGGTCCCAGGCCATTGACAGACACTGGGCAAGAGGCCACGTGGGGCAGTGTCCCCGAGAGAAGGGTGGGGAGTCGGGTGAGACGACAGTGGCCGCGCCCAGACTCAGGGCAGCGATGGGAAACTCAGCCCCAGGAGCTTGCTGGGCTGGGGAGACGCACCTGGCGCGTGCAGAGGCCCCGGCAGCCATGACTCACGAGGCGGAGAACTGCACGGAGAGCTCCGGGCATCCGCAGGGGGTTCCCCCCGGCGTCCTCGGCCGAGTGCCGGAGATGCAGAGAGACGTGGGAGCCGCGTCGGAAACGAGAACCACCAGATGAGAGGGGCGGAGTCCGGGAGTGCGCGCGGGGCTGGGGATATCGCGTGTTCCCAGCAGCTGAGTGGAGAAACCTTGTCAGAGGCAGGCACTGGAGAGTCCTCGGAAGGGTATGGAAGGGTACGAGGGGAGAAAGTAATCCCGAAACCAAAGGCTTCTCCGGACCCACCCTCACAAAGCTGAAAAGCAAAGCGCAGACGGATCCAAATGATTGCAAGTGACTTAACTGCCTGTGAGAACACATCTCAAAACGATGTCAAGGAATAGAACACAACCCAGCACGCAACAAAACACTCCAGAGAGTACTCACGAGATCCGGGGGCTAGTCAAGAACGAGCGGGTGGCCGGGCACGGTGGCTCACGCCTGTCATCCCAGCACTTTGGGAGGCCGAGGTGGCAGATCGTGAGGTCAGGAGAACGAGACCAGCCTGGCCCACATGGTGAAACCCCGTCTCTACTAAAAATATAAAAATTAGCCGGGCGTGGTGGCACGTGCCTGTAATCCCAGCTACTCGGGAGGCTGAGGCAGGAGAATCGCTTGAACCAGGGAGTCAGAGGATGCAGTGAGCCGAGATCGTGCCACTGCACTCCAGTCTGGTGACAGAGCAATACCGTGTCTTAAAAAAAAAAAAAAAAGCAGGCATGAAAAAGGATGACCTCCCAATAAAAAAAATCAATCATGTTCGGGCGTGGTGGTTCACGCCTGTAATCCTAGCACTTTGGGAGGCCGAGGCGGCTGGATCACCTGAGGTCAGGAGTTCAAGACCAGCCTGGCCAACGTGATGAAACCCCATCTCTACTAAAAATACAAAAATTAGCTGGGCGCGGTGGCTCACGCCTGTAATCCCAGCACTTCGGGAGGCCAAGGCGGGTGGATCACCTGAGGTCAGGAGTTCGAGACCCCCCTGGCTAACACAGTGAAACCCTGTCTCTACTAAAAATACAAAAAATTAGCCGGGCGTGGTGGCGGGCACCTGTAGTCCCAGCTACTCGGGAGGCTGAGGCAGGAGAATGGCGTGAACCCGGGAGGCGGAGCTTGCAGTGATCCGAGATGGCGCCACTGCACTCCAGCCTGGGCAATGAAGGAGACTCCGTCTCAAAAAAAAAAAAAAAAAGAAATGTGAAAGGAAGTTCTGCAGGAAGAAGATGATAAGAGATGAACATCTAGACCTAGACTAAGGGAAGATAAGCTCTGGAAATGGAAACAGCTGTGACTGTGTAAGACAGTTTTCTCTCTCAAAAAATATTTGAAAGAGAATTGGCAGTTTGAAGCAACAACAGCAAAGCGAGTGCAGGTATCGTGTGGTTTATGGAATACACAAGGGTGCGGCGTGTGCTACAGTAACAGAAGGATCCGGGGAGACTAAAAGCAGGCTGTTGCAAGTTGAAATTGCACGTGAAGTTGTGGTGTTTTGGAATTAATGCACTTTATTTTTTAGAGCAGTTTTAAGTTTACAGACAACTGGGCAGATAGTACAGATCGTATCCCCCCACACACACATCCCCACACACAGAGTTTCCTGTTATGAACATTTTGCATTACTGTGGGTGCATTGTTACAGCTGATGAACAATATTGATACATTATTACTAACGAACTCCCACAGTTTACATGAGGGTTCACTCTGTCTGTTGTACATTCTGTGGGTCGTGGCAAGTGCACAAGTCATGTGTCCACCATTACCGTATTATGCGGAATACATCCCCTGCCCTCAAAATCTCGTGCTCCACTGCCTCTCCCTCTCCCCATCCCCTGGAAACCACGGATATTTTCATTGTCTCTGAAGTTTTGACTTATCCACTATCAACGATACACTATTAACTTTTTCCGACTAGCTTCTTTCACTGAGTAGTAGGCAGTTATGGCCCCTGTATGTCTTTTCAAGGCTTGATAGCTCCTTGCTTTTATTTATTTATTTATTTATTTATTTATTTATTTATTTATTTTGAGACGGAGTCTCGCTCTGTCTCCTAGGCTGGAGTGCAGTGGTGTGATCTCGGCTCACTGCAAGCTGCGCCTCCCGGGTTCACGCCATTCTCCTGCCTCAGCCTCCGAGTAGCTGGGACTACAGGCACCTGCCACCATGCCCAGCTGTTTTTTTTTTTTTTTTTTTTTAGAGATGGGTTTTCACTGTGTTAGCCAGGATGGTCTCAATCTCCTGACCACATGGTCCGCCCGCCTCAGCCTCCCAAAGTGCTGGGATTACCGGCATGAGACACCGCACCCGGCCAGCTCATTGCTTTTTGTCTCTGAATGATATTCCATTGTCTGGATGTACCACAGTTGTTCTACCCATTCGCCTTTTGAAGGACACTTTGGTTCCTTCAACTTTTTGGCAATTATGGGTAAAGATGCTATCAACATCATGTGCAGGTTTTTGTGTGGGCATAAGTTTTCAACTCCTTGGGTAAGTAAATACCTAGAAGCACAATTGCTAGATCATATAGTAAGAGTATGTTTAGCTTTGTAAGAAACTGCCAAACTGTCTTCCAAAGTGGCTGCGCCATTCTGCCTTCTCATCAGCAGTGGATGAGAGTTCCCGTTGCTCCACCTCCTTGTCAGCACTTGGTATTGTCTGTCTTGGGGACTTTAGTCATCCTAACGGGTGTGTAGTGGTATCTCATTGTTATTTTAATTTAATTAATAACGTTTGATGCTGAGCATCTTTTCAGGTGCTTATTTGACATCTCTGTATCTTCTTTGGTGAAGTGTCTGTTCAGATCTTTTGCCCACTTTTTTTTTCTTTTTAATTCTTTCAATCTCTTTGTTAGATTTATCTGATGCCCACTTTTTAATTGTGTTGCTTGTTTTCTTTTTCCTTTTTCTTTTTTTTTTTTTTTTGAGACGGAGTCTCACTCCGTCACCAGGCTGGAGAGCAGTGGCGTGAGCTTGGCTCACCACAACCTCCGACTCCCTGGTTCAGGTGATTCTCTTGCCTCAGCCTCCCAAGTAGCTGGGATAACAGGCGTGTGTCACCACACCCAGCTAATTTTTATATTTTTAGTAGAGACGGGGTTTCACCATGTGGGCCAGGATGGTCTCGATCTCCTGACCTCGTGATCCTCCCACCCTGGCCTCCCACAGTGCTGGGACGACAGGTGTGAGCCACCACACCCGGCCAGGTTGCTTGTGCTGGGATGACAGGTGTGACTCCCTGCCCGGCCGGGTTGCTTGTTCTCTTTAATGTTGACTTTAAGGGTTCTTGGTATATTTTGGATAATCATCCTTTATCAGATATGAGTTTTGCAGAGATATTCTCCCAGTCTGTGGCTTGTCTTTTCATTCTCTTAACAATGTCTCTTGTAAAGCAGAGTTTTAAAAAAAATTTTTTTTGAGATGGGGTCTTGCTCTGTTGCCCAGGCTGGAATGCAGGGGTGCAATCCTAGCTCGCTGAAGCTTCAACCTCCCAGGCTCAAGCGATCCTCCCACCTCAGCCTCCCGAGTAGCCACCGGTCTGTCCGGTTTGGGGGCAGTGCTTTGTCCCGTGAGCTCGGTTCTCAGAAGGCTGTTCAGCTGCGTTTCAGTTGGCCCAGCGTTTCCGATGTGGTTGTGAGGTTGGCTTCCAGTCCCTTCGTATGTCCGAGTGGGAACTGAATGTATAGATATATTTTTTTATTGAGAGCAAATTAAATAAACAGAATGCACAGACCTGAAATGTCCAGTCCAATGAATTGTGATGATTGCCAAACCTGTGTAACCATGGCCCAAAGCAAGACGTATCACCCTAGGGTGTCTACTCCCCGCCCCTTCAGGCAGGTGACCGAGAGGTGAGGAAACCTCTAGGGTGATGAAAATGGCCCGTGCTCCTGTCTCTCCACCTACGTAGGGCTTTGAAATCTCCTCCCAGCAATGTTTGTACTTTTTGGTGTAGAGATCTTGCATGCCTTCCCTTAAATGTATTCCTGGTGTTTGATTTTTTTATTCTGTAGCAAAGGGTATGGATGTTCGCGTTTATCGTCCAATATTCATGGCTGGCGTTTAGAAACACAGTAATCCTTTTGCATATTGGTTTTGTATGTCACAGCCCTGCTAAGTCCATTACTCCAGGGTCCATTATTCCTGGATTTTCTACGCAGCGATCACCGACTTTTCTCTCCCTCCGGAGCGCTGCACTTCCCCGCGTCTCCAGCAGAGGGGGCCCCTGACCATGCAAAGCGGAGCCCGGGCGCGGCCGAGGCAGGCGCTGGGAGGAAGGCGGGGCGTTTGCGGGAGGGCGGGGCGGGGGCGGGGAGGGGGCAGGGCAGGTGCGGGGAGGGGCGAGGAAGGGGCGGAGAGGAGTCAGCTGCCCCGCCCAGCCCACCTGCCCGCTGGGTCGGGTCTCAGAGCCCTGGAGCTTCCAGGGCTGGGATAGGCCTTGCGTGTGACCGTAGCAGGTCACGGCGCCCTCTCTGCCTCAGTTTCCCCACGGGGAGAAGAGGCTGCACTGGGGTGCGAGCCGGGGCTGTGCAGGCCTGGAGCGGGGTCTGCCTCCAGGCCTAGGCTGTGGCCATCGCCCTCCACCCCTCTGGGAGGAGGGAGCTGGAGGGGCTCATGCAGGTCAGGGGCCAAGGGTCAGAGGTCGGGGGAGGAAGAGCCACTGCGGCTGGCCCAGAGGTCACTTAGCCACCAGATGCAGGAGACAGCCAAGAGGAGGACGAGTTGGAGGAGGAGGAAGAAGTCCCCCGGGAGGGGGCCTGGGGAGCCGCCTGAGCCCCCGATGCTGGGATGCGGCGGTGGGGCCGGCTCACCCAGGCAGAGAGGAGGGTGTAGACCCCTGGCCAGCGCCCGCAGCTGTAGCTCTTGACCCAGCTCATGACGCCAACCTGCCCTCAGGAACCATGCGCCTGGCAGACCAGAGGCCCTCCCGAGTCACCCTGAGGGCAGAGAAGGCAAGGACTAGGAGGTGGGGGGTCCCGTTTCTGGGCTCCGGCACCCCCACGCTCCGTGGCCAGCCTGGCTCATCAGGTTGCTCTCGTCGGGGAACCGCAGAGTGAAGCCGCAGGGAGAACCCACTTCACACCCACCGAAACGGCCAGAAGCTTTTTAAACAGTCAAGCTCTGCTCACATCTCCACCCCACCCCTTCCCTTTCCCTCCAATAGATTCTGTCCTAAAGCCTAGCATGGGGCAGGTCCCAGGGTGGACCTGGGGCGCCACAGCCACACTGGCCCAGAGTGGGGGGCACACGGGGGATTGATGAGATCAGTGAATTGGGGGTGGAACCAGCTCCCCGCTGCTGGAGAAGGCAGCCCGATGGGAGAAGAGAAACGCAGAGTAAGCCCTGTGGGGTGGAATCACAGCTGAGGCACTGTGAGAGCTCATGGTTTTCATTATAGATATGGCCGTGTAGATGTGCACGTGGGAGTGTGTGTGTGTCAGTGTGTGAGTGTGCCTGTGTGAGTGTGCATGTGTGTGTGTGAATGTGTGCATGTGTTCGTGTGTGCATGTGAACATCCGTGTGTGCATATGTGCATGTGAGTGCACAGATGTGCGTGTGTGTGCATGTGTGTGTGCATGTGTGTGTGTGAATGTGTGCATGTGTACATCCGTGTGTGCATATGTGCATGTGAGTGCACAGATGTGCGTGTGTGTGCATGTGTGTGTGCATCAGGTATATGCATGTGTGCATATGTGTGCGTGTGTGCACACACATGTGTACATGTGTGAGTGTGCATGTGTGTCCGTGTGTGCATGTGAACATTCGTGTGTGTGCATGTGCATGTATATGTGAGTGTGTGTGCATGTGAGTGCATTGTGAGTGTGCATGGATCAAGTGTGTACAGGTGTGTGCATGTGTGAGTGTGCATCTGTGTGCACGTGTGAGTGCATGGATCAAGTGTGTGCATGCATGTGCATGTGTGTGAGTGCACGGATCAAGTGTGTGCATGCGTGTGCTCTGTCCCCTGAGGAGGGCTGTGAGCAGTAACACCCAAGAGCGATGGGCAATCCCTTCACCTAGATCGTGGTCTCTAAATACCGTTTGCTATCGATAGGAGCTGGGCCTCCTGGAGGACTGCCTGGCGCAGAGGCGGATATGAGAGGAGCCCAGAAGAATCTTGTAGGAGGAAAAGTTCAGAGACGGAGACATGTCAGATGACACAGAAGCCAGCTCGCAGGAGCTCCCAGTGTCCGCATCAGAGCGAGTTTGCACATTATAAAATGATTGGGAAAAAGAAAGAAATTAAAATAACTGAATAAAACAGGGGACCATGAGTCTATACAGTTATAAATAAGCAAATGAATACATAGTCTGATGAGAACTTGGCTAGTTACAGGGTGTCAAGGAATCTCCCCACAAAACACGCAGTCATCACTAAGGGGAAGGAGTGGCTTCCCGGGGAGAAGCCGGGCAGATGCCCCTTGCTCAAGAGATGAGAGTGGATGTCCCAGCAACTGGAGAAGTCGGTCGTGCACGCCCTTGACAGGAGGCGGACCTCAGAGCCGGGCCTGTGATGCTCCTGCCAAACGGGTATCCCCTCAATCTAATCGTGAAAAAATATCAGCCCGGCTTGAGGAGCGCTCCACAAAACGATGGCCCGAAATCTTCAAGGGTCTCAGGGTCAGAGGAGCTGAGGAAAGACCGAGGACCCGTTCCAGAGCCCAGCGTGCCTCCTGATCCTAGGCAGGACATTTTCCATCCAAGGACATTTTTGGGAGAGCTGATGGACTTGGATTTGGCGATTGAGAATTACATGTCAGTAGGATGCCCACAGCTACTTCAGGGCTGACTGGCTATACGGCAGAGCTACGGGATAACCCCCTCTCCCTTCCTTCCTTCCTTCCTTCCTTCCTTCCTTCCTTCCTTCCTTCCTTCCTTTCTCTTTCTCTCCTTCCTTCCTTCCTTCTTTCTTTCCCTCCCTCCTTCCTTCTTTCCTTCCTTCCTTCCTTTTTTTTTTTTTGACAGGGTCTTACTCACTGCAGCCTTGGCTGTGAGTCAAGGGCTCACTGTAGCCTTGGCCCCCTGGGCTCAAGCAATCCTCTCGCCCAAGAGGTTGAAGCTGCAGTGAGCCGAGATTGCGCCACTGCACTCCAGCCTGGGTGACAGAGTGAGACCCTGTCTCTTAGAAAAATAAAAATAAAATCTTACTGGATTATGGCTGGGCACAGTGGCCGATGCCTGTAATCTCAGCACTTTGGGAGGCTGAGGCGGGTGGGTCACCTGAGGTCAGGAGTTCAAGACCAGCCTGGCCAACGTGGTGAGACCGCATCTCTATAAAAAATACAAAAATTAGCTGGGTGTGTTGGCTCATGCCTCTACTCCCAGCTACTTGGGGGACTGAGGCAGGGGGATTGCTTGAGTCCAGAAGGTGGAGGTTGCAGTGAGCCGAGATCACTCCACTGCCCTCTAGCCTGGGCAACAGAGTGAGACCCTGTCTCTAAACAAATAAATAAAATGTTACTGGATTATAACCAAAGTATAAGATAAATATCCATGAGCCGGCCGGCGTCACACCTGTAATCCCAGCACTTTGTAGGCTGAGGCAGGCGGATCATTTGAGGTCAGGAGTTCGAGACCAACCTGGCCAACAGGGTGAAACCCTATCTCTATTAAAAATACAAAAATTAGCCGGGCATGGTCGCAGGCACCTGTAATCCCAGTTACTCAGGAAGCTGAGACAGGAGAATCGCTTGAACCCGGGAGGCAGAGGTTGCAGTGAGCTGAGATGGTGCCACTGTACTCCAGCCTCAACAATGTGAGACTCTGTCTCAAAAAATAAATAAAATAAGATAGAGAAAAAAATCCATGAGTCAATGCTGATATAAATAAATAGTTGAATAAGTAAATAAGTGGGGAGAAGAGACAAATCTCCACGCAGAATTCAAAATAATGTCACAGCCCTCCCCTCTCATGGAGGCAGGGCACAGTGGAACCCCCAACCCCCACCTGGCTGTTCAGGGGAACTTCCTTCCAAACACTGAAGCACTGAGGCCAGCAGGGAGGGGCTGCACGGTGAGGAACCAGCTACGCCTGAGGCAGGGGTAAATCAGGTTGATGGCTGGCGACCCCACCTCCACGGGCACTGTGGTACTGAGGCTGGCAGGGAGGGGCTGCACGGTGAGGAACCAGCTACGCCTGAGCTGGGGGTAAATCAGGTTGACGGCTCGCGACGCCATGCAACCCCACGCGACCCCACCACACGGGCGGGAAGGCACTTTACCTCCGTGCCCTTCCTTTTAAAACCCACGGCCTCAGGCCAAGCATGAGAACAACGTCAGACAAATCCCCATTGATTGGCACTCTACAAAATCGCTGACCAACCCTCCTCAACATGGTCAAAAGCAAGGGAAGCCAGAGAAACGGTCACAGCCAAGAGGAGCCGGAGGAGACAGGAGGATCCGGGGTGAGGTCCTGGGACAGGAACGGGAGGTTAAGGAGAGTAAGGAAACCCAAGTAAGCTCCGGGCTTCAGTTAATGTAACGAATCCTGCTGGTTCGTCCGTTATGGCCAATGAGCCTTTCCTGAGGAAGAATGGGAAGCGGGCCCGGGGCATGCGGGTAGCTCTGTTATACTATCTTCGAAACTTTTCCATAAATCTAAACCTGTCCTAAAATAATAAGTGTATTTTAAATAAAAAGACACAGAAATACTTCCAGGCCCAGCAGCCCTTTGGAGACAGCTCAGGCCCTCGTGACAACCACCCTTTGAGAAGTCCCTGTCCCCACATCCGGCAGCAGGTCCTGTGGTCGCGCGGCAGATCAGATGGGCACCGCTTCACGGCCCAGCCTGGGTTGGCCCTTCCTAACCGTCCTGGCTGCCCCAGCCTGATGACTCAGCTGATTAGGGGCCCTGGGCAGCGCCCAGGACTTTCCTGCCGCCCTCCCCAGATCCAAATCACAGGCCAGGCTGGAGGGTCCGGCTGAGACCCTCTAGGTCAGGGATCCCTCTTTGATGTGGGGAAACTGAGGCACTGGTGGGGGGGAGTTGCCTGACCACCCACCAGGATGTGGCCTCCCGGGCACAGACGTGGCTGTCTGCACGCCAGCACGTGGGGTAGCCAAGGCTCAGAACTGGAGGTTCAGTGTTTTTCCTGGTGACCAATAAGGACAACACCAGCATGCGGGGCCAGCAGTGCACCCACGGCCGGACACCCTCCTCCCTCACGGCAGCCGCACACCTGGAGGGGGCGCCTCAGGGGAGGCAGGACAGTCCCACCCCACATAAGGGAGCGAGGTCTGAGTCACAAGTCTCCGGCCCAGGGTGCCCCTCACAGGGCGATGTCACCAGTGGGGAGGGAGCCTGAGGGGCAGGGTCTTCATGGAACCAGGTCCTCTAGTCCTGACCTCTAGGGCTGTCCCCAGGTCCCCACAGGCGGGGACTTCAGGGCCCTCACCTGTCCCAACTCAATTCACCTGCAGCACTGGGGACCCCGTCTTTCTGCCTGTGCCCCAGCACGCCACTCCCCGCAGAGTGCTCCACACGACCCAGATTGCAGGCCTGCTGGGGAGGAAGAAGCTCCAGGCACCATCCCCTGAGCCCCAGCAGTCCTGTGACATGGTGCCGTTCCCCCCCACCATTGGACAGGAGAGCCAACTGAGGAACCGGGAGGGGGGCCTGGCCCTGGTGATTGCCCCCAGCTTGGTGGGGTCTCCTGTTGTCCAGGACCCTGGGAGACCTGGGATTGCTTCTGTCCACGGTGGCCTGGCCACCTGGGCACTGTCCTCTCGGTGGGAACCCTGTCGCCACCACTCGCCCTCCCCCTCACACCCCCCTGTGACGGGGAACCAGGGCCTCCTGCCGGCAGCCACGTGGGTGACCTTGGATCAGGTGTCCCCGTCCCAGTCAAAACGCAGGTGGCTGCAGCCCTGGCCAGCAGCCTGCCTGTCACGTCCTGAGAGACCCTTCCTGCTGAAGCTGACGCTCACATCTGCCAGTGTCACTGCGCTGAGCTTCACTGAGCTTCCCAGGGATCTTAGATCTAATTTGGGAAGCTCTGGGGCTGGAGCCCGCCCTCCCCCTCCACCCAGTGACCGGCCCCTGCTGTCCACCTTTCCTTACACCGGCAGCCCTGTCCTGAGGGGCCGTCTTGCTTCCCTTCGGGGTCTCATCCCTCCGACTCCCACCCCGCAAAACCTCCAGTGGGCGTGTGGAAGTGCTTCTAGGGGCTCAGTGTTCCCTGGGGGTCACCCCGTGCTGTCTCTGTGATCCCTAGAAGGTGGGATGGGCCAGAGGGAGGAAGGAGGGCCCGAGTTCCAGGTCCATCTTCATAGACAAGACGCTGGGCCTGCAGAACAGGAGCCGAGGGATGGGCCTTCAGGGGCTGCAGAGGCAGAGGTCACGTGGGGCTGGAGAGGGCGCTGGGAGTCGAGTCCACCCCTTGTGAGGACAGAGGTCATTTGCAGAGATTGGAGAGACTAAATGCACATCTCTGCATCTGACAGTTGGAAGGAAAGAGTGAATGTTTCTTTAGAGAGTTGTTTTCAACCAGAACAGCCCCGCATTTCATTCCTGGGTGTAATCATGTTCAAATAAAAAATGCAAACAAGAGCCCGGGATAAAATGCAACACTCGCCAGACGCAGAGGGCTCACCTATTGATGTAGAGAAAGACCTCAAAATGAATTTGAAAATGTCAAACTCAGGCCGGGTGCGGTGGCTCACGCCTGTCATCCCAGCACTTTGGGAGGCCGAGGCGGGCGGATCACTTGAGGTCAGGAGTTCGAGACCAGACTGGCCAACATGGCGAAACCCCATCTCTACTGAAAATACAAAAATTAACTGGGCGTGGTGGCTCACGCCTGTGGCCCAGCTATATGGGAGGCCAAGATGGGAGGATCGCTTGAGCCCAGGAGTTAAGGCTGCAGTGAGCCCTGATCACACCACTGCACTTCAGCCTGGATGACACAGCGAGATCCCGTCTCAAAGCAAACAACTAGGCAAAGCACAAGCAGTGGACAGAGGGGCCGGGAGAAGAGCTCGTGGGAAGCGTGGGGTAGGGGCTCATGATGGGCAGCCCTGGGGCTCCCGGCGACCATTCTCTGTCTTGACCCGGTTGCAGGGACCTGGCTGTCCTTTATAATCAACTGAGTTGCCCGAGTGGCTCTGTGTGACCCGAATGCTGGATGCATCGTGTGGGGAGAAGCCAGCCTCGGGGACCAGGGCTGCCCAGGAGGCCCCGTCCCACGGTGACTGGCTGTGCCTTGAGGGCTAGGACCTCACACTGTGGCAGGTGTCCTCAGCACACCTGGACCCCTTCTCTCCCAGTGACATCCACAACCAGAAACACAGCGATGCACACCAGTGATTTCCATGCACTTTAATGAGGTCCAGCACTCAGGAGGATTAGCGCCCACCACCAGCTATCTGGGCAGGGGAGGGCTGGAGGGCCCGGTGCAGGCGTCAGGCTTAGGACAGGGAAGGGGGCTCAGGATAGGGAAGGGTCCTCAGGACAGGGGAAGGGGCTCAGAAGAGAGCAGGGGGCTTAGGACAGGAAGGGGCACTCAGGACGGGGCAGGGAAGGTGTGGGGGGCAGTCGCCACCTGGGTAGGAAGCAGTGGTGTTTTGGACAGCAGGGGTTGGTCCTCCAGTGACCCAGGTGGCCAACCCAGGCCTGACTCACGGCTTTTTGGGGACATAGTGGTGGATCCAGTCCAAGTAGTAGGTGACACGGGTGTAGATGCCAGGCCGGTTGGGCTGGGCACAGCCCTCGCCCCAGCTGACCACGCCCGCCTGCAGCCAGGTGCCATTCACCTTGCACACCAGGGGCCCTCCGGAGTCGCCCTGGGAAGGTCAGAGGTCAGCGCTCGCCGAACAGGCCTGGGAGTGGGGGTTGGGGGGCGGGGGGCGGGGGACAGGCGGGGCCCACCTGGCATGAGTCCCTCCGGGTGTTCCCGGCACACAGCATGTCGTCACGGACGATGCGGACGTCGTCTCCCGTGTAGGCGCCAAGGTGGTATTTTGCGTCACAAATGTGGTTTTCCATTATGGGGACCTTCACCTGCTTCAGAGGAAATGGCGGTGGGAGGCGCTCTGCAGGTGGGGAAGAGGGTGCAGCCTCAGGAGGGGGCCGGGCAACCCCCACCTGGAGCCCAGAGGGAGCCCAGGGGCTGGGCTGTGGCTAAGACCCTGGCCCCACCTCCACTGTCCCCAGACCCACCATCATTGTCCACATCGCCCCAGCCAGTGACCCAGCACGGCATCCCCGGGGGGAAGGTCTCTGAGGCAGGGGGCAGGGTGACCGTGTGGACGTGGCTGGAGACGTTCACCGGCTCCTCCAGCTCCAGCAGGGCGATGTCCGCTCCGATCTGGGCGGTGTAGAACTGTGGGTGCACGATGATCCTGCTGACCGGCAGCAGCTGGTCCTGGTAGTAGAGGTGCTGCTCCCGCAGTTGCACCCTGAGGGCGGCCAGATCCTTGACGTCCCTGGGCAGCGGAGGATCCCACTCAGGGCCCTGGGCAGCCCCCAGGAGCACCCGGGAGCCAGGGCTCACATCCAGCCCTTCCCCACCCCTCCAGGCCCCGGGAGACTCACGGTCCCACGCAGTGCGCTGCGGTCAGCACCCACTGGGGGTGGATGAGGGAGCCCCCGCAGAAGTGCATCCAGTATGGGCCGTGGACTCTCAGGCTCACCTGCCAGGGCCACTTGCTCCTGGGGGCCTCCTGACCCCCGACGATGCCCACTCGCTGCAGGGCCTGGCCTGGGGCTGGGGCAGGTGCCAGGTCAGGACCAGGAAGCAGCCCCAGGCCTGGGCCCAGCCCTTCCCTGTGTGGGGGCCAGCCCGACCTCCCCAGAACCCACCCAGGCCCTGACCTGTGGAATGTGGTGAGGGGCAGGGTGGACCCCGGCTGGGACTCACCAGGGGCCGCGTAGGCGCGGCTCGCCAGGACGGGCAGCGCCAGCAGCAGCAGATTCAGCATCTGGGGAGCAAGGAGGAGCATCGTGGGCCTGGCCGGGCCTCACAGGGCAGGGCTGGGGGCTACAGATTGTGGGGTGAAGAATGGAGCTGGGACGGGGGGACCGGGGTGGGTCCAGGCCTGCGGGCCTGGGTCTTGGTGCTCTGAGTCTGAGGCTGGGCCACTCTGCTCCAGGTGACGCTGATGTCAGGGTCTCTGAGAGTGGGGACTTACCCTGGCCGCTCCCTGTTCCTTCTACCCAGTGGGCTCTCCCCTCCCCATTTATCCTTCCAGATCAGGAGGGGGCGGAGGAGGGGCGCTGGGTCCTCCCATCCAGACTCGGAGGAAGTGGATGACTCAGACCCAGGGCCCCCGTGTAACACGTGCCCCCGCCACCCCGATGCCCTCTGTGTGTGGGGCTGCCAGGCAGGCCCCGCTGAGGGCTGAGCACTGGAGACTGGCAGCTCCACCTGTCAGCTGGTGGATCCCAGCACTGGAACCCACCACCTTCCCGCTGGTGGGATCTGCTCCTGCCCCTGTCTCGGTGCCAGGAGGCCTTCAGGCATTGCTGCACCCAGGTGGCCTGGCTGCCCCAGGCTACAAGACCCGTCGCTCCTGAAACCTGTTTCCCCAAGAGGGACACGGGTGAGGAACTCATGTCCATGGGCCACGCTCCAAGAGACGGGAAGGTGCCCACGGGGTGGGGACATGACGGGTGACACCCCTCCTACGGACTCCGAATCCACGGGGGTGGGGCCAGCCCTCCTCGACTCACTTGGTTGGGGGCTCACGTGAGACCCCTTTGTCAGATGGGGAAACAGCCTTGAGAGGGGACAGCACCAAGTGTCCTCAGCCAGGAAGGGGCCCTGCTCCCCACCCGCCGTATGAGACCCAAGTCCTCCTACGAGTCCTCAATGTCCACCTCTGGGGCTGTCCGTGCAGGTCCCCTGGTCTGCAGGTGCCTCCTTATCATGGGATCTGAGCTTCATACGCAGAGGGAAGAGCAGAGAGGAGTGCAGGTGCAACCCCAGGAGGCCCAGCCCAGCTCCCCATGGACTCACCCCCAACTTCAGCCCCAGCTCCCCATGGACTAGTCCCAGCCCCAGCCCCAGCTCCCCATGGTCTCATCCCCGGCCCCAGCTCCCTGTGCTCTCCATCCCATTCAGCGCTGACACTGTCCCTGCAGGTCCGTCCACCCCACCTCCCGACTCCCCTGGGCCTGTTGGTCACTGGGGCCTCCAGCCCACCTCCTCCGCTTCTGAGCCCCAGGACCCCCTGCCTGCCCCCCGACCCCCAACACAGGGCCACTCCGGGGCTCCTCCTGCCCCCACCCTGCCTGGGACCAGCCTGGTTTGGGGCTGACTCTGCACTGCGGGGCCATATCCATCTGGACTCCTTCCGGGCTGCACCCCCCGGGGGACAGGCAGGGGTGGCCCAGACCGCTCCTGCTCATGACCCTGCTTCTCCTCCATTCTCTGGACAAACTCCCCAGAGGCCTCCACCTGCCCCGTCCTGGTTCCATGAATGAGGCCCACAAGATGGGACCTTCAGGAGCCCAGGAGGTGAGGGGATGGGGTGACGGGGGACACCAGGGATGAGGGTGTGGCAGGGACACGGGAGACACCAGGGCTGACGGTGAAGAAGAGACTCAGGGGACACCAGGGCTGGGAGAACCCAGGGACACACGGGGACACCGGGGCTGTGGTGTGCAGAGGGCTCTGGGACCCCCGAGTCAGGGGCTCTGGGGCCGCTCCTCCTAGGAATGCTCCGATTGGGTCAGGCCTGGGAGGCGGACCAATCAGCACCATGGGGATGCGAGAGCTTTGATTGGCTAACACTGGGCCAATCAGGGCGCGTCCTGGGCACCCCGCCCCGATCCCCGGCCGCTCCCCTGGGGCTGCTGCAGGGCTGGGGTCCCAGGGGAGGTGGATGGACCTGTGCGGCCCTGCCCCGGCGCCTCTCAGGAAGCCCCGCATCCTATCTCTGCCGTCCCGCAGCAAAAAGCTGAACTCCCGTCACGTACAACCAGCAACGAACAAAAACGATAACAAACCCATAATTCACAGTGGAAAGGACTCTGCGCTCAGGAAGGTTCCATCCAGTTCAGAATGAAGACGCAGAATAAAGATTCCTTGAGACCCTGTAACTAGCCAAGTTCTCATCAGACTATGTATTCATTTGCTTATTTATAACTGAATAGACTCATGGTCCCCTGTTTTATTCAATTATTTTAATTTCTTTCTTTTTCCCAATCATTTTTCTAATATGCAAACTCATCCTGATGCGGACACTGGGAGCTCCTGCGAGCTGGCTTCTGTGTCGTCTGACATGTCTCCATCTTTGAACTTTTCCTCCTACAAGATTCTTCTGGGCTCCTCTCATATCCGCCTCTGCGCCAGGCAGTCCTCCAGGAGGCCCAGCTCCTGTCGGTGGCAAACGGTATTTAGAGACCACGATGTAGGTGAAGGGATTGCCCATCGCTCTTGGGTGTTACTGCTCACAGCCCTCCTCAGGGGACAGAGCACACGCATGCACAAACTTGATCCATGCACTCACACACATGCACATGCGTGCACGCACTTGATCCATGCACTCACACGTGCACACAGATGCACACTCACACATGCACACACCTGCACACACTTGATCCATGCACACTCACAATGCACTCACATGCACGCACATGTGTGCACACTCATGCACATATGCACACACACGAATGTTCACATGCACACACGCACACATATGCACACACATGCATGTACCTGATGCACACACACATGCACTCACACATGCACATCTGTGCACTCACATGCACATATGCACACACGAATGTTCATATGCAAACACGAACACACATGCACACACATTCACACTCACCCATGCACACACATAACACATGCACACTCACACACAGGCACACTCACACACTGACACACACACACTCCCACGTGCACATCTACACGGCCATATCTATAATGAAAACCATGAGCTCTCACAGTGCCTCAGCTGTGATTCCACCCCACAGGGCTTACTCTGCGTTTCTCCTCTCCCATCGGGCTGCCTTCTCCAGCAGCGGGGAGCTGGTTCCACCCCCAATTCACTGATCTCATCAATCCCCCGTGTGCCCCCCACTCTGGGCCAGTGTGGCTGTGGCGCCCCAGGTCCACCCTGGGACCTGCCCCATGCTAGGCTTTAGGACAGAATCTATTGGAGGGAAAGGGAAGGGGTGGGGTGGAGATGTGAGCAGAGCTTGACTGTTTAAAAAGCTTCTGGCCGTTTCGGTGGGTGTGAAGTGGGTTCTCCCTGCGGCTTCACTCTGCGGTTCCCCGACGAGAGCAACCTGATGAGCCAGGCTGGCCACGGAGCGTGGGGGTGCCGGAGCCCAGAAACGGGACCCCCCACCTCCTAGTCCTTGCCTTCTCTGCCCTCAGGGTGACTCGGGAGGGCCTCTGGTCTGCCAGGCGCATGGTTCCTGAGGGCAGGTTGGCGTCATGAGCTGGGTCAAGAGCTACAGCTGCGGGCGCTGGCCAGGGGTCTACACCCTCCTCTCTGCCTGGGTGAGCCGGCCCCACCGCCGCATCCCAGCATCGGGGGCTCAGGCGGCTCCCCAGGCCCCCTCCCAGGGGACTTCTTCCTCCTCCTCCAACTCGTCCTCCTCTTGGCTGTCTCCTGCATCTGGTGGCTAAGTGACCTCTGGGCCAGCCGCAGTGGCTCTTCCTCCCCCGACCTCTGACCCTTGGCCCCTGACCTGCATGAGCCCCTCCAGCTCCCTCCTCCCAGAGGAGTGGAGGGCGATGGCCACAGCCTAGGCCTGGAGGCAGACCCCGCTCCAGGCCTGCACAGCCCCGGCTCGCACCCCAGTGCAGCCTCTTCTCCCCGTGGGGAAACTGAGGCAGAGAGGGCGCCGTGACCTGCTACGGTCACACGCAAGGCCTATCCCAGCCCTGGAAGCTCCAGGGCTCTGAGACCCGACCCAGCGGGCAGGTGGGCTGGGCGGGGCAGCTGACTCCTCTCCGCCCCTTCCTCGCCCCTCCCCGCACCTGCCCTGCCCCCTCCCCGCCCCCGCCCCGCCCTCCCGCAAACGCCCCGCCTTCCTCCCAGCGCCTGCCTCGGCCGCGCCCGGGCTCCGCTTTGCATGGTCAGGGGCCCCCTCTGCTGGAGACGCGGGGAAGTGCAGCGCTCCGGAGGGAGAGAAAAGTCGGTGATCGCTGCGTAGAAAATCCAGGAATAATGGACCCTGGAGTAATGGACTTAGCAGGGCTGTGACATACAAAACCAATATGCAAAAGGATTACTGTGTTTCTAAACGCCAGCCATGAATATTGGACGATAAACGCGAACATCCATACCCTTTGCTACAGAATAAAAAAATCAAACACCAGGAATACATTTAAGGGAAGGCATGCAAGATCTCTACACCAAAAAGTACAAACATTGCTGGGAGGAGATTTCAAAGCCCTACGTAGGTGGAGAGACAGGAGCACGGGCCATTTTCATCACCCTAGAGGTTTCCTCACCTCTCGGTCACCTGCCTGAAGGGGCGGGGAGTAGACACCCTAGGGTGATACGTCTTGCTTTGGGCCATGGTTACACAGGTTTGGCAATCATCACAATTCATTGGACTGGACATTTCAGGTCTGTGCATTCTGTTTATTTAATTTGCTCTCAATAAAAAAATATATCTATACATTCAGTTCCCACTCGGACATACGAAGGGACTGGAAGCCAACCTCACAACCACATCGGAAACGCTGGGCCAACTGAAACGCAGCTGAACAGCCTTCTGAGAACCGAGCTCACGGGACAAAGCACTGCCCCCAAACCGGACAGACCGGTGGCTACTCGGGAGGCTGAGGTGGGAGGATCGCTTGAGCCTGGGAGGTTGAAGCTTCAGCGAGCTAGGATTGCACCCCTGCATTCCAGCCTGAGCAACAGAGCAAGACCCCATCTCAAAAAAAAATTTTTTTTAAACTCTGCTTTACAAGAGACATTGTTAAGAGAATGAAAAGACAAGCCACAGACTGGGAGAATATCTCTGCAAAACTCATATCTGATAAAGGATGATTATCCAAAATATACCAAGAACCCTTAAAGTCAACATTAAAGAGAACAAGCAACCCGGCCGGGCAGGGAGTCACACCTGTCATCCCAGCACAAGCAACCTGGCCGGGTGTGGTGGCTCACACCTGTCATCCCAGCACTGTGGGAGGCCAGGGTGGGAGGATCACGAGGTCAGGAGATCGAGACCATCCTGGCCCACATGGTGAAACCCCGTCTCTACTAAAAATATAAAAATTAGCTGGGTGTGGTGACACACGCCTGTTATCCCAGCTACTTGGGAGGCTGAGGCAAGAGAATCACCTGAACCAGGGAGTCGGAGGTTGTGGTGAGCCAAGCTCACGCCACTGCTCTCCAGCCTGGTGACGGAGTGAGACTCCGTCTCAAAAAAAAAAAAAAAAGAAAAAGGAAAAAGAAAACAAGCAACACAATTAAAAAGTGGGCATCAGATAAATCTAACAAAGAGATTGAAAGAATTAAAAAGAAAAAAAAAAGTAGGCAAAAGATCTGAACAGACACTTCACCAAAGAAGATATAGAGATGTCAAATAAGCACCTGAAAAGATGCTCAGCATCAAACGTTATTAATTAAATTAAAATAACAATGAGATACCACTACACACCCGTTAGGATGACTAAAGTCCCCAAGACAGACAATACCAAGTGCTGACAAGGAGGTGGAGCAACGGGAACTCTCATCCACTGCTGATGAGAAGGCAGAATGGCGCAGCCACTTTGGAAGACAGTTTGGCAGTTTCTTACAAAGCTAAACATACTCTTACTATATGATCTAGCAATTGTGCTTCTAGGTATTTACTTACCCAAGGAGTTGAAAACTTATGCCCACACAAAAACCTGCACATGATGTTGATAGCATCTTTACCCATAATTGCCAAAAAGTTGAAGGAACCAAAGTGTCCTTCAAAAGGCGAATGGGTAGAACAACTGTGGTACATCCAGACAATGGAATATCATTCAGAGACAAAAAGCAATGAGCTGGCCGGGTGCGGTGTCTCATGCCTGTAATCCCAGCACTTTGGGAGGCTGAGGCGGGCGGACCATGTGGTCAGGAGATTGAGACCATCCTGGCTAACACAGTGAAAACCCATCTCTAAAAAAAAAAAAAAAAAACAACAGCTGGGCATGGTGGCAGGTGCCTGTAGTCCCAGCTACTCGGAGGCTGAGGCAGGAGAATGGCGTGAACCCGGGAGGCGCAGCTTGCAGTGAGCCGAGATCACACCACTGCACTCCAGCCTAGGAGACAGAGCGAGACTCTGTCTCAAAATAAATAAATAAATAAATAAATAAATAAATAAATAAATAAATAAAAGCAAGGAGCTATCAAGCCTTGAAAAGACATACAGGGGCCATAACTGCCTACTACTCAGTGAAAGAAGCTAGTCGGAAAAAGTTAATAGTGTATCGTTGATAGTGGATAAGTCAAAACTTCAGAGACAATGAAAATATCCGTGGTTTCCAGGGGATGGGGAGAGGGAGAGGCAGTGGAGCACGAGATTTTGAGGGCAGGGGATGTATTCCGCATAATACGGTAATGGTGGACACATGACTTGTGCACTTGCCACGACCCACAGAATGTACAACAGACAGAGTGAACCCTCATGTAAACTGTGGGAGTTCGTTAGTAATAATGTATCAATATTGTTCATCAGCTGTAACAATGCACCCACAGTAATGCAAAATGTTCATAACAGGAAACTCTGTGTGTGGGGATGTGTGTGTGGGGGGATACGATCTGTACTATCTGCCCAGTTGTCTGTAAACTTAAAACTGCTCTAAAAAATAAAGTGCATTAATTCCAAAACACCACAACTTCACGTGCAATTTCAACTTGCAACAGCCTGCTTTTAGTCTCCCCGGATCCTTCTGTTACTGTAGCACACGCCGCACCCTTGTGTATTCCATAAACCACACGATACCTGCACTCGCTTTGCTGTTGTTGCTTCAAACTGCCAATTCTCTTTCAAATATTTTTTGAGAGAGAAAACTGTCTTACACAGTCACAGCTGTTTCCATTTCCAGAGTTTATCTTCCCTTAGTCTAGGTCTAGATGTTCATCTCTTATCATCTTCTTCCTGCAGAACTTCCTTTCACATTTCTTTTTTTTTTTTTTTTTTTTTTTTTTGAGACGGAGTCTCCTTCATTGCCCAGGCTGGAGTGCAGTGGCGCCATCTCGGATCACGGCAAGCTCCGCCTCCCGGGTTCACGCCATTCTCCTGCCTCAGCCTCCCGAGTAGCTGGGACTACAGGTGCCCGCCACCACGCCCGGCTAATTTTTTGTATTTTTAGTAGAGACAGGGTTTCACTGTGTTAGCCAGGGGGGTCTCGAACTCCTGACCTCAGGTGATCCACCCGCCTTGGCCTCCCGAAGTGCTAGGATTACAGGCGTGAGCCACCGCGCCCAGCTAATTTTTGTATTTTTAG
The DNA here is from genome assembly GCF_000001405.40 of Homo sapiens. NCBI lineage: Eukaryota > Metazoa > Chordata > Mammalia > Primates > Hominidae > Homo > Homo sapiens. Next base: position 1,233,460 of record NC_000016.10, on the reverse strand, counting down.
TAGAGATGGGGTTTCATCACGTTGGCCAGGCTGGTCTTGAACTCCTGACCTCAGGTGACCCAGCCGCCTCGGCCTCCCAAAGTGCTAGGATTACAGGCGTGAACCACCACGCCCGAACATGATTGATTTTTTTTATCGGGAGGTCATCCTTTTTCATGCCTGCTTTTTTTTTTTTTTTTTTTTTTTTTTTTTTTTTAGACACGGTATTGCTTTGTTGCCAGACTGGAGTGCAGTGGCACGATCTCGGCTCACTGCATCCTCTGACTCCCTGGTTCAAGCGATTCTCCTGCCTCAGCCTCCCGAGTAGCTGGGATTACAGGCACGTGCCACCACGCCCGGCTAATTTTTATATTTTTAGTAGAGACGGGGTTTCACCATGTGGGCCAGGCTGGTCTCGTTCTCCTGACCTCACGATCTGCCACCTCGGCCTCCCAAAGTGCTGGGATGACAGGCGTGAGCCACCGCGCCCGGCCACCCGCTCGTTCTTGACTAGCCCCCGGATCTCGTGAGTACTCTCTGGAGTGTTTTGTTGCGTGCTGGGTTGTGTTCTATTCCTTGACATCGTTTTGAGATGTGTTCTCACAGGCAGTTAAGTCACTTGCAATCATTTGGATCCGTCTGGGCTTTGCTTTTCAGCTTTGTGAGGGTGGGTCCGGAGAAGCCTTTGGTTTCGGGATTACTTTCTCCCCTCGTACCCTTCCATACCCTTCCGAGGACTCTCCAGTGCCTGCCTCTGACAAGGTTTCTCCACTCAGCTGCTGGGAACACGCGATATCCCCAGCCCCGCGCGCACTCCCGGACTCCGCCCCTCTCATCTGGTGGTTCTCGTTTCCGACGCGGCTCCCACGTCTCTCTGCATCTCCGGCACTCGGCCGAGGACGCCGGGGGGAACCCCCTGCGGATGCCCGGAGCTCTCCGTGCAGTTCTCCGCCTCGTGAGTCATGGCTGCCGGGGCCTCTGCACGCGCCAGGTGCGTCTCCCCAGCCCAGCAAGCTCCTGGGGCTGAGTTTCCCATCGCTGCCCTGAGTCTGGGCGCGGCCACTGTCGTCTCACCCGACTCCCCACCCTTCTCTCGGGGACACTGCCCCACGTGGCCTCTTGCCCAGTGTCTGTCAATGGCCTGGGACCCCAGCCCTGCAGCAGCCCCAGGGGAGCGGCCGGGGATCGGGGCGGGGTGCCCAGGACGCGCCCTGATTGGCCCAGTGTTAGCCAATCAAGGCTCTCGCATCCCCATGGTGCTGATTGGTCCGCCTCCCAGGCCTGACCCAATCGGAGCATTCCTAGGAGGAGCGGCCCCAGAGCCCCTGACTCGGGGGTCCCAGAGCCCTCTGCACACCACAGCCCCGGTGTCCCCGTGTGTCCCTGGGTTCTCCCAGCCCTGGTGTCCCCTGAGTCTCTTCTTCACCGTCAGCCCTGGTGTCTCCCGTGTCCCTGCCACACCCTCATCCCTGGTGTCCCCCGTCACCCCATCCCCTCACCTCCTGGGCTCCTGAAGGTCCCATCTTGTGGGCCTCATTCATGGAACCAGGACGGGGCAGGTGGAGGCCTCTGGGGAGTTTGTCCAGAGAATGGAGGAGAAGCAGGGTCATGAGCAGGAGCGGTCTGGGCCACCCCTGCCTGTCCCCCGGGGGGTGCAGCCCGGAAGGAGTCCAGATGCATATGGCCCCGCAGTGCAGAGTCAGCCCCAAACCAGGCTGGTCCCAGGCAGGGTGGGGGCAGGAGGAGCCCTGGAGTGGCCCTGTGTTGGGGGTCGGGGGGCAGGCAGGGGGTCCTGGGGCTCAGAAGCGGAGGAGGTGGGCTGGAGGCCCCAGTGACCAACAGGCCCAGGGGAGTCAGGAGGTGGGGTGGACGGACCTGCAGGGACAGTGTCAGCGCTGAATGGGATGGAGAGCACAGGGAGCTGGGGCCGGGGGCAAGTCCACAGGGAGCTGGGGCCGGGGGTGAGACCATGGGGAGCTGGGCTGGGGCTGGGGGTGAGACCATGGGGAGCTGGGGCCGGGGGCTGGGACTAGTCCATGGGGAGCTGGGCTGGGGCTGGGGGTGAGTCCATGGGGAGCTGGGCTGGGGCTGGGGGTGAGACCATGGGGAGCTGGGCTGGGGCTGGGGGTGAGACCATGGGGAGCTGGGGCCGGGGGATGGGACTAGTCCATGGGGAGCTGGGCTGGGGCTGGGGGTGAGACCATGGGGAGCTGGGCTGGGGCTGGGACTAGTCCATGGGGAGCTGGGTCTGGAGCTGGGGGTGAGACCATGGGGAGCTGGGGCCGGGGGCTGCGACTAGTCCATGGGGAGCTGGGCTGGGGCTGGGGGTGAGTCCATGGGGAGCTGGGCTGGGGCTGGGGGTGAGTCCATGGGGAGCTGGGGCTGGGGCTGGGACTAGTCCATGGGCAGCTGGGCTGGGGCTGGGGGTGAGTCCATGGGGAGCTGGGCTGGGGCTGGGGGTGAGTCCATGGGGAGCTGGGCTGGGGTTGGGGGTGAGTCCATGGGGAGCTGGGCTGGGTCTCCTGGGGTTGCACCTGCACTCCTGTCTGCCCTTCCCTCTGCCGATGAAGCTCAGATCCCATGATAAGGAGGCACCTGCAGACCAGGGGTCCTGCACGGACAGCCCCAGAGGTGGACATTGAGGACTCGTAGGAGGACTTGGGTCTCATACGGCGGGTGGGGAGCAGGGCCCCTTCCTGGCTGAGGACACTTGGTGCTGTCCCCTCTCAAGGCTGTTTCCCCATCTGACAAAGGGGTCTCATGTGAGCCTCCCACCAAGTGAGTCGAGGAGGGCTGGCGCCACCCCCGTGGATTCGGAGTCCGTAAGAGGGGTGTCACCCGTCATGTCCCCACCCCGTGGGCACCTTCCCGTCTCTTGGAGGGTGGCCCATGGACATGAGTTCCTCACCCCGTGTCCCTCTTGGGGAAACAGGTTTCAGGAGCGATGGGTCTTGTAGCCTGGGACAGCCAGGCCACCTGGGTGCAGCAATGCCTGAAGGCCTCCTGGCACCGAGACAGGGGCAGGAGCAGATCCCACCAGCGGGAAGGTGGTGGGTTCTAGTGCTGGGATCCACCAGCTGACAGGTGGAGCTGCCAGTCTCCAGTGCTCAGCCCTCAGCGGGGCCTGCCTGGCAGCCCCACACACAGAGGGCATCGGGGTGGCGGGGGCACGTGTTACACGGGGGCCCTGGGTCTGAGTCATCCACTTCCTCCGAGTCTGGATGGGAGGACCCAGCGCCCCTCCTCCGCCCCCTCCTGATCTGGAAGCATAAATGGGGAGGGGAGAGCCCACTGGGTAGAAGGAACAGGGAGCGGCCAGGGTAAGTCCCCACTCTCAGAGACCCTGACATCAGCGTCACCTGGAGCAGAGTGGCCCAGCCTCAGACTCAGAGCACCAAGACCCAGGCCTGCAGGCCTGGACCCACCCCGGTCCCCCCGTCCCAGCTCCATTCTTCACCCCACAATCTGTAGCCCCCAGCCCTGCCCTGTGAGGCCCGGCCAGGCCCACGATGCTCCTCCTTGCTCCCCAGATGCTGAATCTGCTGCTGCTGGCGCTGCCCGTCCTGGCGAGCCGCGCCTACGCGGCCCCTGGTGAGTCCCAGCCGGGGTCCACCCTGCCCCTCACCACATTCCACAGGTCAGGGCCTGGGTGGGTTCTGGGGAGGTCGGGCTGGCCCCCACACAGGGAAGGGCTGGGCCCAGGCCTGGGGCTGCTTCCTGGTCCTGACCTGGCACCTGCCCCAGCCCCAGGCCAGGCCCTGCAGCGAGTGGGCATCGTTGGGGGTCAGGAGGCCCCCAGGAGCAAGTGGCCCTGGCAGGTGAGCCTGAGAGTCCGCGACCGATACTGGATGCACTTCTGCGGGGGCTCCCTCATCCACCCCCAGTGGGTGCTGACCGCAGCGCACTGCGTGGGACCGTGAGTCTCCCGGGGCCTGGAAGGGTGGGGAAGGGCTGGATGTGAGCCCTGGCTCCCGGGTGCTCCTGGGGGCTGCCCAGGGCCCTGAGTGGGATCCTCCGCTGCCCAGGGACGTCAAGGATCTGGCCGCCCTCAGGGTGCAACTGCGGGAGCAGCACCTCTACTACCAGGACCAGCTGCTGCCGGTCAGCAGGATCATCGTGCACCCACAGTTCTACACCGCCCAGATCGGAGCGGACATCGCCCTGCTGGAGCTGGAGGAGCCGGTGAACGTCTCCAGCCACGTCCACACGGTCACCCTGCCCCCTGCCTCAGAGACCTTCCCCCCGGGGATGCCGTGCTGGGTCACTGGCTGGGGCGATGTGGACAATGATGGTGGGTCTGGGGACAGTGGAGGTGGGGCCAGGGTCTTAGCCACAGCCCAGCCCCTGGGCTCCCTCTGGGCTCCAGGTGGGGGTTGCCCGGCCCCCTCCTGAGGCTGCACCCTCTTCCCCACCTGCAGAGCGCCTCCCACCGCCATTTCCTCTGAAGCAGGTGAAGGTCCCCATAATGGAAAACCACATTTGTGACGCAAAATACCACCTTGGCGCCTACACGGGAGACGACGTCCGCATCGTCCGTGACGACATGCTGTGTGCCGGGAACACCCGGAGGGACTCATGCCAGGTGGGCCCCGCCTGTCCCCCGCCCCCCGCCCCCCAACCCCCACTCCCAGGCCTGTTCGGCGAGCGCTGACCTCTGACCTTCCCAGGGCGACTCCGGAGGGCCCCTGGTGTGCAAGGTGAATGGCACCTGGCTGCAGGCGGGCGTGGTCAGCTGGGGCGAGGGCTGTGCCCAGCCCAACCGGCCTGGCATCTACACCCGTGTCACCTACTACTTGGACTGGATCCACCACTATGTCCCCAAAAAGCCGTGAGTCAGGCCTGGGGTGTCCACCTGGGTCACTGGAGAGCCAGCCCCTCCTGTTCAAAACACCACTGCTTCCTACCCAGGTGGCGACTGCCCCCCACACCTTCCCTGCCCCGTCCTGAGTGCCCCTTCCTGTCCTAAGCCCCCTGCTCTCTTCTGAGCCCCTTCCCCTGTCCTGAGGACCCTTCCCCATCCTGAGCCCCCTTCCCTGTCCTAAGCCTGACGCCTGCACCGGGCCCTCCGGCCCTCCCCTGCCCAGGCAGCTGGTGGTGGGCGCTAATCCTCCTGAGTGCTGGACCTCATTAAAGTGCATGGAAATCACTGGTGTGCATCGCTGTGTTTCTGGTTGTGGATGTCACTGGGAGAGAAGGGGTCCAGGTGTGCTGAGGACACCTGCCACAGTGTGAGGTCCTAGCCCTCAAGGCACAGCCAGTCACCGTGGGACGGGGCCTCCTGGGCAGCCCTGGTCCCCGAGGCTGGCTTCTCCCCACACGATGCATCCAGCATTCGGGTCACACAGAGCCACTCGGGCAACTCAGTTGATTATAAAGGACAGCCAGGTCCCTGCAACCGGGTCAAGACAGAGAATGGTCACCGGGAGCCCCAGGGCTGCCCATCACGAGCCCCTACCCCACGCTTCCCACGAGCTCTTCTCCCGGCCCCTCCGTCCACTGCTTGTGCTTTGCCTAGTTGTTTGCTTTGAGACGGGATCTCGCTGTGTCATCCAGGCTGAAGTGCAGTGGTGTGATCAGGGCTCACTGCAGCCTTAACTCCTGGGCTCAAGCGATCCTCCCATCTTGGCCTCCCATATAGCTGGGCCACAGGAGTGAGCCACCACGCCCAGTTAATTTTTGTATTTTCAGTAGAGATGGGGTTTCGCCATGTTGGCCAGTCTGGTCTCGAACTCCTGACCTCAAGTGATCCGCCCGCCTCGGCCTCCCAAAGTGCTGGGATGACAGGCGTGAGCCACCGCACCCGGCCTGAGTTTGACATTTTCAAATTCATTTTGAGGTCTTTCTCTACATCAATAGGTGAGCCCTCTGCGTCTGGCGAGTGTTGCATTTTATCCCGGGCTCTTGTTTGCATTTTATATTTGAACATGATTACACTCAGGAATGAAATGCGGGGCTGTTCTGGTTGAAAACAACTCTCTAAAGAAACATTCACTCTTTCCTTCCAACTGTTAGATGCAGAGATGTGCATTTAGTCTCCCGAATCTCTGCAAATGACCTCTGTCCTCACAAGGGGTGGACTCAACTCCCAGTGCCCTCTCCAGCCCCACGTGACCTCTGCCTCTGCAGCCCCTGAAGGCCCATCCCTCGGCTCCTGTTCTGCAGGCCCAGCGTCTTGTTAATGAAGATGGACCTGGAACTCGGGCCCTTCTTCCTCCCTCTGGCCCATCCCACCTTCTAGGGATCACAGAGACAGCACGGGGTGACCCCCAGGGAACACTGAGCCCCTAGAAGCACTTCCACACGCCCACTGGAGGTTTTGCGGGGTGGGAGTCGGAGGGATGAGACCCCGAAGGGAAGCAAGACGGCCCCTCAGGACAGGGCTGCCGGTGTAAGGAAAGGTGGACAGCAGGGGCCGGTCACTGGGTGGAGGGGGAGGGCGGGCTCCAGCCCCAGAGCTTCCCAAATTAGATCTAAGATCCCTGGGAAGCTCAGTGAAGCTCAGCCCAGTGACACTGGCAGATGTGAGCGTCAGCTTCAGCAGGAAGGGTCTCTCAGGACGTGGCAGGCAGGCTGCTGGCCAGGGCTGCAGCCACCTGCGTTTTGACTGGGACGGGGGCACCTGCTCCAAGGTCACCCACGTGGCTGCCGGCAGGAGGCCCTGGTTCCCCGTCACAGGGGGGTGTGAGGCGGAGGGCGAGTGGGGGGGACAGGGTTCCCACCGAGGGGACGGCACCCAGGTGGCCAGGCCACCGCAGACAGAAGCAATCCCAGGTCTCCCAGGGTCCTGGACAACAGGAGACCCCACCAAGCTGGGGGCAATCACCAGGGCCAGGCCCCCCTCCCGGTTCCTCAGTTGGCTCTCCTGTCCAATGGTGGGGGTGAACGGCACCATGTCACAGGACTGCTGGGGCTCAGGGGATGGTGCCTGAAGCTTCTTCCTCCCCAGCAGGCCTGCAATCTGGGTCGTGTGGAGCACTCTGCGGGGAGTGGCGTGCTGGGGCACAGGCAGAAAGACGGGGTCCCCAGTGCTGCAGGTGAATTGAGTTGGGACAGGTGAGGGCCCTGAAGTCCCCACCTGTGGGGACCTGGGGACAGCCCTAGAGGTCAGGACTAGAGGACCTGGTTCCATGAAGACCCTGCCCCTCAGGCTCCCTCCCCACTGGGTGACATCGCCCTGTTAGGGGCACCCTGGGCCGGGGACTCGTGGCTCAGACCCCGCTCCCTTGTGTGGGGTGGGACTGTCCTGCCTCCCCTGAGGCGCCCCCTCCAGGTGTGCGGCTGCCGTGAGGGAGGAGGGTGCCCGGCCGTGGGTGCACTGCTGGCCCCGCATGCTGGTGTTGTCCTTATTGGTCACCAGGAAAAACACTGAACCTCCAGTTCTGAGCCTTGGCTACCCCACGTGCTGGCGTGCAGGCGGCCACGTCTGTGCCTGGGAGGCCACATCCTGGTGGGTGGTCAGGCAACTCCCCCCAACCCGTGGCTGAGTTTCCCCACATCAAAGAGGGGATCCCTGACCTAGAAGGTCTCAGCTGGACCCTCCAGCCTGGCCTGTGATTTGGATCTGGGGAGGGCGGCAGGAAAGTCCCGGGCGCTGCCCAGGGCCCCTAATCAGCTGAGTCATCAGGCTGGGGCAGCCAGGACGGTTAGGAAGGGCCAACCCAGGCTGGGCCGTGAAGTGGTGCCCATCTGATCTGCCGCACGAGCACAGGACCTGCTGCCGGACGTGGGGACAGGGACTTCTCAAAGAGTGGTTGTCACGAGGGCCTGAGCTGTCTCCAAAGGGCTGCTGGGCCTTGAGTTGGGACCCTCCTGAAGAACCCCCAGGACTGGGCTCCCAGAGGATGAAGGAGAGGGGGTGGCGTGCCCCGAGGGAACCAGGGAGTAATTTTTGGAGGGGGCGGCACTCAGAGGAACACTCACCCCTCCCTCAGCCCTGGCCCCGGAGCAGAGACAAGGTGAGAAGTACTTTTGCCTTCTGTCCTTCCCCGCTTTCCCTTGACGGAGCCGGCCACTTGGTGCCAGGGCTGTGGCGTCCACACAGGGATAAATGGAGGTGACGACCCTTCTCTGAGGTGCAGAAGGAACAGGTGGGGCCGTCTGTGGAGCTCCGGCCTCCTCCTCCGTCCTCCCGCCCTGCCTGACAGCAGGTGTGTGGCCACCCCTATCCCCCACGCCCAGCAGGTCCAAGGGTCAGGCTGGCCCTCCTTCTCCCTACAGTGGGCAGACACCATGGCCCTTGGGGCCTGTGGCCTCCTGCTGCTCCTGGCTGTGCCCGGTGGGTGACCTGGCCTGGGTGTGGGGATGGGGGGGCATCTGCTTCCTGCCTGGACCCCTGATGGGGGTGAAACTGGGGGCTGGTCTGAGACGGAGAAACATGCTGAGTCCCCACCCTGTGGGGCCCCGTGTCTCCTCTGAAGAGACTGCACCCCTGGCTGGAGGCCCAGCTGTCCGTGCTGGGGAGAGGCAGGAGGGATGTGCGGGTGGGAGTTGGGGGTGCAGGAGTTGGCAGGGCGGGTGGTAGTTGGGGGTGCGGGTGGGAGTTGGGGGTGCCAGGAGTCCCAGGCCCTAGAACACTGGTGATTTCTTTCCTGAGCAGGACCTGGAGGGCGGGGAGGAGGCCCAGGCCTGAGGCCAAGCTCCCGGCCTCCAGCTGCCGTTTATGGCCTGTGGCTTGTCCCACCCAGCCCTGGGCCAGTGAGACAGCAGTTGACCCAGCCTCACCAGGCCGGGCCCCTCTGCTCAGGACCAGGCCCCACCCCAGTGCCGCCCTGAGGCCTGGCAGGGGCCTCTGGAGCCCGCACACCCCTCTCCTTGGCAGCCCCCTCCATCCTGGGCCCTTCGTCTTTCCCACAGGTGTGTCCCTCAGGACTTTGCAGCCAGGTACGTCTCTGACAGGTGTGGGGTGTGGGGGAGGGTGCAGGCAAGGCCTGGCAGGAGGGCCTCGGTGACCCTCTCCTTCCCTGGGGTCCCAATGGGGGCCCGGGGAGGTCATAGTTTGTCGCCGTGGTTTCTGCTCGCATCTCTCGGTTGAGTGGGGCTGGTCGGGGTGTGCTGCAGGGCTGTCTCCCCCACCACCACTGTAGTCAGTCTGTACCTTGGGAGATGCTCTGAGGCCATGAAACAACCTGGCCCTCCTCGAACTTTCTCCCCACAGCGTCCCCACCGTGGCCCTGGAACCAGCTGGGGGCTTTGCCGTGTGGGAGAGCCGGTGCCCCACCCCACACCCGCTGCCTATCTATAAACATCTCTGTCTGTCTACATCCCAGCTTCCCTTCCATTCAGCCCAGTGGCCACACTCCATCACCAGCACAATTATCCAGCTCAGGCAGACCCAGGTGTGGCCAGTGGGTCTCCAGCTGACTTCCTCTTAATTTCTTCTTAACTTACTGAGGTGAAGTTTACAGAAGATAAAGTTACATTATCAAGCGTCCAATTCAGAGGCCCCGAGCACCTTGGACAGTGCTGTCTGCCCCCCGCCCCCCGAATTTTATCCAGCTTCGAATATCTCCACCACCCCTGAAGGAAAACCGGGGCCCACTAGGCAGCCACCCCCAGCACCCCGGGCCTTCTCGGGGGCTCCACCGTTCTGAGCCCCTTTCTAGCCGCCTAGGGGCCCTCTGCAGCCTTTCCACCGCCTCCGGGAGCCCTGGTTAGTTTGTGGAGCATGGTGCTTAGAAAGGACGACCTGAGCCCCAGGCGCGCTCACTGCTCCTGAGACGTCATTTCTGCTGCACCCACGATGCTTCTGGGGAGAGTCTGGCAGACGAGAGAGCTGAAGAGCAAAGTCCCCAAGAAGGCAGGGAGGTGTGGTCAGGGAAGGCTTCATGGAGGAAGTGCAGTGGGTTTCTTGGGATCCCCACCAGGCACCCCTTCCTCCTTCGACTTAGGGTGTGGCCGGCCGCAGGTTTCGGATGCAGGCGGCCGGATCGTGGGGGGTCACGCTGCCCCGGCCGGCGCATGGCCATGGCAGGCCAGCCTCCGCCTGCGGAGGGTGCACGTGTGCGGCGGGTCACTGCTCAGCCCCCAGTGGGTGCTCACAGCTGCCCACTGCTTCTCCGGGTGAGTGTCCGGGTGGGCAGGGGCAGTCTCAATGTCCAGGCCCCAGTGGGGCATGCGCCAGCGCAGAGGCCTCCACTTGGTCTTGACTCACTCCGAGGCTTGGGAACTCTGAGCCTACTTCCTTCCAATGGAAAGGGAGGAGCTGGTTGCCCACCTTCTGTGAGGTTCTGCAGCTCTTTGCTCACCTCTAGGGATGGACAGCTCCCTCCCTCCTTCCCTCCCCTCGGTCTCTTCACGTGGAGCTGAGCTTGCAATCTGCCTCCTGACCAGCCCCTGCTGGTGTCGGGCATGCTGCTGGCTTTTCCAGGGGCTGGCAGGAACCCCAAGGTGCTGCCGTGGTCCTTGGGCCCTGCAGGGTGAGGCCACTGCCCAGGCTTTCTGCGTCCCAAGCCTAGGAGGGAAGAGCTGGGCTTCGGATGCCTGCAAGGGTAGGGTCTGGGCGGGGCCGACACTGACCTCCAGCCTCCGCAGCTGGCCCCTCTCACCCAGCCACCTTCCCTCCCAGGTCCCTGAACTCATCCGACTACCAGGTGCACCTGGGGGAACTGGAGATCACTCTGTCTCCCCACTTCTCCACCGTGAGGCAGATCATCCTGCACTCCAGCCCCTCAGGACAGCCGGGGACCAGCGGGGACATCGCCCTGGTGGAGCTCAGTGTCCCCGTGACCCTCTCCAGCCGGATCCTGCCCGTCTGCCTCCCGGAGGCCTCAGATGACTTCTGCCCTGGGATCCGGTGCTGGGTGACCGGCTGGGGCTATACGCGGGAGGGAGGTGAGGAGCCCCCGTGGGGATGCTGGGATGGAGGAAGGCAAGGGCGGCAGGAAGAGAGCTGGCTTGAGGGATGCTGATGCTACCACCTGCTCCTGGTGGCTTCCACACCCAGCCAAGGCCGCCCCTATCGGCTGTCCCTTTTCAAAGCCTGTCGTGTGGATCCAAAGCAGCAGCCAAACGTCAGATCACAACCCACGTGCCGTGACGAGGGTCGTGGTGGCATGGGACTTGTGTCTGGCAAGGTCTCCCATCCCCCCAGTGCAGGGCCTGGTGCCCCAACCTTCTCTGAAGCCTGTTCCCCCCACCCCAGAGCCTCTGCCACCCCCGTACAGCCTGCGGGAGGTGAAAGTCTCCGTGGTGGACACAGAGACCTGCCGCCGGGACTATCCCGGCCCCGGGGGCAGCATCCTTCAGCCCGACATGCTGTGTGCCCGGGGCCCCGGGGATGCCTGCCAGGTGAGCCTGCCAGGCCGTGACAGAGGATGGGGGCGGCTGAAGCCCAGGGAGGGGCTCCCCATCTTCTCGGCTCCCAATGCTCGCCTTCTCTGTCCTCAGGACGACTCCGGGGGGCCTCTGGTCTGCCAGGTGAACGGTGCCTGGGTGCAGGCTGGCACTGTGAGCTGGGGTGAGGGCTGCGGCCGCCCCAACAGGCCGGGAGTCTACACTCGTGTCCCTGCCTACGTGAACTGGATCCGCCGCCACATCACAGCATCAGGGGGCTCAGAGTCTGGGTACCCCAGGCTCCCCCTCCTGGCTGGCTTCTTCCTCCCCGGCCTCTTCCTTCTGCTAGTCTCCTGTGTCCTGCTGGCCAAGTGCCTGCTGCACCCATCTGCGGATGGTACTCCCTTCCCCGCCCCTGACTGATGGCAGGAATCCAAGTGCATTTCTTAAATAAGTTACTATTTATTCCGCTCCGCCCCCTCCCTCTCCCTTGAGAAGCTGAGTCTTCTGCATCAGATTATTGCAACATTTAACCTGAATTTAAAAGCACACGAAACAAAGGTGTCAATGGGAATCTCGCGGCCAACGCCCCCAGATGTAGGGGAGGCCTGATTCGCATCGGGGCCGGGCGCGTTACTCCATGGGGTCGGCCCCTTAGTGAGGTGTCACCTCTCCCAGAGTCACAGGACGCTTCTGGGAAGGCCCGAGCGGAACGGAAAGGGTGGTGGCTGGAAGGGGAGGGTGGTGAGGGCGTGACAGGCGGACAAGAACTCAGACTGTGAGTGAAGGTGACATTGGGCCGCGGTGGCTGCAACCTGCCGCCGGCAAGGGCACAGGGCCCCCAGCGAGTGTCCTGTAACAACGCGGGGCCTGAAAGGACGCAACCTGGTACCTTCCCCTCTCTGGCGGGTGCCCGGTCTTCGTCCCACAGACGCGGCTTCTCTCCTGACGGGAGGCTGACCCAGTTGCCCGCACAGCCTCGGCTGGTAGCAAAACTCGGAGAAACCCGAACCAGAACGGACGGAGGCTCGTGGGGCCCGGCAGCTACTCCTGCTTCGCTGGGCAGAGAACCAGGGCCTGGGCCGTCATCCTCCCCGGGCCTTTCTGCTCACGACGGGACCCAAGTCAGGGTCCATGCAGGGTTCTGCCTGGGCCTCCACCCCAGCGGGGCCCCCAGACCCCAGGGCCAAAGCCGTGGGCGGCACCAAGCCCCGAGCTACACGGGGTCATCTGCACCACCCCCTGGGGCAGGGGTGGCTGAGGGGGACCCTGGTTTCTCCAGAGGACACTGGGGGACTGTGAGGTACAGCCCCCGCCTCTTCTCTGGGGGGTCACCGACGGGCATGGGAGGCTCTGATTCTGGGGGTTCCAGGGGCACTATGGCCCCTGAAGAGGAAGCTCTGGATTCTGGGGTCACACTGTGGCTACCGTCCAAGAAAGGGTCTCCACTGGGGACCCCGAGGTCCAGCGGCTCAAAGGCAAAGCTGGGGACGGTCAGGTGCTCAGCCCGGCAGGAGGCCTGGCCCCAGCGCTCCCCCTTGGCTGCAGGGTCCCCCCCGGCGCCTGAGCCCTCTGTGGGCTCCAGGGAGTCCCTGTGAGGCGTGGCCTCACAGGACGGGGTCCTGCGCCTCAGTGTGGTGCTGCCGCCCTCTGCCGCGGAGGGCCGCGCAGAGCCCTCGTCCTCCGCAGGGGGTTCCACCGAGATGCAGGGGGGGCTCATCTTCTTCTTTCTGCGCGCACCCAGAGCGGGCTCGGCCTCAGGGCCCCAGGCCTTCGCCTCCCCAGGCTCCCCGCTGCCCAGCTCCGCCGAGGGCCGCCACTGCTCGTCTGCCCGGCCCGGCTTGTCCAGGAAGCCCTGAGCATCCACGCTGTAGAGCCTGCGCAGGTCCCGCTCGCCGCCGGCCACCGGAGAGGCTTCGGGGCCATGGGGCTCGGCTGTGGGCTGCCAGGGGCAGGCGGAGCTGGTGATGTGGCTGACCTCCTCGTCGGCTGGGTCCGAGGCCTCGGCCTCCTCTCCGCCTGGGGCCGCCGGCCGGCTGGAGACGCAGCGCTGTCCGAAGGTATGCTTACGAGTGCGGACGCTGGCGGGCCGTGGGGAGCGTGGTGGGGACTGCAGGGAGCCCCCCTGGGTCACCGGCCTCACCGGGGTTTTCTCACCAGGCTCTGCAGGATCCAGGGTGTCCCTAGGGCTGTCAATCTTCCCTTCCAAGGAATCGGTGTGCACAGCCTCCTGTGGGGGCGTAGAGTCAAAGTGAGGGGCGGGGCCCTGGGAGAGCCCTGTCAGTGGCCAGGGCTCGGAGACCCCTCACCATCCAGGTACTGGAGAGGCCAAACTGGGCAGGTCCCCTGGGTGGCTCCTGACCCTCGAGATGGGGCTGGAAGCCGCTGGTGTGGACGTCCTAGTCTCACTCCTGACCTGTGAGGCTCCCGGGGAAAGCCTGTACCCGCTGCTCTGTGGGCAGAGATGCCATGGCCCCCAGGGGCACAGAGCTGAGGCTGAGGCCACCTCCCCACCCCTGGACATCAGCAGCCCAGCTGGGCACCCCCAGGATGGGGCTCTCCTAACTGCTCCTGTGCGGTACAGGCGTCTTGTACTGGGCAGCAAGAGGTAGGAAAGGGCAGGAAGAGGAGCTGAGGCTGCAGGTGGGCAAGGCTGGGACATCTGAACACAAGCCAGGACTGAAAAAGCCGCTGTCTGCCCACCACGGGACCCATGCCCACATGGGGCCTGAGAAACTGCCATCTGCCCGCCGTGGGCCCTGGGAAACTGCTGTCTGCCCACCACGGGACCTGAGAAACCGCTGTCTGCCCACCGTGGGGCCTGAAGCTGTGGGTCCAAGAAGACTCAGGTCCCTGTAGCCAAGAGCTCTGTAGCCACAGGCTCACAGGCCTGAAGACGCACCTGGGCCCAATGCTCCAAGATCCACCAAGCAGCAGGCAGAAACCTTCGGAGCCCCAAGGACCCAGTGCGACCCTCCTCCTGCCTTGTCCTCGTCTGCTGGTCCTTCAGATGAGACGAGGCATCCCTGCAAGCCCCCCATCCCCGCCAGCCTCTGCTGCAGGCCAACGGCTTCTCCTACCTGTCTGCAGAGCAGCCGGCTGAGACTGGGGGAGCGGGCTGTGCCCCGAGGGGACAGGGCGTGGAGGGGCTCGCCGCTCCTGGCTGGGGACGACACAGCCAATGGGATCTGGAGGGAGGCACAGGACTCTGCGGGCGGAGAGTGCACAGAGGCAACGGAGCCTGGGGCAGGGAAGAATCTAAGCTGGCAGCTCTGCCCCTGCCTTCCTGCCCAGCTGCCACCCACCCCCGTCCTCCCCCAACCTGCCACCATCCTCCTTCCTGGCCAGCCCCAGCCCGACCCGTCCTCTCTCTCACCTGCCCACACCCAGCCTCCTCAATCTGGCCTCCATCCTCCCTCCTGCCTGCCCCCATCCTCCTTCCCGCCCATCCTTCCTCTTGCCCTGCTCTGGCCTGACCCCATCCTCCCTCCCACCTGCCCCCATCTTCCTCCCTGTCCTGCTTCCCACCCAGCCCATATCTTCCTGCTGGCTACCATACCCAAGGGGGTGCCGGCCCCATAGGTCTCCATCTCCACCTCCTGCAGCGGGCGGGGGTGGGGCGCCGAGGCAGGCACCACGGGCCTGAACATGTAGCTGTCGTTGGGCAGCGAGAGCATCCTGGACACGGACACCTTGCGTGCAACCAGGTTTGGGGCGTCCCTGGCGCCCGGACTCTCCTGGGGCAAGGGAGGCCTGTCCGCGTCCACCCGGCGTGCACTCCCGGGGCCCTGCGCCATCTCCAGCTCGATCTCGGCGTCCAGCTCCGCATCCTCCCGTGCCTCCTTGTTGCTCTCCTCCAGGTGCTTCATGAGCACGGCCACCACCACGTTCACCAGCACGAACTGGGCCACCAGCACGAAGGTCACGAAGTAGACGGGCGACAGGGCCGGCAGGTAGCTCAGGCAGTGCTTGTCCTCACGGGAGCACTCGCGCAGCGTGTCCTGCGGTGGGGGACAGCTGTGGGCCGGGGTCCACACCCACCCGCGGGTGCCACCCTGGCAGTGCCGTCCCCTTCCCCCTGCCCTGCAAGGACGGATCCGACCCGTTCCTGGGAGAGCCTGAAAAACCGCTGGGGCTGCCAGGTGCCAGAGGCATGGCCGCGGCGGGTACCTTCATGATCCCGTTCCAGTTGTCCCCCGTGGACACGCGGAACAGCGTGAGGAAGGCCATGCCGAAGTTGCTGAAGGTGGCGTGCCTGCTCAGGCCCTCGCAGGGGTTGTCTTCACTGCACTCTGCGGGGAGGGAGACCCCGCCCGGTCAGCCGAGCCCGCTCCGGGTGGAGGCGGGACATGCACCCAGCCTCCACATGCCCCTTGGGGAGCCCAGAGGCAGGATAGCCCGGAGGATGTGGATGACGAGGCCCTGGCGGTTCGCCCTGCCTGGCAGAGGGTGACCCTGGGTGTGAGGTCGGAGCCCCTGGGCCGAGGCCCCTGCTGCCGCACCTGGGCTGGGGCTCATCAGGCCTGGCGGCTGCCATGGAAGAATCATTATTGTGTGTGTCTGTGACTGCGCGTGGCGGGGGATGAGTAGGCGCCGGCTGACCAAAATCAAGCTTACCTGGTGGACAGACACTGGACTGTGGCAACGCCACACCCACCGTCGGGACAGGGCCCGGGGGAGGGCCCTGCAGGGACTGGGCTGCCTGAAGTGGAACCCGGCAGGGGCAGGGCTGGGCCGTCTAAGGAGGGTCCCCACCTGCCCCGCCCAGCCTGGGCCGAGGCTGAGGCCTGGGTGGGGGCCTCAGGAGGCTACGGCCACCAGGTAAGGGGAGACAGCCAACATTTGTCTCCTGGGACCATGTGACGTTGGGCATGGCGTGTGTTTCCAGATGTCTGTGTGTGCACGTCTCTAGGTGTTCTTGCTTCCCCTCACGTGTGGCAGGCATCCCTGTGTCTGTGTTGCTGTGTGCACGTCCGCACACGTGTCACAAGCCTGGGCACATGCCTCTGCGTCAACACGAGACTCGGCCTCGTGCAGAAAAGGCTCCGGAAGCAGGGCCGGGTGAGGACGCCCAGGAGGCGTGTGGCCCTGATCAGGCCCCACGCTATTTGCAAGCATGTGCCTGCGTGTGAGTGGATGGGCACAGGGGCGCCTGTCAGGACCCCATGTGTGCCAGGAGGAGGGCGCAGGAGCCACTCACCCAGCCTCCCGAACAGCTCCACTCCCAGCGCAGCATAGATAAAAAACAGGAGCATGAAAAGAAGGCCCAGGTTCCCCACCTACACAAGAGAGAAGCAGAGCTGGGTCAGACGGGCGGGCAGGGAGGCCTCAGCCCACCCTGCAGGGCACTCGGCGCCTCGGCCACCAGACCCCACCTGCCCACCTTCTTCCAGGTGCTCCGGGCCCGGCCAAGTGGAAGCAAGTTCCCAGAGCTGGGCGGGGACCCCTGTTCCTCAGCCCCATGCCCCTCTCGGGGCACCATGACCTCACCAGGTAGACAGAGCCCACCCCTCTGTGCTGGCCCGCACTGGCTTCTCTCTTCCTCTGCCCTGCCCCTGAGCATCAGCCTCTGGCCCAGAGCCCACTCCACACTCTGCCCAGCAGGTTCCCCAAGGCCTAGCATGCTCTTCCTGGGGGCTCTGGCCCGCCCTGTTCAGCGGCTACCTCAGAGATCCCATGGCGGGGCCCAGGCCAGCACGCAGCTGACTGAGGGGTCCCGGCAGGTGGGCCTGGGCCTCACCCCTCCCCTGCCACGGCTCTCTTGTGAGCCACCCACCAGCCCCAGCATTTGCACACACTGCCCCGCTGGGCGGCGCACCCTCCAAGGCTGGCCAGGCCTGTCCTACGCCACGCCCCTTCTCTGCACAGCTGAGCACCTGGTGGAGTGGTACCTGGCCCTCGGGAGTGTTACTTGGACGAAGCTAGGCACGCCGCTGAGGACAGGGTGAGTGGGGACAGCTGAGGTGGGAGGCAGAAGACAGGCAGGGGGCAAGTGACAGATGGCGCAGGGACAGGAAATGGGTGGGAACAGGAGGAGGTGCCGGGTGCATAGGCAGCCGTGGGGGTTGGGGGTGGCTGGGAACATGGCTGGGCTGGTGGATGGACGGACACACGGGGGTTGGATAGGTGGACTAGAGGCTACGGACGGGACAACGTGTTGGGTCTCTTGGCCTTGGAGGACAGAAAGGATCTGGGCAGGGGCCAGGGGCACAGGAAGCAGGGAGGCTGGGCCCATGTGGGCTCCGAGGGGGCCCCGGGCCCGCAGCCGACGCCTGCATCCTGGGTGTATTCCTGTGCCCACACACACCCACCTTGGCCACCTGCTGCCCTCTGCCTGCATCCCTCTGGCTCTCCACGGCCCCCGCCTCTGGAAGTGCACCGGGGAGGGGGCCCCGGTTATGAGTCTTGCCCAGAGGATTGAGGCCAGAGGGCAGCGGCTGGATCCACCTCTGCCAGCCCAGCCAAGCCATGCACTGCACACAGCAGGGACGCAGCTTCAGCCACCACACAACCGAGGGACCAGAGAAACGAGTGAGGGGGAGAGGGGGACGGCGAGGCGCTCCCTGCAACCCCGTCTTCCGGGGGCCTGCGCTGAGGATGGCGCGGGCTCCACCTACCTGGGGGAGAGCTTGCACCACAGTGTCCAGCAGGGCGCGCATGCCCGTAGCCATCTTCAGCAGCTTCAGCACTAGGGCCGGGAGCTGAGCGTCAGCAGGGCTGGGCGGACCCTCCCTGCTGCGCGGGGACCCTGGCCGCCCCGCCCCTCACTCCCACCCATGGCTGAGCCCCCACCCTCCACCCGCAGAGAGAACCTGGCGGGCACGCGGGCACCTACCACGGGCAATGCGAAGCACGCGCATGATGCGGATGATGGTGGGGTTGATGGGCAGCGCGGCGCTCATCTCTATCTCCTCCAGCGTGATGCCCATGAGTGACAGCAGCACGATGGCCAGGTCCAGCTGGTTCCACCTGTGTGGCCGGAGGCTCAGCGCACACGTCTGGGGTCCCCGCCTCGGCTCAGCAGCGTTGCTTCTGCAGACCTCCGTGGGAAAGCCTGCGGCCTCACCTGCCCCCAGCCCCCAGAGCCCTGAGGGGCCCCCAGAACCCAAGACGGCCCCACCACACACACCTGTCCTTGAAGAACCGACGGAACCCAAATGCTACCAGCTTCAGTGCAGCCTCGAAGACAAACACGATGGTGAAGACGTAGTTGCAGTACTTGAGGGCCTCGTCCAGCGACTGGGGGTGGAGGGTCGGGCTGGCTGAGGTGGGGCTGGGGCCACCCCTCTTCCCCCTGGCTCCCACTCTGCACGCCCGAGTGCCCCCGCTGGCCGGCCCTGGAGGCTCCCAGGTCAGCTCAGTAGCTCCTCCCTGGGCACCGGGAGCCTCTTCGGCCCTCCTCCAGCCCAGCATACAGGAAGTGCTCCGTAAGTGTCTGATCAGGTGAATGAGTGAAAGGTACCCTCCCAGCATCCACAAGACCAGCTGAATGCCACTGTCTCCAGGAAGCCACCCTGAGCCCCCAGCCCATTTCACACCCTGCAGCCGTCTGTGCACCCCGATGGCAGTGTCCTGACCTCCCACCCTGTCTTCTACTGACTTGAGCACCTCGGGGACATGGGGACATGGGCTCACAGGGCCCAACTCTGAGCACCGACGGTATGCAGCCTGGGCTGGGCTGGGAGGTACTGCCCAGATGGACCTGGGAGCCCCTCACCCTCTGAGGACGAACCTCCGGAGAGGGAAGATCCTGCCCCTCCCAGCCCAGGCTCCTGGCCTCTGGCCACGGCCATCCTCGGCTCCACACAAAACGCTTTCCATAGAGCTGAGTCTGTTCAGCCTCAAAAGCTTACTGCTACCCAGAGGCTACCTCCTTCTTCTAAAAGGCTGGGAGGACGAAGTCCTTCCGCTGAGGAAAGGAGAGGATGCAGGGGGACCCGAATAAAGAAAAACTCCACCTCAGGCCTGCCTGGCTCCCGCCCCTCCCCATGGGTCGGATGCTCACGTCCTGCCAGCCCCTCCTTGGGTGGGACACTCACCTCCCGCCAGCCCCTCCTTGGGTGGGACACTCACGGCCAGGTTGGGGAGGGGCCCCAAGGACAGGGGGAGGGGAGTTTCAATCAACATTAAAAGACCCGTGTTCACACAAAACCCCACATCCCCACGCAAACCCCAGCGAGGGCTCAGCGGAGCGCCGGTCCAGGGTTGTGCCCACTGTGTTGGCTGCCCCACTGGGGGTGCCCCAGCCCCTGGGCCCCTCGCGGCCCCCTCGCACCCACCTTGGGTTGGTTATAGTGCTCCATGGACATGGTGATGACGTTGACACAGATGATGAAGGTGATGAAGAGGTCGAGATAGTGGCTGGTGCACAGCGAGTGAATGGAGCGGCGCGTGGGCGAGTAGTCGGCATAGTAGGGCCGGCGCTGGGCCTCTGCGGGGAGGGCGGCCATGAGCGCCGGGCAGGAGGGCCGCCCGGCGCTCCTGGCTCCTGCAGACTCCATTCTCCTCCTAGGTGGCCAAGTGTAGGGTAGAAGTTGGGGGCCCACGGCTCATGTGAAGATGGGGCTGGCCCTGCCTCATGGCAGGGCTCACATAAGACTGGAGAAGGGGGACTCTCTCAGGAAAAGGACCCTGTTCTAGGTGAGATGCAGCTCCCTGGGGAGCTGGCTAGGCCAGGAGGCCTGGGCTGGAGCAGGCCTTCGGGGCAGGCCACTGACTAACCTCCTCCTCAGCAACGCGGTTGCGCCAGGCAGCCCCCAGGAGTGGGTATGAAGCTGAGATGGCTCCCCCACATCCCAACTGGGTGCCTGGCAGGGCCCGCCCCCCTGGAGCTCCCAAGTTGGCGCAGCACGTGGCTGGGCCTCTGTGGTCTACTCCTTGCCTGGCCTCAGGCTGAGACACTGATGAAGGGCTGGGCAGGGCAGCCCCACTCCATCTCTGGGTCTGGGCCCACAAGGCCTCACTGGAGCAGAGACGAGAGTGTAACCTGCCCTCCTCTGGCCACCAGCCCAAGTACCTCCCCTCCCCATCCTCCAAGGGGCCATGGGCTGTGGTCTAGGGTCTGCCGGACTCCAGACCATCTGAAGTCGGCGCCCGCCATCTGCGTGTGTCCCCCAGGCAGGTGTGCACTGAATGCTCAGCCTCCAGGGCCCCTCCACGTACGAGGAGGAGCTCCCGCGGGTGAAGGCGTGAGCTGCCACCACACCCCAGGACCTGCCTCGGCCACAGAACCACACACGGGTGGGGACTGCTGGCCCAGGGCCTGGAAGAGCAGGATCCACCCGCCACCCGACCCTCATGCTCTGCGGCCGGCATGCAGTCACTGAAGCACTCAGCGCAGCCCGGGCAGCCGGAGAGGGCCCGCGGCCAGTCAGGCTGGACCAGCAAGGACACAGGACAGCCACAAGCCTGCAGGGGTGTGGGCGGCCCCTCGTTGCTCTGGGTGTCCCGGCGCACGGCGGAGATGCAGGCAGACTGTGAGCCGGGCAGAGCCGCACGCGTGCACGCACACAGCAGCCCGGACACTGGCGGGCGAGCGCAGCCCCTCCTCACGCCACACGCCCAGCACCTCCGGCTGCCTGTGCCCACCCTGCGGAGGACCCCAGCAGGCCTGGGATGCCCGCCCTTCCCCGAGCAGCGGCCGCAGAAGCGGGGCCTGAGGCATGCGGGACAGGGCCGGTACCTGGGCTGGGGAAAGTGCCTGGAAAGACAAGGAGATGGTCTGAGGGCCGAGGGCGTGGCGCACTCGGGCCTGGAGCCCTCCCTGCTCTCCCTCAGCCCCCGTGTCTCGGGGGCTGTGCTGGCTCCTCGTGGAGTGAGGACTCGGTGGGGAACCTGCCTCTTGGGCGCTGGGGATGGGGTTGGGGGTGTCTCCTCCTCTCCTGCCATGGC
The DNA here is from genome assembly GCF_000001405.40 of Homo sapiens. NCBI lineage: Eukaryota > Metazoa > Chordata > Mammalia > Primates > Hominidae > Homo > Homo sapiens. Next base: position 1,212,319 of record NC_000016.10, on the reverse strand, counting down.
GGGCTCCCCGACGGCCCTCTCGGGCCAGCCCCTCCAAGGCCCAGCCCCCATGCAGGCCCAGGCAAGGCGGGTGGCGTGCAGAGCCATTCGGGGAGGCCGGGGCGGGAGTGGAGGGGCTGGAGGGCCCGGTGGGCACACAGGTACCGACCCGCCACCGCCACCGCCACCGGGAGCGCCTTACTCCTGCGCCTCCTCTCTAGGCGCCGCAGCCGCTTCTCCTCTCGCCGCCGCGCCTCCTCCGCCTCCTGGTGCTGCCGGCACTTGTGGAAGTTCTCGACCACGACGCCCACGAACATGTTGAGCACGAAGAAGCTGACGATGAGCAGGAAGGAGATGAAGTACAGCAGCATCCAGGGGTTGTGGTTCTGCACAGGCTGTGGCACAGAGGCGGTGGGTCCCCGCCCGCCTGCCCCGCCAGGGGCCCTACCCAGGATGGCCCCCCGAGTCCCCAGAGGCCAAGGCAGCCGCTCGCGGGAGACCCTGAGGTGACCCAGCTCGACCCGCCTGTGCGCACCTGCTGGTCGACACCCACGGCATCCAGCCCGTCGTACATGATGTTCACCCATCCATCCTTGGATGACAGCACGAACAGCGACATCAGGGCCTGAGGGCCAGAGCCAGGGTCACTGGCGAGGGTTAGAGCTGGGGTCGCCGGCCCTCTCGCTCCAGGGTGTCCTGGAGACCCCCAGCTCCCGCCCGGCCGCCCAGCCCACCTGGCCCAGGTTGTCGAAGTTGTACTTGCGTCGCACCCAGCGGTAGTGGGCGGCCCGGCACTGTGCCTTGGTGGAGATGTTCCTGGTGTCGGGGCCCTCGCAGTAGTAGAACTTCCCTTTGAAGAGCTGACGGGGTGCGACGGTCACCGCGGAGGGCCTGGCCTGTGCCCCACCCCACACCGGACTTCCTGGGGCGCGAGTGAGGCCCGAGCTGTCCCTCCCCGTCCCGCAGCGGCGCTGCTGGGAGCCACGCTGGGAAGGCAGACCCTGTCTGCGACGGGGCAGACCCCCGGGCACGTGGGGGCCACACACCTGCACACCCAAAATGCCAAAAATGATGAAGAAGGCGCAGCAGATGAGGACGATGTTCCCAATGGGCCTGAGTGATGATATCAGCGTCTCCACCACCAGCTTGAGGCCCGGGGCCCGGCTGATGACCCTGGAGGGGAGTGAAGGATACACTGCAGTCATCTATGGCAGCAGCTGCCAGGCGCCGGCAGAGCTCAGCAAAGGTCCCAAGGTGGGGCCGAGTGGGCGGCCTGCGAACAGCCCAGGACTGCGGGAGGAGTAATGGGCAGTGGCGTCAGGGGACTGTGCTTCCAGGTTGCCCCGGGAGCCCACGGGGAGCCCCCCACCTCAGAGGCCGCAGGGTCCGCAGCAGACGCAGCACGCGCAGAACACCCAGGATCTTGGCGCCACCAGCCGAGGCCATGGCCACGACAATGTCCACCAGGGACACCAGCACCAGCAGCCCATCCAGCAGGTTCCAGCTGCTCTGCAGGTAGGCGTGCTCGCCGGACAGCAGCCCCAGGGCCACCACCTGCGGAGGGCCAATGGCACTGAGCTCAGGCTCAGGCGTGGGGGGTCTGGGGAGCTGGCGCGCTGCTGGGTGGGGGTGGGGATGAGGGCAGAACGGGGACCTGGGAACAAGGGCAGTCCCCGGGCCCCGCGGTACCTTCACCATCATCTCCGCCACGAAGATGGCCGTGAAGATGTAATTGGAGACGCTGAGGAAGACCCGCTCCTGCCGGGAGAGGACGGTGGGGGGCTGTGTCCACTCCACCCCTCCCTGGGGGTCGTGGTGGCCCGGGACGATGGGGTTGGCTGACTCACGGTGCTGCCGGGATCAATGTCAGGCCTCTCCAGGGCGATGGTGACGCAGTTGAGGAAGATGAAGACGAGGACCACGTGATCAAACATCTTGTGTGTGATGACCTTCTGGCAGGAGACGCGGAACCTGGGTGGGCGGGGGCGGGTGAGAGGTGGGGCGGGGCGGCGTGGATGGCAGAGTGGATGGGGGTTGCAGGACAGCCCTGGCCACGCCTCCACTTCAGCCCCGGTCCCTGCGGTGTGAGAAGGGGTGCCCACTCGGAAATATCCACCATGTGCTAGCCCCACCCAGGAGGGACCTGGGGGCGGGGGTCCCGTGGGGTGGAACTAGCCATGCAGCCTCCTGACCCGGCCGCCTCACCGGTTCTGTGGGGAGAAGAGGTAGAGGGCCCAGGCCTCGCGGCTCCGGCACCACTGGGGCTTGTAGGGCTCCAGCACTTTATGCAGGCGGAGGCAGCAGCTCTGTGGGATGAGGCGGCGGCTTCTCAGAGCCTGCGCCTGCCTGCCCGGCCCCCCATCAGGGCCCTCTGTGCTCAGCTCGGCCACCCCTCCCAGCACCTTCTCAGCCTTCTCCATCCTCACTCCTCACCCGCTGGCCTTTGGGCTCTGGCTTTCTGGCCTCTGGGGCCCATACCGTGGAGCCTCCCCCTTCCCTACGCTGGTGACGGCAGAGTGACCCGTGCTGGAGTCCACGGGGCCAGGTGAGCGGGTGCTCTTGGGTCCCTGACTCTGGGAGTGGTCCTTGACCCACGGAAGCCTGAGAGCCTAGCGGATGCCTGGCCCTGCCTCGGCAGCAGCTCTCGGCCAGTGGCTGACCCACGGCGCAGAGCCCAGCCCCCGTATGCAGGCCGTGCGTGGAGCGTTTAGCTCACAGCCCCTAGACGGCAGAGGGGGGACTCTGGGATCATCTGTGGCTGAATCCCTGAACACTGCTGGATTCCTCCCTGGCCTGGCCTGCTTCTCTCCCCTTCTGAATCCCCTCAGTCAACAACACGCCCTGAATCCCATCTCAAACCCCACTTGAGGGAACCTGCCCCAGACAGACGAAGGCGAGTCGGCGGTGGGCCCAGGGCCACGCACTCACGTCCTCCGAGTCGTCGTCAAGCTCGGCTGCATCCTCACGGTGGCTGTCGATGCGCAGGAAGAAGTCGCTGGGCAGGGCCACCACCTGCCCGTCGCGATCGCGGCACTTGGTAGGCGGGAGGGCGGCCGGCCGCAGGGGCCGTGGGTCCAGGGACTCGGCCCGCCGCAGTGGGGTGGCACGGGGCCCGGGCGCGGCCCTGCCGTCCTCAGCTTCGTCGTCGGTGCTGCCCTTGCCCTCGCCAGACAGCAGGGACTCACGTTCCCCACACTGGCCGCGGCGCTTGAGGCTGGGGGCACGGCCCAGGCTGCTCCAGCTGGAGCGCCGGCTGCTCCAGGCGCCACTGGGGCCCCAGGGGGCACAGGGAGAACTTCGGAGGCTGGCCTGGGGGGTGGCGGGAGTCAGTGACCTGGTGGCATCACTATTAGCACCGACCGCTGTCATTACGGAGCACCCACTGTGTGCAAGCCACACGTGGATCATTTAATGCATAGCCCCGCCAGGGAGGCACGGTGGAGGCTGTGATTTTAGGGGGACACCGAGCCAGCCACAGGCGTAGCTCATGAGGGTCAGGGTGTCCGCCTCGCGGGGGTGATGCCCTGGGCTCTGCTGGGTCAGGGGCCAGAACCAGCCCAGGACCAGACAAAGTGTGGGTGGCCCCCGTGTCCCCAGGAGCACACTGGGCCTGCGGCTCTGCCTCACAGCTGCCCCGCTTCCTCCCCTGCTAGGGCGTCTGGCTCACTCCCATCCTCCGTGTCTGTTGTGGGTGGTACTGCCTGGAGTTCGTTTCAAAACTGCTCCCCTCCAGTCCCCCTGGACCCAGAGAGATGCCCTGGCCGTAAAGGGAATCGGGCTGCTTCTGGTGGCAGCGGAACCCCCGCCTGGCCTGCCGTCTGCTTGCCGGGCACGCTTCTGCCCCTGCTTGCTTCGGTCTTTCTGTGCTGTGCGCTGTGCACTCTGCTAGACTGTTGGGCGCACAGAGCTTCCGCGTCTGCCCCTTCACACCGGCCTCACACAACAGCAGCCACAGCTTCCATTTCCGGAAACCAGAACACTCTTTCTCAGTCTCTGCACAGGCTGGGACTTCAAGGGTGTGGGGGGTGCGGCCCTCACTCATCTTCAGGGAAGGCCATAAGGAGCCAGGCAGGGAAAACCTGAAGGGGCCTGAGAGCTGGGGCAGGAGATGGTCCCTACCGGAGGCTTCTGGTCTCCCAGTGGCGGGTCCCCGGAGCTGCTGCTGCCACGCCGAGAGTCTGGGAGGCTGGGGGCTGCATCCAGGAATGGTGAGCTCTTGGGGGTAGGCATGGGCGTGGCAGCTGTGCACATGATGAGGGGAGGGGACAGGCTGCCTCGTCCCTCCAGGTGCCCGTTGGGGGTCACGGCCAGGGAACACATCTTCAGCTCTGCGGGACAGAGGGAGGAATGGGCCCCTAGAGCTGCCAGGCTCCCAGGACCAGGAATCCCCCAACCTAGGGATTGCCTTATGGGGGCCCTGCCCGGCCAGCCCAGCGTACTCCACCCGCCAGAACCCGGACCACCCACCGACCACACGCACCTGTGGTCTGGAGTTCTCTGAGCTTGTGGAAGTCCTCCTCGAAGTGGACCGACGTCTTGTCCTCGTCCGTGTCGGATCTGTTGGCATCGCCCTAAACCCAACAAAGCACAAGGCAGGCATGAGGGGCCCCGTGAGTGGGGACCCTTCATGCCGGACAGAAGTCTGGGCTGGCCTGGGAGGTGGGGTGTGGACAGAAGGGCCCAGAGGATGATGTCACTGCCAGGGTGGGCAGGTAGGTGAGGAATCTGCCTCTCCCGACCGACCCCTGCCCACTCCGCTGGGCTCCTGGCCTCCCCTCTCCTCATGGCAGCCAGCTTCCCTTCTCTATCCCTCACCTCTTGGCAGGCCCCCCACACCCCTCCCCTCGACCTGAAGCCCGTCTCTCTTCTCATCGCCCTCCTCCTGGCAGCCCCTCTCCCTGCCCCCTCACCTCCGCCTGGAAGCCCTCCACGAGGATGGCCACCAGCAGGTTGAAGAGCACATAGTTGCCGAAGGTCATGAGGGCCACGAAGTAGAGGGCGGCCCAGGAGGAGGTGGAGGCCATGCCGTTGTACAGGACCACGTTCCAGTCCTCCTGGGTCAGGATCTGGGGGATAGCAGGGGGCCTGGGGTGGTCACCCCAGCCCCGAAATGCCGGCAAGTCCTTGGGGCAGAGGCAGCTATGGATGCGCAGGACGGCACCTCCACCTCTCTGGGGACCACACTCAGCACCCAACACTGCTGCGGGGACCCCGGGCACTACCTGGAACACGGTGACGATGGCCCACAGCAGGGAGTCGAAGTTCTTCCTGTCAGGCACGGTGTCTCCGGTGTCTGTCTTCAGGCTGAACTTGCAGCCGAAAAGGTGCATGCCCAGGATGCTGAGGGTGGGGGCAGGGGCGTGTTGAGGGTGGAGGCAGGGGTGTGCTGAGCGGAAGAAGGTGGGGGAGCGGGAGGGGGGTGGGAGGAGGGAGGGGCAGGACTGGCTCTGCCCGTCTTGGCTCTCCTGGCCTCCTACCCTCCCTGGGCGCCCGAGCTCTCTAGCTTAAAAGGGACTTCCTGCCCTACAACTCAGTAGTGTCCATTCCACAGGCGAGAGAACCAAGACCAGAGGCGGGACAGACAGAGGGAAGCCACTCTGGATTTGGGTGGCAACTGGAACCTGGGACACCTGCCTCATTCAGCCTCTCTGGACTGTGAAAGCCCGGCCTGCCTGGCTGCCTAGCCTCCAGCCGACCCTGACCCTGAGCTCCAGGCTAGACGGGCACACAGCAGGCGCTCAGAACACCCCAGTTGGAGCCTGGTGCCTGCCCCCACCCCCGGTATTCTGCTCTTGAGTAAATCCCCAGCTTGTCCACCTGGCGGCCCATCTCTGACCCCTGCCATCTGACTCCCTGCATGTCTAACACGTGGCACACAGTAGGGGCCCAATCAGTGCTTCTCAAATGAAGGCAGCAGAGGCCGAGTGTCTGCAGATGCTCTGGGGCTGCTGGTGGGAGGGCTCCTTCTCCTTCGGGGGGTGCCCTGGGCCTTTGCCTCCCAGCTGCCCTGGGGTGAGACACTGGGCGGGCCGGGAGGGGGGTTGCGCCCACCTGAAGATGAAAATGAAGAGCATGAGCAGCGTGCAGAAGGTAGCCACGTTGTCCATGGTCTTCACCAGCACCACGAGCTGGCGCCGCAGGGCTGGCAGAAAGCGCACCAGCTTCAGCACACGCAGCAGCCGGAAGGTGCGCAGCACAGACAAGCCACCGTCCGCCTGCCCCACGATCTCCCAGACGCTGCGGACAGGTGGGGGCGAGGGTCAGCGGGGCCACGATCCCTGACCCCAGGCCCTCGTCCCACTGGAAGCAGGGTCACCAGCCAGGGAGCCACAGCGGCCTGTGCTGCATCCCACAGATGGGAGAGGGTATGGCTGCATCAAGGTGCATGAACAGCTGCGGAAGCACCTCAAAAGCCGCTTATCCGCTGATGGCCCCGGGGGCTACCCGGCCCCCAGTGCCCCCTGGGAAAGAAGCCTGGCTCTGGCCAGGGCAGGGAAGCTCCTTCGCCGAGGGCGCTCTCCTATCCTGGGCCTTCCACAGCCAGACCTGGCTTGTCCGTTCTGCTCACTCCCTCCCCGCCCCAGGATGGGAGACCCTGCACCCCTCTCTACTCTTGAGGGATGAGCGTCCTCCTAGGGGAAGACCGGGGGCGTTTCCCCTCAAATTTTCCCAATCCTTTCTGGTTTAATTTTCTTGTAGCAAATGCTCCTCCAGCAGCAAGCAGGATTCAGCCTTTTAAGCTGGTCTTTCTCGCTCGGCCCTGAGGCCACCCCACACCTGCTTTGTTCCTGCAGGAAACAGCTCCGCTAGTTTCTAGAAACATCTGAGACGCAGCTGACCTAACAGGTGCGCACCCCGTAGTGCCTGCAGGGAAGCATAGCGTCTGGGGAGGGGACTCTGCCCAGGACGGTCCCTTGGGCCACTGGGGTCACCAAGCACCTGCTTCCCACGGCCTGTCATAAAGAGCTATCGTCGTACTTCCTCCTGTGCTCTGGGTTTTGCTCTGCAGGTGGGATTTCTGCCAGAGAGTGGAGCTTCCCGGGCCCCTCTTCCTGGGGAGAGGGTGGGGACCCACCTGATGACCACGATGATGCCGTCGAAGATGTTGTACGGGTTCCGGATGTAGCCCAGAGGGCCGCAGGCCAGCAGCTTCAGCAGCATCTCCAGGGCAAACATGCTGGTGAACACGATGTTGCTGATCTCCAGAGCATTAGTCAGCTCCTCGGGCTGCAGGCAGAGGTGGGGACAGTTCAGGAGGCCGCACCCGCGGCTCCCACCCCTCACCGGCACTGATCTGGGGCCCCCACCCGTGGCTCCCACCCCTCCCCGGCACTGATCTGGGGCCCCACCCGCGGCTCCCACCCCTCCCCGGCACTGATCGGGGCCCCCACCCGCGGCTCCCACCCCTCCCCGGCACTGATCTGGGGCCCCACCCGCGGCTCCCACCCCTCCCCGGCACTGATCTGGGCCCCCACCCGCGGCTCCCACCCCTCCCCGGCACTGATCTGGGGCCCCACCCGCGGCTCCCACCCCTCCCCGGCACTGATCTGGGGCCCCACCCACGGCTCCCACCCCTCCCCGGCACTGATCTGGGAGCAGGTTTGGCTGCATCAAGACCCAAAGGGTCAAGAGGGCTGCAGCAGCATCTCAAAAGGAGCCTAATCAGCTGCCGTCTAGAGAGGAGGCCAGGAATCCAAGGAGATCCCCTCCAGTGGAGGCTCGGCACACCTGGTCTCCTATCCTCACCATCCCCGGCTTTCTAGAGCCCTGCCTGACCGTCCTACCATCAGGTCAGGCATCGGGGCTGCTGGAAGCCTCCTGAGACTCCCCAGGCCCTGCAAGCCTGACAGGGAGCCCACCCCGTGGCCAGGCCAGCCCGCACCTGCTCATGGTACTCCACGCCCATGCTCAGCGTGTTGACAAGGATGGCCATCATGATGCCACGGCTGAAGTACTTGCTGTCCACGATGCGGCGCAGCTTGCCGCTGAAGGTAACCCAGAGGCGGCCCATCCAGCCTGGCTCGCCCGGGGCTGCCCTCTGCTGTGCCCGCCGCTGGGGGCTGCCTGGGCCTGGGCCTGGTGTGTCCGTCGCACGGGGTGGTCGCGTGGGGTCCCAGCGGTCACCGTGCCGGACGTCCTGCGTGAATTCATAGACGCCACGGCCATCTGAGTCTCCACTTTCCGAGCCGCTGAGCTCACCCTCCGGGTCCTCCAGGGCACGGGTGCAGTACGGGCAGCTCTTCAGCTCACAGGTCAGTGTGCCCGCTGGGGGGCTGGGCAGGGGGCAGGGCACACTGAGGCCCGACAGATGGCCAGGGGCCTGGCCCAGTCCTGCGGGAGAGGGCACAGACAGGGGCAGGCCCACTCAGTGGTGCTGCCACAAGGGCCCGGGAACCCTCACACACAGGAGCGGTGGGGTGAATGTGTCCCCCCCAGAAAGATCCATCCAGAGTCCAACCTCCAGAACCTGTGACTGGACTTCACAGAAAGCAGGATCTTTGCAGGTGTCATGGGTTACAATGAGGAATGAAGCTATCCCGGAGTAGGGAGGGCCCTGAGCCACGACTGTTCCAATAAGAAGAAACCAAAGAGCCATGTGAAGACAGAGAGACCGCAGGGACGTGTCGACAAGCCGGGGACTTGCAAAACCGCCAGAACTTAGGAGAGGCGAGGAGAGTTCTCCCCTAGAGCCTCCAGAGGAAGCAACCCTGCAAGGCCTGGATTTTGGAGCACTGGCCTCCAGAGCTGAGTGATTTTCCGCTGTTCTAAACCCACTAGTTCGTGGGTACAGCAGCCACAAACATCAGAAAAACCATACATTTGGGCACACACCTGGGCACACACACCCAACCCCCACAGCCGCATTCCTGCTCACGTACTGGGGCAGGGACACACTTAGGTGCAGAGACGTTTGCCTGCCTTGGGCTGTGCCATCCACAGAAATATAACAGCAGCCACTTCCCAGCAGCCACAGCACACAGGCGAAGTTAGCTACGGGATTCTGTTTGACTCGATGCGAGCAAACCATGGTTACTCCAACACGAAACTGACATGAAAATGACCATCGAGCCGTCCTGTGATGTTTTCGTGCTGTCTTTGGAGCCCGTGTGCCTCTTATAACACACAGCGGCTGGACTCCCACAATTCAAGGGCTAGGAGCATGCGCCCGACACTCGTCTGCACGCCCTGGGTACCAGCGCATGAGGGCACACAGCATCCCGGCACCCTCGGCACCCTCGCTCGCACCTCTCCCCACCACGGGGGACACACCCCCGCCTGCGTCTCTACATCTGTGTACAGAACCAGGAAGGGCCCCCAGGCCCGTGTGGAACCCTACCATCTGGGGGCCCTGGAGTCTCCCATTCACCTGGTGGACAGAGGCCCAGGCCCCGCATAGGAGAACCCCACGCCAGCCTCTCTTCCTGACTCTCGGTGACTCTGCGACGGTGCCTCCCCCACACTCCCCCACTCAGCGTCCCCACCTAGAAGGGGGGCCAGCCTCAATGGCCACGAAGGACGCTGCACGTCCTCCAGGGAAGCGTCCAGGCTGTGGACACAAGCATACGGTCCCTCTCGGGGCCAGGCAGGGGCAATGGGATGCTGCCCCAGGAGGGTCTGACAAGCCTTGTCAGATTCAAAATCCCACCTCCGCGGCTACCACTCCTGCCATGAGCTGTGGGCCACCGGGAGCTTGCTTTGGCGCTGTCAGGGGCGGGACCTGCCTCTTTCCCCTTCTTATGGGCTCCAGAGGCATAGCTGGTCTGTTTCACAAGTCAAAGCTGGGCTCATCAGAGTGCCCACAATGGGTGTGGGAATGACACACCGGAGACCCTGCCCGCCCTGCCTAGGTCCCACCGCCTCCTCCGTGGGGTGGGGCTGGGTCCTCACCATGCTCCCCGACCACATGCGGGATCTTCTCGTAGGGATCAGGGCTGTTCAAGCTCAACGGGCCGTGCCCCCCGGTGCCTGGCGGTCCACCGGCCCACTTCCCCTTGGGTCCGGGGCTGGTGCTGCCTTTGCCGCTGCCCACCCCTGAGGGCAGGATCGTGGGGTAGTTCATGGTGCCCAGCCCTGTGGCCAGTCTGAGGCTGGCAGCGGCAGTGGCTGCGGCATGTGCCACCCGGGCCCTCTCCTGCGGCCCCTCTATGTGGCAGTCGGCATGGTAGATGCTGTGCACAGACTCTGCGTCGGGGGGTCCGCGGCCTGGGGAAGGTGGCGAGGGGGGCGCGCCAGCTCGGACCAGCCTGGTGTCGCAGGCGCCTGGCTCGGGGCCGGGCCTGCGGGGGCTGCCATGGCTGAAATGGTAGTGGTGGTGGTGGTGGTGATGGTGGTGGTAGACCAGGTGGTGCACCGAGGCTGTGTGCCTGCCTGCCCGGCGCTGGCGGTGCCCGGGACCCTGGCCTTGCACAGCACTGGGGTCCACCTTCTTGCGCCAGCGGCTCTGCCAGCGGGCGTAGAGGCGCAAGCTGCGCCGCTTGACCTTGCGGAATATGTGGCCCACGTACTTCAGCAGCTCTTCGTAGCAGCTGCCAGGCTCGGAGAAGCTGGCCAGCGTGCTGTCGTTGGACAGGTGGCGTGCCCGCTGCTCCCGCATCAGCTGACTCTCCCGCTGCTTCGTCTCCGAGAACTGCGTGGCAATCACCACCAGGCACAGGTTGATCATGAAGAAGGAGCCCACCTGTGACGGGGGCGGGCGGGTAAGTGGCAGTGAGTGAGCGAGTCTCTGATTCGCCACTGAGCCCTACTGTGCGCTGCCTGTTCGAGTGGGGGCCGCGTCACAGGCACAGTGGGCGAGGTGCCCTGCTATGGGCAGGCTGCTGCGGTGTTCAGTGCTGAGCCCCCACGTCTGGAGCAGACGGCATACAGTAGCTGCTTTGTGCCTATCTGGACAAAAGACCTGGAACCCTCTTTCCTGCTTCTCCATGTGGCTCGGCCCCTCCTTTACCTGCAGATCTGGCCTTGAGATGACCCTCTCAACGGTGGCCACTCTCCCCTCCCCAGCACCCCAGGTGCGTTTCCTCCTTAGCATGGACCAGCGTGCAGCAAGTCTCTAATCGTTCGCTTCGCTTGCTCTCTCAGAACAAGCTGGGGACGTCTGTCTGCTTCTGTTACCTACTAGGTCCCCGCAGGGTGGCTCTAGGTATACCTAGGACCCCACAGACGTCTGCGGCCTGATTAACCCAACTCTGCCAGGACCCACTGGGGCCTATGAGAGGACCAGCTAAGGAGCACACCTGGGGCCACACACGCCCGTGGAAAGCGGTGCTGGGAGGCTATGCACTCCCCAGGGTGTTCCTGGCTCTTCAGCCCTGAGCCAGCACCCACAGGCCTGGACCCTGTCTAGGTGATGCCATGGCCTCTTGGGGTCCCCAGCCACACCTCCCCACCCCCGCAAGCTCTGCCTCCCTCCCCTGTGTGCTCCCTTCAGCTGGAAGACAGACAGGAGCCCCTATGACCACCCAGGTACCCCACCCCACCCCCAGCCAGCTAACACCAGGGCCCATCATGGCGAACACTGCCGCCCACACTCACGATGATGAGCAGGATGAAATAGATGAAGTTGTAGAATGAGTGGGCGTCCATGACGTAGTACATGATGTCCACCCAGCCTTCCAGCGTGATCACCTGGGGGGGCAGTGGCTTGACTTGGGCCCGCACGACCCCTCCTCCTCCTCCCCGTGCCCCTGGGGTCTGGGCTGGGGGGGGCGAGTCCTGCACCCGCTCCCCTGCCGTGCCCCAGGGTCCCCGTCCCACCATCTTGCCGCCCACCTGGAAGATGGCAATCCAGGCGTAGCCGATGTTGTCGAAGTTGATGGCACCGTTGTGGGGGTTGGAGTCACCCGAGCGGCACACGTTGTAGTACTGGTTCCAGTTGATGCAGGCGTTGCGTGCAGCGCCCACCCCCTCGGCCTGCGGCTGCGTGTAGGCCTCCCAGCCCAGGGTGCAGGGCATGCGCAGCTCGCGGCGGCCGGGGATGTGCGAGCACTTCTGCATGCCGTTGTCTCGGCGTGAGGAGCAGATGAACGGGTTCTCCTCGCCCTCCTCCGTCTGGTAGTACGGCCGCAGGAAGGTCAGGTTGTTGTTCCTGGGGATGGGCACAGCCAGGGCCAAAAGGTACAATCAGGGTCAGGGACGGTCAGAGTCGGGGGCACGATTGTGATCAGGGACGTGATCAAGGTCAGGGACGTGATCAGGGTCAGGGCCAGTGGACTAATCATGGTTAGGGAGGCACGGTTAGGGTCAGGGGGCATGATAGGACTGAGGGTCAAGACCCGGATCAGGGGACACAGCCAGGACCAGGGTCAAGAACACAGTGGTGCTGCAGAAACCACACTCTCCTCAGCCCAAGTCCACAGAGACAAACACACAAAGAACAGGGATGGACAGAGAAATCAACAAAGAACAGCACAGACAAACAGGGAGGGAGACCCAAGAGCCAGAAACCCAGGCTCAGACCTCAGCAACTCCTGGAAGCGGATGAGGGGCAAAGGGCAAGGGACGAGGGGAGGGAAGCCTGGGGTGAGGGAAAGGAGGCAGCCCTGGGGTGAGGGCTGAGAGGATCCAGGGGTGAGGGCTGAGGGCAGGGAACCCCGGGGTGTGGGCTCAGGGGACCCTGGGGTGAAGGCTGAGGGGAGACTCGGGGGTGAGAATTGAGGGGAGAACCCGGGGTGAGGGTTGAGGGGACCCCGGGGTGAGGGCTGAGGAGAGACTGCAGAGCAAGGGCCGAGGGGAGACCCTGGGGTAAGGTGTGACGGACTCTGGGGTGTGGGGAGGGGATGAAGTGTTGGGACTAACCTGTCTTGGGGGCTGAGAGGTGGCAGCACTGGGGGTGGGACATATGTGCAATGACCGCACGGTGGGTGGAGCCATGATGGGGGTGGGGCATATATGCAGCGACCGCACGGTGGGCGGAGCCATGATGGGGGTGGGGCATATGTGCAGCGACCGCACCGTGGGCGGAGCCATGATGGGGGTGGGGCATATGTGCAGCGACCGCACGGTGGGCGGAGCCATGATGGGGGTGGGGCATATGTGCAGCGACTGCGCGGTGGGCGGAGCCATGGTGGGGGGTGGGGCATATGTGCAGCGACTGCACGGTGGGCGGAGCCATGATGGGGGTGGGGCATATGTGCAGCGACCGCACGGTGGGTGGAGCCATGATGGGGGTGGGGCATATGTGCAGCGACCGCACGGTGGGCGGAGCCATGATGGGGGTGGGGCATATGTGCAGCGACTGCGTGGTGGGCAGAGCCATGGTGGGGGGTGGGGCATATGTGCAGCGACTGCGCGGTGGGCGGAGCCATGGTGGGGGGTGGGGCATATGTGCAGCGACTGCACCGTGGGCGGAGCCATGTGGGGCGGTGACTGCCAGCTGGGCGGAGCCATGATGGGGGGTGGGGGCGGGAGACAGCATGGTGGACGGAGCCATGACGGGGACAGCAGTGGCGGGGCGGGTGACTGCACGGTGGGCAGAGCCACGTGGGGCGGTGGAGCCACATGGTGCGTTATCTGCATGGTGGGCAGGGCCATCTGGGCAGGGGCCTCACGGGGGTGGGGCCTGGGCACCTGACAAAGGCACTGTCCAGGAAGCAGCGGTTCCGCAGGAGGCCAGCCCAGAGCTGGACGCCAACGATGCCGAAAATGAAGAAGACGAAGAAGCACAGCAGAAGGACGTTCCCGAGCATGGGCAGCGTATCCAGCAGCAGAGTGACCAGGATCCGCATGCCTGTGGGCAGCAGGGCCAGGATTGGCACTGCTAAGCCCTGCAGGAGTGTCCTCGGGGCTGCAGCCCCTCCCGGGACCCCCGAGCCCCGTCCACTGTTCACAGTGGGTGTCCACGCCCACTGCACACTGACTCGGGCCACCCCCTGGTGATTTTCCCGCACCCCTAGTGTGATCGGGACTCCCCTCCTACCACCACCGGCCTCCAGGGACACTGACACCCTGGGGTCTGACGTGCATCCAGCGGGGCGCCAGGTCTCCACCTCCAACCATCCCAGGGCAGCAGGTCTGCTGCTTTTGGAGGGCTGGGGTGTGGAGGGGCAGGAGTGGAGGCAGGGGACTGGCCGAGGCAGGGAACTGGCTGCGGCAGGTCTGACCACGTGGCATCTCGGGCTCGGGATGACCAGGCGGAGCCCAGTGGCCCTCGAGGCTTGTCTGGCGACACCCTGAAGTTGCCACCAAGGCAGCAGGAGCCTTGGGAGCCCCAGAACCTCAGGTGGTGGGCTGCCTCCTGGGGGTCTCTGCAGCAGGTCTGGGATCCTGAAAACTTTGTCTGATTCCCAGTGAGAATCCTGCCAGAACAGAGCCCCATCTCAGAGAGAGGCTGCTGGAGGCGGTGGGGAGGACCGGCAGCGGCTTTTCAGGAGGTAGCACTGAAGCCATCGGTCCTGGGTGCTATGGGCTACGTGAACTCCAGATTAATCCAGCAAGTGGGTCAGCCAAGCCCCACGCGCCCCTCGCTCCATCCTGGGCCTGCTCCCCCAAGACGTCCTTTCCCTCAAATTTAATCAAGGGCCAGGCTAAGGCAGCAGGTAAAGCCCTGGGCCAGGAACCTGGGGACGCTGAGTTCTCACCCAGCACCCAGGGGTATCAATGGCAAAACGGGCCCCTCAGGTCACAAGGGTGAGTCAGAGCCAGGAGGAGCACTGAAGTGTCAAAAGAGCCGACCGGAGCAGACAATCAGTGAGCACTGCCCTGGCCAGACCGCAACCGCCTCAAAGATCACAGATGACCCAGAGGTCAGAGTGGACCCCTAGCCAACAGAACAGGATGCAGCCCTGAGCGTGTCCTCATTATGAGAAGCGTATTATCCAGTCTGGAAGAGTTCCCTAGTTCTCTCCTAGAGACAGGAGCAGATCCCCAGGAGGCCAGGCTGCTGGCGACAATTAGGGCCACTCTGGCAATTTAACCTGAAAAGTAAACATCCATGGAAGGAAGGGGCTGTGTGTGCTGGGTTGCTTCACGCTTCAACAGGTGGGGCCAGGCCGGCGTGCAGACTGAACGTACAGTGGGTGCCGGGCAAAGGGCCAAGAGCCACACACGCGTCCCCTCACCGCACGCTCAGCCACCCTTGGGGTCATGGTTACTCCTGTACTGCACTATTCCAGGAGAAACTGAGGTTCAGGCTCAGCTAGTTGCTCAGAGTCACACAGTATTCAAGCCCTATCTGAGCCACACAGTAGAGCCAAGGCAGGCAGGTGGAAGGCAGGCTCAGGGACCAGCGGCACGAGGATGACCCACCTGCCCTTCGGGAAGCCAGAGGCCCCATGGGAAGGAGTGCCTAGCCTTGGGGGTCTGTGACTTTGGGGGGTTGCTGCAGGTCAAGCCCTGAGTGCCAAGGCCACCAGGACCCAGGTCAGGCAGCCAGAAAGGCTGTGTTACACCCGCACGTGCACACACGGGGCCACATCTACACGCAGTATGCACTCGCGCCTGGTACGGCCTCGTGGGGGCCGCGCCGACCCCCAGGAACCAGAGCAGTTGAATGTAGCCCTGAGTGCTTAAAGAACGATCCCACCCCATCCCCTGATGCAGGTGGGTGGCCCGGATTTGACAGGATGTTTCCCAAACAAGCAGGCATATGACTTCCTGGAAGCTCTTCCTCCGCCTCCCCTCACACCCAGCGCACAGCAGACACACAGCAGCTCCTCTCCACCAGGCCCCCTCCTCACACCTGCTGGCCAAATCCTGAAGGATTTCCAGCCTTCCTTCTAGAAAATCAGCTGCTCAGCAGGGGACACGGAGGCCCAGCCCTGGCCAGCCAACTTCCCCTTTCCTTAGGTGGGGATCCTGGCAGGAGAGTAGGGGCCAGAAGCAGTGGCGGGTGGGGAGAGCGAGGTGTCCTCAGGACAGGTGTCAGGCTCTCCCCTCACTTGTGTGGGTGTGAAGGCGGGGCTTCACAGAGCCCCCAGGTGAGCTGAGCCACACCCACAAGAGTGTCTCCACCACGAGCCACACCAGGATGCGCCAGACAGCAAAGCCACCAGGGATCTGCTCGGCCTCCAGCCTTGCCCCAGATGCCATGCAGAGAAGGAACCGGAGGTTCGGAGTGGCCCCTGTCACTCGGCTGTGTGGGAGCCAGGTACCCTGTGAATGCTGACTGCCCACCACACCGCAGCTTGATTCTCCCCTGACATGCAAGGCCCACGGATAGCGGCAGGGGCCACCCCACTGCTGGGGTCTGGGCTGGGGCCGGAGTGCCTGGTAACCTTCATTTCCCAGTCCTGTGCTCCTGGGGGCCCTTTTGAGAGCTCTGCAGGGCTGGCGGACACGCAAGCCTGTTGATCTCAAGCCCAGTCGGGGCCGGTCACTTACTAGGCACGCGGTTGATGGCGCGGAGGGGCCGCAGCACCCGCACGGTCCTGATAGCCGAGAGGCTCACGTTGTGTCCGTCCAACGAGTACTCCATCATGCTGGGGGCGGGGCCGAGGGGGAGCAGCTCAACAAGGAGCCCAGGTGGTCCAGGGTGGGGCTGGGGTGCAAAGTAGGGTGGGCAGGCATAGAACCGGCCAGCCCGGCACCCGGAGGACCTTGTACTGGCCAGGAAGGGCCCCGAGGTAGCAGGAGCACAACGCTTGGTCACATCAGGAGGCCACCTCCCTCACCTGTGCCCAGGAGGGAGGGTCTCCGGAGTCCCAGACAGGGTCCCTGGCTCTACCTGGATCCCTCTAGAACACACCTCCCATTTTTCTTTACAGGTGGGACACAGGGATCCCTGTGGGGTGGGCGGGGCCCCTTCGCCAGCGCTGTGGCCTCTCCCAGGCGGGGCCTACCCCGCCACGACGATGAAGAAATCCAGCCTGTTCCACGTGTCACCCAGGTAACACTTCTGCCCGAACAGCCCCAAGGCCACCATCTTGATGACCATCTCCACCGCAAAAAAGGCGAAAATGAAGGCGTCAAAGGCCTGCGGGAGGAGGCATCAGGAGGGCCCGTGGAACAGCTCAGCTCAGCCCACAACCCCCAACCCCAGCCCCGCAAGAGCCCGGCCCCCAGTCTTGCCACACCCCTCGCCCCGCCCCTGCCCCGCCCTGAGCCCCAGGAACTGAGCCCTGCCTCGCCTTGAACCTCGCCTCTCGCCCTGCCCCACCCCCAGCCCCACCTCGCGCCCCGCCGTGAACCTCGCCCTGATCCCCGACCCTGACCCACTCCACGCCCCACCTTGAACCTTGCCCCGCCCCCGCCCCACTCCGCCTTGAACCATAAACCTCGTAGCGACCCACGCTCCTTCCCCACCCCGACCCACGCCCCTCACCTCCAGGATGTTGCAGCGCTCGGAGCCGCACTCAACGTCCTCACAGGGCCGGAACATGCCCAGGGTCACGCAGTTGAGCATGATTACCAGCATGCTCACGTGCTCGAACCATGTGTCGCCGCGGGTTAAGGAGCACACCGGCGCGGCCCGGGACCCGCTCCCATGGGGCCCTCCAAATGCCCACCCGGTCAGCCGGAGCCCCGCCACGGGTGTGCGCGCGTGGGGGTGTCCAGGATGGGGTGGGGGACTCGGGACCGACGGCCGCCCCTCCTGAAAGCAGCCACCAGGTGGCGCCTGGGGCCTGCGCCTGGCCGGGCTCTGCTCCGTGAGGGTCCCAGGCCCGGCCCCCTGGCCCTCGGCGTTGGCTCATCAGGAAAGCGGGGTGCAGGAGCCCTCGGTGGGCTGGCCGCATCGGTAGTGAGGCCCCAGTGAGGGCCACTCAGACTCCCAGGGCCTAGCTGCCCACATGGGGCCCAGGTTGCATAGGGCTCCCGCGCTGGGGGGCTGTAGGCAGGGCACCCTGTGCAACTGGGAGGGCCCCAGGGCAGGGGGAATGTCGGGGCACCGCCATGCAACCCACCGGACAGGACTCCCCGTCCCACCCTCCAGGCCTGGACGGTGGCACAACTCGGGGCAGACTTTCCAGGGCCCCTGTCCCAGGGCTGCGCGGCCCCACCCTGACCAGGGAACCAGAGGAAGGAGGGAGAGGCAATCCGTCAGCTGACTGTGGACCCAGGAGGGACCTTCCTTAAGGTAGAAGCCGGCATTTGGAAAGCACCAACTTGTCAGCGAACAGCCTTGGGAAGTCAGGCACCAGCTCTGACAGTCCCTGCCGTCACCAACACGTGGGAACCGAGGAGGAGACAGAGCTGGGCATCCTCTCACAGCTGATTCAGGGGCAGCCCGGTGGCCGCCCCCACCCCTGGCTCTGGACTTGGGCCTGTGCTTGACTCTCGGGGGCCGCCCTTCCCAGCACCCACCTGGCGCAGACCACAGGCCTCAGCGCCCACGGCTCCCCCTCACCCCTGGCAGGCCTGCTTGGGACCCGGATGATGGTGGCAGCAGCGCCCCCTGCCCAACACGGGCCACGCTCACTACAGCGGAGGTCCTGGGTGCTGCGTGCAGCACTGGGGTCAGGGTCTGAGTGTCTCAAACTCTCAGGGATCACAGGAAGGGCAGCTGCCACGGTAGGAGGGGAACAGGCTTGGTGACGAGGGCCTTCCCTGCCCCCACCTGTCACTCCAGCCTGGAGCCCCTCCCCCAGGGACCCCAGCAGCTCATCCTGGAACCCTCCCTCCCACCAAGCCAGGGCCCAGCCTCCTAGCAGGTCAGCATTTGATGCCAGTGCCACGGCTCCAGGCCACCAATGT
The DNA here is from genome assembly GCF_000001405.40 of Homo sapiens. Taxonomy (NCBI): domain Eukaryota; kingdom Metazoa; phylum Chordata; class Mammalia; order Primates; family Hominidae; genus Homo; species Homo sapiens. The sequence continues at coordinate 1,193,713 of NC_000016.10, read as the reverse complement.
AATTACATATTCCCACCAAGAGTGCGGTAATTACACTTAATGGGTTCAGCGGTAACAGGCGCCTCTGCTGTAACACTGCTGCAAGAAAGCCGAAATCAGCCTCCCGCCAAGGCAGCTGGCATGCTGGCACAGCCACGCGCTGTCCCATAGGTGGGCAAGGCCACAGCACGCACTGCCGCCTACCGATGACGCACCCACTGCGACCCCAGCGGCCAGAGTGTGTGAGCGCCTTCACGGCAAGCCTCAGAGCACAGTCCTTGCTGGACGAGGTGGGGGTGGGGTTTGCGTGCCTTGGTCAAGGTGGTGGGGGCAGGAGCCGAGGCCCTGCTGTGGAAGCCGTGCCAGGCCCCTTGGCCTCTCCCAGCCTCCTGACCCGGCACTAGTGCAAGGGAGCGATGGTGGATGGCGGCTCCGCCCCCAGCCTCGGGCACCTTTGTCCCCTAACTGCCGCAAATAGCACCTTTCTGCGGGGGTGGCTGGGGACTGTCTTTGTGCATCTCTGAGGGCCATCATTTCCCGAGGGGAGGGGTTTTCTTGGGTAAACGGAACAGGCTGGCGGGGAGGAGCTCAAAGACACCCGGCCCAAACAGGACACAGCAGGCAGGTGTGGGGAACGGTGCTCCCTGACCTGAGCCCCCACGGCACTCTACCCCAGCCTGGCTGAGCCAGGGGTCTTGTAGGTGGCACTGCCTCTCCCTGGGCACAGGGCATCCCAGGCCTCAGTTTACCCATCTACCCAATGGGGGGTGGTGGGACTGCTTGTCCTGTGGGTGCCTCGGACCGCCTTTCTGTCTCCTCTCTCCACACTCTCCTTCAAGTTGGGCCGGCTCCCAACCAGCACACACACATTCCACTACCAAAGCAGGCAATTTCCAGCCACCCCTGGACTCCAGGACTGAGGGCTGAGACCCGCCTCCAGATGTCTCCAGCCATTGCCCGATTTCTCCCAGGCCTGCCCCATGTTTGCTCTCAGATCACCCCGGAGACCCCCCAGAAATGTCCAGGCTGGAGCAGAGGGTGCCCTAGGCTAGGGGGCTACCTGGACACAAGGCCTTTCACACCCTCCCTGTACCCCAGCTGGCCCCCAGCCACTTGCCTGACCCTGGCAGTTCCTGCCACCCTAGCCAGCTCAGGACTTTGAGCTAAAGCTACGGCATGGCCTTCCTGGCACTGAGGGGAATGCTGACTTCTGGACCCGGCCCAGACCCTGAGGCGGAGGGCCCAATGGGGACAGAAGGGAAGGGGCCAGCACCCCTGACCAGCCATCTCTAAGACTGTCCAGCCAGCAGAGTGGAGTGGATGGTGTCAGAGCCCAGGGCCCATCAGTGCCAGTCACCATGAAAGCTGCCCACGGCAGAGGGGCTGGCAGGGGTGGGTGGCACCCAGTGCCTAGCAACTCCTCAAAGACAGCTGACTAGGGGTCCCCAGGCCAGGGTCCTACCTGGACACCTTTGCCCCCTCTGCCATGCCACTGAGACCCACCCCAAGCCTTTGTGACTGGCAGCGAGGGAAGCCAGGAGGGGGCCTGGGTGCCCCTCCCCGACCTCTCGGACCGTCTGGTTTAGTGGGGGATGGGGTGCTGTCTTTTCCAAGCAGGGGTGTGGCTCCAGTGAGCCCCTCCCATCCAGGTGCATCCCCCTCCGCCAAAATCACACACACAGCAGAAGACCATAGAGGGGCAAGGTTGGGCCTGCAGGCACGCCAGCTGCAGACGGCCTCCCGAGCTAAGCCTGGCGACAATGGAACCCCAAATCTCCCGGACCTGCGGTGCTGCACAGGTGACGGCTCGCAGAGACCCCGAGTGTGCCTGAGGTCACACAGCCAGGCCAGCCTGCTGGGTCACCAAAACCCTGAGTGTGCCTGAGGCCACACAACCAGGCCAGCCTGCTGGGTCACCGAAACCCCGAGTGTGCCTGAGGCCACACAGCCAGGCCAGCCTGCTGGGTCAGAGACCCCGAGTGTGCCTGAGGCCACACAGCCAGGCCAGCCTACTGGGTCAGAGACCCCGAGTGTGCCTGAGGCCACACAGCCAGGCCAGCCTGCTGGGTCACCAAAACCCTGAGTGTGCCTGAGGCCACACAACCAGGCCAGCCTGCTGGGTCACCGAAACCCCGAGTGTGCCTGAGGCCACACAGCCAGGCCAGCCTGCTGGGTCAGAGACCCCGAGTGTGCCTGAGGCCACACAGCCAGGCCAGCCTACTGGGTCAGAGACCCCAAGTGTGCCTGAGGCCACACAGCCAGGCCAGCCTGCTGGGTCACCAAAACCCTGAGTGTGCCTGAGGCCACACAGCCAGGCCAGCCTGCTGGGTCACCGAAACCCCGAGTGTGCCTGAGGCCACACAGCCAGGCCAGCCTGCTGGGTCAGAGACCCCGAGTGTGCCGGAGGCCACACAGCCAGGCCAGCCTGCTGAGTAAGAGAGACCCCGAGTGTGCCTGAGGCCACACAGCCAGGCCAGCCTGCTGGGTCAGAGACCCCGAGTGTGCCTGAGGCCACACAGCCAGGCCAGCCTGCTGAGTAAGAGAGACCCCGAGTGTGCCTGAGGCCACACAGCCAGGCCAGCCTGCTGAGTCAGAGAGACCCCGAGTGTGCCTGAGGCCACACAGCCAGGCCAGCCTGCTGAGTCAGAGAGACCCCGAGTGTGCCTGAGGCCACACAGCCAGGCCAGCCTGCTGGGTCAGAGACCCCGAGTGTGCCTGAGGCCACACAGCCAGGGCAGCCTGCTGGGTCACCGAAACCCCGAGTGTGCCTGAGGCCACACAACCAGGCCAGCATGCTGGGTCAGCGAAACCCCGAGTGTGCCTGAGGCCACACAGCCAGGCCAGCCTGCTGGGTCAGAGAGACCCCGAGTGTGCCTGAGGCCACACAGCCAGGCCAGCCTGACGGGTCCCAGCTCTTGGGTCTGCAGGGCCCCTACCCATCGTAGATCCTCTGCCTCCCCTTCCCCCAGCACCCACCCAAAATTAGCCCCACAATCCCAGAGAGCTCCTCCAATGGCAAGGACCCCACCCCTGTGCCTGTGGGGCAGCTCTGGAGGGGACGGTGGTATAGCAGGGTCTGGGGGGCCCCAAGGAGGCCTCTCACGACAGAGGACGTGACAGGCAGGCGTATTGCGCGCCTCCCAACCGGGTCACACCCCAGCCACCAGCCCTCCCTGCCCTGGAGAGGGACTGCCAGATGTACCAGGTCCCAGTGCCCCCCTGGGGCTCTGCCTAGAGAGGGGAGCAGTCAGCCGAGGTCCCACATCCCGCACAGGCCAGCAGGGGCTCGGGCAGCTCTGGGCTGAGCAGGCTGGCCCTCATGTGTCACACTTCTGTGGGCAGCTGAGGACAGGCAGTGTCTGCCGGCTGTGTCGCACGGAGCCTGGTGACTTCTGGAGGCTTAATCATACAGATGGATTTTCTGGGTTTTAATTAAAAATTCCTTTAGATTTCAAATCAACTTCTATAAATTAGAATCAATTTCCACTGCGGGTCGGAGAAGCAGGCCAACGTAGCCGGGAACAGCCCTGGGAGGGGGCCTGCTGGCTGCAGGGCGGCAGAACGGTCAGGGAACCCAGCCAGGGAAGGGCCGGGCAGTGGCGCAGTGAGGTGGTCTTGGCTACGGGGTCTCCCTCAGGCAGGGAGCCTCCACCAGACCCTGAGGCCCAACCAGCAGCAATGCACCCACTCACCCTCCCTCCTTCATCTCCCTGGACCAAGCCCCAGGACCTCAGTGATTCTCCTCTTTTCTGACAGACCAAGGTTGTGGGGACCACATTGTCCTTCTCCAGCCCCTGGAGTCTGGCCTGGATGACATGTTCCCCAGGCAGCCCCCACTGGACTGGGCTCACGAGCCAGGGGCTCGTAACGATGAAAACCCCCCAGAGAGAGGCCTGAACAGGGGAACAGGGCTGAAGACCCCCTCGGTGGTGGGGCCCTGTCTGTTGAAATACTCCTCAGGCACAGTACCCATCCTGTCCCTCAGCCCCACACTCTATAATCAGTGCTCTCAGGCTGGGCCCGGTGGTTCACACCCATAATCCCAGCACTTTGGGAGGCTGAGGCAGGAGGATCATTTGGAACCCAGGAGTCTGAGACCAGCCTGGGCAACACAGTGAGACCCCATTGCTACAAAATATTTAACAAATATTTAACAAAAAAATTAAATTTTGGGGTGCGGTGGCAGCTACTCGGGGAGGCTGAAGTGGGAGGATCGCTTGACCCCAGGAGGTGGAAGCTACAGTGAGCCACGATCGTGCCACTGCACTCCAGGCTGGGTGACGGAGCAAGACCCCATATCAAAAAAAAAAAAAAAAAAAAAAAAAAAAAAAAAAAAAGGACACTCTTCAGGGCACCTGCCAGGTCCAGCACAGCCTGGCCACCTCCCCTTCCTCACATCTCCAAGCCTGTGCACTTCTGAGGGGCTGGGCAGGTGCTAAGCCCCCTTCCTACTCCTGAAGCCCTGCCAGGGGCTGGGCCTCCCCAGCTGGCACCCATGAAGAAAACCAGTCCCGCCCAGGACGCTTCAGGGACACCAGCTCCTCAGTCTCCGGGAGGAGAACAGCTTTTCTCACCCCTACAGGCTTCCTGTTGCACACCGCCACTTCCCTCGGGACCCTGGAACAAAGGCAGCCCCCCAGCCTCCTTTCTGCGGCAGTAAGCGCTCCCCTTCCCACATGGGCACCGCCTGTGGCCATGGTGGCTCACACCAAGGTCCACAGAAGCCCCTCAGCTCTCAGGACCTGGGGGGGCCCTCCAAGGGGCCCAGCTCCAGTGCACCGCAGATGCCAGCCCCTGGCGGGCCAGGAGGTGTGGACGCAGGGCGGGCAGTGCTGCAGCGGCTGCTGTCCATGGTGCTGAATCAGCAGCCTCGCCTGGGCCTGTCCTGGATGTACCAGGGCTGGGAGGGCCGGGGTTAGGTGTGGGGGGACACATCCAGGAGGGGGCGAGGAAGCGGCCTCCTGGCCGGAAACACAGAGCTTCAGTGGAGCTGCTCCACTGACCCCCGTTTTCTCATCTGGGGGTAGTCGAGGAGGAAAAAGACTCCCAAACTGCTCTTCCCAGCTTGAAAGCGCATAGCTCTGAAGGCGCCGTTTTCTCCCGGCCCCTGGGCGCGGGCGTGGGCAGCCCCAGAGCCACTGACTGTTGTGTGGGGGGCAGCAAGGCCTGCATTCCCGCGGCTGGGTGAGGGGGAGTGTCTGCGAGTGGCGGGAACCCTGGCAGCTGCTATCTCTGCGCCGAAGATGCTGGAGACCTGGGATTCTTGGGGCCAGGAGCCAGTCTCAGGGCGGCTCAGCCAGTGTCGGGGCTGCCAGACCCCCAAACAGTGCCGACTGAGCCCTGAGGTGCTGTGGGACCCCTCTCCCCAGAGCCAGCGGTCTCCAGGGTCCTGGGTAGGGACAGGGGTTCCTCAGAAGCCCGTGTGCTGTGGGACCAGCGTGGCCCAAAGGGTGGTCCTGGACAACCCCAACCCGAAACATCAGCTAACATCCCAGGTAACATCAGCTCCCAGGACCGCCCAGACCCGCTGGCTCACGTATCCTGGGGCCAGGGCCTCCCCGACCCTGCCCCGTGACTAATCCTCAGGCCAGGGCCATGGGGCAAGAGCCTGACCCCAATTCTACCTCCACCTGTGCCTCCCCCTTTCTAAGCCTCAGCTTCCCCATCTGTACAAAAGGGCTATTTCATCTTTCTGGCGCTGACAGGTTTTATGCAGACCTTCCTGCAAAACAAGCCCCTCCATCTACTCTCCTGACTGACACGGCTCGGCCTGGCTCCTGCTGGCCCTGGAGGACACGTTCTCACCACACCAAGACCTCCACGTTTGCCGAAGGAAGGTCAGGACAGATGTTTCTACAGAGGGACGGAGGCGGGGCTGTGTGCCCCTCCTCAAGAGATAGTTAAGGCATCAAAGCCACAGGCCAGCCTCAGCTCCTCAGACCACCAGGGAGGGGACTGTAGCAGCGCTAGCCCAGCGAAGGGATGGACGTCTCCAGGTGCGGCTGCTGCCTGGCTCCTCCTCTATGGTCAGAGTGGCCCCCAAGCAGGGCTGTGGCCTCCAGGGATCCCAGCAGGGCTCCCTGCTCGGCTGCATCCTGACATCAGTGCCGGGGTGGCAGAGCTCTGCAGCTGGGAGGATCGGGAGGCTGGGCCGTTCCTGCCCCACCCGCTGTCCCCTAGAGCAATCTGCTCAGCCAGCTGAGCCCCATTAGGCCAAATCTGCAACAGCTGGGCACAAGCGGCCTGAGCCAGGGGCAGGGGTGTGGGCGGGAAAGGCACCCACAGCAGGAAGGAGAAGCCCAGAGCAAGGTGGGCCACAGCCCCCCACTCAGGACCCCATGCCTTGCAGGGCACAGACTGCAGCTGAGGTCACAGGCAACCAGGACTCTTAGCCACGTGCTCCCCTCTCTGTACCCACCCCTGGCTGGGCAAACCCCTCCCTGCCCTGGGTAGAGGGTGCCAAGGCTGAGGCCGCTCCCTCCCTGTCCGCTCTGCCCACGGCCCCACGCGGCGCTGGCCGCCTCCTCCCCTCCCGGCCCCTCATTCTCAGGAACGCTCAACCTTACTTTTCCAATTTGCTCAAGAAGACGACCTATGTGTATTCACCGGGGAAGCCCATTCCCACAGGCGCTATCAGCCCGCAGTGCGGAGGGGACGGTCGCGGGCTCTGAGGGACTCCATCGCCTCTGCCGCAGAGGAAGCAACAGCTTTGGTCCCACATCAAGAGACCCAGGAGGGGCCGGGCCAGCCGCAGACCCTGGGAGTCAGTGGGTGGTACAGGAGATCCCCGGGAACCAGCCCTGTGTCCGTGTCCACCCCCACTCAGAACCGCGGCAGCTCCAAAGGACCCTCGAGGCCACGGGAGTGGGACGGACCGCCCTGAAGTCTGCCGGTCATGGTGGTGGTCACGGCCCTGAGAACCAGGGCGCACTGCTTGTATACAGAAGAGCTAGAAGGGCAGAATATCTCCACTGCCGTGGCACATTCACCGGCCAGGAAGCATTACGTGGCCACCCGTTGAGGAGGCGGTGGTGCCACGGGCATCGGGACCGAGCCAGGTCCAGGGCACACGGGGCAGGAGGAGCGAGTCACGGAGGACACGTGACCACATTCACGACAGAAGCCACAGTGCAGGCCATCTCGAGGGGCATGTGTGTGGGCACGTGTGCAGAGGTACAGAGACGTTCCCAGGGAATCGCCGGAGGATGAGAACGCCGTGGAGAGGGACAAGACGAGGGCACTCAGGACGTGGGCAGAGTCCACAGTGACCCTTTGACGTTCACCCCACGCCGCGGCATCGTCCGGCTTTCTGCACGGCGAATCCAGGCCCTGCGTGTGCAATTACGAAAGCGAAACGTCCAGGAATCTGGGCCTGTGCGGTCACGGCAGGCTGGACCCCTGCCTTCAGGGCTCCCTGGGCCCAGCTTCTGAACAGCCCCACTGGGACACCTCGAGGGAGCCGCGCATTCTTATTCAAAACACCACTAAGGAAACAGGCTCTCCCCAAGCAGCCCTGGGAGGACCAGCACGGTACACCCTGGCCCTGCACACACCCCGCCTCCGGCCCCTACGCACGCCGACCGTCTAGTCACCCGCCCCGTACACACCCCGCCTCCGGCCCCTACGCACGCCGTCTACTCACCTGCCCCGTACACACCCCGCCTCCGGCCCCTACGCCGTCTACTCACCCGCCCCGTACACACCCCGCCTCCGGCCCCTACGCACGCCGTCTACTCACCTGCCCCGTACACACCCCGCCTCCGGCCCCTACGCACGCCGTCTACTCACCCGCCCCGTACACACCCCGCCTCCGGCCCCTACGCCGTCTACTCACCCGCCCCGTACACACCCCGCCTCCGGCCCCTACGCCGTCTACTCACCCGCCCCGTACACAGCCCCGCCTCCGGCCCCTACGCACGCCGACCGTCTACTCACCCGCCCCATACACACCCCGCCTCCGGCCCCTACGCACGCCGACCGTCTACTCACCTGCCCACGTACACACCCCGCCTCCGGCCCCTACGCACGCCGACCGTCTACTCACCCGCCCCGTACACACCCCGCCTCCGGCCCCTATGCATGCCGACCGTCTACTCGCCCGCCCCCCACGTACCCCGCCTCCGGCCCCTACGCACGCTGACCGTCTACTCACCCGCCATGGACCCCCGTGCCCCACTAGGCTTTCTGAGCATCTCCAGGGTTCCCCAGAAAAGCAGACTCGGCGGGGGGGGGGACTCTGCAGATGGCAGCGTCCATGTGGGAGTCTGGCTGCCGCTGGCAGGACCCACAGACACCGTCCAGGAGTCCAGCTGCCACCCGGGCACGTCTAAGCTCCGGATAACCGGTGGGTGAGGCTATGAACGCCAATCCTGCCTACACCAGGGACAAAGGAAACGGGCACTCACGACAGACGGGCCCACACGTGTCCACAGCGGCACTGACCCCGATGGCCTGTGATGGAAACAGCCCTGGTGTTCACCAACAGACCCGTGAACAAACGGAACGTGGTCTGGTCACACGCTGGAATATTACTCAGCCATGAAAAGGAAGAAAGCTCCACACGCCACAACACAGGTGAACCCGGGAACATGATGCTGGGAAGAACTGGGCACAGAAGGACCACATGTCACACGGAAAGTCCCGCACAGGCAAACCCAGAGACAAAGCGGGGTAGAGACCACCAGGGCTGGGCAGCGAGGGCTGATGGGGATGCGGTTTCCTTCTGGAGTGAGGGAAACATTCCAGAACTAGGCAGAGGTGATGGTTCAACAACACGAAGGTCGCTAACCCGTGCGCTTTAAAATCCGCTGGTCGTCACATAAACAAGTAAAAAAAAAATGGCTAATCCCATGGTACGTGAACCTCACTTCAGTCATCACCACAGCCTGCGTTCCCAGCTTTGCCTTTAAATGGCAGCTTCCCTTCGCTGGAGCCCCGCACCTGTCTGCAGTCGCCACTGAAGGCGCCCTTTGGACCAGGAATTGAGACCCGGCACATGGGCAGGCATAGGTTGGTGGGGGTGTCTCCTCCTCCTGCCACGTGGCCTCCACTCTCGCTGAGCAGAAGGCCCTCACATGCCCCAGACCCACCCGGCCACGTGACAACTCCTGGCACCCTCCAGCCCCTTGAGACCTGCCTTCCACCAGGGGGCCTGGATGCCTACGAGAGGGCAGGGATGCCTGGAGGCTGATGCGGCATCCGTGCCTCCTCCCAGGCTCACAGAGGATGAGGGTGAGGGCCGGGAAACGAGCAGCCCAGGCCGGCAGGTGATGAGCCCTCCCCACGGATGCCTCTCAAAGACAGGACAGCTGCTGTGTGCAGGTGCCCAGGCCAAGCCGCCTGGAGTCCTCTGGGGCTGCTGGCCCCATTCACCCCTGAGCCTCGGTCCCACGCTTGCCGGCCTCCACAGTCCGGCCTCTGGCCTCTGCCTCGGGCAGTAAGGCCCAAAGCTTTCAAGGACTCAGTGCTTGCTGCAGGGGAAGCTTTGGCCAGGGTCTGCTCCCTGGTCTCAGGGCTCGGGGAGGGGCCCCATGCATGCGGCAGGCTGGGCCTGACCATTCCTGAAGCACCGGAAGCCCCCTGTGGGCAGGAGTGATGCCCTGGGGTCTAGAGCAGTCCCGCCTACACCCTGTGCAATGGGCTGGTGTCCCATCTCCCCTACCAGCTCCACCTAGGCCTGATGGGCCAGGCACAGCCCGGCTGGCCTTGACTCTTCTGTCCCTGGCATCCGATGAAGCACCGGGGCAGCCACAGCTGCCGAGGCAGACGCACCTTCCCCAGGCGGCATGGACACGGCTCCAGGGCACCTGTCGTTAATTAACCGATCCAGGAGGGAATTAATTCAGTCTCCCTCTGCAGTGGCGAAATTCTGGAGCCAGATGTTTGCAGACTTTGGAGTCTCCCAGCAGGTGGGACGGGACAGACCCCACTGGGGGAGCAACACGCCAGGTCACGTGCTCACCCGTGTATACGCATGTGCTCTTGCACGCTCCCCCCAGGGCCGCCCCCCAGCCTCACAGGGTAGATGACAGAAAGTACATCAAACCTGCAGGACGGGACGGTGCCCGGGGAGCTCCAGAGCCTGCCCTGAGTGCGGCGCCTCCCCCGGACCCCCGACCCCAATGCCACGACAGGCACGTGTCCTGTTCTCCAGCGGGGCCTCTTAGCGGGAGGGAACTGGGTGGGAAGGGGGAGGGCAAGGCAGCCACACGATCCAGGATCAGGGTTGCCGGGGATGCGCTGACTGAAGGAGGTTTCTCTTCCTTCCCCGGAGGCCGCTGCCATGGAGACAAGGGAGGAGGAAGCCCGGTCAGGGCTGGGGGGAGGGGCCAGGAGGGATTCCCGGCTCCACGCTGAGGGCGGCCCCCACGCCCGTCTCCTTCCTCGGGAGAAGCCACCGCAGGGTTTTAACTCAGGAAGGGGTGAGGTCCTAAGAACCCCTCTGTGCTGGGGGAAAACTGGGGGAACGCGGCGCCATCAGACGCAATAGAACCCGTCAGGGGTCCCAGAGGCCAGATCCCGAGGGCAGCCCCAGGATTCCCACAGCCGCACGGGGGTGGAGGGTACCGGGTTCCAGGGCTCCATGCCTGACACAGAACTTCCTGGAAACCGCCACCTGGGGCCCCACCGTGTCCCACCCCAGTCCCTGCTGCTGGGGGTGTCGGGTCACAGAGGGTGGGGGCGGGGGTGGTGGGTGGGGCCCAGACCTCCTTCACAGGTACCTGTACCAGCCCTGGAAACCCAGTTGTCCAGAGATGGGACAGGTGGGCTTGCCCTCCTGAGAACCTGCAGTGCCCATGGACCCTGTGGCCGACTCCTGACCTGGGGAGCTCTCAGGTTGGGCCCAGGACTCAGGACTCAGCTCCAGAGAGGTCACCTGCACCCCATCCCAGGCAGGGAACAGAGGGTCTGGGCAACGTCAGAGGAGGGCCAGGGTGGGGGTCCCCGCCACAGTGACTGACAGCCTCGTCGGGGGGCTGCGAGCTCTCCTGGCCTCTGTCCTGGTCCTCAACCCTGGCCTCTCCCAGCCAACCCCCAGTCTGCTCTGAGTCTCAATGTGCAGCCTGCCCAGAGCTTTCACCCCAGCCAGGCCCCCGATGTGGGAGCCCCTCTCCCCAGGGGCCTGGCCAGGGGAACGTGGCCGGAGCCAGCCGCCTGGACTTGCGTGACTCACACGGGCAGTTGGGGGTGGGGAGCCCGGGCAGCAGCCAAACATGGAGTGTTTGTCTCCAGCCGGCGCCGCGGGTCACAGGAGGGCACGGGGGCTGGGCTGCCCGTGGGAGAGCACCGCCCCCAGCGCAGGGGTGCGGGGAGCCCACACCCACCACAGGCCACCACCTGGGGGATTGAAATCACTGATGCATGAGTGGACGGCTCACTCCCGGCTGCCGGAACATTCCATCTCAACAGAGCTCCTCCCTGAGCAATGGCCTCGGGAGACTCTGGCCCCACAGAGAGCGGCCCTGGCCTCCGCCTCTATGTCCGCCAGGCTGCACCCAGGTGGGCTGAGGCCCGCCTCCTCCACCCCGCAGAGCCTCCCACCTGCCACCCACCGGAGGGGCCAAAACAATCACATCACCTGCGCTGTCTCAGGCACGGACCCTGCTCCTGCCCCTGCCACAGCCCGGGGAAACACCAGGCTCACCTGGGCGGCCACTTCTCACCCTGGGGAGCGTTGTGTCCATCTGTGTGGGGAGACAGGGAGGGCCGGAAGCACACAGCAGCCAGGGACAGGCAGCAGAGTGAGCCTGTGTGCATGCGTGTGCGAGGGGGCATGCGTGTGCGAGGGGGCGTGTGTGCAAAGGGGACATGCATGTGTGAGGGGCGCATGTGTGTAAGGGCAGTGTGGGGACCTGAGGCGCGTGTCCGGGTGTGGGTGTGTGATGTGTGTGTAGCTGTGTGCATGGGCCGGGCTCACCCCACACACAAGTGGAGAACTCACACACAGCCCTCTTCAGGCCTGAGATGAGGGCGGGTCCCCCACCTCCAGGAATGAAAGGAGAGGTTGGCTCGCAGCACCACCACGGAGCTGGAGCACACGCGGACAGCTCCCTCTAACTGCGCACAATTTTAAAAGCCATGCTAATTAGAAAGAGACCTAATATACCTATTTATCTCTAATAAAGAGCTTGATTTGGGAACTTTTCAAGGCATAATTGAGTGGAAAAGTGCCTGATCCCAGCCCTCCTCTCCGTGCCTGCGGGAAGCTTGAGGCCCTGCCAGCCACTTGGTGGCAGCGTGCAGCCACACCGGCAAGGACCTCGGGGGCACGACCACCCAGGATGTTCTGCCGGAACTGGAGCAGACCCCCAGACTCTCCTGGCCGACGCGGGCGTCAAAGCGCTGGCTCAGCTCCCACCGTTGCCGGGGGCTCGGCAGCTGTCCCCGGTCAGGGCCACCTGGTCAGGCTGGCTTTGTCCTGGCAGTGGAGTGGGAGGTGGAGGGGCCGGCCATGCCGGGTGAGAGCTCCTCTCCTCTGGCCTCACCCTTGCCCATCTTGGTCCCCATATGAGGGTGCTGCGGGCCCCCAGGCTTGGAAGGGAAAGGCGTGGGCAGCAGAAACCCAGCCAGGAGGGGACCTTGGGGAAGACGGCCGCCTGCCCCTGGGACGGGCCTGTGGGGCCTGCTCCGAGCTGGAATTCTCCAGGCCAGAAATAACTGCCTGAGCGCCACTGCACAGCTGCCGTGGCCCAAATTAGAGACCACCCCAGGGGACCAGGCGCTCCCTCCATGGGAACGTGGCCTGGAGCTCCACCCTTGGGTCTGGCCGGGAAGCTGGCGGAAGCAGTCCCGCCAAGGCGCTTTCCTGCGGGAAGACGGGGTGAGCCCCTGCCAACGCGGCCCAGCAGGTCTGTCCTCAGCACGCTGGCGGCCAGGTCGGGTGCTGGCCCGGGGAGTCCAGGGCGGGGTGGCTGTGGACCAGGGCTGACCTCACTCTGGTCCTCTTCACCTAAGGGGCCTCCCTGTGGGAGCCACAGGCCCCTATTCGGCGGCATCCCAGCCCCCGCTGCACACCCTGCACTCTCCCCAGTCTGCACCTCATCCCTCCCTGCCCCGCCCTGCCCAGGCCCCTCCCTACCTGCCCCGGGAAAGCCAAGGCCAGGTGGGCCACTCCCCACCCGACACACTATGGAGAGCAGCCCCTCCTCCCTGGCCCCCCCACGGCCTGGCTGTGACTGCAGCCCCTGCTCAGGACCCAGAGACTGTGGCTGTGCCTCGGAGGGGGTATGGGGACGCCAGGGACACCAGGACACAGGCCCACCCTCCACGGCACCTCCAGTCCCACCACTGGGGATTTCCCTTCAGACCTCGGGCCTCCACAGACCTGGGGTTCAGACACCTGGGGTGCCCCCTCCTCACCCAGCCTGCCCTGCTCTGCCCCCAGCTATGGGACCGTCCTCCCCAGCCCACAGCAGCCCGAGTCCCTCTCGCCTCACATTATGCTCTGTGGGCGACGCCTGGTCTCAATCTGTGTGAAAACCCAGCTCCGGCCTGCAACGCCCCGTGTTCTGCAATGCGGACGCACACCACCTGCCTGTGCACCCAGGAGCCGGCTGACCCGGTGTGCAGGGACAGGGACCCAGCCAGGGCACCCAACGGGCTGGCCGTCCATCCACACGACGCCCCTCAGCCCTGTGCCTGCAGAGCCCGGCCCCCTCAGTATCACCCGGCAACCAGATGTATATTAAAAAACAAGGCCGGGCCGGGCATGGTGGCTCACGCCTGTTATCCCAGCACTTTTGGAGGCCGAGGCAGGTGGATCATGAGGTCAGGAGTTCAACACCAGCCTGGCCAAGATGGTGAAACCCCGTCTCTACTAAAAATACAAAACAATTAGCTGGGCGTGGTGGCACATGCCTGTAATCCCAGCTACGTGGGAGGCTGAGGCAGGAGAATCGCTTGAACACGTGAGGCAGAGGTTGCAGTGAGCGGAGATCACGCCACTGCACTCCAACCTGGGCGACAGAGCAAGACTCCATCTCAAAAAAAAAAAAAAAAAAAAAAGAGGCCGGGCGTGGTGGCTCACACCTGTCATCCCAACACTTTGGGAGGCTGAGGCGGGTGGATCACTTGAGGTCAGGAGTTCAAGACCAGCCTGGCCAACATGATAAAATCCCGTCTCTACTAACAATACAAAAATTAGCCAGGCATGGTGGCGGGCGCCTGTAATCCCAGCTATTCAGGAGGCTGAGGCAGGAGAATCGCTTGAACCCGGGAGGCGGAGATTGGGGTGAGCCGAGATCACACCAGCAACAACAACGACACACACACACATCAATAAATAAATGAGGAGGACGGAACAGCCACTCAGCAGCGGCTCGGTCGGCTCTCCCACCTCCCCAACCTCGCGGGGGCAGGAGAGTCCATGGGGGGGCCCCCAATCCCCGATGCCTGGTCAGCCAGGGTTTCCGTCCACCACAGCCTGGTGACTGAGGTCAGGGACCCCCAACTCACCCTACCCAGGAGCCCCTGAGGCCAAACCCCACCCACAGGGCCGCCACACACCCCTTCCACCAGTCCCGGGAGGCGCGTCAGATAAAAGCACAGCTCTCACTCCTGGGGAGACGACGGCCAGGCCCAGCCAGGGGTGGCTCTGCTGTGGTTTTGCTTCCCAGGCAGGTCTGAGTAACAGTGTGCAGGGAGGGCTGAACCCTACACCCGCCACAGCCTGGTGTCCACGGGTCACCCATTCACCACCCAACAGGGTCTCTGTGACCTGACAGAGGTCACAGAGCCTCAGTTTATCCCGAGGAAAATGGTGGGGCTGGGAGGGGCACGGGGCCAGCCTGCTGGGGAGATGCCACCATCTGGTCCTCCGGGGCTGGCAAGGGCGCGGGGCCACCCTGCTGGGGAGATGCCACCGTTCGGTCCTTCCTCTGCCCTGGCAGCCACACCTGCCTGCCCCGGCCACTCCGCCACATCTCTTCACCCCAACCCCGACTTCTGGAGCTTGGAGGAGACAGGGGCAGGGGCATCTGGGCCCAACCTGCCCAGGAGCTCCTGGCCGGGGGTGAGCCAGGTTTGGCCAGGGGTCAGGGAGGGACCCGAGGGACAGTGTGGCCCCTTTGGGGCTGGATGCTGGTCTGCTGGATGGCGGCGGCTGAAGCAACAGACGCTCACTCTCCCACAGCCTGGAGGCTGGAGTCCGAGACCATGCTGTGGGCAGGGCCGGCTCCTCCTGCGGCTGCTGTCCTTGGCCTGTAGACGCCACTGTCACCCCTCTGCATCTGTGTCCTCCTGTGGCCTCACCTAGTCCTAACCCCCTTCGAAAGGGCCCTTATCTCCAAATACAGTCACATTCTGAGGCACTTGGGGGGGTGGGTTAGGACTCTGAGATATGAATATGGGGACTCGGGGGTGGGTTAGGACTCTGAGATATGAATATGGGGGCACCAGAAGAAGCCCGTAAATGAGGCGGCTGGGGAGGCCGTGGGGGAGGGTCCAGAAAGAGGGGGCGGGAGGGACCATGGAGGGATCCAAGGAGCCGGGGCAGGAGAGCCCGTTGGGGGATCCCAGGCAGAGCCGGGAGGGACCATGAGGTGCCCCATGGAGAGGGGGCGGGAGAGTCCATGGGGGGGCGGTTTCCGGGGTGGGGGAGTGACCATGGGGTCCCCAGGGAGAGGGGGCGGGGGAGGCCCCAGGGAGAGGGGGCAGGAGAGTCCATGGGGGGGGGGGTTCCGGGGTGGGGGAGGGACCATGGGGTCCCCAGGGAGAGGGAGTGGGGGAGGCCTCAGGGAGAGGGGGCGGGAGAGACCCCGGGGGTCCCAGGGAGAAAGGGCGGTGCCCGCAGCCCGGGCACCTGCTGGGGACGGAGAGTTTGTGTCCCCATGGAGTTCAGACGCTGAGACCCAGTGGGGCCTTTGGGAGGTGACTGGGATGAGGTGAGGTCAGGAGCGGCGGAGCCCTCAGGAATGGGGTTAATGCCCTTGTAACAAGGACCCCGAGAGACCCCTCCACCTCCCACCAGGTGAGGACACAGGCAGAAGCAGGCGTCTGCACCCAGAAGTGGCCCCCGTGGAGCCCCATCCTGCCCAGCCCTTCCCTGGGACGTCCAGCCTCCAGAACCGAGAAACACACTCCCTCTGTCCCCGGCCACCACGTCCTCAGAATTTCTGTCACAGCCCAAGCACACTAGGACGCCCCCTCCCAAGCCTGTCCTGGGGGGCCCCTTCCCTTCCACCCCAACACCCCATTTCTCACTTGGAGCTCGTTCCACTCTCTGCCCCGGTCAGAATTCAGCCCTCAAACCTATGACAGACGTGTGACCGTGAGCCGCTAGCTGTGCCAGCTTGGGGGACTCCGGGGCGACGGCAGGGTGGGCCTCGGTCAGACGCCGTCCCCGCACCGTACCATGAGGAGGGCCCTCGGCCCTGAACTTCAGGCTGTCTCCGAGGGTGCCGGCGGCTGCAGTGTGTAAATGTCAGAGCCGGGGCTGAGGCCCGGGCAGCAGGGGACCCGGCCCTGGAGGGGATCGGCCCTGGGAGAGGCCTGGGGGACAGCAGCCCCTGGTGGAGTCAAACTCCATCCAGCCTGTGTCACTTAGAAATCCAAGGGTCCGAGAGTCCGAGATGTCCTTTGTAAATGTCAGTGGAATGACAAAAAGGGCCGCCCAGGACAGACACCTGAAGGTGGCAGCCTGTGAAGTCAGTGACCTTTGGGGTTCAGTGTAGGGTTCAGAGAAGGTGCGGAGGGCCTGGGGGAAGCTCCTGGGGGGAGGGAGTGAGGCTGCCCAGGCCTTTTCCAGCGCCTCCTCCCAGCCTGGGGACTCTGCCCCCACCTAAGCCAAACCCAGGCCACCCTGTCCACGGAACATCCTCACAGCAGCCGTAGCAGACACTCAGCCCTCAGAAAGCCACATCATCCTTAGGACCCCCTCCCCGTCCCCTGGGGTGAAGAGACGCGGGGGAAGGGCCGAGGGGAGGCAGGACAGAGGCAGCTCCCCGGCGGGGCGGCCCCGCTCCCCTCCCAGCACCATCATTTTCTGGGCTGATAAACTGAGCTTCATGAGCATCCCCTGTGGGTCACAGAGACTTGGTGCCCAGCCGGCCCCCGGACCCCCATCAGCCCCCTGCTCACTGCTACAGTGGCTGGTCCCGGGGCCTGTGCAGACAAACCCGGAACCCCTTGGTTGGGGGGTCACCTGAGACCCAGATTCCATTCTCGGAATCCCCACAGCAGCCCAGGCCCGTCACCTCTGAGCATGGGGGGAAGTACTGGCCCCAGGCCTCCTCAGCCCGAGCCACAGGTCATTGCCATGCCCACCTGCAGAAAGAGACGGCAGCTGGGGTCCATGCAGAGACCCTGGTGCTGCCGAGAGTAGGAGCGGCCGACCCCACTCTGCGGGGACAGCCCTCCCAGACCCATGCCTGGCTGTCCTCACAGCTGGACCCAAGGATGGGCAGGGGAGCTCCGAGACATTGCTGCTGCGCCTCGCCCCTGCCCTCCCGTGGTGGGTGAGATGCCCCGTCGGGCACTAATTAGAGCTCCAAGCTCAGAACCGACAGTCAGGGCAGCTCCAGCACAAACATCTCTAACCACACAGCATCTGTAACCACACAGCGTTTATGTTTAATGGGTTAGGCTGAAATTCCCAAAGTCTAGAACCCAGCTGAGCCATTATGCAAGCCAATCTGCGATGAGGTGTAAAGATCAGAGCCCGCTAGACACGGTGTGTCCTGTGACTGGGCGATGGGAGTGGGAGGCGCCTCCACGAACGGGGTTGGGACCCAGCAGCCACCAGGATGTCCTGGGAGCATGGCAGCCCCCAGGCCAGGTCCAGACGGAGGAACTGGGGTCAAACTCCAGGCTGTTGCAGAGCCTGCACTGGGGGTCCGGGCAGGAGGAATGGCAGCCCAAGGTCTGCCCGAGACGGGCAGGGGCCACTGGCACACGCCCCTCAACGCACCATCCCAAGCCCAGCCCAACTCGCCCGCGGCCTGCAACGCCCACTGCCCACCTACCTGCCCAGCCTGGGAACACTCCTACGCAGCCCTCAAAACCCACTCCCAGGATCTTCCTCTAGGAAGGAGATCTGGTCTCCTCCTCCTCCCTCCGGCATCTGCGGAGTAACTAGTGTGTGTCAGGGACCGCTTCAGATTCTCGGACATGAGAGTAAATGGACGGGGCCAGCTGTCAGCAGTGGGCACGGCAACAGTGAAGGACAAGCTCGGGACACGGCGAGCAGACGGGGACCTAGAGTGGGTGGTGCTTAGGAGCTGGAGGCTACAGGGTGGAGGGGCAGGGGTGCATCCAGCCCAGGCCAGGGCCCAGCAGGAGCGACGACACAGCAGTGGGGAGTCCTGAGGGCCCCAGACCCTGTCTCCTGTCAACCCCCTCAAAGCCCTGCCCCACAACCAGCCTGTATAATGCAAAACTACCAAAGGGACCTGCGGGGAAGGTGAGTGGCCCTCCCGGGGCTCCCCAGAACCCAGCAGGGGACCCCACATGCAGGAGGGCTTCCCTTGGTAGGCACACCTACACACACAGTAGAGCCTCACACCACATAAGGGCTGTGGACATTAACCTGTGCGCACAGTAGGGCCTCACGTCACGTGGGGCAGTGGGCGTTGGCCCGCGCGCACAGTAGGGCATTACGTGGGGCAGTGGGCGTTGGCCTGCGCGCGCAGTGGGGCCTCACATCACGCGGGCCTGTGGAAGTTGACCTGTGCGTAGAGTAGGACTCCTGATACACGGAGCCACCACCTAGCTGGCCTCACAGTCCATGCAGCCCTGAGACCCACCACGGAGCCATGGCCAGGCCCGGCTGGTGGGGGTGGAGGTGGGGGGTGGGGGGGTGGACGTGGGGGTTGGGGGTGAAGGTGCGGGTGGGGGCCTCCCGCCGGCCCCCTGCCTGCCCACCGCCAGCTGGCTGCAGACCTGGGCCCCGGGGAGCCTCGAGGCCAGGGCCACGCCAACTCGGCCATCCTGGCTCTCGTCCATGTCTGAATCGATCCACCAACGACTCGATCCATTAAGTCAGATCGGAATTCTTGGAAGCCAGCAGGAAAAGGAAGGCTCTGTGAACTGTCTGAGTCATTTTTTTTTAAACTAACATTGGGCGCCTCTCCTCTCCCAGCTGGGGGCTGGACACACGCTGTTCTGCTGTGTTCTGGAAGGTACCTCTGCCCCTGCTTGGGGAGGGGCCCAGACAGCCCTGAGCGTGGCAGGGGCTTCCCTTCGAGAGCTACAGTGACCCCATCCTTCCTTCCCTCCCTCCCTCCCCATGGCCACACCCCAGCTGCCACCCTGCAGAGTCCAGGCTGGGCCAGGTGGGCTGTGCTGACCGCAGCTGTTGAAAGCCTCATGCCAGCACCCCGAGATGGAGCCCCCCATCCTGGCAGCAATGGGCTAAATTCATGCTTGGCTGCTGTGAAACATTAGTTACCTCCATATCCTGGGCTCTGGGGTCTAGCTCCCACCAAGGGTGCGCTCCAGGAGAAATGAGAGAAAGGCAGCTGGCCCGTGGCCATGGGGTGGCCTTGAACCCAGGAGCCCCACAGGAGACTTCAGCCGGGTGCCATGAGAGGGAGGAGCAAACTGAGGCCGCCAGGACCTCTGCCCTTCCTTGGAGACTCTCTGCTTCAGTCCCCTCATCTGAGGGGCCACGGCTCTGTGGTGGGTCTCAGAGCTGCATGGACTGTGAGGCCAGCTAGGTGACAGCTCCCCGTATCAGGAGGCCCACTGTATGCACAGGTCAACTTCCACAGGCCCGCATGATGTGAGGCCCTACTGTGCACGCAGGTCAATGCCCACAGCCCCACGTGACGTGAGGTCCCACTGTGTGCACAGGTTAATGTCCACAACTCCCATGTGGTGTGAGGCCCCACTGTGTGCACAGGTAAATGTCCACAGCCCCACGTGACGTGAGGTCCCACTGTGTGCACAGGTTAATGTCCACAACTCCCATGTGGTGTGAGGCCCCACTGTGTGCACAGGTCAACACCCACAGCCTTTCAGGAGTAGGGGAATTCTCCCGGGGTGAGCCTGCTGGTTTAGACCAGTGGTTCTCAGCACGGCGGCCGGGGAGCCCCACCCTCCTTCCCTCACCCCTCCGACGGGCGTTCCCGGATGCTTCCACCAGGCCAGGCAGAGGGTCTTGCAAAACTGCAAAACACAGCCCCTCTTCTCACTGAGTTTTTAACGTTTTGAGAAATATAACCTTTTCCATAAAAGGACGTGTTATGTTAACACACAAAGGGCTTATTATTGTGGTTAAGTTAGTAAACAATTTTTTAAAATTTTTCATGTTAAATACTAAAAAAGTAAATAGCGAGAGAGAGAACCCAGGAGCAGAGGCTTTGGGCTTCGTCCGTCCGCACCAGCGTGAAGGGGCCCGAGGCCTGGAGGCGCAGCCGCTGTTCTGGAGGTTGTGGGGGAGCACGCCTCATCCCACACTCCGGAAGGGCATCCCACTACCCCAGGGCTCTGGCCACCTTTTGCCTGCTGGGCCTCCCGATGCCACCCACCCAAACCCCTGCAAAGCTCCGCACCCCTTTCCTCCCTGCCTGGCCACCAGCACCCCATCTACTGCCCCCTTCCAGCCTCGGCCTTTTGGACACCTCCACCTCGCGCCCGTCAGCTGCTTAAACACGCTAGGACCTCCAACTTGCCCCACACCTCGACACCCCAATATCCACAAGGACACTTGGGCTTCCCAGCTCCCCAGGCCCATGGCCACACAGAGGGCTCTCCACGCCACACCCAGGGCAGGTCTGCGGCCCTGGGACTCTGGCCCCACCCCTCCCCTCCCTCCCAGGCAGCACCCACCTGCAGGGACCTGGTGTCCCTGGGGCCAGCTGCCGAGGACCAACAAGGCTTAGGGCCAGTGACTGCGAGAGTCCCCACGGGGCTGTCCTGGCCCTGATCACAGCCCCTGCCCCGCCTCGGAGGAGCAAAGCCGTGAGTCCTCCCAGCCCACAGCCCTGGGCCTGGACAGGAGCCCTCGGGGGCACCCAGGCAGCAGCAGCCCACTCCGCCCCTGGGTGCCCCGGGGAGAAGGGTGCCCCAGCTCACCCCATGCACCTCCCTGCCCCACACCCATGCGGGTGGCTCTGCCCCTGTGGCTACAGGAAGCCGGTTATGGGAAAGCGGCTGCTTTAATAATAAATCGTTTAATTACAGAAGCCGGGAGCTCCTGCTAGGATCCAGCGGTGTGGAGTGCAGACTACCCACTGCTCCCACGCCTCGGGGTTCCCTCCACAGAGCGGGTGATGCTCGGGACAACACACAGGTACTTACGTGTCCTGCTGGGGACCCCACGACCACCCCAGACGGAGGCGGGCCAGGCCCAGGGCAGGGTGAGGGCAGCCGCGCTGCCACCGTCTAAGAGGGGAGGACGCCTGGGGGCAGCCTAGGGACGGCGTGAGAGGGGCCCAGGTAGAGCCTGGAACATTGGGGATGGCACGGCCTGGCTCCCCGAGCTCCTTTCTACTCAACAGGCAAGGCTGCGGTGATGCACTGTGGGGGGAGCCCCAGCCCCAACTCCCTGCCAAGCTCCAGGGGCGGGGTCAGGCAGGAAAGGCAGACTCGCCCTGGGCCAGCCGGATCGAGGCACGCAGCCACTCTCGCCCCTGACACCCACCGTGTGCGGCCCACGCCCTGCGGCCCGGGGCCCCGTCCACCCCAGCATCATCCCGGTGACGTCTGACACCTGCAGGCTGGCTTCAGAGTTCAGTGAAGGCTGCTGGGGACCCCAGGACCTTGAGCCGACCCACTCGGACTCCACAGCACCTGGCGGGGGGCCCACGCGAACCCCATGCCGCACTTGGACCCCAGCGTCCGTCCTGGCGCCCGCCTGGCCTGTGAACATGCCCCCACCCGTGGACACTGCTCCCTGGCCTTGGGCTCTGCCCTGACCCTCTCGTCTGTGGGCGAGAAGAGCCCAGAACAGACGCCTCAGACCCAGCTGGCGCTCGGAGACGGAGCCGAGTTGGGGGTAGTGTCTGCCCAGCCTGAGAGGGTGGCAAAGTTGTGGACGGTGGGAGGCTGCCCAGAGCTCCAGGGACTCCAGGAGGGAGGGAGGGTGGTGGTCTCTGTGGGCCGAGGCACGGCCCAGGAGGCGGGAAGGACGGAGGCAGCCCCCAGGCGGCCTTGGCAAACTGGAAATGAGGGAACCCCACAGCTCCGAGGGACAAAAGCCGCCTGAGGCGCCTCTGGTTTTCTGCGGCAGCCAAGGGAGTTTAATGCCTGGAAAATAAAACCCACCCTGACCCCCATCTCCATTCGACCTTTGTTTCCAGAAGCTTCCCGCGGGCCTCCTCCGGGCTCCAGGCTCTGCAGACTCTGTGGTCAGAGCCCAGGGCCAAAAAGTGGGCTGCGGGGGTTCTCTGCCCGGGAACCCAGTGACTTTCTAAGGAAAGCCTGTCCCCAGGGCCACTGGCCCATCTGGGCCTCGTCCTCTTACCCCCCTGGGCTGCTGACAGCCCCAAAGCCCCACGATCCCCCCAGACGCCCAGCCCGCCCAGGAGGGCCCCACAGAGCAGGCTGCCCGAGAGACCTCCCCACGAGGAGGTGATCCTGGGCGGCGCGGGGGTGAGCAGACAGCTGGGCAGGGCAGGGACTTCCAGGGCTCCCCAGAGAGCACCCCAGGGGTGCGGGTGGGAAGGCACTAGGGGAGGGGAGGGGCTCAGCAGGGACAAAGGCCTGGCCGTGGAGTGGGACAGGGAGCCAAGGGTGTGCAGGAAGAGGGAGGGACGGGCTATGGGTGCAGTGGTTGGGGGGAGAGCTAGAGAGAGGATCTGCCCTGTCCTGACACCTGGCTGTACCTGTCCCCCTGGGGAGCAGAAGGCCCCCAGACCAGGCACCCCAACCCTCCACACGGGAACCACTGAGCCAAGCAGACAATGCGGGGTTGGCGCCTTGAACCCTGACCCACAGGACCGGGGCCAGCACCCAAAACAAAAAGAAAACCTGCACAGCCCACAGGAAAGAAGGGGTGCAGTGGGGAGCTGCCCCATCATGCCCTGGTCTCCTGGCCTCTTCCTCCTGCACACGGCGGTGGGGGGGCCCAACCCAGCCCAGCTTCCCTCACCCCGAAATCCCTGTCCAGATCGTGGGGGCACGAGGAGGGCCCCACAAACTCGGTCGGCATGACAATCAGGATGCCGACCAGGCTCCACAGATCACTCATGCAGGGGAGACAGACATTCCCTGATTAAAGTTGGAAAACCCCAAAATCCCAAGGCTGACGGCCACTGGGCTTGTGGGGGTCCGCAGGCCGGTGTCGGGGTACGTCTTTCACTGTTCACGGTCCATCTCCTCCCGTCCACCCGCTCCCCTCCCCTGCCTCTGTCTCTCTCCCAGTCTCTTTTACGGGAAACCATGCTGACAGCTGCTTCTGCCCAGTGTTACCCCGGATTCCTCGGGCCCTGTCCCGCTGGCTCCGTCCCAGGGAGCCCTGCTGCCCCATAGCCATGGTGCGACCTCAGCTCCCCAACCCAGGGAAAGGCCCGAAGGCGTGGGGAGGGGCCCGCCCCTCACAAAGAAGGCTCTGCACTGAGTGGGAACAGGGTGGGCTGAGCCTCGGTAACCCTGCAGTTGGGACACACCCGGGTGGGCTGGGGTCAGGGTGCAGAGGTCAGGCCCCTCCCCTGGCACACCTGCAGGCAGACCCTGCACCCCCCAGCTGCTGGGAGCTCGCTGTAAGCCGGGAGGCCGCCCTGGAGAGGCGAGCGGGGGAGGGGGGCTCAGCCCACACTGTCTCTTCCCACCGGGACTTGAGCCCTGCACATAAACAGTCTAAATTAGGAATTAAAACATCCTTGATCCCGACCCGTGGGCAGGCCATATTTCAAACGCTCAGAAAAACACCCCAGCCGCCCAGCTCCAAACCCGAGCTTCCCAGCGTGACTGCAGTGCTGGGCGGTCGCACACGCCCATGTCCGGCCTCACGGGGAAGCCGGTCCTGGGCTCTAGATGGGCCCTGCTCACCCTGGGGCCAGGGGCCAGGGACCAGGCCTGGGAGGCAGACGGACAAACGTTCCTGGGAACAAGCACCAGCCGGCTGGCCTGAAGCTCCCACAGCCACAGTGGTGTCAGCTGCCCCCAGCGGCCTGTGGCCGACCCAGACAAGTGGGCTGGGGCCTCCCTGATCTCCGAGGGAAGCACCGGGAGCCCGGGAGCCGGCTGATGGGCGGAGGCGAAAGCACGGCCCGCACAGCTCTGAAGTGTCTCTCGGTGGGAGAGGCTGGAGCTTGGGGTCGCTGCCCACGGGGAACCCGAGACACGCGCTGTGCCCGCCAAGCCCTGCTGCTGCTTCTTGGGGGAACGTCGCGGGGGCCGCGGGCATGCTGGCGAGGACCAAGGCGAATGCCCCTGCCACCCTCTCGGGGCCCAACCCACCAGCCCAGTCCACGACACCTGTGTCAGAGGGTGGGAGGGCAGGTCGGGGGTTCTGCCAGCCCATGCATCATCTGATGCCAGCCCTTCACCAAGTGCTGTTTGGGGCAGATTCGGCCACCAGCGACGGTGCCGCCCACAGTGAACATAGCGGCAAAGGAAGCCCGTCCACGTCCACGTCCACGTTCCAGGCTAAGACCCCCAGCAAGCCCCACCCCCACCCCCACCCCCACCCCGCCGCAGGAAGACTGGCCGCTGCCAGGCAGGCTCTGGGATGCACACCCAGCGTTCTGGTATCTGGAACAGTCCAGAACCTTTCCTCCCTCCATCTCCTGTTGCCAAGGCTGCATGCTTATGGAGCACCCGAGCCCACGCACTCGTAACCCTGGCAGAGAACGCCCTGGCATCACCCTAAGACTCCACTGTGGGCAGACTCACCCCAGGCGGGCAGGGGGCGGCCCCAGCCCACCTCCTAGAGGCTCACAGGCCAGGGTACTTCAGAGCGGGGCACCCCCTGCGGCCCCTAAAGTGGGGAGCGGGCTGAGGAGGAGGGAGTACCCGATGCAGACAGCCTCACCCCTCCTCGGGCCTCAGGCTCCAGGAGAGGCCTGGAGGGCAAGGCTGGGGGGCGCCATGATCCCCCTAGGACAAGGCACCCAGAGTGGGGCATGGTGCCCTGGGACTCTGGAAGGGTCTGGAGGGCAATGAGTGGGGCCCAGCAGGCTCCTGACACAGGGCCAACTCGGCCGAGCACGATGCATGAGGGGCTCGGGGGACACTGAGGACCACCAGACACACTGGATCATCAACCTCCCCACCACGACCCCACCTGTCACCACCTCCAGGGAGCCCTCCCTGCCTCCAGGGTGCATCTCCCCAGCTCTGGGGTGACCTGGGCACCCGGCAGGGAAGCTGGAGGGTCCCCCAGAGCAGCCCAAGCAGGAGCCACAATCACAAGTCCAGCAGCCTCCCCGCCTGCCCAGGAGCCTCCCCACATCGTTGGCCCCATCCTAGAACCACGCCCCGGGGTGGGTGGTCGGACTGCATGGACTCTACCAGCTTCAGACCTTCCTGCTTTGGGAACTGCAGGCCTCAGGCCCTAGGAGGGAGGAGATGGGGGTTGCTGGATGGCCAGCGTCCAAACAGACTGGACATGGTGGGCTCATCGGGGTGAGCTGGGCAGAAACTGTCACTTGGGGGGGGGGATCCCACATCAACCGCCCCAACTGGAGGGGGCGGGGGCACCAGAGGCCGCCCTGGTCTCCCGCCACCGTGCCCCAGGGGAATTCTGGTCCACCTCTCGGGGTACAGGCACCCCTTCCGAAAACATCTCTGGCCTAGGCACAGCGGCTCCTTACAAAATGTCCCCCAACTCGAAGGCCTAGGGCAGACAGAGGTGCGGTCACCAGGCCTTGGGGACAAGCGGCCGCCTCCAGGCAGCCCCGGGGAACAGGCCTGGCTCCTGAGGCCCCACGTGCTCCACGCACTGGTGGGGCGAGTGCTTACTGAGCACCTGCTGCCATGGGCAGCCCGGGCCCCGCGGACGGACGGCCAGGCCACGCCCCAACCTCGCAGGTGCACTTTCTAAGCACACACCAGCGCCACAGCTCCAGGTGTCCCGTTTCCCGTGTCTGGGTGTGTCCCTGAAGGAGGGGTGGGCTCCTTTCAGGAAGCAAAGGAGGGGTCTCGGGGTCCCTAGCCAGGAGCCGGCTTGCATGGGCCAAACCGCTTTATGTAACACAGGCCGGGCCGGTCAACCAGGAGCAGCTGGGGATTAGTGACAGGCGTTGCCACGGCAACCCCATTAGTGGCACCGCCGCGGTGAGGAGTGTGGCTCCAGCCTTCCTCGACTTGGCAAAGGTAACAGGAAACCCCAGAGATTCATTAGCAACAGGTTCCCATGGCAACCGCACCAAGCTCATTAATAATTTTTTTTTTTATTCCAAGTGTGGGTGTTGAAATTCTCCAGAGGACGGATGGAGGGATGGATGCCGTGCAAACACACACGCCAGATTCTCCCACCCGCGGCCCGGGCGCCACCCCGCCCGCTCCGCGCCGATATCGCCCCCGCACCCGTGTGTCAGGAATCCAAGGTTCCTGACATTCGCGGGCGGCCGGCAAGCCCCACCCACCGGGACGGGCTGCTGACAGGAGGCCCATACCCCACAGGCCCCCCGCAAAGAGCCCGTTTCATCCCCACGGGGCAGGTCAGGGGCTGCCATTTCCCGATGGGAGACGCCCCAAAGGGTCGGCGAGGAAAGGAAGGGCCGTGTCCACTCCCACAGCCCTGGACTCCGGCTGGGTGTGGTTGTCAGCACTCACTGCTGCTGAACCACCACTCAGGGACCCAAAAGCTGGGGGCGAGAGGTGGGTCAACAGGTGGGCACCGCTTTGGAAAACAGCCTGGCCATTCCTCCGAGGACTCAACACTGTTTCCGCCTGACCCAGCAATTTTGCTCCCAGATTTACGTCCAAGAGACACGAAGCCAGGGTTTCCCCCGAACCTGGAGCAGGGACGGCCCGGCAGCGCCATGAACAGCAGCAAAGGGTGAAACGGCCCAGACATCCACCAGCGGTGAAGAGATAAACACCGCAGCCCGTCTACATGAGGGCGCATCTAACCGTGGAAGGGTCAGGGCTCTGCGGGGAGGATGGACGACCGGCCCGCACAAAGCTCGAGAGAAGCCGGTGCAGGAGTCCACACCACGTGGGATCCCATATACAGGGAACGTCCAGAACAGGCCAACCTCGGAGACGGAAAAGGCCAGCGGGAGACGCCGAGACAGCTGACTGCAGGGTTTCCTCTCGGGGCGAGGAAAGCATTCTGGAACCCATCGCTGCTGGGGCTGCACCACCGCGAGGATACAGGGAGAACGACCGAATTGGACCCTTCATTGGCGAGTTAGGTGGTGGATAAATTACCTCTCAATAAAACTGGGAAAAGACCAACAACAGGAATGAGTTGGTGCCGGGCTGGCCAGAGGGCCTTGTACGCTGCGCGGCCTCCTCTGCAGGGCTGAGAGGAAGGCAGGGGCCGGGATTCAGGGCACCGTTACTTGGCCTGGAGCCACGGAGCTGAGCAGGGTCTGAGCCACAGGGAGCTCCTGTCTCCCGCTCCCCACGCAGACAAATGGAGCAGCCAGTGAAGACCCCACTCCGGACGCAAAGGATTTGCTCGTGGACACTCTGCCTGCCCCCAGGGGCAAGAGGCACCCTCACCCCAACACCCACTGTCCTCTCAGGCCTGCCTGCCCCTTCCCCAGGCCTCACCATCCTCTGAGTCTGAGTGAGAAAACACAAACAAGAAATCTCGGCGTCAGCTCTCAGAGTCACCCAATTCCAAGTCACAAATGGGAATGTGTCCCCCTACGGTGCCAACAGGACGAGGAGGACCGAGAAGGGACCTCAGCCCAGAAAGAGCCACCACAATTAAAAGATGCACGGGCCGGTGTGCCCACCACTCTTGCCCCACACGGCCGGGCCGGGCCCCACACACCACCCAAGCAGGGGCCAGAGGACCCACCCCTCTCCCAAGGGGAGCAGAGGAACCAGCTCCCAGCCCCAAACCTCCTGGGGAGAAAGGAAACCATGGGCTGATGGGTTCATCTGGTGGGGAACGTGAGGTGGCCAGCACAACTCAGGAGAGCCGGGAGCCACCCGCACTGTGAGCCGGGGTGGGGGCAGGGAGGCAGCCCCTCTACATCCTCAGGAGGGGTGACCCCAGCGTGCAGCCACCTGGCAATGGCCTCGGGGGGACGCAGCTGTGCCTGGCGGGGAAAAGGGAGGGTGCCTCAGCTCCGGGCCGGCTTGTGCTGCCTGAATTCCCATGCCCAGATGCACCGGAGGCCAGGTGGGGAGGGGGGCCCAGGCGCCTCTCTCTCCACCTGGAGCTCCCCGGCTGTGAGTGCGCAGGACGGGGGCTCGGCCCACGCGGCTCCCTGAGACCATAGGCCTCATCCTCCTTATTTGAGTGACCCAGATTTCCACGGAAGGTTAGAAAATAAAAACTCTGTGCTGTCACGAAAGAGCGTGGCCCGGGAGGACCAGCAGGCTCAGCTTTCAAACACACCAACTGGGGTCTGGGTCTGCCGATTCTGAGCCTTTGCCCCCAGGCCCGCTGAAGCCATTCCTGTGACGCTACATCTGGCTTCTAGAATGTTCCTCCAATGGGGCCTGTGCCTCGTGTGCTCTCTGCTCTTCCCCCCGTCTCCCCAGCAATCGCGCCACGGTGGTCAGCTGGTGCCTGCCGCACCCCCACCCACTCCCGGGCCCAGACATGCCAGCACCTTCTCCGCTCCTCCTGCCCCATCAGCCCCCTCCTTGCCCCGGTCAGGTGAGCGCCACTGTTCCCACCCCTGCACAGGTGTCCTTCACGCCCCAGAACCCCACGGAGACAAATCACCCTGAGGTCAGCCCATGCTGGACCGAGGGGCCCCACCTGCTGCACCCAAGGAGAAAACACACATCTGCCAAGCCAGGGACCAGCAAAAGGGGCGACTCGACCCACCCCCAAAAACCCAAACGGGGCCACGGGCTCACCCACACCTCCTCCAGACCCCAGGGCTGTGGACAGCCGCCCTCCACCCCAAGCAGCATATCCGGAGCCCGGCCAGTGAGGGCAGCACCACCAGACCCCAGCTCCACCGACAGAACCCCAGGAGGCCCCTCTGCGGGGCTTGAGGGCCAAGATCTCACAGAAGGGAGATCCGAAGGGTCTCCGACGGAAAGGCCTCACTCCCAGGTTTTAACTGTGCCCCATTCTGTGCAGCAGTGAGCCTGGTGTAGCCACGCTCGGCACCGCCCGGGGTCCAAATCGCCCCTGTGCCCACGCTGCAGGCCACTGCCCACCTGATGGCCACTTAGCAGCCATCTCAGTTATCAGGCTGAGAGAACAGAGTATGAGGCCCGGCGTGGTGGCTCACACCTGTAATCCTGGCACCTGGGGAGGCTGAGGCAGGAGGGTCACCTGAACCAGGAGATCGAGGTGGCAGTGAGGGGTGACTGCACCACTGCACTCAGCCTGGGCGACAGGGTGAGACCTTGTCTCAAAAAAGAAAAGAAAAAACAGTACGTACAGGACAGGGTTCATCAGATCTGAGGCTTCGGGTATTCCTGGGGCCTTGGACTGCACCCCTGCAACTGACGACACTGCCGCCCGTCTCAAACATGCATGGACACCCCTCACCCTAAGACATTCTTACTTAACTGAAATCCAAACATAACTGAACGGGCATCCTGGGTTTTCTGTGTCAGGGACTCAGGCCCAGGGCCCTTGCTTCTGTGGCTTCTGGGAGAGGCAAAAGTGCCCCCACACCTGTGCCGGCCTCCATACCCGGCCGGCGGCCAGGCAGTCTCACACCCCAGCAGCACCAACAGGCCGCACCCATCGGCTGCTCCTCGGCTGGGGCAGGGGCGGCTGAGCCAGACACGGCCTCTCCCCTCTTCACTAACCAAGAAGCTGAGCCGCTGAGTCACAAGCGGGAGGGTCCCCAGACCTGGCCTTCGAGGTGGCCGCCACATAGCCCAGCTTCTCATCACAACGACCAGGCTTCCCAGGGAGAGGAGGTGGCATCCCGGGGCCTCTCACCCTGGCACCCAAGTGTGAGGTCAGCACTGGCACAAGAGCCCGTGGCCCAGTGGGCTTGGGCAAGCGTGGTCCCAGCTACCAGCCAAGGCAGTACCCTAAGCCATCCTCAGACACAGCGGCCAGCTTCCCCCAGCAGCCCGGGACAAGTTCCCATCCATTTCAATGAGGCGCTAATGCAGGCTGACTCATCAGACCACAGCCAGGGCTGGCGGCTGCCCGCAAAGACCAGGGCAGGGACCGTGTGTGTGGCCCTGAGAGAGACCCTCGCCCCTCCACACCTTCCCGGCAGGTCGTGGCTGCTCTCTGGCCATCTGGACACGGGTTTCCCCTCTGAGGCAGGCCGGGCTGTGTGTGGCTGCGGCTTCAGAGGGGGCTGGGCACAGGCCGGCAGCTCACTGGACACTCCCAGGCCAGACCAGCACCCCCTCCCGGGAGCACGAGGTGCCATGGGGAGACTCGTAGCTCCACACCGTACCCCGGCGCCGGCCTCCCAGGCCCTGCTCCAACTGGGCCCCACTCAACGCCCGACACCCACCTGGCCCTGCTGGGCCGAGGCCACCCCCACTGCCCTGCAGACGGGCACCAGGGCACAGTCTCAAGCCTCAAGGTCCATGGCCGAGCTGGGGGAGGTGGCTGTCGCCTCTCCGGACCCAGGATCGGCTCCCCAGGGCAGACTGGCCCACACCTACACCTTTCTGCAGGCTGCCTCACCTGCCCAGAACAGAGAGGCTGGGTGACGAGTGAGGGACACACAGCAAACACAGAGTCAGACGAGCCCAAGGTCCAGGCAGGCAGAGCACCGGCCACTGTGCCCCCACAGCCTTTGAGGCTGGAGCCAAGGATAGCTCCGCGTGGCCGCAGGGCCAGGCACCCGTGGAGTGGCCGTGAGAAGAGGCGTTCCAGGGACCTGGGGCCACTGACCTCTGCTCGCCCACCTGACCACAGCTGTTTCCAGCCACCTGGGACTATCCCACCCCCTGCTCATACTCCCTCGGCCTTCACGCCACAGCCCTGGCGGATGGTCCCCCAGCTTGGACACTGTCCTCCCAGCGTCAGTGGGGCCCGGGTCTCATCCATCTTGTTCCCTGCTCACCAGAGCCAAGTGCGGCCCCCAGACCCCTTCACAGGGTCCCAAGACGCTCGGCTCCTCCTAGGATGGACCCCCCCCCCCCACTCCAGGTGTCCGCAGGAGCTGGCCGTGCGGGGCAGCTTCTAACCAGGGCACAGAGACACAACTGCAGCACCAGCCCCCGTGCCAACCGAGGCTCCGAATGACCCACTTCACGGCTAAGCGTCCTCTCTCTCTGGGGGCTGCTCCTCATCGGAGGAGCCTGACAACAGTGGGCGACCAATCGCGATTCATCCTGAAAGGGGCTGACTCCTGTTACTGCGTCAAGCACCTCCTGCTCATGGGCCATTTTTCTCCCTCCGGGGGGGCCCACAGGTGAGGTGGGGAAAGGGCCAAGCAGGTGCTGGGGGCCTCCCCCAGGCACCTGCACCCCTGCTCGCAGCTGTGAGGGCAGGTGGGGGCACCCTGGCAGGAGGCAGCTGTAACAGAGTGCCACAGGTAGGGGCCTCAGACAGCAATGGCCTCTTGGGGCTCTGGAGGCCAGAGGCCCAGGGCGAGGGGTCATGGGGCTGACAGGATCCCATGTCCTGCATCACCCATGGGACTGAGTGGGGACGAGGAGTCCCCGCCACACACCCAGAGGCCAGGAGGGCAGCAGGCCCATTTCACAGATGAGAAAACCAACGCCCAGGAGGTGACACGACCCCGACAGGGTCCGGAGCAGGGACCTCAGTGCCCACCTCTGCCAGTCCACTTCAGACTTCACGGGACACAGCCTGACCCACCGTGATGGCTCTGCTGCCTTCTAGAAAGATCTGCCCCGAGCCTTGCCTGCAGCTCCATTAACGCGTCCGACCAGGCCCACCCCACGGACCCACCCCACAGGCAGGCTGCGGCAAGGGGACCCAGGAGGTCCGGGTGCTGCTCACAGATGGGGACAGGGCTGGCGTGGGGCCTGGCCAGCGGTCTGTCCCCCATCAGCCGCCGCACTGGCCACCCACCGACTGGACGGGGCTGACAGCCTATCTCCCGGGACCGCATCTGGCCCCTTCTCTCACCCGCCTGCTGGGAGCCTCACTCCATCAGTGACCGAGATGACAGACCAAAGTGGTGTGACAGGGAAACTGAGGCCCACGTGGAGGCACTGCCCAGGCTGGCAGGGGTCGCTAGCCCCCCTCCTGTGGCCATGGAGACCCCAGAATCCCAGGAGGCTCCACCCAGTTGAGGCTGAGTCTTTAACATCTGGGGCTACTAAAGACCACCTTGCCCAAAAAAAGGCCTCAAGGTATCCCCACCTCAGTCCTCAGGCCAGTGAGGGGCCCAGAGACAACCACCTCCGGCCAGGGGGCTCTGCCCAGGTGCAGACAGCTGGGGAGGGGAGAAGGGGTGAGAACACAGGGCGGCCTGGCGGTCAACAGAGGCGAGGGCTTGCCCCCACCTCTGCCACCGGCTCAGTTGACAGCGTTCATTAATGCCAACATCCCGTGTCACCTAACGGTCCATCCACAAAGGAACAGCTTCGCTCCCATCAGTCGCCAACGGCAGAAGCACCCACACCACCAGCAGCCCAGGGTCAGACGAGTCCAGCAGGGCCAGCAGACGCTGAGGTCTCGCTCAAGGCCTTTTCTGCAGGAGCCAGTTCTGCAGACATCAAAGCAGGGCTGGGGGTGCAACTGTGTCAGGTCTACACACCTTGGGGGTCAGAGGAGCCTCTTCACCCCGAGGCAGCGTGGGGGCCTCCGGATCCTCTCCCTGCCAGCCCTGCTCTCAACTTGGGCAAAGAGCCCAGGGCTGCACCGAGGCTGGGGGGGGGCCGCACTGGGCTGATGCCTCGGTCCTCGCCGGCCGCGCACCCGAGGATGGGGTGCTCTGGCGTCCCGGGTTGACGCTGCACGGGGCCTCCAAACGCAGGCGGCGGCCACACCCACCCAAGGATCTCTCTGCCCACAGCTCCCGCTCCCGGCAAGCGACCGGGCGGCAGCAAGAGGACAAAGGAGGCCTCGTGGAGCACATTCATCAACCGTCCGGCTCATCAAACCCGGGGGCTCTCACGGCCCCGCCAACGGCCCGCTTCTCCCGTCAGCCCGGGCCCACCTCCGCCCCGCGAGGAGTGTGCACGGAGGCCAGGGACACCAGCGGCCACGTGGCGGCACACCCCCTGCACCACGGCAAGCTGCTACTCCGTCCCCATCTGTCATCCTCGGCGGGCACAGTGCTCTGGGGACGGTGCCCAGACCTGCTGCCAGCTCTCCTGAGCCGGGCAGGGGCTGAGAGCCAGCAGAGCTCCTTCCCCGAGCCCCGCCCCCACCATCTCTGACCGAGGCGGCCGTCCATCACTGCTCAGGGCGCGACCGGCTGACTTCACCCCTTGTATCTGCCCAGGGTGAGTGGTCGCTCCTTAATCTCCACCCTGGAAATTCAACCTGGGCCCGCGTGACTTAGAGTTGTTCCAAGTTACGCCAACATGAGCCACTGAGGAGAGACTCCTCTTCCGTGCCAGGGAGGGGAATGCCCACTGACGAGGACAGGCAGGGACAGTCCCCGCCCTTCCCACAGCGGGCTCGGCACAGGCGGCTGGACGGACGGCCTGGCCGACATCTGCATAAACAAAGGTAACGCGTTCCTCGCCTGACCTTGACTGTGCGACCGTGGCTTGGACTCAGCCAGCAGAGCTGCTGTGGATCCATCCCCGGAGTGTTTGACAGGCTGGCCCCTCCCCCGCATTCCTCCTGTCCTGACCCCGGAACGGGACGTCTCTTCTGCAGCTCCAGGAGCCCGGCCTGGTGGGGCCGCATCGCCCTCGGCTCTCAGCCCTTGGGGGAGGTGAGGGGAGTATGCAGAACCACCCCTGAGCGTTCCACCAGGCCAGGGAGGGTGCCCGCAGCTGGCCCCGGCAAGAATGAAGTTCGGGTGCTTGGAGCGTGTTGCCCACGAGTCCAAGAGCTTCCTTCAGGGGCTGGCAGCAGCCACGCCCTCTGGGCCTGAGTGTGTGGGACACCAGTGCTCCCCACTCCCAGCCTCTGTCCCTGTGCGGCCCTCACCTGCCCTTCCAGCCCCGTCTCTCTCATCGACTTCCTGCTAAGCCCGGCCCCCAGGCCTCCCCTCCCTAAGGAGCAGTTGTGACGCCAGTTGGAGGCAAGCTGAGCCCTGGGCCCCCAGGCC
The DNA here is from genome assembly GCF_000001405.40 of Homo sapiens. Classification (NCBI taxonomy): domain Eukaryota; kingdom Metazoa; phylum Chordata; class Mammalia; order Primates; family Hominidae; genus Homo; species Homo sapiens. Next base: position 1,159,580 of record NC_000016.10, on the reverse strand, counting down.
AGCCCACCACCTGCTGTCCCCACCCGCACTCTGCCTCCTCACAGCCCTCAAGCTCCCGAGGGCAGGCTCGGGAACTGGGTCATCACACCGGTGTGCCACCGCCACGCGCCCAGACCTCCTCCCCACGGCCCACCCTGCCCCTCACCCTCCCTCTCATCTGCTATACAGACATCCCCCCACCTCAAGGCCTGCACTGTCCCCCTGCCTGGACGTTCTTCCCTCGGCACACCCCATCCAGGTCTCAGTCCGAACGCCTCCTCCCGCACAGGCTCCTGTGCCCACCGGGCTCATGGACTCTGCCCCTGTCGGGCCCACCCCACCGTCCGAGGGGCCCCGACCATGCCTCGGTCACAGGGCTCAGGCCAGCCTCGTTCTACCCCGGGATACGGACACCCGGGCACTCTGCGGGGAACTGGCCATGAAGACGTCTGCCAAGGCGTTCAGAGGCTCTCCCCACTCTGCACGGCTCCCCAAGTCCCCCCATCAGGGCCTGAAGGCTGTGCTCAGGGACTCCCTCCACCCTGAAGTGCCTCAGGCAGGCGAACAGGGGCCCTGAGGTCAGTCAGTGCCAAGGACGATCCCAGCGATGAAGGATCCGGGCGACAGACGGACGGTGAAACCCGAGACCCCTGCCCGGTCCCAGCGGTGCGGGCTGAGCGGGGGGGCTCTGCGGGGCCAGGGGTGCGGGCTGAGCGGGGGCCCTGCGGGGCCAGGGGTGCGGGCTGAGCGGGGCCCTGTGGGGCCGGGGGTGCGGGCTGAGTGGCGCCCTGCGGGGCCGGGGGTGCGGCGGGGCAGGAGCGGTTGTGGAACTAGAGCTCTCTCGGCAAACTCGTTCCCAAGAGCACCAAGGTCACATGCCCGGCAGCCCCGGCCGCAGAAGCGGGTCTGGGAGGCGCACGGTCCCTGCCAGGGCCCGGCCTGCTCTGGGCTCCATCTCCTCCCTCCTCCCCAGCGGGGCCTGAGTCCCGAGTCCATCGGGGTAGCCCCGACCCGGAGGGTGAGCTCAGCCTGCTGGCGTCACGCCCACTTCCTGGCGGGAACAAGATGACGTCCCACGGGGCGTGCGGCCCTGATGCTTCCATGAAGGGGAGGGAATGACTACGACAGGCGCTCGGCAGACCCCTACCCTGCCATCATCCCCGGGGGCCTCTCTTCCCATCACCCCGGGAAGGATGAGCTGCCCCCAGGCGCTCGGCGGACCCCCTACCCTGTCGTCACCCCCGGGGGCCTCTCTTCCCATCGCCCCAGGAAGGATGAGCTGCCCCCACGGCTCCCCCAGCTCTTGGTGAGTGGGAAGGCCCCTCCCCCTGAGCCCTGCAACGCTCCCAGTCTCAGCCCCATCTGTGTCTCTGCTTCCTTGCAGGATCAGCTGTGGGGGTGGGGAGGCAGCCTCTCCCACCCTGTACTAGCCCAGGAGGCAGGGACACATCCAGCCCTCTCGTGGGTAGGCCGTAGGGCTCAGTGGGAACCCACACCTGTCCCAGGAACACTGCAATGCCAGTCGGTGGCTTCAGAGACTAATGGATCCATCCCTGCAACTCTCCTTCCCGTCAGAATGCGGGCAAGGGCGCCACGGGCAAGGGTGCCACGGGCAAGGGCGCCACGGGCAAGGCACGGGCAGCCCAGGGTCTCCGGGAGACACGCGCCCTAGCACGGCCGAGAGAAGCCGGGCCGTGGGTCGGGCGCAACGGCCGAGTTCACACCCTGGTCCACCCAGGCAGAAGGGACGGGACGTCCAGTCTGTAACGGAGACTCTGCCAAGCCCCACCCTGCTGAGTGACCCCCAGCTTGGAGTTCAGGCCCAGGGGTCAAGGGACAGCTTTGGGCCCTCCTGGGCCTGTGACTTCCGACCACTGAGGCAGCCCCTCTGAGACCAGTTCGGATGTCCGGACGCTGCTAAGACAAAGTGTTCAAGAGGGTCCCCACGATGCAAGGTCAGTAGGGGACGACCAGCCCCGTCCTGCCCACGAGAGGCCTGCGGGGCACGTGGAGCCCGGGGAGGCGGGCGCAGGCGGGACTGGCCCTTTCCAGACGGGTGCCCTCTCACACTCCCGGGGGACGCCCGCGGAGCAGCGTGACAGCCCCAGCGCCGAGTGTTCAGAGATGCCATGAAGGGCTGTCTCAGGCTCCCGCAGCTCGTCCCCACCCAGGCAGCGCTCTGCCAAACACGTGGCCCTCAGAGCCAGGATGGGCTCACCCAGCTCTGTCCTTCAGCATCCCGATGACCTTGATATATCCTTCCCCATCTCAGAGCTCCGTGACACGGGGTGTTTGGAGCCTGGGCCCCGGGAGACGCCTCCCAGGGGGTCCTGCCAACCCCCAGCCCCCAAGCACCCCTTGGTCACCTTCTGGTCCCTACACACCCACAGCCCGCCTCCCTCGCTCTCGCAGGGACCGAAGCAGGGTCCCCCTTCCTGGCCTCCAAGCATTCCCGGGGGCCCCGCCCCGTCCGTGTGCCGGGACGGCGGCAGCTGTGTCGCAGGCGAACGCGGAGTCAGGAACCCCGGGAGTCCGGGCAGCACATAACCCAGCCGGGCGACAACACACAGATCCCACCCACCTTTCTCTATAAATAAACCTGTGGAGGAGAAGCAGCGCTCGCCCCAAAAGTTCTAAGACAATTATATTTTTAAGAAACCAATCAATAAGGATAAGGGCGTCCTTGGAGGCTCCTTTGCCTGGGATGGAGTCACCCTGGAGATGGAGCCAGCACGCATGTGCTCCCTGGTGCTGAGCGTCTACCCCGGGGTTCAGGAGAGGTTCAGGGATAAACGCGGGCCCTCCCCCAGGTTCCTGTGCTGACTGAACCCCGGCTCAGGCTGGGCCCGGCGGACAGCAGCTGGGGCTCTGCCAACCCCCGGGAGCATGGAGTCACTTTACTGAGTGTGGGTTCCCTGAGCAAATCCGATTATCCCTCCCTCTCAGAGTTCACCCTCTTCAGGAGGGATGCGGGGCCCTGCGGAGGGAGGGGAGGCTGAGGCCCAGGAAGCACCCTCTTGCTACGGGACACACCCCAGCCACACCAGTCGCCCACCGCCCCTGCCGCCTCCTGCAAAGCCTCCCCCTCCCAACTCCCAGGAATCTGAAGCGCTCTGGAAAGCCTCAGCCATGGCCCACATGGGCTTCCCCGGCTCAGCCAATCCCCCCACCTGTCCAGGCCTGCCAGCTTATTTTAGGTTCTCTCTGACGCCAGGACACACACCCTCGCTACAGGCCAGGCATCTGCTGGTGGTCACACCCACCCCCATGCAGCCGGGGCCTCCACAAGCCCACTCCACCTGACCGACGGGCGTTTCCACGGGGCCAAGAATGAACCAAGCTTGGGGTCTAAGCTCTGCTTCCCATGTCTCCTGGAGTGGGGACACCCCCCATCACTGCGTTTGGAGCTGGGAGAGCCAAAGCGTGCCAGAGGTGCTGGCGGCGAGGAGGGTGGGGGGTCCTGCCGTGCCGCAGGCAGACCCAGTGCTCCAAGCAAGGGATGCCATCGAAGGGCAGGAGGCCGACCACCCATTCTCTCCCAGCCCAGAGAGCCCTGGGGACACCAGGGATGGGGCATGCTCTGTTCTTCCCAGGCTGAGAGCACCATCCAGCCCCCGAGACCAGGACAGCACCCAAGTCCCTCTCGGGCTACCAGAGCATACTCCTGTCAGGTCACAAAGCCCAAAAGGACAGCTCCTCAGGACACCGGGGGACAGCGCTTGGGTCACGTGATGCCGCTGGCCCCAGCCCTCCTCTCCCCCTGGAGAGCTCATCCCACCTGCATGAGGCCACCCAGCCAACACCTTCCCTGCACACAGCAACGCAAACAACCTCCTTGGAAGTCCTGAGACACACAGCCAGCCCAGAACACCGGGGCCAGGCTCCAAAACTCTCTCAGCCGAGAGGGGACAGGACAGCCAGGCCCGGGGCTGTGAAGAGAGTCCATGCCCTGCTTGGGGATGGGGCAGCCAGGCCCGGGGCTGTGAGGAGAGAGTCCAGGCTTGCTCAACTCTTTCCCTTCTCCGGTCTGCACACGTTGGGAAACAAGGAACGCAGGCCTTGGCTCGGGGCCAGCCTCCCATTCCAACCCATGCAGTCCCTTCCAGACCCTTCCCCATGGCCTGCTGGCACCGCCGGACTAACCCCACACCCAGTCACCTCCTACCAGAACAAAGGGGCATGACCACCTCCCGCCTTGGTTCTAGAGAGGAGACAAACCTACAACCGCTCTTCAAGGCCGGGCCTGCACCTCGGCTCCCGGGGACACCCACCTACTCGCAGACACCACCCTGAGGCTACAGAGGCCTAGGCCGCCCGGGCAGCGGGTGTGGGGCTCCGAGGCAGCCCTCTGGCCGGGGCCGGCTGCCCCCGGGACCACAGCAGCCTCCTCTTCCTCTACAAGCAGAGATGAGTCTGACTCACTCGATGTTTGGATTTGAGAAAGGAGAAACACGGGCTTTATGACTTTTTTTGTACAGATTCCTCTTTCGTGTTTAATATTTGTACAGTTAAACACACAAGGTAGGGAAGTGTACACAGGCCGCTCCTGCTGCCAGCCTGTCTCCCCACCTCCGACGGGGGACGTCTGCGGGCAGGGTCTCTCCACCCGTCCCCAGGCCCGGAGCAGAAGCCACGGCCTGGCCACCCCAGCTGCCGGCTCAGAAGGGCCGGTGGGGAGACCCGGCCCTGACACAGGCACCACGCAAGGCCCTTCTCAGGGCACGCGGAGACCCGCCCCCAAGGCCACCTGCTGGGGGGCCCCCTGGACCTCCGTGTACATCCCACAAATGCCCCTGGCCCTGACCCAACTCTGTTCTGGAACCTTCTCTGCAGTCTGTGCCGCTCTGGCCGAGAGTAGAAGAGGCTGCCTCTTCCTCTCCAGCCAGGGAAGGGGCTGGGGAGATGAGACTCCCCCTTGGCAGTGCCAATTGCCTCCCTGCCCCCTACCCTTCAGCTGCGCATGACTTAAGTCAGCCCCGCCACCGAGTTCAGCCAGAAAAAGCGAGTTCACAACCAACGTCACCGCCTCTCTCCACGGAAAAGGCCCTGGCGGCGCTCACAGGCCCCACGGGTCTCCCCACGCACTCGGAACCACCAGGCGCCGGCTGAAAACTTTGCGCCCCTGACTCCAGCTCCTCTGGCCTCCCCCTCCCCCGCGAGGGGCCTGCCTCGGGCAGGACCTTCAGACAGTGAGGGGTGGGCAAGGGGGAAATTCCCGTCCTGGCCAACACCCTTGGGGCCGCGAGGAGTTAGGACCTTCCCTCCCTCCCCGACTCCTCTCCCCTCCAAGCCCGCGGGGGCCTCACCGCTTCGCTTCCACCTTCTCCGTCCGGAGCCGGCCCTGGGGAAGGGAGTCCGGAGGCGCCCGGTGGCCCCCCAAGCCCGCCACTCTCAGAAATTAGAGCGCGGTCCTCCAGCCCCTGCCCTGCACCCCCGCGCGCCCGGCCCACGCCAGGTCCCACCAACAGGGGCGCGCGGGGGCGCATGCCGAGGGAGTCCCGCGCCCCGGGCCCCCACCCTCCCCACGCCCCCCGCCCCCCGCCCCCCGCCGGCCGGGAAGGATATGGGTTGCAGACCAGCCGGAGGCACCAGCTGCGCGGCCGCGTGGTCTGACCGAGGCAGAAGAAGACCGTGGCCGCCAAGGCCGGGTACGGGACGCGCTGCTCCTCGTCGGCACCCAGCTCCGCGCCGCGCTCGGCCGCCGGGCTCTCGGAGGGTGACACGCCGAGCTCGGACCCCCGCTCCGCCTCGCGTCCCGGCGCCCCGGGGCTCTCCGGGGACGCCCCCACCAACGCCGCAGGGCCAGGGGGCGGCGCGCCCAGGGGCACCCGGACCTCGTCGGCGGCCCGTGCGCCCTCGGTCATGGTGGCGGCCGGCAGCACCTGCAGAGGACAGGGGGTGACCCGGGGCCGGTGGCGACGCCCCCGCCCTGCCTCCCGCGGCGCGGAGCTGCGGGAACAGCCGCGGCCGCCGGGATGTCTTTGTCTTTTCTTATTAGAGACAAACGCGCCCCCCGCCCCCGCCCGCCCCCTCCCTCCCTCCAGCGGCCCCACCCCCACCCCGAGGGGCTCCCCGGCCCGCTTCGCGCAAGTTGAAGAGGGTCCCGGGCGCGCGTCCTCGCCGCGTCTCACCTCGCTCTGCTGGCCGGCGGCGTCCCCGCGGGCATCGCCCGGGCGGCGCGGTCACCGCGGACCCCGCTCGGCGCCCGGCCCCGGCCCCGGCCCCCAGCGCCTCCGCCCCCGGCCCCGGCCCCGGCCCCCAGCGCCTCCGCCCCCGGCCCGCGTCCCCAGCCCGCCCGGCTCCCGGCCGCGGCTCGACTCCGGCTCCGGCTCGCCCGGCGGAGGCGACGGCGGCGGCCTCGGCGCGGCGTGGAGGCCGCTGAGCGGACGGGTGAGGCCGGGGCGCGGGGCGCGGGGCGCGGGGCGCGGGCCGGGGACCGGTGAGGCAGCGAGCGAGCCTCGAGCCCGTCCGCGCGCGGCGCAGGAAACTTCGGGCTGAGCGGCGGGGGGCGGGGCGGGGCGGGGCCGGCGCGACCGGGGCGGGGCCAGCGTGGCCGGGGCGGGGCCGGGGGCGGGGCGGGCGGGGGGGTACTGGGGAGGATCCGCCCCCGGCCCGAGACGCGCGCGCCCGAGCGACCCCTCCCTGTCGCCGCCCGGCGCCCCGCCCCCCCCCGGGTGCGGGAAGTTGGACCCCGCCCGCGCCCCCTCCACGCCCCCGCACTGGGCTCCCCGCTTTTCGTGCTCCCCAACAATGCCGGGCGTGGGGTGCACCAGGGGGCGCTCGCGGGAGGCTCCGGCGGGGTGGGAGGGGGAGCACCTACGTCCTTCCCTGCCCCCAACTGCGGGGGCGGCCGAGCCGCCGATGCCGCGCCCCTCCCCCTCCCGCTCCGGCTCCCCCTCCCCCTTCGCGCTGCCGCGCGCGCCGCCGCCGCCCCCACCCCCACCCCCACTACGACGCGGGCCCGGGTCGGCGGAGGGGCGGGGACCGGGCGGGCGTGGAAGGCGAGAGGCTGCGTGCCCCTTCCCCGCCGCGTGTGTGTCCCGGGTGTGCCCGCGCGCGCGTGTGTGATGGGGCGCGGGGGCGGGCGGGGGTGTGCTTTACGGCTGGGCGCTCCTGCACTCGCATCTCTCCCCGACACGCACGGGCAGTTTCCGCGAACTTGTCCTCGTCTCCGGTCCCCTCCCGCGTGGGGATCTGGGGGACCCTGGGGACGGCAGCCTGGTGCTCCTGCATCCTCCAACCCCGCTGCCTCAGCGAGACTCACCCAGGGGCCCCCGAGGAGAAGTGCAGGCCCCTTCCCCCTGCCAGCAGCTGCTCCTTCAGCCAGGCCAGCAGAAGGGCCTTCCCCTGGACCCTCAGAGCAAGTGGTTTGGTCGGGAAGGGGTGGACCCTTCAGACATTGGGGATGGCCAGGCCCTTGTCCCAGGGAGGGCTGGCCGCACCTCGAGGTGCCAGCAGGTGGGGGCAGGTGCCCAGGCTCCTGACTCCCCCCAGGGCACCCCTCCAGGCTGGAAGGGTGGTTTTGCTTCTGGGACCACTGCTTTGTGCACCAGGGAGCTTGAGCTCCCAGGTGTGCACCTCAGCACGCCCGCCAACAAGGGGCCCCTGGTAGTGGGAGAGACCCCTTCTCCCTCCAGACAAAGAGGCCCTGCTCCAGGGCGCACCCTGAGACCCCAGACCCGGAGAGGCTGTGGGGCGGCTGTGGCTTCCCACCTGCGGGTGAGCAGCAGAGAAGCAGGACCTCCCCCGGGTGGGCCACATCGTGCAGGGTGAAGAAGAGGCCCTGCCCAGCTGGGGCCCGGAAGGACACACAGCACCTGGGGTGGGCCGAGGAACTGGAAGGCAGGAGTGTGGGGGCCTGGCTGGGGTACAGGTCCTTTCAGCAGCACCTCCTCCTGTATACGGGAACTTTCAAGAAAAGGAAAACATTCAGTCTATTTTAATGCAACTACTCAGCGATGGAGGGCCACAGCTGGTGAATTAGGCCTTCAAAGGTCCAATTAAGGTTCCAGCCACAGAGGAGCAGGACCTAGGAGAGCCCCGTGCTTTGGACACATCCGTGGAGGGAGGCTGGAGCAGGTGGGGAGACACAAACGCTGAATCGGAGTCCGGTCCAGAGGGCACTTGGAACCTCTGATCTTTTTATCAACACCCTGCTCGTTAAAAGTTAGGGTGGGCCAGGTGCAGTGGCTCACGCCTGTAATCCCAGCACTTTGGGAGGCCGAGGTGTGTGGATCACTTGAGGTCAGGAGTTCGAGACCAGCCTGACCAACATGGTGAAATCCCGTCTCTACTAAAATACAAAAATTAGCCAGGCATGGTGACATATGCCTGTAATCCCCGCTACTCGGGATGCTGAGGGAGGAGAATCACTTGAACCCAGGAGGCAGAGGTTGCAGTGAGCCGAGATCACGCCACTGCACTCCAGCCTGGGTGACAGAGTGGACTCTGCCTCAAAAAAATAATAAGTTAATTAATTAATTAATTAAAGCTAAGGCAAAGCCACAGACTGAAGCTCCAGATTCTAGCTGGGGGCTGTCGTTGATTTGCTGGACAAATGGTAGTTGAGGGTGGACAGTGCGCGGGGCCCGGTTGGAGGGTGGAGGTGCCTTGGCTGTGACCAGACAGACCCGGTTCTCATGCCTGCAGCTTCCGTCTTATGGGGAGGAGAAAACAGTTTCCAAACTAAGTGCCAGGGGGCGCCCAGATAGACGAGGGCGGGGCCTCTGTGAGGACAAGCCGGCAGCCGGAAGAGGAGCAGAGGCTCTTTCCAGCAGCAACGGCAGCCCATGCAAAGGCCCTGTGGCAGGCCGGAGGGAGCCGGGGAGCGGGAAGACCCAGAGGGCGCCTGGGAAGCATCTTGGAATTCTGAACACAGCAGCTGTTGCCCTCCCGGCCACACTCTGTCCTCCAGATGTCGGCAGAAGGGAAAAAGACCACGGACTTCTATAACAGACTTTTTTTTTTTTTTTTTTTTGAGACATAGTTTCGCTCTGTATCACAGGCTGGAGTGTAGTGGCGTGATCTCGGCTCACTGCAAACTCCGCCTCCTGGTGTCAGTTCAAGCGATTCTCCTGCCTCAGCCTCCCGTGTAGCTGGGATTACAGGCATGTAATTACCATGCCCAGCTAATTTTCATATTTTTAGAAGAGACGGGGTTTTGCCATGTTGGCCAGGCTGGTCTTGAACTCCTGACCTCGTGATCCGCCTGCCTCAGACTCTGAAAGTATGGGGATTACAGGCGTAAGTCACCGCGCCCGGCCCACAGATTTTTTTTAAAGAAAGTGTCTGTAATCTGAGAAAGCGTGCAGTCGCCAGGCATCCCACGGACAATTTGCAGACCAGTTGGAGCCTCTCCAGCACCCGGGCGGGCATTTTCCAGCTCAAGGTCTGGGACGGAGGCTGCCTCCCACCGCTTTCCGTTCACTCCAGCCCATCGGATGGCGTGCCCACCTTGTCCTTGGGGGCTCTGTGTCCCCTGGGCTGCTGCCCACTGACTTGCACGCTCCACGTCCGGCGGGACAGGTGCCCGCACGCCTGGAACATGGATGCTCCCTGCTCTGAACATCCATCTGCCGGAAGATGAGGCAGCTGAGGCCGCGTTCACGCAGCCGGAGCGGGGACCACCTCAACGCGACGTGAGGGCCTCCACCGAGAAAGGACATAAACGGCAGACGGTCCAGTGAGACGAGACGGGAAATCGTCCTGAGAGCGGTGATGCCGTGATGCGCGCCCTTCGCTGAGCGTCAGAGAGAAGCCCAGGACGGTTGGAAACCGGCATTGAGATGGTTTAATTCAACTCCAGAACGTTCAGATGTATTGTTTCTAATCCTCCAGGTCTCTGGAAAATTTGCTTCTGGTTTTCGCTGTTTCCTTTTTTCTTTTTTTGGCCGGGGTTGTTTTTAAGGGCAATGCTTTTCTTTGACAAAGAGCTGCGGGGAGAGAGTACAAGTGACCTCCTAGCTCAGCCATCATGTGGCGGAACCCAAGAAGGTGGGGTGGGCTTCTCGGGGTCTCCCACGGATTTCAGCATCCCCCACGCTGCCCAGGGGAAGGAGGACGTCGGCAGTGGGGCCCGGCATGGCAGCGATGGGACAGGCACGCCCTGACTGGTCCTCAGCTCCCTGTAGCAGTGGGGCCCGTGGCTGGTCTGCCAGAATCTGGACCAAGGGCTGGTGGACAGAGTCCTCTCCTGGCAAAGCCTGGAGAGCCAGCCGTGGCGGTCACTGCCTGGTGTCCAGTGAGACCCCTTCTCCCAGCCAGCTCTGGGTTCTGCTGCTACGTGTGGCCTGTGAGCCGGGGACCCAGGTCACCGCCACCAAGGAGGCTGCCCACGCGGCCAGGAAGCCAGGCCCCGGGAATATGCAGACAAGAGGGGCGTCCCTGCCTAGACTGGCCCCTGCAGGGATCGGCCTCCAGGGCAGGCAACAGGGCCTCTCACTGACACAGGCTCGGGCCCTGCCTGGCCAGAATGCTTCTTCCCTGGGAGCAGCCTCGGTGGGGCCCCATTGAGCCGCAGACTCAAGGGCAGGACGGAGCCCGGTAGGTCGCCCCGAAGCATGGCGGGCTCTCACCTTTGTCCTGCCATGGAGTCAGAGACACGAGACCCTGGAGTGGGGAGCAGGTGAGTGTCCTTTGCTCCTGCCTAGCATCCAGTAGGTGCCAATAAATACCTGCTGACTGGGTGGCTGAAGGGACTGCGCTGGCATCCCAAGGAATTTTGGGATCCACCACCCTCGAGACCGTGCTGGGCGGGAAGCATGACCCCACACTGTGGGATGGGGAGCCTGGTGGCTGCCGGCTGGCGCGCACCCCAAGCCCTTTCCTGGGCTCAGCTGTGAGCTCAGGACGGTTTAGACGCAGCAGCAATGATTTTAAGAGTTGCCGTGTTAAACGGTGATAGCCTGTGACGGTGCTGTGTGCGGAAACATCCGATTTTATTGCCGCTGGGTGGACAGCGCCGTCTAGACGCCGCTCACCCTTCTCACCTTCGCAGTTGTCTGTGTGGAAGACGGGAGAGGCAGGGGCACCACGCCACTGTCCCCAAGACCGGCCCCCAGGCACTGCGCGGAAGAGGCCGTGGCCTGTGAGGTGGCCCTTCCCTGCCCTGGACAGGCTGTGGAGGGGCTGCAGGCGGAGGCTGGGCTTGGGAGTGCTTGAAGGATCACTGGGCTGTGGAGGGGCCCGCAGGCCGCCTGGGGACCTGGGGAGGGAAGCTCCGGGCCTTTCTCTGGCTCTGCAGACGCACGGCCTGGGTTCAAATGCCAGCTCCACCACTTCCTGGCTGTGTGGCCTTGGACATGTGTCTTACCCTCTCTGAGCCTTAAATTTCCTTCTCTGGAAAATCAATGCTTCATCAAATAAAAAGTGATCATGAACAGGCAGTTCCTCAAATGATTAAATATGGAATTACCATGCAACCTGGCAATTTCTGTTCCGGGTGTGCCCAAGAGGAATGAAAATGTGTGTCCACACAGAACTGTGGACTCGGGTGTCCACAGCAGCATCGTTCACAAAAGCCAAAGGTGTAGACATCCCAAGTATCCCACAGATAAGCAGATAAAATGTGGCCTCTTCATATGGTGGAATATTATTCAGCCATGAAAAGGAATGACACAGCCGGGCGCGGTGGCTCACACCTGTAATCCCAGCACTTTGGGAGGCTGAGGCAGGCAGATCAGGAGGTTGGGAGTTTGAGACCGGCCTGATCAACATGATCAACACGGAGAAACTCTGTCTCTACTAAAAATACAAAAATTAGCCGGGCATGGTGGTGGGCGCCTGTAGTCCCAGCTACTCAGAAGGTTGAGGCAGGAGAATCGCTTGAACCCGGGAGGTGGGGCTTGCAGTGAGTAGAGATCACGCCGTTGCGCTCCAGCCTGGGCAACAGAGCAACATTCTGTCTCAAAAAAAATGACATTCTGACACACGTGGATGAACATTGAAGACATCACACCAAGTGAAATAAGCCAGACACAAAATGACAAACATCATAGGATCATTAGATGAGATTTTCAGCACAGGTAAATCCATAGAACAAAGAGGGGTGGCTGCCAAGGGCTGGGGGAGGGGGGGTGGGGGAGGGGAGACGTCTAGCAAGCAGAGGGTTTGTTTGGTTTGGATGTGTGGCCCCCCCTCCAAATCTCATGTTGAAACGTGACTTCCAGGGTTGGAAGTGGGCCTGGTGGGAGGTGTCTGCACCAGGGGCGGATTCCTCAGGAGTGGCTTGCTGCTGTCCAGTGATGATGAGTGCTTTCTTGCTCCAGTAGTTCACACAGCAGCTGGCACCTCCTCCTCTCCCTGGCACCCTCTCCCTCCATGTGACTTTTGGGTTCTCCTTCCTTTCTGCCATGATTGGAAGCTTCCTGAGGCCTCCCCAGAAGCAGATACCTGCGCTGTACTTCCTATACAGCCTGTAGGACCGTGAGCCAAATCAACTTCTTTTCTTTAGAGATCACCCAGTCCCAAGCATTCCTTTACAACAACACGAAACAGACTAACACAGAAAGGGGTTTATTTTAGGGCGGTGACAGTTGACACCACCATAAAAGCTGCAATCCAAGCTTTTATGGGGGCCAGGCAGGAAGATCATTTGAGCCCAAGAATTTGAGACCAGCCTGGGCAACATACTGAGACCCAACCCCGTCTCTACAAAAAAAAAAAAAAAAAAAATGAAATAAAATTAGCCAGGTGTGGTGGTGGTGCCTGTGATCTCAGCTACTCGAGAGGCTGAGGTAGGAGGATCACTTGACTCTGAGGGGTCGAGGCTGCAGTGAGTGGAGATTGTGCCACTGCACTCCAGCCTGGGCGACAGAGCGAGACCTGCAGAGACGGCTGCACCGCTGGGTGCACTGAAAACTCACCCATAAGTGGGTGAGCCGTCCGTCCGTGTGTGAGCTCCGCCTCAGGCTGTGAAAGCAGTCATGAAGGATGGGAGCCCGCACGTGACAAAGGCTCAGAAAGAGGGAGGCCATTTTTAACAGCTCCCTGTGGGGGCGGAGCCAGAGGGCGTGGCCTCATGGGAGGAGACAGAACCCAGGATGGAGCTGGGCTGGGGGAGCAGAGCCTTCAGCCTGTCCCTTGGGGTCCGCAGGATCTCGGAGGCCCTAGGGGTGGGGCTGCCTCTGGCCTGGGCCAAGGCCTTGAGGCCGGGGTGGACACGTCTGGTTCAGTCTCCTGGACCCAAATGTGTCAGGGAAGCCTCCTCCGAGGGCATGGGGGGCAGGGAGCTGAGTCTGGGGTGTGTGGGGGTGGGCAGAGGGCACGTGCCTGGCAGCACCCAACTCTGCCTGAGCTGCTGAATCCCCCGGATCACTGTGGAGTGGGAAGGAGGAGGGGTTGACCTGGGAGGGAAAGTGACAGGATGGGGTGAGCCCAGGCCGGGTGCTTCCAGACAGACTTCAAGGGGCCGTGGAAGGCGCAAAGCAGACATGGGTGCCCCTCTCCCCTGCTTGGTTCCCTCACCAGCCCCCAGCTCTGCACAGCCCCTCTGCTTGCAGGAAGGGCTGAGCTGGTGCAGAGTCACGGGGTCCTTTCTTAGGGAGTCCTCAAGAGGTAATGCAGCAGGTCCCCCAGATCCCAGGTCTGGCCACCAGACCACCCTCAACACCCCCACCTCGCCCTACCCCAGCCCAGGCCCAGCCCCGGGAGCTCCAAGGAGATCCACACAAGAGGAGCCCCTGAAACGTGGGTCTGCAGGCAGCCCCGGGTCCGTCACCCCTCCAACCCTCAGGTGCCGGGTGCCCCAGCTCTCGGCTCGGCCAGGCGAGGCCCTTGGAACCACAGATGACCACGCGTGGGCCTAGAGTGTGTGTTTTTGGGGGAATTTCACCCGGGGGCTCCTCAGAGAAGGTGCCAGGCCGCCCAGGGACATCTGAGGAACCAGCTGAGCCAGACCCGGGGCGGGGGCCTGTGCGGAGGGGCCGGGGTCAGGCACGGGGGGCGGCCCCCACACCGCAGCTTGCGTCACCTGGGAGAACTGGACAGGAGCCAGCTACGATCCCCAGGTGGCCAGTGGAGGGGCCGGCCCCGCACGCAGTGGCTGCAGAGAGAGGCTTGGCCCCAGCTGTGCAGCCAGGCACTCTGACTCCTGCTCCTTTTGTACTCACCCGGGAGGTTTTTCATCTTTACGGTTAACTGAGTTAAGTCGTCAACTGCCAATATTTAAACAGCCCCTCCCGAGGGAGGCCCCCTCCTGGCTGTGACAAAGGTTGGCATCCACAAAGGCCGCGTAGCTGCCCCGGGGATGGCCATGGGGGTGCCGGACGCCTGTGCCCCCGGGCTGCCCGAGGAGACCTCACGGGCTCTGGAGGCCGCGACCCGACAGCTCCGACAGCATTTATATAATTTATTGCAAATCATTTGTACCTTGTTTAATGCTCTGCTGATTCCACTTCATACCGGCTTCCTGGGCTTGCCGGCCAGGCCATGTCGCAGGCAGCTGACCGCATTCAGGGAGGGAGGGCTGACAGCAGGGTGCTGCCAGGCCAGGCAATCAGCCCACCAGAGCTGTAGTCCGGCCCTGAGCGCCAGACACCACTCTGGCTGTCCCTGCCCAGCTGCCTGCCCAAGCCTGTGCACCCCCACATGGCCGGCACCCCGGATCAGCACCTTCGTTCCCCGGGAGGCGGCACCGGACAGCAGGAAGCTGGCAGGACAGACACCTTCTCTCTGCTCCCGCTTCCCACAGCTAGGACACACAGGGACAACGAGGCCACCTGGGCCAGAGCTGGCCACAGCAGCACCTCAGGTGTGAGGGTGACGACAGGTCACTCTGGGAGCCTTGAAGAGAAGGCCTGTTCCTTCCATTCCGGCCCAGAAGTGGGGGCCGTGGTACTGGCCGTGGGGCCGAGACTCTGCAGCCCCAGCCTCGGGAGCCTTGGGGTTCCCAGCCCTTAAGGGTCTCCGGGGGCCTTGGCCACTTGGGGTGCCAGTGGCGGCCTCAGAGGGGACTCGGCAGGGTCTCGTGGCAGGCTGGGGCGGGACAGGGCAGAACAGGCCGGCCGGGGCCATTGTTGCGAGTCTTTTCTCTCCCCTCCCCGGCGCTTCCTGGAAGCCATTGTGTCCTGGAGGCTGGCGCAGGATGGGGTGTGCGGACCGATGGCAGGTGCAAGGCAGTCCAGCCGTGTGGCTTCACTCAGTGGACTCCAGGGCACAGGGGTCTTCTCTGGGTGAGTCACCCTTCCTGTACCCCAGGCCCGGCTGGGGCCTGGGCCACACTCTGATGGCCTTGGCCCCCGTCACCCATGTGGGATGAGGTCCAGGCCATCCTGGGTGGGGGTGTCTGAGCCCAAGTGACTCTGGTGATTCCTCTCATCCAGGCCCTGGAGGATGCCTGCAAGCCTCCAAAACCAGCCTTGCTCTACCCCAGGGAAATGGGGGCCGCCCGTCTCCCTGCCTGGCTGTCTGCCCGCCTGGCTACGATGTGTGCAAGGCTGGCCTCCCATCTCCCCGCCTGGCTGCGATGTGTGCAAGGCTGGCCTCCTGTCTCCCTGCCTGGCTGTGATGTGTGCAAGGCCGGCCTCCCGTCTCCCCGCCTGGCTGTCTAACCGCCTTGGCCTCCTGTCTCCCTGCCTGGCTGCGATGTGTGCAAGGCCGGCCTCTTTCTCTGGACGTGGTGCTTCAAGGTGCATCCTGGGAGTGTAGGTCAGCACTTCCTCTTCGGGGCTGAGGACTAGTCCACCCTGCAGATTCACTGCACAGAGTCTGTCCATTCTCGTGCATTCTTTGAAACAGTGCCATGTTGTGAGACACAACAAGCCGCACGTGTGTAAAGCGTGCAGTTCGATGAGCTTTGGCGCATGTGCACAGCTGCCAAGCCCTTGCTCCAGCTAGGATGACGAGCGTGTTCACCCCTCCATGCTGCGTGGCTGCATCAAGCGCCCTGATAATTTCCCCCCTCATTCCCTTTGGGCTTCAGACAGCAAGGGGAGGACAGAGGCTGTTGTTCCTTCCCTCTAGCGCTAGTAAATCAGCTTCATTTTTTAATTTCTTGTTTTTTGCTTTTGTTTTCTTTTTTTTGAGACGAAGTCTTGCTCTGTCACCCAGGCTGGAGGGCAGTGGCACGATCTTGGCTCACTACAACCTCCGCCTCCCAGGTTCACAGTGATTCTCCTGCCTCAGCCTCCCCAGCCGCTGGGATTACAAGCACTGCCACCACACCCAGATACCTTTTTTTTTTTTTTTTTTGTATTTTTAGTAGAGATGGGGTTTCACCATGTTGGCCAGGCTGGTCTCAAACTCCTAACCTCAGGTGATCCACCCGCCTAAGCCTCCCAAAGTGCTGGGATTACAGGTGCGAGCTGGTGTATCTGGCCCTAAATCAGTTTCTAATTGTTGTCAGAGGTGAAGGTAAAAGAAAACAGCAACTTTTTGCGGATCTAAGTGTTCTAGCAGCAGCAGTGGCAGTGAGGGGGGCGAGCATCTGTCGTGGAGCTGGCAGGGCCCCTCGCTCAGCGAGCCGGCCGCCGCCTGGGGTGCACGGACCCCTCGTATATCTGGTCTCTATCTTCGTGGGCTGCAGAGCTGCCTGCGGGACACACAGGATGCTCCTTGCTAAGTCAATCACGCCCACACCACCGTGGAGCCACCAGCTTGTGGCCCCTGGAGGGCCAGCGGGTGTTCCGTTCTTGCCTGGAGGGCGGGACTCCTGCCATGCTGTGCTGGCATTGGGAAGACTCCCCTCGCCCCACCATTAGTACGTCATTCCTTTAGGTTAAGTATTAAGTGTGGCCGACCTGGGCTCTTCTTTCTTTTCTTCTTCTTTCTTTCTTTTTTTTTTTTTTTTAAGACGGAGTCTTGCTGTGTTGCCAAGGCTGGAGTACAGTGGCATGATCTCGGCTCACTGCAAGCTCCACCTCCCGGGTTCATGCCATTCTCCCGCCTCAGCCTCCCGAGTAGCTGGGACGACAGGCACCTGCCACCATGCCCGGCTAATTTTTTGTATTTTTAGTAGAGACGGGGTTTCACTGTGTTAGCCAGGATGGTCTCGATCTCCTGACCTCGTGATCCGCCCACCTTGGCCTCCCAAAGTGCTGGGATTACAGGTGTGAGCCACCGCGCCCGGCCGCCTTTTTCTTTTTTTAAAGTCAGGCTCTTGTTCTGTCATCCAGGCTGGAGTCCAGTGGTGCAGTCACGGTTCACTGCAGCCTCGACCTCCTGGGCTCAAGTGATCCTCCCACCTCAGCCTCCTGAGTAGCTCCTGAGGACCACAGGCGCCCGCCACACTCAGTAATTTTCTCCATTTTTGTAGAGACGGGTCTCAATACGTTGCCCAGGCTTAGGTTCTTCCTTTCAAAAGCCACATCCTTCTAGGAGGGGCCGTGTACCACGCTGCAGCAGCCATGGCTGTTGCAGCATGAATGAATTTCTCAGGCCCTCTCCTGCCACTGACAGCAGAGAGCAGGGGTTCTGAGGAAGAGGATGGGACGGGGCGGCAGGTGCTTTCGGGGTCATCTGGGAGTGTGAGTGCCGTGGCGCAGGGCTGGGGTTGGAAAGTAAGGCTGCAGATCTCAGCAGCCTGCAGGCTGCCCCCAGCCCCGTACAGCCCCGCCCAGCCCCAGGGAGGCACGGCCTTAGCTCAGAGGGATGGGCTGGTGGAACCAGGGGGTTCAGGCCTGCAGGGGATGCTTTCAGAGCGTGAGGACTCAGGGGCAGCAGGGACGGGTGGGCTCTGCCAAGGGTCCAGCTGCAGTGGCCACGGTGAGTACAGGGCCCACTTGAAGGAGGACCTTGAAGTGGAGCTTGCTCTGGGATGAGCCTGCCCACTGCCAGGGTCTCAGGAGGGTATGGGGGCACCTGCACACCTGGGCCTGTGCTGGGTGTAGCCGGGGGCCCAGCCCGGGGCTGAGCCTTGGGCCTGTGCTGGAGGTTCAACCCCTTGGCCCTCCATTTGGGTCCTGAGCCCCCGTCCCAGGCACAGGCTGGGCGCTTGGGGAACAGGCAATGCTTGCTGGACAGGCCTTGTGGATGATGGGTGGGGGTGGACCCCTGGCCAGTCCCAGGGGTCAGTGTGGAGGCCCTGGGGACGATGACAGGATGTCCTCTTCAGGAACCCCCCCCCCCACCCGCCCTGCCTCCCTTGACCTTCCTCCAGCTCCTGCCCCTCCCCTGGTCAGAAAGCAGCTGCAGGCGACACAGATTTCTCCCCGGGAGATGCTGAAGCTTTAATTTTCCTGGATTTATAGCCTCTTCTGTGGCTTTATTACTGAGATAAGGACAGCAGAAAGGGCCCCCCTCCATCGGGCTGCTCGGGGATGTGGAATGGCTTGCAGATCAACAGCGGCACCTCTTGTTCTTGGGCAGGCATACTGGGTGACACCTGGGAGGGTCCCTGAGCATCTGCAGGCTTGGGCCAGTGGGGCAGGGTCTGTTGGCCCCCTTGATCGGCCCAACAGGCCTCAGGAGGGGCCAGGGCGGCAGAGGGGCCAAGGCGGTGGAGAGCCCGGTCCAGCCCCTGCCCACAGGTCCAAGGGTCCTGGCTGTCCTCACCCCCACTGGCCATCAGAGCCCGCCGTATCTGGGTGGGCTGAGGCTGCATTGTAAAGAGGACTCTGGAGTCACCCAGTCTGGGGATGCCAGGAAGGAGGATGCACCTTCCTGGGAGGTCCAGCATCCCACGTGAGCCCAGGACGTGCTGGCCGGGACCTGAGTGTCAGGCTCGAGAAGTGAGAAGCAGCCCCTGCTCTCAGACCCAGTGAGATGTCAGTAACCAGAGACAAGAGCCAGGCCAGGTGAGCCTGGGATGGGGAGACCCCGGACGTTCAGGCCGGATGCCCAGTGTTGGGGGGTGGCTCTTGACGTGGGGGCTGCGAGTGAGCAGCGTTTGGCGAAGGTGGGAGCTGGCGTGGGCGGCATGCAGGTGGGAGGCCTGAGTGCCGCCAGGAGAAGGAGGCGCCGGGCTGTCTGAGGGCAGCCGTCCCTGGGGGTCTCGGCCTCACACTCTGGCATGCGCGAGAGCCTTGAGCAATGGATTTGAGTCTCAGTGGTCAGGCCATGAGGGACAGTAGACAGCCCTGGAGTGGGAGAGTGGCAGGAGGGAAATAGGGTTTCAGAGACATTTGTGAGGTTCAAGTGGTTTAATGCACATGTGGGTGGAGCCTCAGAGTCTGAGGAGCAAGAATAGGACAGAAAAAGCAATTCAGAGCAAGGCCCTGGATTTCCCAAATGTGCGGGAAAGTCAGCATTTATGGATCCAAAAGGCTCAACCACCCCAAACCGGGATCGATACGGAGAAAACCACTCCCAGGCTCAACTCAGTCAAACCTCTGAAATCTAAAAATAAAGAGAAAATCTTGAAAGCAGAGAGCAAGAAAAGCTGCCTTACAGACACTGAAGGAGGAGGCTTCTCAGCAATCAGTGCTGGGGAAACCGGAATAACCCGGAATGAGCTGCCACCCCTGCCTCACGCCACACACACGCTCTTAACTGCCCACCAGAGGAAAACCAGCAAAGCTTCCATAGGAAATTAGAGGGGAATATCCGTGTGATCTTGGTGGAGACAAATATTTCTTAAAACACAGACTGAGCGCGGCGGCTCACACCTGTAATCCCAGCACTTTGGGAGGCCAATGCAGGTGGATCACCTGAGGTCAGGAGTTCGAGACCAGCCTAGCCAACATGGCGAAACCCCGTCTCTTCTAAAAATACAAAAATTAGCCGGGCGTGGTGGCCGATGCTGTAATCCCAGCTATTCGTTAGGCTCAGTCATGAGAATCGCTTGAACCTGGGAGGTGGAGGTTGTGGAGAGCTGACATCATGCCACTGCACTCCAGCCTGGGTGATAGAATGAGACTCTCTCAAACAAACAAACAAAAAAACACGAGACTCTCTCAAAACAACAACAACAACAAACAAACAAAAAAACCCCACAAAATCAAGCCAGGCACGGTGGGTCAGGCCTGGAATCCCAGCACTTCGGGAGGCCGAGGTGGGAGGATTCATTTAAGGTCAGGAGTTCAAGACCAGCCTGGCCAACATGGCGAAACTCCGTCTCTACTAGAAATACGAAAATTAGCTGGGTGTGGTGGTGCACACCTGTAATCCCAGCTACTCGGGAGGCTGAGGCAGAAGAATCGCTTGAACCCAGGAGGCGGAGGTTGCAGTGAGCCGAGATCACACCACTGCACTCCAGCCTGGGTGACAAAGTGAGACTCCTCTCAAAAAAAAAAAAAAAACTCAAAACGCAAGCCACAGATTGGGAGTTAATATTCACAGTGCAGATCCATGGCAAAGGGCTTGTACTCAGAATGTACCAAAAACTGCTGAAATTAAAAAAAAAAAATTCATTTGAGACAAGGTCTCCCACTGTTGCCCAGGCTGGAGTGCAGCGGTTCAAGCTCTGCTCCCAGCAGCCTCCACCTCCTGGACTCAAGTGATCCTCTTGCCTCTGCCTCCCAAAGTGCTGGGATTCCAGGCGTGAGCCACTGCACCTGGCCCTTTAAAATTAATATTAAAAAGACAACAACACAATTTGAAAATGGTCAGAAGACTGAAATAAATATGCCACCTAAGATTTACAGATGGCAAATAAGCACAGGAGCAAAACTGCACGTCACAGGTCATGAGGGGAGAACGCAGGGAAACCACAACTCAACGACCCTTCCTGCCTGTCGGAGGGGCTCAAGGGTGGGACGGTGGCACCACGCGTTGGTGAGGACGTGGGAAGCGGAGCTCTTGGCACGGCTGCTGGGAATGTGAAATGGTGCAACCACTTTGGAAAGCAGTTCGGCAGTTCCTTAAAGTGGTTTTTTGTTTTTGTTTTTGTTTTTGAGACGGAGTCTTGCTCTGTCGCCCAGGCTGGAGTGCAGTGGCGCGATCTCGGCTCACTGCAAGCTCCGCCTCCCGGGTTCACGCCATTCTCCTGCCTCAGCCTTCCGAGTAGGTGGGACTACAGGTGCCTGCCGCCACACCCGGCTAATTTTTTTGTATTTTTAGTAGAGATGGGGTTTCACCGTCTTAGCCAGGACGGTCTCAATCTCCTGACCTCATGATCTGCCTGCC
Source organism: Homo sapiens (assembly GCF_000001405.40). Lineage (NCBI taxonomy): Eukaryota > Metazoa > Chordata > Mammalia > Primates > Hominidae > Homo > Homo sapiens. The sequence continues at coordinate 1,138,601 of NC_000016.10, read as the reverse complement.
TCGGCCTCCCAAAGTGCTGGGATTACAGGCATGAGCCACCGTGCCCAGCTTTGTTTTTGTTTTTGAGATTGAGTCTTGCTCTGTTGCCCAGGCTGGAGTGCAGTGGTGCGATCTCAGCTCACTGCAACCTCCGCCTCCCAGGTTCAAGCGATTCTCTGGCCTCAGCCTCCCCAGTAGCTGGGACTATAGGCGCCCGCAGCCAGACCTGACTAATTTTTGTATTTTTAGTAGAGATGGGTTTTCACCATGTTGGTCAGGTTATTCTCGAACCCCTGACCTCGTGATCCACCTGCCTTGGCCTCCCAAAGTGCTGGGATTCCTTAAAGTGTTAAATATGCTCCCACTGGCCAGACGCGGTGGCTCACGCCTGTAATCCCAGCACTTTGGGAGGCCGAGGCGAGTGGATCACCTGAGGTCAGGAATTCGAGACCAGCCTGGCTAACACGGTGAAACCCCGTCTCTACTAAAAATACAAAAATAAACCAGGTGTGGGGACGCGTGCCTGTAATCCCAGCTGCTGGGGAGGCTGAGGCAGATGAATTGCTTGAACCCAGGAGGCGGAGGCTGCAGTGAGCCGAGATCGCGCCACTGCACTCCAGCCTGGGTGACAGAGCAAAACTCTGTCTAAAAAAAAAAAATGTGTATTGGGTGCATGATCCCGTCTCTCTACGGGTAGGTGTTGACCCTGGATAAATGGAAGCATGTGTCACACGCTGTTCCCTACGTCAGTGCTCGTGGCAGCTTGACTTACAGTAGCCCCGAGCTGGAAACGGCCCACGTGTTCACCGACAGGAGAACAGCTAAACCACCGCGGACGTTCAGACCATGAGACATGACTCAACCGCACCAGGGATGAGTGAGCTGCGGACGCGGAAGTGCGGTGAATGTCAAGGCCATTGTGCCGGGTGGGAGAAGCCAGAGGAAAACAGCGCATGCGGCTGATCCCGCTCACACGCCATCCTGGGGCCTCGGATTCACCCACCGTGATGGAGAGCAGGGGGGCCGCTTCTGGGGGTGGGGTGGGGAGCGAGGGGCTCCAGCTTTCAGTGCAATGGACGTTTTCACTCTTGGTGGAGTGGTGGTTTCACAGGCATGTACATGCATCACACTTTATTTATTTTATTTTATTTTATTTTATTTTGAGAAGGAGTTTTGCTCTTATTGCCCAGGCTGGAGTGCAATGGCACCATCTTGGCTGACTGCAACCTGCGCCTCCCGGGTTCAAGCAATGCTCCTGCCTCAGCGTCCCGAGTAACTGGGATTACAGGCACCCGCCACCATGCCCAGCTAATATTTTGTATTTTTAGTAGAGATGGGGCTTCACCATGTTGATTAGGCTGGCCTTGAACTCCTGACCTCAGGTGATCCTGCCTGCCTCAGCCTCCCAAAGTGCTGGGATTATAGGCGTGAGCCACCGTGCCCGGCCCATACATCACACTTTTTTTTTGAAACAGAGTCTCGCTGTGTTGCCCAGGCTGGAGTGCAGTGGCGCGATCTCGGCCCGCTGCAAGCTCCGCCTCCCGGGTTCATGCCATTCTCCTCCCTCAGCCTCCCGAGTAGCTGGGACTACAGGCGCCCGCCACCACACCCAGCTAATTTTTTTGTATTTTTTTTAGTAGAGACAGGGTTTCACCGTGTTAGCCAGGATGGTCTCGATCTCCTGACCTCGTGATCCGCCCGCCTGGGCCTTCCCGGAGTGCTGGGATGACAGGCGTGAGCCACCACGCCCGGCTAATTTTTTTTTTATTTTTCTTTTAGTAGAGACGGGGTTTCACCGTGTTAGCCAGGATGGTCTCATCTCCTGACCTCGTGATCCGCCCGCCTCGGCCTCCCAGAGTGCTGGGATGACAGGCGTGAGCCACCGCACCCGACCACCAATTTCAATTTCAACAAAGAATAACAAGGGCAGATTTCAAGGCTTACCGCCAAGCCAAAGTCATGAAAACACCAGGGGAACAGACAAGGAGAGGAGGAGGCAGAACTAACGCTGGGCAGGCGTCCCCACACCCCCAGCAGAAGGGTCGCAGTGCAGGGACGTGGGAGAGCCAGGCCAGCAGGTGTCTGCACAGGTGACTCAACCACGTGTGGGGCCGACATGTACCAGTTCATAAGAGCCAGTGGTTAAATACCTAAGAAATGAGTGAGCTGCTTGTTAAACAGCTACAACTAAAAATTAAATCATATACACTTACAATTAGTGTTGAAGCTGGAAGAAGCTTCCGTTTCACGAATAGCACTTGTACCAGGGTGAGAAAGAGTTGAACAGTGGATCACAGATCAGATTTACGGATGACACACTTATCGGGGCAAGAATCGGCAGGTGGGGAGCAGCCTCGCGCTGTGGAGTCTCAGGCTGGCTGCAACGTTAAGAGTCGGGCCGAAGCAAGCCGAGGCGCCCGTCAGAACCCATCAGCCATGTGGGGTTTACGACAGAGCCCTATCCCATATTTTATGACTGTTTGTAAATCATGTGCTACACATGCCTTACCTCAGTAAAGCTTAACAATAAGCTGCTGCACGTCTACAAATGCGCACATTTATGCACCTGTGGGGGGCTCCCTCACGTGAAGGGTGAGAAGGGCAGCCGGCGAAAGGCAGGTGAAGTCCAGGGTTTCCGCTCCTGGGAATTTAAACACCCCTGAAGCCCCACCATGGGGGCCTAGACCTTGGAGGGGGTGCACGGTTAGTACGGTTGTTTTCCGTACTTTTCAATATATTTAAAAGATCTTAGAGGCTGGACGCAGGGGCTGACACCTGTCATCCCAGCACCTCGGCAGGTGGAGGCAGGAGGAGTGTTTGAAGCCAGGAGTTCGAGACCAGTCTGGGCAACAAAGCAAGATCCCATCTCAATAATAATAATAATAATAAATAATAATAATATTAGCCAGGCATGGTGGCCTGCACCTGTGGGCCCAGCTCCTTGGGTGGCTGAGGTGGGAGGATTAATTGAACCCAGGAGGTGGAGGCTTCGGTGAGCTGTGATTACGCCACTGCACTCCAGCCTGGATGACACAGTGAGACCTTGGCTCAAAAAAAAAAAAAAAAAAAAAAAAGGAAAAGAGAAAAAGAAAAGAAAAAAACCAATTTTGAACAGAAATAAGTCTTGGCTCTCAGGGCCCCCCTCTGTGGCCCAGCCTCACCCCAGGGAAGGTTTCATCCAGCTCCGGCCCTGATTACGAAAACAGGAACCCTGCGAATAATTCGGGTGATCCCAGGCCCCGGGGTCAGGGCAGACCGTGGAGTGAGCTGCGGAGAACGGTTCTCTCGTGTTTCTAGTCAATGGAGTCCTTGGGACCTAGAGGGGACCTAGGGCTGGGACCCCGGCTCACCTGCCCTGCCCAGCCGTCTGTGTGTGGGGCAGCCGTGCTGGGCGGGGGTCTCACAGGTCAAGGATAGGGGGGCGGAGCTGCGATGGGTCCACGCCAGGAGCCCCCGCCTCCAGGCACCCCCCACCCCAATCCCCCAGGCTGCCCCGACGTCAGGCGGGGAGGCAGAGTGCCAGCTTGGCCCCAACAGCTGTGGTGGAGAATCGATTGGCTATAATTGGGACTTGGAAGGGGTTTAATATTTAACTGGATTAAATATTTAAACAGAAGGAGTTGATGGAGCACGGCGGCCAGGGAGGCGGCGGGGACGGGCCCTGAAATTGGGAGGAGGGATGCCAGTGTGGGGCACCCGGGCCCTGCCTACCGGGCATACAGCAGGTGCTCCCCAACCTCCCTTCAGAGGGGCGGGCTTGAGGGGAGGACTTCATTCTCTGTCTCTGTGTGCAGGTGGCAGCGGGGCTGGCTCACTCAAAGTTCTTGGTCAGAGTCCATGGATGGATTGGGAGGGTGTGGCCCCTGAATTTGGAGCCGAGATGGCGGGAGAGGCTGGGGCTTCCTTCTGGGGAGGGTCCAGACCTTAGTCAGCTCCTCAGAGACACCATCCCTCACCGTGCTCTCCCAAGGAGAAGATGAGCCACCAGCCCCTTCTCATCCTCCCTCACACACCTGGGAATGGTGCATCTTTGGCCCCCGGAGAGGGCTGGGGGTGGGGGCTCTCCTAGAATTTCCAGATGGCAGCCACCGCCCCACCCACCTTCCCCAAAAGTGTTCCTGAGCGGACTCCTAGAGGGACGCAGAGCGGGGTGGGGTGGGGTGGGGCAGGTGCCTGGTCCCCCTGCCCTCCGTGATCCCTGAAGACCCCGCCCAGCAGGGCTTCTGCCCACACACTGAGGGGAGGCAATGCCCGTCCTGGGCCTAGGATGCCCCGTGCTCTCAGCCAAGTCCCTCCCAGCGTGGCCTGGCCGGCTCTGCCATGGTAGGCTGTGTGGTGTCAGGAACCCCTCGGGGGCCCTGCAGTCCTGGTGTCCTGCGTCCCCACTCCAACTGCCTGGCAGGCGGGCCCTCGTGACCATGGGGTCCCTGGGGTGTTTGCTCTGGGTCTCCCTGTGGGGTGGCTTCTGGCACAGAGCCCCCAGGGCTGGGGTGAGTCGGCTCTGCAGAGTATCAGCCTGGAGGAAGTAAGAGGTGAGCAGGCCTCCCGATGTCTTGCCGGCCCCAGGAACGGGAGACAGAACCCACACGCAGGCCAGGCCCGTGGCTGCCTTCCAGGTGGACCCAGCGCTTCCTGAGGCCTCCTGTGTCTGGAGGCCCTGGGCTGGCCCTCAGGGCGTGACCAGGGCTGGAGGAGAAACAGGGCAGGGAGGAAGAAACCTCAAGACAGCGGGAGCCCGAGCCTCACGGACGCTCTGACAGCCCCACCGTCGCGGGGACCAGGCACCCCCGGCCCTGGCCTCTCTGGGCCGCTCAGAGGTGATCTGGGTCTGAGGCATGATGGCCTTCCTGCCTGCGTGACCTGGGCAGGTGTCCTTACCTCCTGAGCCTTGGTCTCCTCACCTGTGACAGGGGTGTAGTCATTGTTCCTGTGCAGAGGGTGGCCACGGCTGTGAGACACGGGAACCGTGTGCCTGGCTGAGACCTGGGTGCCTGGCGTGTCCACGCCTTGGTTATCTCTGGAGGCCTTCCTGCCGGAGGACAGACAGAGGGAAGCTGGGCAGAGCCCGGGAAGGAGCGAGGCCCTGCGGTTGGGGGTCTTCCCATCCCACCCCCAGGGAACACCCAGCAGGTAAGGTGCGTTTGGACAACCCGGTTTCGCGCTAGCAGGCCCGCAGGGCTGGGGGAAGCCGCAAGCCTCCCAGGGGACCACGCCTCTGGTTTGGTGTCCTGGCAGCACAGCCGCCGTCCAGGGCCACAGGGACAGCAGAGGTGGGGGCCTGTGGCCTGGAAGGTGCAGGACGGGGTCTCCTCTCTGCTAGACTGGACTGGCCCTCACTCCCTTCACCTGGGGGTGGACGCAGGCCTGGGAAGGGGGACGCAGAGGGGACCCGGGCAGTGTGAAGCCTGTTACTCGGACCTTCTTGTGTTTTGTAAGCAAGAGTGGAACGGTCAGCTCCCCCAGCACCCAGAGGCCAGCCCGAGTCCCTGTCCAGGCCGCCGAGGCCTCCGCCCTGGTCTGTCTCCCAGCAGCACCCCTGGCCCAGCCTGCCTGGGCCTGCTCTGAGCCAAGCCTGGAGGGGCGGCCGTTGCCCTTGGGGCTTCAGGGGCTTAGGTGGACCCACCAGGCTGGGTTCCCTGGGGGCCTTCCTGGGCAGACGCTGGTCCCACTGGGAGGGTAGAGCTAGTGGTGGACACAGCGTCTGTCCCAGCCGTGGGCCAACAGGAGGTGAGCCCCAGAATGTGCTAGAAGGTGTTAACCTCGTGTGGCCGTGCACATGGGGCAGTGGGTGCTGTGGTCCTGCAGGCGTGGCTGAGCATGTGGGCCCACAGACCCCATGGGGACCCCACGCAGATCCCAGGCAGATCACATGCAGCCCCCACATGGCATCCCATGTGCCCCCAAGCGCCCCCTCCTAGCCTCCACATGCAGACCAAGTGGCTCCCACACGGCCCCACTAAGCCCCAACACCCCCCACCAAATCCCCACTGAGTCCCCTCTGCGTCTCCCGGCCCCAGCCTGGCCTCCGCCCCTCGCTGGCTAGTCAGTTCCCGGCAGCAGACGCTCCCCCAGGACGGGTTCCTAATGAATTGTTTGATCTCACGCCCCTGTTTGATCAGAGGAGGGAGCTGCTCTGGAAATAAGCAGGTGGCCCCAGACCCGGCGGTTCTGCCCCACGGGGAGCAGGAGGGGACACGAGGTGGTCCCAGTGCTGGGGGGTTTTGTCCTGGTGGGGTGGGGAGCCTGGGGAGGGGCACAGCAGCAGCATGTGGGCTGTGGGCTGTTCTCTCTGTGGGCTGTGCCTTCTCTTGCAAACCAGTCCTGATCTGTCACCTGCGGAGGGGTGGGCGGTGGACCCCCCAGAACGTGAGCACACCCTGCAGCTGGAGCCTGTGGAGGCGACATTCTTGGGAAAAGGATCTTTGCAGACGCGGCCTAGTCAAGGACTAGGCCCAGGTGGGACCGTCCACATGGGCCTTCGCTCCCACACTGGCGTCCTCAGAAGTCAGAGCAGAGATCAGAGCCCAGGACGCCAGGAGCCCTCCGGAGCTGGAAGAGGCAGGAAGGGACCTCCCCTGCGGCCTCCGGAAGGCATGCGGCCGTGCCCACACCCGACGCTGGACTTCTGGCCTCCAGCACTGGGAGAGAGGATGCTTCTGCTGTTTGACACCCCCCGGGGGTGGCATTGTGTCACCGGAGCCCCAGGAACCCAACACATCGCCCGAGCTTCCAGTCACGGGCCGAGCGCAGAGCTTTCCCGACCAGCAGCCACAGCCCTGCTCGTGGGCCCCAGCAGGGCCAAGGGAGGCCCCGAAGCCTGTCCAGGTGTGCACAGGGGGGTCCTAGCACTTGGACCCTCACCTGGGACGTGTGCCTTCTCTTGTGTGGGACACCGTCCCTAGGCCTGGAAGGAAGGTGGGGACCCAGCGCCCGGAGACACCTGGATTTCTGCACTGGAAGGTGGCGTGTCGCTCCTGCCCAAGGGGAAGCACGCCAAGGGCACGCGCAAGGGCAGGAGAGGCCAGGGACGGGCCGGCGCACGGGCAGGAGAGGCCAGGGACGGGCCAGCGCCCGGGCAGGAGAGGCCAGGGACCGGCCGGCGCACGGGCAGGAGAGGCCAGGGACCGGTTGGCGGCCAGTCAGCAGAGGCCAGGAATGGGCTCAGGGGGCGTGGGTGGGAGTCTGGGGATCTCCGTGCCGCAGCCTGGTCTGGGGGCTGCAGGCTGGGTGGGCTGCCCCATGGGTACCTCACCCCCAGGAAGGCTTTTCTGCAGCCGCTAGCTCAGGCAGGCCCAGGCCTGGGGAAGACCCGAGGGGCATATTTGTCCAGGCTGCCTAGGCCTCAGAGCTTCCTTGGAGCCGGGCTCTGGGAACATGACAGGGACCTGGCCCCAGGTTCCCACAAGGCAGTGGGCAGGCGGCCCGGACAGCAGTCTCGGTCTTGGGATCGATACTGAAGTCTCTGGAGCCAGGAACAGCCCCATGCCAGGAAGAGGGTGTTGCTGGGTATGGTGGACCAGGGGCGGGCACAAGGGTAGCTCATCCCCTGACCCCCACCCACACTGCGTCCCCGGTCCACCCCCACCCCCACACTACATCTGGCCCCTGGGACTCCCACCCCCACTGTGCCCTGTCCACCCCACCTCCACTGCATCTGGCCCCTGGCTTTCCCCCGCCACTGCACCCCCGGCCCCCCCCCACTGCATCCCTGCTCCCCCACCCTCACTGCACCCCCGGCCCCCCACTGCATCTGGCCCCCGGCCCCCCCCACCCCCACTGCACCCTCCGGCCCCCCCCACTGCATCTGCCCCCGGCCTACCCAGGGGAGCCTCACCCAGCTTGGAGGATGATTTAGGTGCAGACAGCAAGAGAGGGGCCAGGCACTTTGGGAAGGAGCTGACGTGCACCGGGCCCCCTCTGCCGTCCCCATCCGCTGTCTTTCCCAGGGCCTGCCTGGTGTGGGGCTGGGGGACACATCCACAGGTGGGCCCAGGAAAGCCTCCTGGGTGCTGGTGGCCTGGGGGGGCAGCATTATCGGGGTGATGGATAAACTGGGGGTCAAAGGTCATTGCAGTGTGACCTGGGAGTGGGGCCACCCATCACTCAGGCCTCAGAGGAGAGGGATGCAGGGGCCTGAGGCAGTGCTTGCCCCGGGGACCTTCTGGCCCCTCAGCCATAGCCTTCCCCGGCCCTCGCCAGATGGACCCCAGACCACACCCTTGGTCTTTCTCCCCCAGCCTCCTGGGCAGCCTCTGGGGGTCTCTGAGGAGCCTGGCCTGGCCCCAGCTCTCACGAAGTGAAGGCGTCCCCAGCCTCCACATGGGTTGTCCCTTGGGAGGGTGCACAGCCCAGGAGGGACGGCTGTGGCCACCGCAGGCCCTGAGGCACCTCGGGCGGGCTAGGGGCCTGGAGGACAGGGGCAGGGGTCCCTGAGGGCCCTCCATCCATTTGTTCATATTAAATGAGCTGTGCCTCTGGCCCCCAGGAAACACCATCCAGTGCCGCAGGGAATGGGCAAAGCTGTCCCCTGAGGCAGAGGCGAGCTCGCGGGGAGTTGGGGGCAGGGCCAGCCCTTTCCCAGGGGCGCAAGCAGAGTTGGGCAGGGCGTGCAGCCTGGAGGAAGGCGGGGGCAGGATGAGACAGGGACCCCAGGTGCATTGGAGTGAGGCTCCCAGTCCACCGGCACGTAATGTGCGCTCACGGGTGCTGGGCCCTGGGCTAGCTGCCGGGGTCTGCCCTCTCCACAGCGGCCGCAGGGGCCCCGGGGCATGGTGGGCGAGGCAGAACCCAGCAAGGAGACACACACCAGCTGGGAGCCCTCCACGCACACCGTCTTCAGCCCGCACGATGGCGCAGACGCCCCAGCAGCGAGGCACGAGGCCCCCGGGGTTCACCTGAGGGTGAAGCACGCTACCCGCCTTGTGGACTCAGCCGGAGCCTGGGGTGGGGGGCTGCAAACAGCCGCTGTGCAGGTACCAGCAGGGGCGGCAGCCCGCACGGAGCGGGGGCAAGCAGAGGGAGGGGAGTCTGAAGTGCAGGAAGGCTGAGTGTCCCTGGGTGTATCTGCCGGTCTCCCGGAAGCAGATCCTCCCGGAAGCAGATCCTCCCGGAAGCAGATCCTGACTCAGTACAGCCTTCCCAGGAAAACCCCGCAGCAGGGGCAGGCCCGGGCGGAGGGCGGCCAGGCTGGGTGCGAGGGCCACAGAGGAGGCCCCAGAGCGGTGGGCACGGGCCTCCCCACGTGTCTGTTCAGGAGGGAGCTGGGATATTTAGACCCCACCCCAGTGGTCCCTGGCTAGGGCCCTCAGCGCCCTGGGGCTCACCATGCGGGCACAGGAGGTTTGGGGAAGGCCCCGGGCACTACCCTGCTAATGAGCGACGTGTCCCCAGTCCCGCCCGGCCTCCTCGGGGCAGGCAGGCACACCAAGGCTTCAGGACTGTGGGGTTCAGTCCTCACCCCCGCCCCGCAAACAGGCTGGAGGTGGACTTGGCATGGTGTGGCCTGGGCAGCCTGATCCCAAAGTAAAACATTCGGCTTCCGGGGCTGCTGCCTTGAAAGGCAAATATCACCTCTGTTTCCAAAACTCGCCTCTTTGGGCCGGGAGGCGTCTGTGCAGGATCCCTGGGCCGGGTAACTGTCCCGTCCTCCCACATCCACTGTGCCCGTCCCCCGATGAGCCAGGCCAGGGCATCTCATCTGCTGCTGCTGCGTGGAGGACCCCAGAAGTCAGGGCGTGGCCCCCACTGCCCGTGTTATGGGTGAAGAAATGCAGGCTCAGACCCAGAGGCCCTGGAGGACCTTGGAAAAGGCTGGTTCTAGGGGTCAGCCTGGGCTCCCTGGGGTCTGCCCAAGGACCCCAGGCTCTCAGGAGGGGCCCTATGGGAGACCAGGGAGGGACACAGCGGCCTACTTGGAGGGTGTTTCCAGAGCCGTGTCCCCACCCCTCATCCTCACAGTCAGAACCCGCAAGAAACTGATGCCCAGGCTACGGCGAGGCTGGGACGTGGGGCCTGGTCACCACGGGTGAGGCTAGAACACGTGGACGGAGAGCCACGCACCTCGGCAGGGGCCCCCCAGGACCCAGAGCCCGGCGACACTGATGGCTCCCATGGACAGCAGTGGGGATGGGGGTGTCCTGGGGACACGGGGGCCGCCTGGGGCGCCTCTCATCCCATCGTCTTCCTTCCTGCGCTCTCCCAAGTCCTTATCAACACCTCCTCTATTGTCTTGTCCGGTCCCTCCCCCCACCTGAATCGGGCCATTCCGGAGCGTTCCCTGCACCCTGCCCAGCCGTTCTCGCATTCAGTAGGTGCTCAGAGTGTGCGGTGTGGCCCAGGAATGAACACCCCCTCCAGCCCCAGGACCCCCAACTGTCACTCCCCACCCTGCTCAGCTCAGCGCCTCCTCTTCCAGGAAGCCTTCCTGGACTGGGAGAACTGTGGTGCTCTAGTGAGCGGCAACTCCAAGGGTCCTGGTGACGTTCTCATGCTGGATGCTCAGATGTTCCGCCGAAGAGGTGCAGGACAGCAGGGGGGTTCCCGGCAAAGCCCACAGCACTTTCTCAAATAAGATGGAGGGGTCCCCAGGCAAGTGTCAGATCTGCAAAGCCTATCGTGGGTCCTTTTGTCACCAGGGCCTGGTGCTGCTGCCCACCCGAGACTGGAAGATGTGGCTTCCTCCTAATCAGCAAGACCCATATGGAGACACACCACCCTAACTGCAGAACTGCCCGGACCCCCACACGCACCTGTGCCTTCTCCAGGCTGGAGGGAGGGGCTTCTGGAGGGTCATGCCTGCTGTGCAGGGTCCCTCAGGGGCATCTGTCCCAGGCTGGCCTCAGGAAGGGTCCTGGGCATCGAGGGGCCCTACAGGCTGTCTCCCGACCCTGGGCTGAGCCACTGCCCCTGCCAACCTCCTGGGCAAAACGAGGGGGTCCTGGGAGGGCACCTGGGCCCTGCAGTAGGGAACGGGGGTCCATCAGGGTGATCCCCACAGCCCCCAGCTGCCTCTGCTCCGGGTTCCAGTGGACACCTGAGATTCCGGGGCTAAGCCTGGATGCAGTGGACGTCAGACCCCGCCCCAGCTCCATCCACACGGGAGGGTGGTGCGTCCCCACCTCAGTAGAGGGCACAGAGGCTCAGGATCTGAGAACCAACCACTGCCTGGGCCCAGCACAGGCCCTCACCCCCCACCCTACAGACGGGGCCACAGGGTCTCAGGAGGACAGGGCCGGGCGCCTCCTCGATCAGGGGACACAGGGCTCTCGGGGCTGAGAAGGCCACTTCGATCGCTTTGGGAGGAGGAGGGAAACGCTGGACTCTGTGCCCCGTCCAGGTGGGACGACAGCAGGGGGCCTCGGACTGCAGTGGGGGCTGGAGGTGGGACGACAGCAGAGGGCCTCAGACTGCAGTGGGGGCTACAGGAGGGCGCCCAGGGCCGTGGAAGTTAAGGGAGGGGAGGCCCTGGTGTGGTGGGGCTTCTGCTGGGCCCTGGAGCTTCGGTTGGGCCTGGAGCTCGGCTCTGTCCCTGGAGCTGGGTGGCGCGGGGTCTCTGTCCAGCTTTATCTGTGGGAAGCAGAGCTGAGGAACGGCCCCTCCCCGAGCCTGCTGAGCTTGCTGGTGGCCTGTCCCAAGAAAGCTGGAGCAGCCCTGCACCCTTCATGTCCGCCTCCTCCTGAAGATGGGGTGGCCCCGTCTGCACTGGCCTCAGGCCACCCCCTGCACAGGGAGCTCAGGCTACCCTGTGCCTTTGCCCTCGCCATCCCCTCCCCATGCAGCCCATTCCCCCTCCTCGGGGACCTTCGGGCACCTTCCCCAGGGCCTCCGCTACCTGGCTCAGGACGGCCCCACCCCCAATGCCTGGCCGCCTCCTTCCCTGCCCTGAACCAGTCCCTGGGGTCTGTCACCAGATTTACGTCCCCAGCTCTCTCCTGCAGGGCTTTCTGCCTACTCTGTCCCCACAGTGTCTTCACCATCCAGACTGGCTGCAGAGGGGCCCGGAGCCCTGAAGGGGAGGGGGGAGGGTGGTGGGGGGAGGGCGGGGGGAGGGCCCTGAGCCCCTCTGGGAGGGGGAGCAAGTGGGGCTGTGGGGCTGCAGAGGCCTCTGCAGAGATGAAACAGCAAAGGGACTCCAGGTGGGTGAGTCCTGGGTGGGGAGAGGGCTCCTCGGTCCCCAGAGCCCCCTCCGGACAGCAGGCGGTGGGGAGAGGGGCAGGGGCCTCTCAGTTCCAGCTCTGGCCCGGCCGTATGATTGCAGGTGGCTCTCAGCACCTGGGCCTCCCTCACCAGGTGACCATGGAGTCGGTTCCAGCACCGGGGAGCTGGAGCCCGAGGGCCCCTCAGCCTCTGCTGCAATGTCACTGATGTCTCACTGGGAGCCTCCCCTCGCCCAGGTCTGCCTCGGATCACTCATCACACGGGGACGGGCAACATCACCCTCCGGTCTAAAACTGGGTTTCCACTTCTCAAATCAGCCGGTCCTGCCCCTGATGGGGCCAACCCGCCACCTGGCCACGGGCTGGCCCAGCCTCTGTGCCTCAGTTCCTCATCCGAGGATGGCAAAGAGGCCGGAGCTCCAGAGGTCACTCAGGCTGGAGTGGGGCCAGGGTGCTCTTGGTGGGGACTCTCTGGCTTTCTCTTTGTCTTTTGGGGGCAGGTGCCCTGGGGCAACAGGCCGCTGTGGATAGGAGAGTCGGCTGGCAGACACCCCACCCGTCCAGAGGGATTCGGCCAGGGCCCCCTTCTGCTCCACCATTGGGGCCTATGGGCCGAAGCCCACCCCAGGGGACAGGGAGTCAGCCTGGCCCATCTCCAGAGGGGGTCTGCACCCAGTCCCCTCAGAGCCTGGCCAGCTGGAGCCCCGAGCAGGAGGTGCTGAGTGGAGGCAGGGCTGGGCCTGCGTGGGTGCCGGCAGCAGGGTTGCCAGGCAACTGCCTCGCGCATCCGGCGTCACCATCTCCGTAGGGCGGAGGAACCCAGGTTCCAATATTTATGTCTTGCCGCTTGCTAAGGCGAGGCGGTGTTAACACTGGATGGCTGGGAGAGGGAGGCGTGGCCCGCCGGCCCTGGAGGAAGGGGTGGCCCTGGGAGCTCCAGGCTCCCACTCCCAGTCCTGCTCCCGGGAGGGGCTGACAGTTCTCCCAGCGGCTGCTGTGGCTTAGAGCTGAGAGGCCAAGCAGCTTCGATGGTGGAACTCCAGGCTCAGGGGGTGGTAGGGGACCTTCCTGCTGGACCCAAAATGACAGCAGGAGCTGCCTGTCCCCTCTGCCTGGGCCACAGTGAGGAGAGGCCGTGCTGGGTGCAGCCCCTCCTGGGCCACTTCGGGCAAGGCCAGGTCTCCATGGGCCGCTGTGCAGAGCAGGGTTGGGGGGTTACCAGGGTTTAGCCCCATCTCCATAGGCCTCAGCTTCCCCAAAAGTGCAGTGGTCATCCTGGGTGGCCTGGCGGTGCTCCGACAGTCCGGGGTGACCACAGCCCAGAGGCCCTGCAGGCCAGAGGATGGGGGCCCCACAGGCTCCCAGAGAGGAACATCAGGGTGTCAGAGGCGGCCCCACCCGGGAGGTCCCCACTGTCCTGGGACACTGTTCCAGGGCTTCCTGTGGTGAGGGCGGTGGGGGCCTCCAGCCAGGCATGGGAGCCCCAGGATGTCAATCCTGCTGGCCAGGGGTCCAGCGTGGTGCACTCCCTGAGGGCCGAGCCCCACACCTGGCCAGGGGAGCTGGAGCGCCCAGCTGGGCCCACTCAGGACCCTGCTGGGTGGGGGGCAGGGTCTTCCGGCACCTTCCGTGGTCCATTTTCTCCTGAACTCAGACCTCCTGCCAATTCAGGCTAGGAGTGGGGTGCTCCCTGCACGTCAGTCCTGCAGATCCCCCGGAAGGGTCAGGGCCTGGGTGGAGGGGAGGCCTCCATGTGGGTGGGGGCTTCTGGGTGTGGCCCCATCCTTCCATGGGACGACCTCGAGGGACCCCAGCCCCCCACGCTGCAGGCAACGCTGAGCCTCAGTCTTCCCTGGCAACAGGGGGCCCAACCCGCTCTAAACAGCTGTGGCCCAGTGGCCGGTGCCCCGACCTGCCCGCCCCGAGGGGAAGCCCCCGGGTCCCCCGGTGGCCTGGGCTTTGGTTGCCCACCTGGGCCGCTACCTGTGCTTCCGAATCCTTGTGCCAACCAGGGCCTCCTGGGCCTGGGGGGGTCCCCTGCTCAGGTACCAGCTGGGGCGGCCAGCAGGGCGGAGGGGCATTGGCACCAAGACCCCTCTACTGTGTTCTCCCGTCCAGCCCAACGGGGGCTCGGCCCAGGCCACACTGGCCCCAGCCTCCCTCTTCTCTCCCCTTGGCCTGGGAGCTTTAGGGAGAGGCAGGAAATGCTGAGGGGCGGAGAGGATTACGGGGTGGGGTGGGCTTGAAAGGTGTCGGTGCATGGTGACCCCTTGGCCCTGGTTTCTACGTCCAGGGATGGGGACCTCTGCACCCTGCCCCTCCACCCGCCGACGCAGGGACAGCTGTGCCTGGAGCCCCCGTGGCCTCCTGTCCTTCCATCCACCAGATGGCCAGGGCTCCTCCCGCCACCACCCTCACCTCCTGCTGTTAAATCTAAACGTCACAGCTTTGGGCCCAGGGTTCACCCACAGAACAGAGCCGAGCCCCTCCCCCAGGCCTGCAGTGCCTGCTCCAGCAACTTAAACTTGAACTCAGCGCTGGCCCAGGAGCCGATCAGAAGAGCTGCCCGGCTTCCCCCAGCCCCACAGTCCAGCCTGACCCACCTTGGACGCTGGGGTCCCGGGGGCAGCGCAGGCAGTCGGGGGAGGCTCCCCTGGCCGGGCAGGGAGGGGTCCCTGGAGGGAAGTCCCAGCTTTGTACAAGGGTCTGTCCTGGGGGCAACAGAGGGGCTTTCCCAGGCGTGCAGTGCCCAGAGGCCTGGCACAGCTCAAAGGGCAGCCCCACAGGGCACCTCCTGCCCCCGCCCTCTGGCACTGCTGGGTTCCCCACTGGGGCCAGGCCTGGGTCAGGCCATCTCTCCCTCCTGGGGTCCTGGAGGCACAGGGCAGCCAGGAATCCGGGCACCCGGGAACCCCAGAAGCCCAAAGCCAAGGCTCCTGCAGAGGGTCCAGGGGCTTCCGAAGACCACAAATGCCAGTCCCCGCCACTCCCAGGAGGAGGGGCTGCCCAGTTGCAGCCGCTGGACCTGCAGGCCGACGAGACCCTCAACTGCACACGGGAGGCCGGAGGTGAAGGCGCGCGGGAGGCCGGAGGTGAAGGCGCACGGGCCTCCTGGATTCCGGGATTTTCCCCTTATCCAACAAACAACCTGTGGGTCAGATTCTATGTACAAAATGCACCTGTAGATCGGCCCCAGGTGCCGGGGGCTGCTCAGAACTTGGGGGGCGGGGTGACTGCAGAGGGAGGGCCCTGAGCCTGCCCCACAGCCTGGGACCTGGGCCCCCATCCCAACTGGCTGACCTGCAACCAGGGACGGGGCTCCCGCAGGCTCAGCCCCCCAGCCCTGTGGCAGCGGGAGCTGAGCCCCCTATCCCCAGGACCCTCCCAGCCTGCTTGGCCTGGCCCCCTCTACTGATGGGGGAGACCCCAGGACCTCAGCCTCTCCAGGGGCCTTCAGAGGACAGGGCCGCGCTGCTGAGGAGTGTGGGAGGGCGCCAGGGGAGGCTGGGTAGGGGCTGTGGGTGGGTATGGAGGTAGGACCAGGGCTGATATGCTTGTTCAGGCCTGGGGGGAGACTGATCAGGCGGGACGGGGCGACAGCAGCCCTGAGGCCTCAGCAGGGAAAGAGCTGTTGCAGGTCATCGAAGGGCTTGGGTGCCAGCTAAGGGGAGGGCACATTTTTCTTATGGGCAGTGGGGAGCCATAGATGGTCCTTGAGTGAAGGGATCAGGAGTTGATTCCTGAAGGAGGCTGCGAGCTCCCAGGGACTGGGCCTGTCCAGGTATGGAGAGGGCAAGCAGGGGGGTCCAGCGGCGTGTGGGGACGAGTCCTCCCCCATCTCAGACCCCGAACAAGAGGGCTGGGACGTCCCCCCACACGCTCTCCCTCCATTCCCCAATGTCCGTGTCACGGAGGCGGCCCTCCCCCAGTCGCCCAGCACCCACCCTGGTGCCTCTCTGGGAATCCTCCCGGGGAACCCCCTGCAGAAACTCCCCTGGTCTCTGGGGTCCCTGCCCCCTGCCCTCCCTCACACCGTACCGCAGAGCTGGGCCCAGGACTTTTGCCACTTGGGGCAGAGAATTTAGGACTTTTCCTTCTGAGCTGAGACACGGCCCTGCCCACCCTGGAACTGTGGGAAACAGCTGGCCAGTGGGCAGGTCACAAGACGCACCTGTGTCTCTAGGTGGGCAGGGAGGAGCACAAGGAGGCCCCTGGCTTTGGGACGTCCTCGCCTCACGCCTGCGCGTGGGGTACATCAGCCCGGCATCAGGACCTCCTCTCATGTCCGTCCAGTCAGAGCAGCCCCACAGAGTACCCTGTTTCTCTCTCTTGAAGATAATCGGGGCCCAAACAATGTCTTGTCTGCCTGAGCGTGTTCACACGTCACCCTCAGGAGCGATTGTTTCAATGTTTGGCTGAAGCAGAGGCTGCGGACGGAGTCCCCTCTCGCTCCAGGCTGCCTCTCATGCATGACTCAGGCCTTTGACATCACCAGGAGAGCTGGGGACAGGCCCAGGGACCCGAGAGGGCTCGGCGAGGGGCTGGCTGGTCACCCAGGCCCCAGCATCCCTGTGCCCCTCACACACAGAGTGCTTTCTCACCAGGGCCTCTAGGCGGGACCCCCGGGGCTGCACGGGAACCTGCCTCAGCTTGGACCTTGGGGTGGCCCCGGCTGCCAGATGAGGACATGCATCCTGCCCAGGGCTGTGGCCCTCAGCCCCCAGCCCCTCGGGGACCCAGGCCCAGCCAAACCCTCCCTGGGCCTCTCTCGACTCCAGCAACTGTGTCCTCCCAGAAATGATTTTCCTGGCCTCTGAGTCTCCGGTGCCGTCCGGGGTATCCAGACGGAGCTGTGGGGATAGGCGGGGGCCCCGAGGGGCGGCCTGGCTGAAGCTGAATGGTCCCTATTGATCCGGGACAATTATGGGATGGTGAGCGCCATTATGTCACTCGCACACCATTAAAGAGTTTAAAAATATCAATTTATCACCGACACCGCAGACCAGAGTTCAGGCAGGACATCGGGCGCTTTGTTAAGAACCCCAGGGCACGGAGAAGTCACCCCCCGGGCCGGGGGATGTGTGAATCTGGCCCTCGGAAAGGCACGCTTGGTCCCCGGGGTGGGGAGGGGCCGACAGACCCTCCCTGGCTTGGGCCCAGCCCCCTGGGCACTCGTGTCCACTCTGGGGCCCGGGAACCCCCGGAGGTGGGCTTGGCCACTACGGGTGCGTGGAGGGGTGTCGCCCCTGAAACGCGCCCTCACCTCCACTCTGCCACTGACTCGACACCTTCCCCGGCCGGGCTCGGGGCTCCGGGGAAAGGGGCTTAGCTTCTAGGCCTCCCTGTTGTGCATGGGAGGGAGTTTCATGGGAAACATTTAGGACAAGATGGAGAATTCCAGCCCACAAGCCGGGAGGCTGAGGTGCAGGTGATGTCGGAACTGAGACCCGGGAGCCGGGGGAGCCGGTTTCCCCTGACAGGACCCCGGGCCTGCGGGACATGTTGAGGGGATGTCGGGGCGAGGGGACCCGCGGGAGACGGGACTGCATGGCAGGCCCCCCAGCTCAAGGAACCCCAGGCAGCCCCGGACACCGGCGGGAGGGAGGCGGCCCTGTGGGAGCCCCGACCCTTGCTTGGCAGTGGGGGTCCGGCTCGGCCCCCACCCCCAGCCTGGCGAGCATTTCTCCGCTGAGATCAGGAGGGCCTCGTCGTCATAGAAACAGGCCACATTCCCAGAGTACACCGTGGCCATTTGTGTCCCTCTCTGGCCAGGGCCTGCGGTGGGTGGGGACCCCTGCGTCCTCAGGTCTATTAACCGGGCAAACAGAGTCAGGCCCCTGGGGGCACCCGGCCCCACCTGTGCGTCTCCCACGGCACGGAAATCAAATCTTGTGGCCCCAGCTCCACCCAACCCGGTCTCCCACGACAGCCTTGTACCGCGCCGGCTGCAGCCCCTGGCCGGACACGCCACACCTGAGCCCCTCTGGGCCCCAGCACCGGAAACAGCCACAAGGCTGGGAACTGGGGGCCCCGGGGCCGGCAGAGGCCGGAAGGATCCTCCCTGGAGCCTCTGGAGGAAGCCGCACCCTGACGATGCCCAGATCGGACTCGGCCTCCAGCGCCTGGGAGGACAGTTTGTTGTTCTAGCCACCAGGTTTGTGGCTTGCGGTCAGGACAGCCCTAGGAAGCTAATCTGTTGCCCTGAGCAATGATTATCGGGGAAATCCTTAGAGCAGGTGGCTGGCAGCTTATGGCAAATGTGAAAAAATGCAAATGCTGTTATCTCAAGGGAACCCACCCGCTTCCGATGAGATGGGCCCGCAGCCCCCGCTGCCATCCTATGACTCCTGCCGGCCCTTGGGGAAGTGGGTGGCGTCAGGGCCTCTGTCCAGGGTCTGGTGGCCTCAGGTGGCCAGGCCTCTCCAGGCCAGGGTGTGCAGGCAGCTCCTCCAGACCTGACGTGCCTCATGCCCACGCCAGGGCTGAGTGGTGGCACTTCTGGGACTCTGGCCGTGATCAAGACGTGCCCTGGAGGAGGGCCCCAGGCCTGCTGCAGCGGGGGGCCCTCAGCCACTCGCCCCAAGCCCTGGAGGACCCTCTGCTTGGTCAGGAGCGAGCTCAGCTGTGCCTTGCGGGGCTGCTCGGTGCACAAGATGGAGCTGGGGGCAGCAGGGGGGCATCGGGGAGCTGGGGCAGCCGTGGAATGCATCAGGAGGGGGTCCTGGGTGGGCCTGAAGATGCCAGAGAGATGGGAGGAGGGAGACAGGATTCTGAGTGGGGATTGGGGGTGTGTGGCTGGTCCCTGGGGGTAGGCTCAGAGCCCAGCCGTGGCCCTACTGGGAAAGAATTTCCTGTCCACCCAGAGTAAGTGCTGTCTGTTAGACCAAGACGCCTGTCCCTTGCCAAGGCGGGGTCCCAGAGTGCCCTTTCCTCTTTTGTGAAGGAAATCAAGATTTATAACAACGTGAAGTGCGTTACCGCCGTGGGAGGGGCCTGCTCCCACCCTGCTGGCCATATCGGCCACATCATCTCAGGCTCATTGTGTGGGCTGCGGGCAAGGGGCGATCCCTCACTAACATCCACACAGAGCCGCGCCGGGGCCTGGAGGGAGGGGCCCGACTCTGGCCTTGCTCGGCCCGCAGGGCCATGGGGAGACCTCACCTTCCCCCGGTGGCTACTGGGGAGGCCATGCCTGCATCTCTCCCCCAGGAAAGAGGGCCCCAATTCCAAGAACCCTCCCTGCACCTCTCGAGGGCCCAAGAGGGCCAACGCCAGCCAGGCACCTGGTCAGCGGCACCCAGAGACACTGTCGAGGGCCCAGCGGTTTCAGAGAATTGGCTGCAATCACTGTCGTTGGTGTCTGTGACGGGTGGGGGTCCCCACCTCAACTCCGTCTTCACACCTGCTCAGGGCTCACAGGCCAAGAGGCTGGGCAGCTGCTCACAGGCTGGTGCTGGAGCCTGTCCGCAGGCCCTGGCCCTGCCCACTGTCTGCCAGCGCCCACTCGCTCTCCTTCCTGGCCTCCTGGGCCCCAGGCCGCGATGGAGCAGAGGCCGCACCTCCAGGACCTGGGCAGAGCTCACCTTCCGCGGAGGCTGCTCCACGCTCAGCAGGCAGGGCTGGCGAAGGTGCCAGGCTGGGCAGAGGGGCCTGGGGACCCTGGGGCCAGGGCTGAGAGCACCCCTCTCGCCTCCTCACTGCCCTTTTGGCCTCCAGAGGGCTCAGGACCCAAGACTGGGCCTCCCTGTGCCTCCCTGGAGGCTCTGCTCCGGGCCCCAGTGTCTGGAAGCCTTCTCGGTCCTTTTCCCCACCCAGCCTGGGGGAGGTGGAGACTCACCAGGACTCGTGCCGGGAGAGGCATCCACGCACAGGGGCTGCGTTCACACCTGAGCCCACGTCAGAGGATCTGACGCAGGGGCCGGCACAGCAGCTGGAGATAGCTGACCCTTACGGATGGGAAACAAGGCCAGGCTGGGATGGGAGTGGAGCCTTCATCTTTCCTCCTCCTCCTCCGGTTAGGTTCCAGGCCCCCCAGCCAGCCACGCCTTCCCAGGCCTCCCCTGGGACCCCAGGAGGTGGGGGCACCGCAGTGACCTGAACTCCTGGCCCCCCCACAGGTGGGCAGGAGCCCGTCTGACCCCTCCTGGTCCCTTCCCGATGGACCCACATGGGCCTGTGGAGCCGGGCACGTGGCCTGGCCAGCTCTGGAGGTCTGGGCACAGGCGGGGGAGCCTGGGGGGGTGCAGGCGGTGGGGGTGGCTGAAGGTGGGCGCAGCCGGGTCTACAGCCTTGGCCGGAGGCCCTCCTGACCCTGTAGCCCCAGCCCCCGGGGTCTCGGGGACACCCTTCCGTACCTTTGCACCTGGCCCCTCTCCCAGCTGGAAGACCCCACCCAGCCCCTGCTTCCCTGTGTGGCCGCGGTGTCCAGCCGTGTCCGGGGCTTCTCCTGCCGGGTCGTCTGAGCGGCCCCGGGCTCCCTTCCTCCCTTGCTCTTGGCCTTGGGAACAATCTGACCTGATTCTCAAAAGGAGTCATCAGACTGTGTTCCGCTTGTGTTTTTATTACCAAGGAATGTACGAGCGAGGGAAATATTGTCGCTGACACCCCCAGCTCTGTCCTGAGCCTCGTGCAGCTGGGACCCCAGGACGCGTCGTCCTCAGGATGTCTGCGGCTGCCGTGCGGATCTGCAGGGGCTGGAGGCTGAGCTTCCTGTGAGACCTTGGCCTCGGTGGTCCAGGGCCAGGTGGCACCGCCTCCCTGTCCTGCGGTGGGGAGTGGGGGTCCGCCCGGGCCCCCAGAAGCCACACTCAGAGGCACGGGGGCTCCTCCCTGGCGTCCCTCCCTGCTTTCCCCTCTGTCCCTCTCCCGTCCGACCAACTCCCTGGCTCAGGCTGGTGAAGACGAGGCCTCGGGAAGTCTGCAGCCTCCAGCAGACCCTGTGACAGGGACGTCCCCAGCATTCAGGGAGGGGAGGGGCTCCCTCCCGGCCCTGGCTCAGAGTCAGGAACACCAGGCACAGGGGGCAGCTGTCCTCCTTGAGGGAACCTTCCAGAAGCATCTGTCCAGGGAAGCAGGGATTGGAGATTGAGTCCGTCTGCAGGGTCAGACAGGGCCTTGGGGGAAGGCGGGGGCGCGGGATGGCTGGGCTCGGCCTGGGATCTCGTCCCCGCCCCTCCCTCCTGGCAGCTCCTGCAGGTGGAGGCTCCGCAGCTGGGGGGGCCCTTCCCCGTACTCCAGCTTCAATTTCGTCTGTGGGGTCGATGGTGACCACATGGAGCTGTGGGAGGCTGGGGGGACCCACCTCGGCAGGGGTGGGGGCAGGGCCTCAGCCATCCTGGGCCTGTGGGGACAGGGTGAGGGGTGATCCAGCACCCAGGCAGGGGAGAGGGGAGGGTGTGGGGCCTCCAGGGCAAGGCCGCCCCTGTGGAAAGGAAGGTGGGGGCGGGGAGGGTCCCCTGGACCACAGATCATGGGCTGGAGGTTGTGGGGGGGCATCCTGGGGGTTGAGGACCCTGAGTTGGGGAGGGTAGGCGGGGGGAGCGAACGGGGGAGGCCGGGGGAGCAGAGGGGGGCGGGGAAGGGGCCAGGCGCGGTGACCTTGCTAACCCCCGCACCCCAGACTGTTTGCTTCCTCGGTAGAGAGGTGGAGACCACAGCACAGCTCTGAACGCCCCATTCCATCAGCTAAGTGGCTCCAGGCCACGTCCTGCTCCCGGGAGGACCTCTGGGGCCTGGGAGCCGTGGCTGATTTTCTCTGCGTCTATTTTCAGGGCTCTTTGGTCTAAGTGCCGGGTGGAGCCCGGCCCCTCCAGGTCCATTTCCAGGCTGGTGCTGGCGGTGGGCATGTGAGGGCCTGGCCAGGCTATCTGCCTGCCGCCCGCAGACCTGGCGTCCCTCCGATGCACTGGAGTTGCCCTCGGGCCTGCTGAGCCCAGGGAGTGCTCCAGTTCTAGGGAGCACACGCTCCTTTCCCACCGTTTCCTCACAACCTCCAGCAGGAAAGGGGGCTGTCCCCGGAGCGGCCTCCCCACCTGGGCACTGCCGGGATTCCGGCTGCTCACCCCCATGGTGGGGCAGTCCTGGGCCCTGTGGCAGGCAGCTAAGCCGCATTCCTGACTTCTACCCATCAGGTACCAGGAGTGCCTCTTCCCCCGCCCCCGCGTCATGACAGCTGAGATCCTCTGCAGACACCCCCACATGTCCCTTGTGGGGGCAGAGTCACCCCAGTTGGCAGTCACTGCTGTAGGGAGTAGGACATGGTGTGGGGGGCTCCCTGGGGCTTGGGAAGCCACCGGAAGGTGATTGAGGGGACCCCGTGTGGGGGTGTGTTTGGGGTGTAGGGACCCCCCTGCCTGGTCACACTGCACATGGACGACAGTTCTTCCATTTTTTTTTTTTTTTTTTTTTTTGAGACAGAGTCTCGCTCTGTGGCCCAGGCTGGAGTGCAGTGGTGCAATCTCGGCTCACTGCAGCCTTGGCCTCCCGGGCTCAAGCCATCCTCCCGCCTCAGCCTCCCGAGTAGCTGGGACCCTGGGCGTGCACCACCACGTCAGGCTAAAGTTTTTAATTTTAGAAATTTTCTGTAGAGACGGGGTCTCCCTATGTTGCCCAGGCAGGTCTCAAAGTCCTGGGCTCAAACTGTCCTCTGGCCTTGGCCTCTCACCCTCTTGCCCAGCCATATGCCTTGTTATAGCCCAGCTCTGGTGGGCGTCAGGCCCCCCAACACCCCAAGAGAAGGACTCCTCATCCCAGGTCCCCCAGGGGCCCCGACCCCACCACCAGCCTGTGGGGGAGTGTGGGTCTCCTCCATGGTTCTGCTGAGCAAGCCTCAGGCGGCCCTAGAACGAGAGGCCGGCAGCAGGAGGACAGAAGCCACAGAGGCTCGGCGCTGCCCACAGCCTGAGATGTGGCATGGGGCTCCAAGCTTGAGGTCCAGGCACAGAGGGCAGCATCTGTTAGCAGTCACACACCGTGTGCAGGGGGCAGGGCTCACCCAGGTACGGGCTCCAGGGCAGCTCTGTGCCCTTGACCGGTGGCCTCCCGGGGGGCAGGACTGGGGGGTGCAGGGCGGGTGGGGGTGTGACGGTCGGGTGGGGAGAACACGCACTCTCTTGGTCCTCGGCACCTGCTCTGCAACCCACTCCCCAGGCCTTATCTCATGGCAGCAGCTGATGGGCTCCGCCTGCCCAGAGCATCTTCAGAAGCCAGACTGGAGCCTCTTAACCCCAGATGCACTAGAGCTCCAAGGCGGCCCCTCCCTGACGCCTTCACCGACAGGCCCACAGGTGCCCCGGCCACCCACACACCAGGGAGTGCCAGAGAACAGAGATCAGGGAATGTGGCCACACCTAGAGGCCAGCCAGGAGAGGCCGGGGAAGGAGGCCGCCCAGCCTCACCCTCCAGCACTCCAGGGCCTGGTGCCCCCTCAGCAGACCCCAGGACTCTGGCCTTCAGGGTGCACCTGAGGCCCCCTGAGGTCATGCTGCTTGGAGCAAGTGAGACGGAGACGGAGGCCGACAGAAACCCACCCTGTACCCGGGGCCTCTGTGGGGCTCCACAGGGGGTGGCATACCTGCTTCTCCCCGATTGCGCCCTCGGCTCTGCCAGCAAGAGACAGGGCGATGGGCACCCCATCCTGGGATCCTGGAGGCTGCGCCACTGGCTCTGCCCGATGACAGGGTGTGGGGTGGGCAGGACAGCGGTGCTGGGACCTGCCTGTCTCTGTTCCCACCAGAAACCACATCCCATGCGTGGTGGGTGGCTGGCCTGAGGCCCCGGGTGTGGAGCGGAGGTGGACCAGAGGTGGACACAGACCCACGGGCCGCCAAGGCCCACCCAGGATCCCCCGGGGGCCATCCACATCTGGTAAAGCCGAGGTGTGGGCGGACCCCAGGAAGCAGCCCCCACCCCTGCCCCCAGTGGCTCAGGCCTGGGCAGAGAAAACAGGCCCAGCAGGGCGGCAGGGTGGGATCCCCACGATTCACCGAGGATGCGTCTTCCACAGGGAGAGTTTGGGGGAGCTGTGTGTGAAAATGTGAGTAACGTACATAAATCAGTATCACAGGAATCCAGGCGGGCGGAGGATGCATGACTGAACTTGGAGGACGCTCATCAGGGAGGTCAGTGCTCCCCTCCGGGGACAGGATCCTGCCTTCGCCTGGCCTGCGGGACAGGGCTCCCCTTGCCGGCCAGGGGCTACTGGCCACTGATGCTCACTTTGGGCTTCCGCCCCCCAGGGGAAGGGGTGCTGAGAGCCCCGTGTCCGGAGGGCTGGTGAGTGGGGCTGAGGCTGGTGGAGTGGGGGTGAGGCTGGTGAGTGGGGGTGAGGCTGGTGAATGGGGTGAGGGTGGTGAGTGGAGTGAGGGTGGTGAGTGGGGGTGAGGGTGGTGAATGGGGGTGAGGCTGGTGAGTGGGGTGAGGGTGGTGAGTGGGGGTGAGGGTGGTGAATGGGGGTGAGGGTGGTGAGTGGAGTGAGGGTGGTGAGTGGGGGTGAGGGTGGTGAGTGGGGGTGAGGGTGGTGTGGGTGAGTGGTGAGTGGAGTGAGGGTGGTGAGTGGGGGTGAGGGTGGTGAGTGGGGGTGAGGCTGGTGAGTGGGGTGAGGGTAGTGGGTGGGGCTGAGGTTATTCCAGCCTCGGGCACTGGATCTTCTCGGGGTGGGGGGGTTTGTGAGCGCTGACCCCCTGGGCTGTCTCCACCTTGTCCTGGGGCTGGGTCCCCGGACGACGCGGCCACAGCTCCTGGGAGAGTGGCCAGCCCTCGGACAGCTGTGAGCCCCCACGGGGGTGTCTGGGTTCGAGGCCACGTTGCAGACCCGCTGGCTGCTGGGGCTCAGGGAGGAAATGACCTGGCCTCCTGGAGCTTCAGATTCCTCATCTGTGTGCTGAGGGAAGGGGCACATCTCGGAGCCTGGGGACTCCCGGCGTGTGGGCTGCTTGCCTGGCACCCGCTCACCCAGGAGTTGTCCTTGCTGTGGGCTCTGAGCCTCCGGGATGGAGTGGGGCTGAGAGCGTGTCCACCACCTCCACCACATCAGCCTGTCCCTGGTCCTGCTCCGCCAGATGACAAATCTCTGGGAAATCTTCTTTAATTTTGTTCTCTGGGAAGTGGTAGGTTTTGGAGATAAAGCTGAGTTGATACATTGGGGATTTGACCATTCTCCCAGAAACTCCTCAACCAGGAAGGAGGTGGTGGGCCCTGGACACTTCAAGTCGGGCAGGCCGGGCTTCAGAGCCCCCAAAACAGTGCACTGCCTCCTCACCTGCCATGAGGGCCGGTGTCCCCTAGCCGGCCTGGAGAGCATCTGCCACTATGGCTGGGACATATGGTCTCCCGGCCACCAGCAGCACCATGGAAGGGAAAGTGAGATGCTCGTACGGGGACTGGGACCCCACGGGCACCCCGGCCCCGTCAGAAGGCAGGTCCAAGGCACAGCATGTGCTTGCAGGGCTGGACGGCATGGGGTGATGGCTGAGGCTCAGCCACCCTGGACCCCCTTCCCGAGGCCTCTCCAGGCCACTCCCCAAGGATGGTGCGTCCCTGCCCTTCTAGGAGGCTCCACCCTGGTGCGACCCACTCATCAACACGCACCTCTGCGGCGTCCTCCTCCTGTACCCCGGGGTCTCTGGGCACAGGCCGGTGGAGTGGAGCTGTATGTCTCAGCCAGCTCGGGGAGACGTAACAAGAATCACACCCTGGGCAGCTCCAGCATTCTCTGCAGGTTCTAGAGGCTGCGGGTCTAAGATCAAGGTCCGGCCAATTGTGTTTGCGTCTCCTCCCTCCTGACCTCATCTAACCCTCATCACCCCTGAGGCCCCACCTCCACGTCCCCTCACACTGGGGTTAGGGCTGAAACAGATGCATCTGAGGGATGCAGCTCAGTCCACAGCGTGGGACCGGCCTCCACTCGGAGGCACAGACCCTCTTTCACACCTGGGACAGCCTCGTCTGTGGCTCAGGACATGCTGGCTGACGCCAGGGTCCGCGGACGGCCCGCGGGAGGGAGTTCTCTCCTGACCTGCTCGTGGCGCCGCGTTTGTCTCCTCAGCAGTGGTTTGCATTCAGCCCGGCCTCCCTGACCCGAGCTGCTCCCACTGTGGCCGGGTGGGCGGTGGGCACCTGGGGCCTGCCGGGGGTGACACTGTCCCAGGAATCCCCCACCAGCTTGGAGTGTCTCTGATGAAGACCCAGGCGGGGCCTCCGCTGGTGCTGCTCCCTCCCCAGGACGACCGAGCCTTTCCCAACTGCCAGGCCTCTGGCCAGCTTCTGGGGGTCCATTCCAGGCCCAGCCTCTCTGCTGCTGGATGCCGGCAGCCTCTGGCTGTCTCGGGCATCGGCTGCAACGGTGTCCCTCCTGTCGCTGCATCCTGACAAGCAGCTGCTTGAACTCCTCCAGGGTCGGAGGGCTCACTCCCTGCGGGATGCACAGCCTTCAGCCCATCGCTGTGTAACTAGAGTGCCTGGTGGCCGCATACCCCACCTCCTGGCACAAGCCGTGCCTCCCGTAGGCCTCTCTGCTCTTGGGGTCTAGACCTCCCTGGGACTGCGCCTGACCCGTGGGGGGACACACAGCCTCTTTCCACTGTTTTCCAATGATAATTTCACTGCGATGTAGCTTGGTACAAATGCCTTTTTCCTTGTATTTAAAAAGCTTCCCCCTCATTTGCAGTCATTTCCTAGGGCTGTGTTCAAAGGCTAGAGTTGCCCACTCAGGTGTGGGAACGGGTTACGTCTCTGGAGCGCGCACTACAGTTTTTTCTAGAAAGCAGGACCGGCCGGGCACGGTGGCTCATGCCTGTCATCCCAGCACTTTGTAAGGCCAAGGTGGGTGGATCATGAGGTCAGGAGTCCAAGACCAACCTGGCCAAGATGGTGAAACCCCGTCTCTACTAAAAATACAAAAGAATTAGCCAGGTGTGGTGGTGGGTGCCTGTAATCTCAGCTACTCAGGAGACTGAAACAGAGAATTGCTTGAACCTGGGAGGTGGAGGCTGAAGTGAGCCGAGATCATGTCACTGCACTCCAGCCTGGGTGACAGAGCAAGACTCCGTCTCAAAAAAAAAAAAAAAGACACCAGGAAGGCGGAGCTTGCCCTCTCACGTTGCCAGGGGTCCATTCCCATGTTTTGAAAGTCACGGTCTTTAAGGCTTTTCAGGTGGGTTTTAGCAGGATTTTAAAAATAATTGGCCCAGTGTAGTGGCTCACGACTGTAATCCCAGAACTTCAGGAGGCCAAGGTGGGTGGATCTCTTGAGCTCAGAAGTCTGAGACCACCCTGGGCAACCCTGTCTCTGCAAAATATATAAAAATTAGCTGAGTGCGGTGGCAGGTGCCTGTAGTTCCAGCTACTTGGGAGGCTGAGATGGGAGACTCGCCTGAGACTATGAGTTTGAGGCTGCAGTGAGCCGCCATTGCACCAGTGTGCTCCAGCCTGGGCCACAGAGTGAGACCCTGTCTCAAAAAAATAATAATGATATACCCAAATGGGTTGAAAACGGGTCTTCAGACAAAAACGTGCACAGACATGATTACCAGAGTGCAGCTCACAGTCTCCACAGTGCAAACACAACTCAGCCAGGAGAGGGGACCGGCCTCAAGTCACCACATCAGGGCGGAGCGGGACACAGAGGACCACATGCTTGAGACTCCTCTTCCACACTGTGCTCAGAGCAGTGAGTTGCGGTTCCCAGCATCTGGGGAGATGGGAGTAACCACGCATGGGCTGAGGGCTTCCTTTTGGGGATGGCAACGAAAGATTCTGGAACCAGATGGCAGCGATGGTTGCACAGTGCTACGAATGTGCCAGACGCCACCACACTGCACGCTTTACGGCAGTTAAAACGGTGAGGTTTCTGTTACGTGATTTACACCAGAATAAAACCATAGCGGTGGCCGCGAGCGGGGGCTCACGCCTGGAATCCCAGCATTCTGGGAGGCTGAACGGGTGGATCATGAGATCCGGAGATCGAGACTAGCCTGGCCAACATGGTGAAACCCTGTCTCTACTAAAAATACAAAAATTAGCCAGGCGTGATGGTGGGCGCCTATAGTCCCAGCTTCTCAGGAGGCCGAGGCAGGAGAATTGTTTGAACCCAGGAAGCGGAGATTGAAGTGAGCTGAGATCACACCACTACACTCCAGCCTGGGCGACAGCACAAGACTCCATCTCAGAAAAAAACAAAACCAAAAAACAAAAAAACAGTGATGATAGTGACGATGATAACAAATGCTTCTCAGGCACCTGCCGCCTGTCGGGCACTGTTCTGTGTCTACCTTCACTCCCAGGCCATGCCCTCACTGTCACTGACTTATGGATGGAAGGCCCAGGCACTGCAGGCAGCTGGCACAGCTGAGGTAGGAAAGTCAAGCTTCCCTGCGTGCTGGCGGGTGGGCGTGGGCTGCAGCAGAACCTGCCTGGGCCTCAGCCCCCTGCCCCTGTTCCCCTGCCCTTTCCTCTCTGTCCCACTCCGTTCCACCAGGCAGAAGTTTCTTCGTGAAGTCACTTTCATATCTATGAGACCATCCATCTTGCTTCCAACGATTCCTCCAATCCCTTCAACACTCAGACATTTATCTTCCCGCTGCAGTCGGGATCTGCAGTCAGGATCAGCGTGTGATCTCATCTCACCCTGGAGTTTTATGGCTCCCTCTGAACGTGGTTTAACTCGGCCGTATCTGGAAGGCCGGTTCCGGGTGGGTGGTGAAGGTGAATGGGACGGCGTCGGGCTTGTCCCCGCGGCCTGGGACTTCCCCAGGTAGGGAGCCAGCATAGCCCCGGGGGGACCTCGGATGGGGAGCCTGTGGGACCGTCACCCTACCTGGCCCTGCGTGCCCAGCCTCCTCTCCCTCCACCAAGCACGCCCAGGACTTTCCCTGGAGGAAACTGCACACCTTCCTGCTTCACCCGCAAACACCCAGGAGGGAGGAACTGTCCTGGTCTCCATTCTGCAGCGGGCAGCTCAGGGCACAGTCTGTGACAGCTCTGGGCCCTGCATGCAGCCTCAGAGGCTGGGGTCTGGACCCCGCCCATACCATGGACCTCAGAGACTCCACTTAGCAGCTCCAGACCACGGTGGGTGGGGGCGTCTTGGGTGCTGGGCCAGGATGCCAACTGCTGTTGAAGGCCAGCAAAGGGCCCTGAGTCCTGGAGAGGCACACAGCTGCCTGCACCGCCCCCCAGCCCCCGGCCTTCAGGCAGGTAAACTGAGTCACACGTGCAGTGTCAGAGCCTTGCCTCCCTAGGCCAAGGGTAGACGGAAAAGCGTCCGTGGTCGTGGGTCCCCAGCTCTGCCCACTGCCTGGGAGGACAGGATGAGAGCTGAGCAGGAGTGAGCCGTCAGCCTCTGTCGGCCGCCCCGCCCTCCGCCCAGTTTGCCAAGCGCAGAGAACTGGGCTCGGTGCCCACCTCGACAGCAGGCCAGGACTTCGAGCTGCAGCCTCACTGCCTGCCCGCCTGACCACACTCACATCCTCACCTCCTCGTCCATGCCCCTGTGTCCCTGTCTCTGTGGGGCCCCACACTTCCCAAGGGAAGGTGAGTTTCAGCTGTCTGGGGCCGCCAGGGAGACGCCGCCTCTACAGTCCCTCACCCCCTCCCACAGCCTCGGGGGGCCGTGTTCATGGAGGCTCAGCCTGGCCGACTCTTCCTCCAAGAAGTCCTCCGGAGCCTCCTCCCAGAGCCTGCCCTCTCAGCCTCTTGTCCATGTGCTGGGCTGTTGGTGTCCCTCATCTTCCCCCTAGCCCTCCCGCCCAGGGCACTGCCACCCTGTGCACCCAGTCCTCTTGCTCTGCCGTGACCGGCCCCTACTCACCCCCGGGGGAAGCCTCAGGGCTGCCTGAGGTGCCTCAAATCCCCGTCATTAAAATGTTCCGTTGGCCCCGGGAGAAAGCGCAGGACCAGGCCACCTGTTGAGCCGGCAAGGGCACCTGCTCTGAGGCCGGGAGGGCTCCTCGAGCTGTCATTCCAGGCGGGAGCGAGCGAGGGGGTGTGGCCGGGGGTCGGAGGAAGCCAGATGGTCTGAGTCTCTGCTCTCCCTTCCCCCATGGAATCCCGGTGACCTTGGCTCATCTAGGCTGCTTTGGGTGTGCTTGGCGGTGGCTGGAGGGGCGAGGCTGCACAGAAGTGATGGGCGCCCACCTCCCCACTGGCCACTCTGAGGAAGGGGCCTCAGGCCACTGAGGTGGGCGAGGCTGGACCCAGCAGGAGGGGCTTCTCACCGGGCCCGCCCTATTCATGCTGCCTGGCATGGGTCCTGGGGGAGGCGATGCGGTGTGGGTCACAGCCATTCCAGGGTGACCACTGCACCAGCCCTGTGTGGGAAGGCCCAGGGCGGCCACACCATCTCCAGGGAGGAGCCTGAGGCCCCAGGCTGGGCCAGGGTCACTGCCCCGCAAATCAGGATGGGGTTCAGGGGCCTCCCAGGGGCCACCCCATGTCCAAGGTGTCTTCTGTGGCCTCCAGCTCGTCCGCCAGCCCAGCCCCAACCGTCCCTGTCACAGGGACGCTAGTCACACAACTGTCCCGCCTCCTGGGCTGGCGACTGCCCGGGTGGCCTCGGCCCTGCCCTCCCCACCTCTGGTACCC
Organism: Homo sapiens; assembly: GCF_000001405.40. Taxonomy (NCBI): domain Eukaryota; kingdom Metazoa; phylum Chordata; class Mammalia; order Primates; family Hominidae; genus Homo; species Homo sapiens. The sequence goes on along the minus strand of NC_000016.10, from coordinate 1,107,888 downwards.
AACCAAGGTGCTCTAATGGACACCGTGACCCTGGGGTCTGTGAGGTGGAGGGTCCCACTCTCTGGCTGGTGGACCAGAGAGGTGAGTGTTGGGGGCTGCCCTGAGGTGGGGGCACCCGTTCCTGGGGCTGTCCTGGCCCCGGCCCTGTGTCTGCCCAAGGGGATGTGTGCAGAGGCCCACGAGGTGGGGCGGGGGACTGTGGGGGGCTTCGGCCACTCTCTGTCCTTCCCTCAGGCCGTGCCCCCCAGGCCGGTGCTGCCCCACTCCCAGCAGGTAGGGAAACGGTCTGGGAGGGGCCGCCTGCCTGGCCACACAGTGGACACAGCGGGCGGCTCTGACCCAGGAGCTCTTCCTGGGGTGTCTTCACCCCCTGAGCCGGCTGAGGGCTGCGGGGCTCTGTGGCTGCAGGGGTCAAGGGCCCAGCCCCCTGTCTCAGACAGGCACTCAGTCAAGTCCTGTCCGTCAGCCTGCAGGGCCGACTGCGGTCACGGGTGAGTCTGTGTCCCGTCAGCCTGGGAGCTCGATGCGGCAGTGCCCCCGCCGCACCCCAGGGCACCTGGAGGCAGAGGCTGAGAGGTCGCAGAGCCCAGAATTCGCCTCCTCGGCCCGGGTGGTCCCACTGGTTCCCCGGGTCTGCAGGTCAGGGGACAAACACGGGCAGTTCCGCTCGGCTCAGCCCACAGGGAGGTGCCAAGTGAAAGCAGGTTCAAGACAAAATGTGGAGCTGGGCGCCCCCCCCCGCCACCGTGTGGCTCGAGCCTGCAGCCATCTGGGGAAACCGAGTCACAGCGAGGCTCCAGGACGGTCCTCAGGCCACATCAGTCCCGGAAGGTTCCCTGACATCCCACCTTTGAAGGGCGGTGAGAAGAGGCCCAGGCCACTGCCGCCGGTTCTGGGTCAGCCTGCAGTCCTGGCACTGCTGTCCCCAAAGCCCACATTTCATGAGGAGCCTCCAGTGTGCCCGGGAGTGCGGCGCACGCCTCCACGTCCGCCATCGGGAGGCTGTCAGGCCGGGCTCACCGTGGTCATAGCAGTGTGTGAGTGGGGATCCGGCCACCCATCAGTCAGGGCCAGGGGTCAGAGGTCAGTCAGGGCTGGGAGAAGGCATGGCAGGGATGCAGTGGGGGCATGGGCAGGGGGAGGGCACGGCGGGGCCACAGTGGGGGCATGGGCGGGGATGCCAGAGGAAGATGGCCAGGGAGGGAGGTGGCCCAGGAAAAGCCTGGGCTCCTGTGGCCGGAGCAAGGATTGGAGGTGGAGGTGGAGGGGGTGGGGGTGGGGACCCAGGGGCCTGTGCTGGGGAGGACCTGGGCCTGGGGTGGGGGGTCCCCAGAACAGGATGGGCCAGGCTGGCTGAGCGGAGCCTGGGAGCCGCTGGCATCTCGCGGCCAACACCACACTCTGCTGGCCACAGGGGGCATCGCGCCTGGGCTGGGACTCCCCTGGCCCAGGACGGGGTCACGTGGTGCGCGGGGCACTCCTTGCCCATCCAGACTCTGCCAGGCAGCTTGGCCCAGGGGTTGGGGGGCCATGGGGGCGGCCTCCACAGCACAGGACTGGGGGGGACCCTGGCTGGGACACGGAAGGAGGAGGGAAGCGGGTGCCCAGCTCTCGGGTAGCGGTCCCAGGAGCCGAGTGGGCAGAGTCTCCACAGGAACTGCCTCAGTCTTGGGTCCCCTGGGACTGTGCGTGGGGCTCAGGCTGCCCCTCAGGGCCTGGCCTGGGGGTCCTGGTGTGGTATCAGGCTGGTGTTGGGGCCCCGGGGGACAGGGAGGGAAGCCACTCGCGGGGTGGCAGATACTGGGAATCACCGTCACTGTCAGGGGTCCCAACACCCACCCGAGGCCCCCCACGGCCCCAGCCTTCTGCCCCGCGGGGACTGCAGGTGGGCAGAGCCTTCCGTTCACACTGTCTGGAGCTCAGCATGGAAAGGGATCAGAGAACAAAACAGGAACAGCAGGGGGTAAACCAAGGAAGGGGCACAGGTGTCAGGGCAGCAGGCCACCTCCCACCCACGGCCTGTCCCCCAAGCATGGAACACAGAAGCCGGGCACCGGCCAGCCCCAGGATCCTCTAGGTGACAGGAACCTTTGGCCACTGCTGCTTGGGCCATGGCGGGGACAGGGGTCGTAGGGCTGGGCCTGCCTGGTCCTTTAAGAGGGACCCCCACCCCCAGCAGCCCATACCCCCTGCCTCTGGGGGGCAGCTCTGCCCACCCTGAATGCCGCCTCTCTCAGCCACTTCGGGGGGATCCCTGGTGCCCAGTAATGGAGGCCGTCGGTGTGTACCAGGCAACTGGGAGCCGCATCCTGCTCTGGGACTGAGTGGCTGGAGCTTCCCCACTGACCTGGCTGGGCTGACCCCACCCCTCACTCCCCCGGCCCTGGTGGACACCATGGCACAGATGGACACGCTCCTGACCAAGCAGCCGGCCCCACAGACCATTCCAGTTGTCCCCCAAAGCTGTGCGACGTGGCCTGAAACACAGGTGCCTGCACGTCCTCCAGCCTGGCCACCGCTGGCTCCCAGTGGCCTAGCACCTGCTGGACAAGTGGCTCCAGAACCATGACGCCGGCCACCATCACCTTCGAACCGTTGGCATAGCAGCAGCATGAGAGCCAGCAGTGGGCAGCGGAGACCGAGGCCGCGGCACAGTGCACACAAAGGGACTCCACACACACAGGGTGGGCGGCAGCCGTAGGACACGCGCGGCTGGAAGTTGGAGCCTGAGTGGGAGGTGGTAGCACCGCCGCTGAGACCCGCCTGCTGCTGGCCCCGGAGCCGCAGCTGTGTCATGCCTCGGACACCATGACCGTGCCCTTCTCCATCGCCACCAACAACCTGCAGTACCACGAGCAATGCTGGCACCCTTACCTCGTGGGCGACTACGTGGAGACGGAGCTGCTGAAAGTGCTGCGGCCTCGGGGTGGCCAGGACGTGCAGCCACGGAGAGGAGCAGCCTGGCCGTTCATGTGGACAAGCTACGTGGCTGCTACAGGCACACAAGACCCTTGAGTCCCGAAATCTGGCCCCTTAACCACAGAAGCTGGTTTTGCCCCAAGGGGCACCTGGCTTGCAAGCAGCTGTGTCTCCTCTGGGCCCCTCCCCTCCTCCTGCCCCCTTGAGTCCAGGCACATTCAGCCCTGAGCTCCCGGGGCTGAGCCACAGGGCACCTCCCCAAAGGCATCTCTTGCTGGGACAACTGCTCCCGAGCTGGGAACCCAGGTCAGTGCTGCAGGTGTGGACAGGAAGAGTGCGCTGGGGGCCACTGGTACCCATTCATCCTGTATGGAGCCCTGACCTCAAAGATTTGCACCCCCAGTGCCCTCTCCTCCGAACGCTCTGTCCCTTCCGAATCCAGCACGACCTGTCCGTGAAGCAGCCCCGTAGGGTGAGGGGGTTACCAATCCTGGCCCCAGTGCTCGCTCTGGAGAATTCTGCCACCTCTCAGAGCCTGGGGCCTCCCTGTGAACGCACTGTTAGGTCTATGAGCAAAATATGTGGGTGGGGGCAGCTGGTGCAGGAGCCTCAGGGTTCCCTTGCTGCACCCCCGAGCTCAGGACCTCGCATCCCTCCTTCCTCCCCAGGCCTTCCCTTCCCCTTTCCTTCCCCTCCCCAGGCCCCTCCTCTGCACCCCCTCAGTGGTTCAAGAACTCCTGTGGTTCCCGTGCTAACCCCTCCGCCCTGAGCCCAGAGACCCCGGGCCCAGCCCTCGCTCGCCCTGCCTGCCCAGTGCAGGAACAGGGAGGTGAACCACGGGGAACGGCAGGTATGACCCCCAAAGCCTGGGGCGTGGGAACTACCATGAGGGGACCCTCCCAGCAGCCCGGAGAGGCCCCTGGAGGAAAGCACCCCACTTCCAACCCACCAAGAACATCCAAAAGCCCGGAATAAACCGAGGAGGGAGCTGGGCTTGTGTGCCACTTTCCAGGGGAAAGGCCTGAGGGCGAACAAGTGGGGCCTGGCCCGGACACCCAGCCAGGACTCAGGCCCCACACTCTGCTCCTCCCGAGTAAGCTAGTGCTGACCAAGGCCTGCAGCCTCCGGGCCTCCTGGGACCCTTGGCAGGTTCCGGGGTCTGGGGCTCAGGGGCGCCTCCTCATCCAGGAAGCTGAGCTCATCGGGAGCATTCCGGAGCTGCTGGAAAGGCCCACCGTGCAAGCCGGAAACAGATCCAGAGGGTCCTGCAACCTGAGGGCTGCCCAGGGGATGGCCCCTGACCCTCACCCCCGGCTGGCCCTGAGGCAGGACATGGACAACAGCTGGGGCTGCCCCAGGTCACAGCAGAGCGAAGGGCTGGGTGGCGCAGGTTCCGAAGGCCCAGCCTGGGGGCCTGAGGGGCTAGAGACCAGCCCCGCCCCTGACCTGCAGCCTCCCAGCCTGGCCGTGCTCCCGGGCTCTGCTAACAGGGGCCTCCCGGGACAGGCTCGGAGCTGCCTCCTGAAGCAGGACTCGGGTCCAGCCCGCGGTGGGGAGGGGACCCCACCACTGCCCCCCAACGCCAGGCTGAGCCTGCACAAGAAGACCTGAAGTCGGGGCTGGTCGGACAATGTGGCGCCCACAGCATGGAGGAGCTCTGCGCGCTCCCAGCCAGAGCACGAGGCGCAGGGCCCCCGTCCACCGCCTGCCAGGAGAGGTGGCCCCCGCCTGCCTGCCCCGCCCCGGCCCTGGCTGTGGTCTCACCTTACCCGCCGGGCGTGCTCCGCGAAACGGCTTTCCCCGGCCCAGCCGGAGGCCATGGACCACGAGGCCACCCGTGCAGCTGTCTGCCCGGGGATGGGAGAGCGAGCCAGACCCCAAGCACCCAGCGCGCACCCAGCTCACCCGCGGGGCTGCCCGGAGCAGGACGGGGCGGGGCGGGGTCAGTCCCAGGCAACGGCGAGACCGCATTTCCGCGCGCGGCCGGCAGAGGGCGAGCGCCCACCGCCCACGGCAGCGTCGCCAACTCGGGGCCGGGGAGGGAGCCGGGAGGGGGGCCGGGGGGGGGGGTGCGGAGACTAGGAGGGCCTGTAGGGGGGCGGCAGGGGCTGGGGGAGGGCGTCTGGGGGGCGGTGAGTGCTGCGGGGGTCTGTGGAGGGAGGTGGGGGCTGTGGGAGGTGAGGGGGGCTGGGGGAGGGCGTCTGGGGGGCGGTGAGTGCTGCGGGGGTCTGTGGAGGGAGGTGGGGGCTGTGGGAGGTGAGGGGGGCTGCGGGAAGGCGGGGCGCTGGGGGCGGCTGCAGCGTGGGGACCGTGGGGGGTTTGGATACCACAGGGAGGCAGGGCATGAGGGCGCAAGGGTGGGCGGTGGGGGGCTGTGGGAGGCAAAGGACCACCGGGGCCACGGAGTCAAGGAAGGCACAAGGGGTGCGTGGGTCTGCGAGGGGCGCAGGGCGGGGTCGTGGGCGGGACGCGGGGTTTCGAGGCCTGGGGGTGCCGGGGGCCAGGAGCCAGCTTCTGGCAGGAGGACCTGGGCGGTGCCGTGACTGCGTCCTGTGCGACAGTGTCTGGGCCTGCGGCTTCACCTAGAGGTCATGTGGCACCAGGTGCAGCATTGCCTGCTCCAGGTGGGGCGCCCTAAACTCCCAGACCCCTGAGGCCGGCCGCCACTCTGCCCCCTCACAACCTGGCCTGAGCCCCCAGCACCTCCCGTCCCCTGGCTGCCCACCCCGAGGGACTCCAGAAGCAGAGGCCCCACCTCTCTGGGCTCCCCTTCCAAGGATGTGAAACCAGGTGACATTGGGCATGGCTGGCAGGTGTTCCACCCTCGACTGAGCAGCTGGGCATGGGGTGTGGGGGAGGATGGGGCAGGAGGAGGTTTAGGGAGCATGGGCCACCCACCGTGGTTGTCCCCAGCCATCCTGGCCCAGCCACAGGGCTCTGACTAGGGTCTCAGCGTGGCCTCGGCTGCCTGAGTCCCCTGAGTCCTTGAGCAGGGCTGGGGTCTTGGGGGCTGGGGGCTCTGGGGCTGGAGCTTGGGGGGCAACAGGCTGTGCTGACTCTCCGGACCCCTCTGGGTGCCCCGGGAAGGCTGGGTGGCCATGAACGACGGTCCTTCATCTGCACCTCCCCTGGGCCCTGGACAGAGCCGCCCTCGACACAGCCCCAGGGGCTGGGTGCCTCTGGCTGGGGTTCCGGTGACCGAGCTGGTGAAGGAGAACAGCGCTGGCCTGGCCCGGCCCACACACCGGGGCACGGGGACGCCAGCACCCTGCTTGCCCCAGGTGTAGGCCCACAGGCACTGTGCTGCCTGCAGACGCTGCGGAAAATCACAGACCGGGGCTTTTTTTGGTGGACTTCCCTTAGGGATCCTTCACGGGGTCTTGCCAGGACCTCCTGCTGCCCCAGTCCCAGCCTGTGAGCCTTGGGTCCTGTCCCTCCCAGACTGGAAGGTGCCTGCTGCTCCCTTCTGCAGCCCCACTCATGCCCCGCACCCTCAGGCTGGGGAATGAGGTGGAGGGGCTGCATGCGTCCCTGGTGGTGCTGCGGGAGAAGCTTCTAGAAGTGGAGCAGTCGCTGGGCAACCTGGAGTACGTGCAGGAGCCTGGAGAAAAACATCGCCGTCAAGACCAACAGCCTCTATGTCGACCGCCAGGCGTGCATGGCCACCACGCCGCTACCCCACGGTCCTGCAGCTGCGCCTGGCTGCCAGTGAGTATCTGGCACCGTGCAGGCGCCGTCCTGCGTTTTCTGTCCCGTCTCCCAAATAAAGAGCACGTTAGCTTTCCACACGGGGCGTGTGCGCCAGGGCGGGGCTTCCCCTCACTGTCCGTCTGGGCTGGAGTCTCAGTCCCCCGTGTGGCAGCTCTACCCACGGACTCATCCGTGGGATGACAGGGTTGGTGTCAGAGCCCAGGAGCAGGAGCCCCCGGGCCTCAGAGGGCAGGACAAGAGCAGGTGAGGGCTGGGGCTCCACAGCACAGCCCAGCCACGGATGGCGTGTCCAGCCCAGAGCCTGGCCATCCGGCTCCGCTCCCTGCTCGCCTCCCCGCTCCCCCACCAGTGCTGGCTCCTCCGTCCTTTCGCCAGAGTCTTGGGGCCTTGGGACATCCTTTGGGACCCCTGCACCTCCCCGCCCCCTCCCCCCGCACCTCCCCGCCCCCTCCCCCCGCGCCTCCCCACCTCCTCCCCCTGCACCTCTAGGCCCCCAGCCTCAACTTCATATCCTTTGAGACTGGGCACTCGCTCTGCCCGGAGCTCCTCCCACTGCTGGTGCACCAGCTGGGAGGATCCTCCAGGTGGGTCCCACCCAGACTGCCCCCTTCCGCAGCCCCACTGTCCCCAGGACTCCCAGACTTAGACAGGCAGATCGGCAGGGGGTCCCTCCCGCACCCCCCAGGATGGGGCCCACCCGGAGAGCATGTAGGTGGGGGTGCCGTCTCCAAGACCCAGGCCCATAGGGCTCCTATACCAGCCTGGAGGGGACGGGGAGGTAACAGGTACAAGCCCCTCTGCCTCAACCACCCACTGGGACACCTGTGAGCTGGGTGAGATCAGCAGGTGGAAGATGCTGCGCGGGGGGCGCTGGGAGGAGAGTGGGGCGCCTTTCAAGTGGGGCTACCGGACCTCTCTCCCCCACCTGCTGACACCCCCTGCAGAGGCCACTGCTGGAGAGGAAAAACGCCACCCCAAGTCTCCTGCTGTTTGCTGTGGGGAGGGGACGGTGCTGACTGCCAGCACGGTCACCTGGCGGGCGGAGCCTGCACGGGGAGAAATCTGGGCGAGGCTGTGTGTGAGCAGGTGGGGCAGGGAGGGCTTCCTGGAGGAGGGGGCCTGACTTCCACAGCACAGGCCAAGGTACAAGGGCTGGGCCTCTCGCCTCATCTGGAGCTCACTGAGGCCAAGCCCTTCAGGTCTCTGGGCTCTCTCACCCGGGTGCCTGCCCAGGCAGCCCCTCTCCCTCAGCCCTGGGCCCTGTGGGAGGAAGAGGTGTGTGTGGCGGGGGCGTGCGAGGGCACCCCCAGCAGGTGGGATGGACTCAGGCGGTCCCCCCTGCTGTCTGGTGGTGGGGGGAGCTGCATGTAGGCAGTGGCCAGGCCCCAGCCCATGCTGGTGACCCCGGAGAGAGGGTACTTATCCCCGTTTTGCAGACAGGACGCCGAGGCCCGGGAAAGCCCAGGCCCTGCCACGTGATTCAGCTCCAAGCCTTAGCACGGATGGGTCCTCCTGCCCTTTCTCCTGCAGCCCCGGGACCGCCCAGGGAGCAGGGCAGCTGCTGTGATTTGGGAGAGGCCGTGCTGCGATAGGCTCATTGCTGACCGGACCGGGCCCCCCACCAGCTCGGAGCCCCACTGCCGGGCAGCAACGATTCCTCTGCCCACCTGGCCCCTCCCAGAGGGGCAGACCCTGACCCTGAAAGGTGGGCCTGAGAGCTTCCAGAACCTTCTCTCCAGCACAGGATGTTCCAGAGAAAATGTCACCTCCTGTCACCACGGAAGCCATGTTGTTCGTTAGGAGCCGCCGGTCACCACGGCGACAACCAGGGCCCGACTCTCATTCTTTGGGGCCATTAAAATTCACCCTGGGTGCTGTTGCCACTGGGTCTGAGCAGCCAGGAACAGAGAAGAGGACCCAGCGTGGAGCCTCACCCGGGGGCTGCAGGCAGCTCATGTCCTGTGCACGCAGCCCCTCAAAGCTGCTCAAGAGCACCAGACGGTCTGGAGCAGTGACCTGCCGGGGGAACGAGGAACCGCCTCTCTGCAGTCCCCCTGGCATGGGGGGGCCTGGAGCCAGGCAGAAGCTGGTGAACTCAAAGGCCCCTGAGCCACGGGAGGCTCCTGGGTGGGGGCTTCACTCCCTGCCACCTGGGACACCATGGCCAGGGAGGGGGAGGGTGTGGGTGGGTGGCAGCTGCAGGAGGGGTGGCCTGGCACTGCCCCATCCCGCATCCAGGGCTCTGGGTGGAACTCAGACCCCGTGCCAGCCTCCGTGGGTGTGGGTTTGGGGTGAGGTCCCCGTGCCGTGTCTGCTCCAGCCCCACAGGGAGCTGCCGGCTGCTGTCACCTCCTGTGGCGGCTCATCACATGTACTCTCGGCCAGTGGCCATTAAGAGCCTTGGGAGATAATGGTCCCTCCGCGCCGGCCGCGCACTCAGGCCTCATTATTGCCCAGGCCCAGGCAGCGCTCTGGCATGTCCCCTCGGGGAGGGGGTGGCTGATGAGAAGCCGAGGGTTGGGGCACGGGGGAGGGGGCCTGGAAGGAGTCGCTGAGGCTGGCTGGTGGCACCAGCCTGGGAACACGGAGCCAGGCGCTGTTCCGAGCACAAGGCAGGTTCCAATGTCAGGCCTCACGTGCACTTTACAGCTGGGGACACTGAGCCCAGGGGTCCCTGCGCCCACTGTGCTCCCACGTCAGGGCCAGGCTGATGGCTGCAGCAATGGGGGCGACTCCCCGGCTGGAGAGGGGCCAACACCCCCGCCCCCAATTTCCTGACCTCCCCACTCCCCCACGTGCAGGCAGACCACTGGACTAGGGCACGCGGGGGCCGCCCGCCTTGTGCTGAAAAAGGAGGCCCAGACTTTCGCAGTCTAGTAGTAAAATCCTGAAACCCAGGGATGGAGCCCTCCCCACTTTCTGGGTGGACCCCAAACGCCTTCCTTTAGAAAGATCATCCACTCCTCTCGGGGGCTGAGTGAGCCCAGGCGTCCAGGAGCCCCCAGTCTGTACAGCAGGGAGCTGAAGGCTGGGAGAGAGGGGTGGAGTCGGGGGTCTTGCTGAGGCCCCCTCCCCCAGTGCCTGGCACCTCCACCCGCACCTCACTGGCACAAGCGCCCCGCAGCACGGAGAGGGGGCGGCCCTCCCGGGGCCCGCCTGGGACGCTGCTGGGTGTCTGTGGGGGGTGGGCCCCAGGGCACCCGGCAGCAGCCGCTCCCCCGTCGCCACGGCAATGCCGCGGTCATGCCTGGCCAGGGCTATTTCTGTCCAGGAGACATGCTGTCCTGCCCCACTGAGTCACCCCCCGCGCTCCCTGCCCACCCCACTCAGGCCTGGCCTGCAGCTTCTGTGCCACATAGTTCAGGCATCGGCCCTGCCAGCCGCCTGCCCAGACGGACTCTCCCCAGGACGGGTCATCCCGGGCCACCCGAACCCAAGGGACCCAAAGGCACCCTTCCCGGGCCGTTCACCCACCCCTCAGCCTCCCTCCACCCTGCTCTGTGCGTGGGGAGGCTCTGGGACCTGCCCTCAAGGGGGACTGTCAGGAACATGCCTCTCTTTTTAGGGGGCAGTTCTGCTGGCGTCGGGGGGCACTGAGGGGCACAGGGTTCCCTGTGTCTAGGCCTCAGGGACGCTCTGGATACTTCTGAGCTCCATGGGTGCCCATTTCACGGGCATGGGAGGCTGAGGCTCAGACCCAGGGCACAGCAGAGTGTGGGCGTCCGCCCGTCTTTCTCTGCAAGCCCCAGGAGCACACTGTCCCACTGGGACACATCTGCAGAGCTGTGTTCTCGCCGCCCAGGGCACAGCCACGCTGAGCCGGCTCGGTCGGATGCAGGTGCCATAGTCACAGGCGCTCAGGTCTTCACACCCCATCTGTGTCACCACAGCCAACAGGGTGAAGATGGCTGTCCCCAGAGGGGGCCGCTGGGCCTAGTGGGTGCCGCTGCCAAGGGTGAGCTGTCACCGCCCAGGGCCACCTGGAGGGGGGAGCCTGGAACCGGCTACAGCTGGTGCGGTCCCCACCACAGCCCTCCCCAGCCCGTTGCCCGCAGCCTGGCACACGAAGCTCCCACAGGGGGGACCCCTTGGTCTCCCCTCACCTCCTGTCCTCCTTTCCTCCTCGGTCTTTAGCATGGGGGTGCTGAGGGCCAGGCCAAGCTGAGGGGCTGCGGGGAGAGCGGGACCCCAGGTCGCACACAAATCTGCCGAGGGGACTGAGCCAGCTCGGGGCCCCTCCCCGCCCACAGCCTGCTTTCAGGCAAGGCCGCCACAATTCTCCTGCCACGTCCAGCACCTCCCACAACAGGGGCCGGCTTGTGGAGGAAGGACCTGTGGGGAATGGCCGCGTGTCCGTGTCCAGAGGCCCAGGGTCGGAGCGGGACAAGGCCAAGGTGCTGTGTGGGCTTGGCCTGGGGCCCACAGAGAATGGAGCCCCCGCCCGCTGAGGCCTGGGAGGCCTAGAAGTCATTCCCGCGAGTCGTCCGGCCCAGTCCTTATCCGCTGAGAGGCGGGGCTGGTGCGGGGCCTCCCCAGGGGTGTCATGAGGGAATGAAGAGACCCCACGGAGCCTGGGGAGGCTGCGCTCCTGGGCTCCATCCAGCCTGGCTTCCCCGCCAGCAGCATGAGGGCTGTGCGTCACCCGGTGGCTTGGTGGCCATGGGGGCCCCGTGCAGCATGGAGGCCCTGGTCTGGGCCCCGAACACGGGCCTCGGCCTACAGCCCCCCCGCCGGGCCCGCCCAGCCACAGCTTCCATCTGCCTGCTTCTCCTCAGGGCGCCGCACCCCAGGCGGGCAGCAGGCTTGGTTTCCCGATGGAGGAGAGCTGCGTGCCCACGGCACCATCCCCCAACCCAGCCGGCCAAGACGCCGGGCCCCAGCCCCGCTCATGGGCACGGGGCTGGCAGGAGGACCCTGGGGCCGCGAGGCAGGCTTCGCAGTGGACACAGGGGCCCTGCCAGGATCCTGTCCAGGGCTCGGCGGAGCTGGCCTCTCGGCCTGTTGCTCTTGGACAGCCCAGAGGAAGCCACGGGCGCCCAGGCGGGCATGAAAGGGCTCTTTGACGGCTGGGTTGCTGGGACAGTAACACAGACGGCCGGCCAGGCAGGGAGCATCCCTGAGACGGTAACAGGAAGCACAGGGCCTGGGGCTGGTTGTGGGAGTCTTCACAGCCGCCCTGGGCAGGTCGGGCTCCCCCTGAACCCCAGCGGAGCATGATCCAGCCCTGATTGTCTGCCAGGCAGGGCCAGGGGCTGGGACGGCCGGGAACTCCGTGGGGGCTCCTGCAGGCCTCCGTGCATGCACACACCCACTCCTGCCAGGCTCCCTCTGCCGGAGGAGTCCAGGGGGGCTCTTGTGGTGTCCAGTGGGGCCAGGGGGTGAGTCAGGGTCTGCTGAGCTCATGGGGAGGCAGGCAGAGGGTGTCTCAACTGCCAGAGACATTCCACCCACCTGGAATGACCCACTGCAGGAGGAAGGACCTTGCCCTGTGCTACAATCCCAGAGGGCTTCCTGAAGGAGGCAGCCTAGATCTTTGTCCAGCAGAGCCCATCTTCAGGGAATATTGAGGATCCCGACCCGTGCACCTGCCCTAGCGGAAGACACTCCTGGCCAAGCCTCCAGATGTGGCTGTGAGGGGAGTGGGGTAGGCAAGGCCCACCTGGCAGGGGGGCCAGGCTTGTTGGGGCAGCTGCTGTTGGGAGGGGGCCTACCTTGCTCAGGGGGACCCAGGTTGGCTCTGGCTTCCCCTCGGCACCAAGGTGGGACCATCCTTCCCTAGTCTGGGGGAGGCAGAGGAGTGGCCTCCCGAGGCCCCTGCAGGCCCTGCCCTGGGGGCTCCGGACGAGAGGCTCTCTGGGCCTGGCTGAGACGGTGCCTCTGTGCACTGTGCAGGGCCCCCCACCCCAGGCCAGCCTTGGGGGGCCTTTCCCTGGAGCAGACCAGCCACCACGCCCCAGGGCTCTGCCCAGCCACAGTGGGTGGGGCCTTGGGCGGCTACCCGCTCCTGAGTTTAGAGGGCTGTCTCAGAGACCTCTGTGTCCCACAACGGCTTCCCCACCATCTGCCGGGTGTGGGGGCCCCAGCTTTGGGGACCAGGACTCCCCGACTCCAGGTGTGCAGGGTGCCTGGTGCGGCCCAGAGTGTAGCAGCCCCTGAGCCTCGGCCTTGGCCTCACCCACTGGGCCAGGACCGTCCGTGCCCAGGCAGAAGCTCCCGCCTCCACTGGCTGTATTCCCAACGGGGGCAGGGCCGGGCTGCCGTAGGGTCTGGGGGCTCCAGCTGGGGCACCTCCTTCTCAGTCCCTCCCCTCTTTCCTCTCCCCCAGCCCTGGCCAAGATGGCAGCCCCCGCCCTGCTGCTCCTAGCACTGCTGCTGCCCGTGGGGGCCTGGCCCGGGCTGCCCAGGAGGCCCTGTGTGCACTGCTGCCGCCCGGCCTGGCCCCCTGGACCCTATGCCCGGGTGAGTGACAGGGACCTGTGGAGGGGGGACCTGTGGAGGGGGCTGCCTCGAGTACGGCCCACTATAGACATCGAAATCCTCAAAGGTGAGGCCCGTGGGTGCTGCCTGCATGCTCCCCCACCAGGACCCAACAGCCCACAGGGAGTGGGGAGCACCTGGGGCTTGGGAGGAGGGGCGGGAGGGGCACGCTGAGCACCAGTGTCTGCCCTGGCAGCGCTCCCTGCACAGGGACCCCTGGGCTCCCCCCGCAAGCAGGAAGAAGCCTGGCTTGGGGAGGGACCCATGAACCAAAGTGGGGTGCTGAGGATCCTGGGGAAGGGGGCCAGGGTTCCTGAGATCCCCAAAGTAGCAGCCCCTTGGGAAGGGAGCCTGGGCAGCCCGCTTGCTCTGAGACCCCTTGACACGGCTGCGCTGTCCCGAAGGCTGTACTAAGGTTAGGCTTGGGTAGGACCTTCCCAGCCTTCTCATTCTTTAACACCCAACGCAGACCGTAGCTGGCCCTGACCACCCATGTCCCCACCCTCTCGGTGGGGACGGCCTTGCCACAGGCCTTGGTCTAGCCACACCTTTGGAGAACGGCTTCTCCCCATCTTACAGACGTGGACGCGGAGACTGGGAGAGGGGCCGTCACTTGCAAAGAGTGTGTCCTTACAGTGACCCTTGAGCCCCAGCCCCTGGCCTGGGTGCTGGAATGGGGGAGGCCTGCCCAGCCCGGCCCCGACCCGTGGCTTTCGTTTGTCCCCTGCAGGTGAGAAGGGTGAGGCCGGCGTCCGAGGTCGGGCCGGCAGGAGCGGGAAAGAGGGGCCGCCAGGCGCCCGGGGCCTGCAGGGCCGCAGAGGCCAGAAGGGGCAGGTGGGGCCGCCGGGCGCCGCGTGCCGACGTGCCTACGCCGCCTTCTCCGTGGGCCGGCGCGAGGGCCTGCACAGCTCCGACCACTTCCAGGCGGTGCCCTTCGACACGGAGCTGGTGAACCTGGACGGCGCCTTCGACCTGGCCGCGGGCCGCTTCCTCTGCACGGTGCCCGGCGTCTACTTCCTCAGCCTCAACGTGCACACCTGGAACTACAAGGAGACCTACCTGCACATCATGCTGAACCGGCGGCCCGCGGCCGTGCTCTACGCGCAGCCCAGCGAGCGCAGCGTCATGCAGGCCCAGAGCCTGATGCTGCTGCTGGCGGCGGGCGACGCCGTCTGGGTGCGCATGTTCCAGCGCGACCGGGACAACGCCATCTACGGCGAGCACGGAGACCTCTACATCACCTTCAGCGGCCACCTGGTCAAGCCGGCCGCCGAGCTGTAGCCGGGTGAGGGGCCCCGCGGCTGAGCACCGGGCGCGCGCGCGCGTGTGTGTGTGTGTCTGTGTGTGTGTGTGTGGGGGTGGGTGTGGGTGTGTGTGTGTGGGTGGGTGTGGGTGTGGTGGGGTGGGCGGGCAGCGGAGCTTCAGCGCCGACTGTGTGCAGTGATTTGTTGAGCGCTGACTGTGTGCAGGGATTGGTTGAGCGCCGACTGTGTGCAGTGATTTGTTGAGCGCCGACTGTGTGCAGGGATTGGTTGAGCGCCGACTGTGTGCTGTGATTGGTTGAGCGCCGACTGTGTGCTGTGATTGGTTGAGCGCCGACTGTGTGCAGGGATTGATTGAGCGCCGACTGTGTGCTGTGATTTGTTGAGCACCGACTGTGTGCAGGGATTGGTTGAGCGCCGACTGTGTGCTGTGATTGGTTGAGCGCCGACTGTGTGCAGTGATTGGTTGAGCGCCGACTGTGTGCAGGGATTGGTTGAGCGCCGACTGTGTGCAGGGATTGATTGAGCGCCGACTGTGTGCAGGGATTGGTTGAGCGCCGACTGTGTGCTGTGATTGGTTGAGCGCCGACTGTGTGCAGTGATTTGTTGAGCGCCGACTGTGTGCAGGGATTGGTTGAGCGCCGACTGTGTGCAGGGATTGATTGAGCGCCGACTGTGTGCTGTGATTGGTTGAGCGCCGACTGTGTGCAGGGATTGGTTGAGTGCCGACTGTGTGCTGTGATTGGTTGAGCGCCGACTGTGTGCTGTGATTGGTTGAGCGCCGACTGTGTGCTGTGATTGGTTGAGCGCCGACTGTGTGCAGGGATTGGTTGAGCGCCGACTGTGTGCTGTGATTGGTTGAGCGCCGACTGTGTGCTGTGATTGGTTGAGCGCCGACTGTGTGCAGTGATTTGTTGAGCGCCGACTGTGTGCAGGGATTGGTTGAGCGCCGACTGTGTGCAGGGATTGATTGAGCGCCGACTGTGTGCTGTGATTGGTTGAGCGCCGACTGTGTGCAGGGATTGGTTGAGTGCCGACTGTGTGCTGTGATTGGTTGAGCGACGACTGTGTGCTGTGATTGGTTGAGTGCCGACTGTGTGCAGTGATTGATTGAGCGCCGACTGTGTGCAGGGATTGGTTGTGCCCCGACTGTGTGCAGGGATTGATTGAGCGCCGACTGTGTGCAGGGATTGATTGAGCGCCGACTGTGTGCAGGGACTGATTGAGTGCCAGCTGTGTGCAGGGATTGATTGAGTGCCGACTGTGTGCAGGGACTGGGCCATGTGGAGTGCTGGGTGTGTTGGGAGCAAGTCTGACCCGCACCTGCCCTCACAGGGGCTGGCGCACAGGAAAGGACCACATGAAGCCACATGGACGGAGGCCTGTGGTACTGGGTGTGCGGTGGGCGTAGCCAGGTGGTAGAGCGAGCTGGGTGCCTCCTCATGGGGTGGTCGGAGCCCGGTTGCTCACCCAGGTACTCGCCCTCACGGCCGAGGGGCCATTCTGCTTATAAAAGCTGTGCCAGGCACCCTTGCTGAGGAGACATTCATTCGACATTGCGTATTTGCCAAGCACCTGCCCGGTGTGGATGGACCCAGGGGAGGCCAAAAGGGTGGAAGGAAGACGGTCACTTCCAGGCGGTGTGAGGGGCACCCAGCACTCACGGTGGCCGGGAGGGTGGGGCTGCTCTAGTGGTGGCTTGTCCTTGGCAGGAAACACGCGGCTGAGCGCAGGGGGTCAGTTTTGGGGGCTCATGGGTCCTCAGTCTGTCTGAATGTGTGGGGGCTGGAGGAAGATTGGACCCTGATGGGCACCAGAGCCGGAGGAAGCCTCAGACCCCCACGGAGTTGCCTTATGCTTAGACAGGGATGAAAGTCAGGTCCACATGGCCTGGCTGCAGTTGTGGGGGCAGAGAGGGCCCCATTTGGGAGTGTGGGTGGGTCGGTCCCTCCAGGCAAGAGGCTGGCCCAGCTCTGGTCACTGGAAGCCTCTGTTACCCTCCCCGGCTGGAGCAGCTGTGGCCCCTCCCGGAAGCTCTCCCAGCCACGTGCTCACTTGTCTCTGGAACCACCTCCACCTGACCTGGGCCTCCCTCCCCCTCTTCCCAGCCCCTCCGGCCCAGCCTCCCACGCACCGCCTCCTCCTCCTTGGTGTGCTATTTGTGGCAGCGCGGCCACTGGGCCCGGGCAGGAGCAGCATCAGGAGCAGCTCAGCCATGCTGCCTGGAACCCTCACAAGGCCTTCCATAAAGCATCCCCGGGTGGGGGCAGGAGAGCCCCCACAGGTGCACCCAGCGTGGGCTCATGGGGGCCCATGGGTGCCGAACAGATGAAGGGATGCGGGGTCCCAGGTGCCCCCACGGCCCCTTGATCCTTGTCCACTCTGGGACATCCCGGCCCATGGAGTGCCCGGCTCGCCCATCCCCCTCTTTAGGGCCTGCCCTGCCCCCACTCCCTCCCCACAGGGGCCCCCACCAGTACTGACCAATCTCTGAGCAGCTGGGCCCACAGCCTGCCCCAGGAGGGTCTGTGAGAGGACAGCCCCCAACATCAGGGTGCACCCTGCAGGGTGGGGCCAGCCGAGGAGGGAGGTAGGAGGGCACGGGCTGCAGCCCCCAGGTCAGGGGGACCTTGTCTGTCCATCTGGCAGCACACACTGGCTGGGAGGAAGCAGCTGGGAACAGTGACCCTCCCTGTTGCTGTGGGGCCCCAGCCTGAGGGGCTGCTCAGTCATCCCCACCACCCACCACTGGGCCAGGCCTGGGGGCAACCGGCAGTGGGCGTCGGGCAAAGGAACCGGGGGAGGAGGGGGCAGGGTGGCAGGAGATGGGGGTCAGGGGCCATCTCCCAACACAGCCGCCGTTTTTGTGTGAAGACTCCGGACCTCCCAGCCCCACCCTCAGGAAGTGCCGTCCCCTCCTTACAGACAGACGTCCGCCTGTGGGGACTCTGGGAGCCCCGGCTGGCGCGCCCGCCTCTCCACTTCGCCTCACTCCTGTCCTGGGACAGAGGGTGCCCTGCCCTTGGGAGATGGTGCTCTGAGGCCCGGCCAGAGTCTGCAGAACCCGCGTGTGTGTGCTGGAGCCACTCCCCAGGCAGGCGGGGGAACAAGCGTGGCCCCCAACAGCGCAGGACAGGAGGAGGGGCGGCTACAGGGGCCCGCCATTTGCTGTGCACACATGGCCCCTCTGCAGGGAGAGGGGCTCTGTCCCGGCTGCGCCACCCCCACCCACTGCCCAAGCCTGCTGCCTCCCAAGTCGCCCGGCATCCACCTCTTTCCCTGAGGCTGTCCCTGGGGCCAGGCTGCCCCTCAGCACCCCCAAGTGGCCCCGTACTCAAGTCCCACCTTGTGTGTCTGTGGGGGGGCGGTAGCAGGGCTTCTGGAAGTGTGGTGACAACCAAGGACAGGAGGGGCTGGGGCCGGTGGCCGTGGCTGGTGAACCCTGGCCCTGCTAGAGACAGGAGGGGCACTGGCGCTGGGGCTGGACCCGGAACCTTCCCTCTCCTTCGCCCCACACTGAGGTGGGCGGGGCCTCAGGCTGCACTTTGGCCCAGGGCCTGAGTCTGCTCCTGGCTGGGATAGCGGGACACACCCAGGGCGCCCGGCAACCGGCAGGGGTCGGAGCCATCTCCGGGCACTCACGGGGCCTTGGCACAGAGGCTTCCGCCTTAGAGAGAAAGGCGCCCGAACAGGAAGGGGTGGGCCGAGGGGAGATTGGCAGACCCCAGGCCTCCCACCCCGACCGGGACACCCCCAGCCCTACCCCGTGTGCTGACGGCCGGTGGCGCTAAGAGGTGCCAGGAGAGAAGCCCACAGCCTGGTCCTGGCTGCAGCAGCAGGGCGCCTGGTCAGCACTCTGGGGAGCCTTGTGCTCACTCAGCCCGTTCCCAAGTGAGGACACCCAGTGCCACGCAGGCAGAGCCAGGCTGCAGCCACGTCCCGCCCACCCCACACAGAGCCCGTGTCCCTGCCAGCTCTGCCTGTCGCCTCAGCTTCCCGTGCAGCAGGGGGTGCGCAAAGGCCTCTGTCGGGGACCCCAGAGCAGCTGTGAGGGGCCCTGGGCTTGCAGGTCCCAAGTGGGCACTGCCCAGAGCCGAGCCCTTGGTGTCCAGGCCCCGGAGGACAGCTGCACGGCTCCAGGGGTTCCTGCTTGGGGGGATCCCCAGGAGGAGCCTGTTGGGGTCAAGTGTGGCAGGTGCTTGAAGAACCAGAGGTGGGGGGTATGGGCTGCTGGGGGTGGGGGTCCCGGCTGGCCATGCAGAGGTTCTTGGCCCCGGTGAGAGAGCAGGGCTGGATGGGAGATGGGAGCCAGGGGTCCGGACCACCCCAGGGCCAGGGAGGACATCTCCTCTCGCAGGCTGCCTGTTCTGTGCTGGGGAAGCACCCCAGAATCCCAGACAACCGTTCCTTTCCCTGGCCCTGGCCCTGGCCCGGCTGCCCTGGGGTCTCCAGCCTCTGTGATTCCAGTGAGCCTGTGCTGCCAGGGTGGCAGGTGGTCCTGAGGAAGAGAGTCCCGGGAAGACGCCAGCCCCTGCACCAGGGAGCTCAGAAAGTGCCCGTCACCAGGCCCAGCCAAGGACCCAGACGTGACCACAGCAGCCCCGAAGCCAGGCGCTTATTCCGAGGGACAGGCTGGACCTCCCCGCACAGACGTCGCCGTGGCCTATAGGTAGTTGCAGCTGCGGATACTAAGAAGCAGCAGGGGTCAGGCGGGCAGGGGTCGGGCTGCAGCAGGGGTCAGGCGGGCAGGGGTGCAAGGTCTCTTGGAAGCTGGCGGGGGTGTCTAATGAATGCCAGTGGCGACCCTGGTTCTCAGAGAACCGGGGTGGGGAGATGCCTGTGAGAGCCTCAGACAGCAGGACCTGCATCCCGCCAACCTTCCAGGTTTATTTGTTTAAAAAACAATGACTGAGAACTGAAAGTGAGATAAGATACGGTCACGATTCTCTGCCAAGTGATAAAAGCCTGAGGGACGCTGCCAGTGCCAGGTGGGAGCGGAAAGAGGGATGCTTGGTAGAGGCCAGAGACACGAAAAGCAGCGACAGCCTCGTGCTGCCCTGGCCACTTAGGAGACAAGGGGGAGCCACCCCATCAGAACCGCACCGGGCACCCCCGTGGTCGGCCCGTGCTGGCTTTAATCATGAGTCAACCGCACAGGAAGGGACTGGGGAACGCGGCTTCCCGCGGGGACATCCCTGTGACATTCCAGGCAAGCATCGGGCTGGGGAGGCAGCTTATCCCATGTAACTTTATCCGTTTAGTGGAATTCCAGTAAAAATCCAATTTTAAATGTTTAGGTGAAATTCATATTACGTAGAATTGAGCATTCGAGAGTGAACAGTTGCATGGCACTGCACACTCAGCCGTCACCTCTGTCTAGTTCCCAAACGGTTCCGTCCCCCCGAAAGAAACGGGCACCCCTCAGCAGTCACTCCCCGCTCCCCATCCACCCCCTGGCAGCCACTGTTCCTCTCTGTGTCTGTGAACGGCCCCGTTCTGGGCATTTCATGGAAATGGAGTCACACAAGTAATATTCTGTCCTGTGGATGGACCACATTTGTTTGTCCATTGTTTATTGATGGACACCTGGGTTGTTTCTACCTTTTGGCTATTATGGGTTATAGATAATGCTACTATGAACATTTCTGTAAACACTCCATTTTTTTTTTTTTTTTTTGACAAGGTCTTTTTCTGTCACCCAGGCTGATGTGCGGTGACACAGTCACTCACTGCAGCTTTGAACTCCTGGGCTCAAGCCGTCCTCCCACCCCAGCCTCTCAAGTCGCTGGGACTGCAGGCACATGCCACCACGCTCAACTAATTTAAAAATTTTTTTCTTGTAGAGATGGGGTTTCGCCATGTTGCCCAAGCTGGTCTTGAACTCCTGGGCTCAACTGATCCTCCAGCCTCGGCCTCCCAAAGTGCTGGGATTGTAGGCATGAGCCACCACGCTGGCCCAAATTCCATTTTTTAAATTTTTGTAAAAGCAGTGTTGAAGAGAACCTGAAAGAATGGATAGGATTCTAAACAATTTTAGCTCAGCTCAGTGGTGGGTGGAGACTTTCCCTATTAGATATCATAACACAGTGGCCACCAAGCAGACACCAGACTGCCAGAGCTCCTCGCCCCCAAAGAACAAGAGGGCGCCCCATATACCAGGAAATATACCAGGAAGGCAGAGGCAGCCACAAGGAGGGGTATTTTTCATTTGAAATTCATGTCGCCTGTAATCCCAGCACTTTGGGAAACCGAGGCGGGCGGATCACCTGAGGTCGGGAGTTCAAGACCAGCCTGACCAACATGGAGAAACCCCGTCTCTACTAAAATTACAAAATTAGCCGGGTGTGGTGGCACATGCCTGTAATCCCAGCTACTCGGGAGGCTGAGGCAGGTAAATTGCTTGAACCTGCGAGGCAGAGGTTGCGGCGAGCCGAGATCGCACCATTGCACTCCAGCCTAGGCAAGAAGAGCAAAACTCTGTCTCAAAAAAAAAAGAAAAAAAAATTCATGTCATGTGATAATACAAATTTCAGTTGAATGAAATAATTTTCAGCCATATAATCTTTAGAAACATGTGGGACCAGCTGGGCATAGTGGCTCACACCTGTAATCCCAGCACTTTGGGAGACTGAGGCAGGTGCATCATCTGAGATCAGGAGATTGAGACCAGCCTGGCCAACATAGTGAAACCCCGTCTCTACTAAAAACACACAAATTAGCTGGGTGTGGTGGGGGGCGCCTGTAATCTCAGCTACTGGGGAGGCTGAGGCAGGAGAATTGCCTGAACACGGGAGGCAGAGGTTGCAGTGAGCTGAGATTGCGCCACTGCATTCCAGCCTAGGCGACAGAGCGATACTCTGCCCCTCACCCCTCCACACACACAAAACCGCCACCAAAAGCCATGTGGGATTGTGGGATGTACGCCCATGTTCACAGCAGCATTACTCACTGTAGCCAGAAGGTAGCTGCTGTGGTCACAATGTGTCCCCAGAATTCCTATGCTGAAGCTGATGGTCACTGTGATGGTATTAAGAGGTGGGGTAGGCCGGGTGCAGTGACTCACGCCTGTAGTCCCAGCATTTTCGGAGGCCGAGGTGGGCAGATCACCTGAGGTCAGGAGTTCGAGACCAGCCTGGCCAACATGGCGAAACCCTGTCTCTACCAAAAATACAAAAATTAGCTGGGTGAGGCGGTGGGTGCCTGTAATCCCAGCTACTCAGGAGGCTGAGGCAGAAGAATCACTTGAACCCAGGAGGCACAGGTTGCAGTGAGCCAAGATTGCACCATTGCACTCCAGCCTGGGCAACAAGCGAGATCCTGCCACACACACACACACACAACCACCACCAACAAAACCCATGTGGGATTGTGAGATGTACACCCATGTTCACAGCAGCGTTACTCACTGTAGCCATAAGGTAGGTGCTGTGGTCGGAATGTGCCCCCAGAATTCCTATGCTGAAGCTGATGGTCACTGTGATGGTATTAAGGGGTGGGGTATTCTATGACAGCAGCAGGAGTGGACTCAGACTGTGGACACCGCCCAGGTGTCTGCTGATGATGAATGGAAAAACCAAATGTGGTCCACGCATGCACGGGGACAGTGGCCAACCTCAGACAGGGAGGAAATTCTGGCACGTGCTCCGTGGATGAGCCTCAAAGGCAGTGCGCCGAGTGAAATAATCAGTCACAAAAGGACAAATGCTGTCTGATTCGAATTGCGCGAGGCACCTAGAGGACTCAAATTCATAGAG
This sequence comes from Homo sapiens, assembly GCF_000001405.40. Taxonomy (NCBI): domain Eukaryota; kingdom Metazoa; phylum Chordata; class Mammalia; order Primates; family Hominidae; genus Homo; species Homo sapiens. Next base: position 1,085,765 of record NC_000016.10, on the reverse strand, counting down.
ACAGAAAGTAGAAGGGCAGGTGCCGGGGCTGGGGGTGGGAATAGGGAGTCGTTTAATGGGGACAGAGTTTCAGTTTGTGGTTTTGAGAAGAGTTCTGGAGATAAATGGGGGTGATGGTTGCACCACAGTGTAAGTGTCCTTAATGCCATAGGACCATCCACAAAAATGGTTATGGTGGTAAAAATCTGTCATACGTATTTTACCAAAATTTTAAAAAATACGTGGGGACATTTGGCTAATCTGTGAATGGGGAAAAACCTCCCACTGATAAAAAGCAGAATAATTTTCCAAGTAGATACATGATAGGTTGGACTTCATGAAAGTAAAACATTCTACTTTGTGTCAATCCTGAAACTAAAACATGGGACCCTAGGAAGGGCTGTCCCATAGACAGCAAAGGACGGCCTTCCTGCCCTGCAGGGGTCTTGCACAGATGGAGGAGGAAAACTTGAGAGGAAATAGAGAATTTGGAAGATACAGGAAGGAATGAAAAATCATCGTGGATTCACACCATCATGAGTGCCAGTGTCTAGATATTCTCGTGTGGCTTACAGGCATCTCCAAGCTGCCTGGTCACTACCATCGTCCGTGTCCCTCAGGAAACACATGGGCAGGGCCTGGCAGGGGATCACAGTAGGCAGACCCAGTGTACAGAGAGCTGGGCAAAGCCATAGCCAGGTGGACAGGAACAGCAGCCAGACCTCCCTCTCCTGTGAACCTCTCCCCACTGCACTGGCAGCCATGGAATCCTTGCCTCGCTCTAGGGAACTGCCCCCACCATGATTCCTGGAGGCAGAGTTAGGAGTGAGAGGACATGTCTGAGGGCACAGGCATGGCCAGCACTGCCTTCCTGAAGCTCCAAGCCCCCATGGAGGGAGGCACCCATGGGCAGGACCTGGGCACCAGAGTGCGGTGAGAGGCAGGAGCTCCGACTGGGACAAAGGCAGATCCTGGGCATCCCCTCACTCTCCGGCCACCCTCTCTGGGGCGATGAACATCAGAACAGGGACTCAGGTGGAGGGGCCAGTGTCTTCTGTTCCACAGCCCCATCTCACCCATCCCACTGCTCTACATGAGTTGCCGACCACTATAGACAAAACCAAGAGCTTCCAGCTGCGTTCGGCCACTGGAGAGCCCAGCAGGCCCCGGGAGGGAGAACTGGGGAGTCCAGCAGGCCCTGGGAGGGAGAACTGGGGAGTCCAGCAGGCCCTGGCTGTCTCTGCTCCACAGGTAGCCTCTCCTCTCCCAGCCGTCTCATCTCCGGGTTCTGAGGACCCTGCCCCAAACCTTGAACCTCTAGGCTGATAAAGCCAAGGTGTCAGCCAGGGCACTGTACTCCTCACTTCACAAAGGGCCTTTTTTTCCTTTGAGACGGGGTCTTGCTGCAGTGCAGTGGCATGATCAGAGCTCACTGAAGCCTCCGCCTCCCAGGCTCAAGCAGTCCTCCTGTCTCAGCCTCCCCAGTATGTGAGACGACAGGCATGCACCAGCACCACTGAATAATTTTTGTAGATTGTGTAGAGACAGGGTCTTACTATGTTGCCCAGGCTGGCCTCAAACCCCCGAGCTCAAGCTCTCTGCCTGCCTCAGCCTCAGCAGTTGCTGGGATTATAGGTATGAACCATTGCACCTGGCACCTGGTCCTGACGGTATCCTTGTGAGCCCTCCTCAAACCACACTACGTGATCACACCCGTTTCCCAGGACGGGGACAGAGCCCTGGGAAGCGTGGGTTGAGGAGTGGGAACCACAGAAGGCTCGTGAGCAGCAGAGGGACATGAACAGATTTGTGTTTGGGATAAAATGGGGCTGGAAGTGGAGGTGGGGTTGGGAGTAAGGAGGGAGACGTAGCCAGAGGCGGTGGCTGCTGTGGCCGAGCCAGGGTGGGGACAGAAGAGAATGAACCCAGGAGGTTGACTCCACCTAACAGCCTGCCAGGGGCCCTGGGCGGCTCCTGCCACCCACAGGAGTGCAGAGCCCGAGGTGGCTCCAGGCCTCCACGGGGCAGCGTGGCCAGCGCCCGCCTCTGCTGCACCCACAGCGGTTGCTTGTGCTGCCAAGACCCGGCCTTGGGAGGGCAGAGGGGCCTGTCCTAGGGGCAGTCTTCCCCCAGACTGCCTCCCTGAGACCCCACAGCTGGTCCCACTCCCCGTCCCCACCCCACCCACTCTCTTGGGGTCTCGTCTGGTGGGAGGAAACGGCTTCCCCGGGGCCCTGGGCCAGTGGCTGCTTCTGGGGGCCCCATGGCTGCCGGTCGCCTCTGCCCCCTTCCCTCCCCAGGAGGCCTTCCAGGTCCTCCACAGACCCCCACATCCCGCCCCAGGGCACCCCTGCTGATGGGGCTGGGTTGGGATGAGGGTCGGCCCGCTGGGGTCTGTCAGCATCCACGACGGCCCGGCCGCAGTTTCCCTCACTGTGGAGCTAACGACACCTCCTCCTGCCTGTGGGGGCTGCTTCTCCTTGGCCCCGTCTTCCCCACACCCACTCTGCCAGGCAAACAGATCCCTCCCGCCCTCCTCGTCCTGCCCGGGCCTGTTTCCTGAGCAAGGTCACTGGAGTCGCTGGAGCCCAGAGCCAATAAAACCCAGTGATGCGCGCGGGCCGGGAAGCCACCCCGCCCAGGATGTTTGCTCCGCGCCGCACCCCCCACCCCCACCGGGTTCTCCGGTGGCCTGCAAGGGGTCTCGGCTCCGCGGCCCCTGCCACCCACAGGCCCCCACTGCCCCGGGAGGTGAGGATGTAGGGGTCCAGGGCCCATGCTCCTTCCAGACACTCACCTGACCCCACCCGGCCTTTCATGCTGGTGCCCTGGGGGCATCCAGGCCTTGTCCTCTTCCCCGTGGCTCTGCCCAGCCTGGTCCATGGGCTGCCTGGGACCTCCCCAGACATCTTCAGCCCTCTCAGCCCACTGAGGCCATCAGACCCCGGGGCCTTGTCCTCCCACGTGCTCCAAGCAGGAACCAGCCAGGTGCCACTGCCCCCTTCTCCAGGCCTGGACAGGGGCTGCCCCTGCCTCGTGAGCACCCCTGGGGCCCCGGCCCCGGGCCAGGCCGCTGCGTGTTCTGGATGACTCACAGCTTCCGCACACTCCCTGTGTGTGCCTCTTCCCGCCTCTCGTCCAGTCTCCTCTCTCAAGCTGGAGTGAGCGCAGCTTCGTCCTTCCCTGGGGCAGCATGGGGGCAGAACTTGAGGGGCCTGGATCTGCTCCTCTCTCTGAATTGACCCCCACAGCTAACCCCCCTGTGCCCCTTTGCCTCTGAGCCCTCCCATAGGCTGTTCCCTCTGCCTGGAATGCTCTTCCGGTTCAACCTTGATCCCACGACCCAGCCCCATGCTGGTGCCCTGCAGGTGTGTTTGTCCGATGGAGACACGTGTTCAGGGCTCAGCCAGCCCAGGGGGTCAAGGGCAGTAAGTCCTAGGCCCAGCTGTGGGGCTGCCGTCATGAGCCCACCGTCCCCAGAAGGTCAGCGTGACAGCGTCCTGGGGGTCAAGGGAAGAAGAGGCTGTGCCGGCAGGTCTGGTTTGTGGGGAGGGTGTGCACCTGATGGGGACGAGGCTATGACCAAAGGCACAGATGTGGGCTGTGGGTGGCCGGGACCAGACTGGGGAGCTCGGCAGGGCCATGAGGCTGGGGCCTGGGACGGACAGGGACCGGGGTCCTGGGGGCTTCAGGCTGGACAAGGTGGGGAGCAGGGTGGCCCGAGGCTTGTGGCCGGGTCGAATGGGCTGGGGGTCAAGGGCGTCTTCACCCGAGAGTGAGGGCACTGGCGCCTCTGTCTGCCCCTCGTGGCTGCCGGCCCTGCAGGGAGAGCGCCCGGTGTCAAATCAATTGGAGAAATTGATCTTGGCAGGGATTTCCGAGCCATCTGCTCGGTCCCCAAAGCCTTCTGAGAGGGTGAACATGGCACCCAAATCCCTGGGGAGGCAGGTCGAGGGGGGTGCTGCGGTGTGAACGGGCCTCGGTTTCCCCCAGTGCACCCTGGATGCACCCCTCTTTGGTGACTCAAGAGGCAGAGATTTGTGGACCCCCTGCAGAAGCCCACCCTGCCCCGCCCAGAGCTGTCAAGAAGCTGTGAGGGGCAGCTCCAGCCTAAGACCCCAGGCAGCTTCCATCATTTTTCACCCTGTTCACGAATTCCACGCCTCCCGCTTCCTGCTGGGCATTTGGCCGCCCCCGTCCCGGCCTTGTCTGGCTCAGCGGGGCTGGGGCCGGGGGCGGGCCCTGTGTCGGGCCTCGGGGGAGCCCAGGCTCCGCTCACTCTGCGCTGGCTGCACTCGGCTCCAGGGACAATATTTGCTCGGGGAAAGAATCAAACATTTATCCTCGCATTTATTCAGGGGAGCAGTTGTCAAACACGCGTGTCCTCACTGCTTGGATGTTTCCCAGGCCTGGCCTCAGCCTGGGCCTTTCTCCTGCCAGGATTTGTGCCCACTCAGCCGCTCCCTGTGCCCTCCAGGAGGTTGAGGTCCTGCTCTGGGCAGACGGCGGGAGCACGGGTCGGGGCCAGTGCTGGGCAGGGCAGAGGGGTCCCTGAGGCCGAGTGATGCCGCACCCTGGTCCTTCTCCTTCCAGCCTCAGAGCAAGGCCAAGGTGCCCCAGAGACCCCAGCAAGGCTCTCTGGGCCCACGTTCTGGGCCTGGGGCGCCAGGAAAAGCTGGTGTTTGGGGTGGGGGAGGTAGGACAATTCTAGGTGGGAGGCGGCGGGATTCCCAGGGCCTGCCATTTGCGTCACCCGCGCGGCCGCTGCCTCTCAGCAGTGCTGTCTGCTGTGGCCTGGGGAGCAGCTCCCCGCTGCGCCTGGATGACCGTCCTCTGCTCCTGTCCCCGTTCCCTCTCCCGGGCCAGAGCCCCTGCCCCAAAGCAGAAGAGACGGCCGCAGGTTCCCTGTCCTCTCCAAGCCCTGACCCTCAGGTCCTCCTGCAGCAGGAGCACCTCTCCCTAGTGCCCTCAGGCACCCCACACTGGACCCCTCCAGACAGAGCCAATCTCAGCACGGCACAGCCATCTGCACCCCCAGCAGCCTGGAGGGCTGCAGCCTTCACCCCAACCTCAGCCCCCAGCTCTCCTCTGCACCAGCCGCCTCCCCACCTCGCCCCTGGCTAGGCCAGCGCCCAAGCCCCCACACTCCCCTCTCTGAGACAGCAACTGCCGCCCGCAGCCTCCCATGGGGGGTGTCGGGCAGCAGGGTGGGGCCCCCAGGACAGGCGTGACCCTGGCTGACCAGGGGCTGCCCAGCCACACTCCCCTTACACCTGCATCCCCAGAGTCCACACAGTGCAGGGCAAGCGAGGGGCTGGGGCCCTGGCCAGGGACTCCGGGGACCTGAGTCAAGCGCTTTCGGGTGTCTTTAACTTAGCAGAGCAGCCTTGGACGGGGACCCGGTGGCTCGGAGCTGACATGCAGCTGGTGGGCCGGGCAGGTCAGCTCCGCCGTCAGGAAGACCCTCTCGCCTGGCCGGCCTTCTGGAAAAGTCGCTCCCCAGAGGGAAGGCCGGCATGGGCTGGGGCCAGATGGAGGGTGAGGCGGCCCTGAGCACTTGCACGGCATGGCGGAGCCCCCCACCGGTCTGGCCACCTCCCCTACCTCCCGGGAGCCCCCGCTGTGTGGCAGACGGTTAGAGGGGATGGTCGGTCACGGTGGGGAACCTACTGCCCTGTGTCTACCCCAGCCTGGCTTCAGCCAGCTCTGTCCTCACACCACCGCCGGGGAGCATCCTGACTGGCAGGTCATGGGTGGGGGTCACCGCAGTGCAACCTCCGCTCCTGGGGGTGACACGGGGCCGCCCACCCCCCGCCTGCACTCTCACAGCTTGCTGGTCTGCATAAGCCCGTTGGCTGCGGCGCGGTGCGCGGGTGGCGTGGCCTCCTGCTGCTGCCGGATCCTGTCTGGACGCGGCTCCGTGGCGTCAGCGTCCTTGGCACCAGAGCCCTTGCGGAGGCACAGAACCTTCTGGAAGCTCTGGCGGAAGTTGTCAGAGAGGAAGCCGTAGAGGACGGGGTTGGCACAGCTGTTGGCGTAGGAGAGGATGACCACGAAGAAGTAGAGGCCGGCGGAGGCGGGCTCCTGGGGCAGCGCCACGGCCAGGTTGACGATGTTGACGGTGAAGAAGGGCAGCCAACATCCCGCAAACACCAGCACCACCACCAACACCATGCGCGTCACCTTCCGCTCCGAGCGCCGCCGCACGCAGCCCACGCGCACGCCCGCCGCCCTCACCTTCACCACGATGAGCAGGTAGCACAGGCAGATGACCAGCAGCGGCGCGAAGAAGCCCAGCACGGCCGTGTAGATGATGAAGACGGCGCCCCACAGCCCCACGGGCTCCGGCCAGCTGGCGTTGCAGGTACCGCCCTCCTGCACGTCCGCGAACACCAGGAGCGGCAGCGACATGCACAGAGACAGGACCCAGGCCGCGGCGCTCGCCAGCTTGGCCACACGCGGGCGGCGCCAGCGGGCCGAGCTCAGCGGGTGCACCACTGCCAGGTAGCGGTCCACGCTCATGACTGTCAGGCAGAAGACACTGGTGAACTGGTTGACGCCGTCCAGCGTCATGACCAGGCGGCACAGGACGGGGCCGAAGGGCCAGAAGGACGCGGCGTTCTGCGTGGCCAGGAAAGGCAGCCCCAGCATGTACAGGACGTCGGCCACTGCCAGGTTGAGAATGTAGATGTTGGTGACGGTCTTCATCTTGGCGAAGCGCAGCACCACGTAGATGACCAGCGTGTTCCCGCCCAGCCCGGCCGCACACACCAGCAGGTACAGCACGGGCACCAGCACCGCCCGGGCCCCTGCCGAGGGCGCCGGCCCCACCAGCGTCCTGTTGTCACCGCCTCCAGAGGCAGCCCCCGGGGAGGAGGCGTTCCAGCTGGGCGTGGAGGCTGGGAACAGGGGCTCCATGGCGGCAGCCCTGGGGTGCGTCAGGCTCTGCAAGAGAAGAAGGGAGGACGCCAGGGTGGTGAGTCCCTGAACCAGCACATGCAGGCATTCCTTCCTCCTGGGCCCCAGCCCCGCCTGCCAGGAGGCGCGGGATCACCGGGTAAACACGATTAGTCATGTTTAGCTTGGCCGGGAATCACGTTAAGCAAATTGTTTGGAAAATAAGCCAGGAGAGGAAGGAGCGGCGGGCAGGTGGCCCCGGGAGCCCAGACGGACGGCTGCTGTCGATATGGCGACAGCTGCCCTGTGGCCGCCCCTGCACCCAGATGGCGCCTGGCCTGGCCGCAGCATCCTGGAGTCTGAGGCCAGCACCTGCGTCTCCCTGAAGCCCCTCAGAGCCTGCCCTGCAGTGCTGCTGCCCTCGTCTACCAGGTAAGGAGCCGAGGCCCAGCGGGCGGCCCCTCCCGGGACACACAGGGAGAGGTGGCAGTGGAGAGAGATGGGGCCGGTGGTCGGCCCCCTGTCCGCCTGGGATGAATGGCACCTGGCTAGGACGACCTGAGAAGTGGCTGGACGTGGTGTCGCCACCGCAGCCTCGAGGGACTTTCACCGGGGTGCCCGCTGCCCGTTGGCCCCGAACCTCTCTCCAGGCCAGCGCAGGGACCGTCACCCCCACAGCAATGACAGACATCTGTAAACCCAGGCGGGGGCACAGCACAGGGCCAGAGAGACACCACCCTCCCCACGGGGCGGCTGCAGAGAAGCAAACACACAAACCACACAGAGTGGTCACACGGAGCCCCAGGAGTCACACAGGGCGAAGGAGGGGGGACTGCGGGCGGGGGCTGCACACCCTGCAGCCCGGAGGAGAAGCCGCGGTGGGGGGTGTGGGCGGGTCAGAGGCATAGCGTATGGGGGCTGCAGCCACCTGACACTGCCCAGTCCCATCGGAGCTTTGAGCCCCCTCCCAGGCCCTGGAACCCCCCACTGTGGCCCAGAGAGAGAACAGGGGAGACTTGGGGGAGGGGAGGGAGGGGTGTCCATGGAGAAGGGTGGGCTGGGAATGGTGACGTCTGTGGGTCCAAGGCCATGGGCACGTGTGTACCTCGTATATTGTTTTTGTATTTTTCTGCATGTTTGAAATCATTCATAAAAATGATACTCCGGCTGGGTGCAGTGGCTCAAGCCTGTCATCCCAGCACTGTGGGAGGCCGAGGCGGGTGGATCACCTGAGGACAGGAGTTCAAGACCAGCCTGGGCAACATGGTGAGACCCCCGTCTCTACAAAAAATACAAAAATTAGCCAAGTGTGGTGGCGGGCGCCTGTAGTCCCAGCCACTGAGGAGGCTGAGTCAGGAGGATCATTTGAGCCCAGGAGGTTGAGGCTGCAGTGAGCTGTGATTACACCACTGCACGCCAGCCTGGGTGACTGAGCAAGACCCTGTCTCAAAAAGAAGATCAATGCCTCCCCTGACGAGTGGGGCGGAGGAAGTCCGGATGTTTGGGTTGACCCTGGAGCTGTGTGACTCTGGGGGTGGCCAGCAGAGAATCAAAGTGTCCCCTAGGATCCAGACCAGGGACAAGCCCCTCCCTGGGGGACCTCGGCCTGAGCAGGGGTGGAGCCGGCTGTGGTGACCTCAGCATGTGCCGTCTGGAGCCCTGGGGCTGCTCAGCTGACCGGCCCTGACCCTGGAGGCACCTCAGAGCACAGGACGACCCCAGCAGCTGCCAGGAAAGGCCACAGTCCTGGCTGGGGGCTGTGGGGCTGGGCCAAGGCCACTGAAATCTGGTAGACAAGGAAAGGAGAGCTGGGGACGGGGGAGCCCAGAACACAAGGCTGACAGCACAAAGAGAAAGCCCTCTGTCCCCAACAAACCTAGAAATCAACATCCCCAAGCTCGCATGGCCCAAACACACTAAGAAATACGACTCAGAAAATCAACAGGGCCAGTGGACCCATGGATCCATCTCAGGGAGATAAAAATAACGAGCAAACAGGTACGCTTAGGCTATGTTTAAATATGTGCAGGATCCACAGAGACAGCATGGATAAAATGTTAGGAAATACATTTGGCTTCTGTCTAAGGAGTAAAATGAACAGGCATCTATTTTTAAAAATTACAAATCCTGGATGTAAAAAATACAATCATTTAAGTGGAAAAAAACACTACAAAAGTGGTCAGAACCAACTCCAGTGTGGACAGCACTGAAGAGAGAATTGGTGAATGGGAAGAGGGTTGAAAGATTCACTGGAGCAGGGTGCTGGCACAAGGTCCAGAGAGGGCTCTGTGGGGTGGGCAGGGGGAGAGCATGGCTGGGCTCCCCCAGAACTGGCGACAGGATCCCTTCTGGGAGCGCACCTGTCCCAAGCAGCATAAAGGAATGAAAGAGCATCCCCATCAAGCTGCGGCATCTGGGCAGGGACGCCAGCCAGAGAGACACCAGCCAGAGAGACAGGACGGATTCCCACAGGCAGGAGCCAGAGTGCAGCAGAATCCTCAGCAGGGACGGAGCAGTGGCCTCCACGCAGACCCCGGGGTGGGAGAAGAGGGGAGGTGGGGAGGGAGAAAGAAAGACAGGGTGTGGGGAGAGAGGGAGGGAGAGGGAGAGGGAGAGGGAGAGGGAGAGGGAGGGGGTGGCAGGGAGGGAGAGAGAAAGATAGGGTATGGGGGAGAGGGAGGGGGAGGCGGGGAGGGAGAGAGAAAACAGGGTAGGGGGAGAGAGAGAGGAGGGAGAGGGAGAGGGATGGGGAGGCGGGGAGGAGAGAGGGAGAGAGGGAGGGAGAGGGAGGGGGAGGGGAGGAGAGAGGGAGAGAGGGAGGGAAAGGGAGGGGAGGTGAGGGGGGAGGGAGAGGGAGGGGGAGGTGGGGAGGGAGAGAGAAAAGGTGGGGGGAGAGGGAGGGGGAGGAGGGGGAGGGAGAGAGAGGGGGAGGTGGGGAGGGAGAGAGAAAGACAGGGTGGGGGGAGAGAGGGAGGGAGAGAGAGTGGGGGGGGAGAGAGAGAGACAGGGTAGGGGGAGAGAGGGAGGGAGGGAGAGGGAGAGGGAGGGGAAGAGGCCTGTGGCTCTCCGCTCCCCAGGGACCAGCATGGAAATCCAACACGCCATGTTTGCGGCTCCCTCTGGCTGCCTGTGGAGCATGCATTCCGGAAGGACAGTGGTCTGGAGACAGCCCGCGGGCTGCGTGGGAGTCCAGGTGGGTGGGATGGCGGCCCAGGTGCAGAGGCCTCTGAGCTGCACCCTCCCTGGGGAGGCACTTTCGGCCCATTCCTCCGTAGCAAGGAGGCCAGGTGGAGGGGACAGAGGAGCCACCGATGGTGGGACAGGGAGAGGGCGGCTGTCGGGCTCCGGTCCATCTCCAACACAGGCCCTGGGTCCCCAGCACGTGTGGTTCCCAAATGCCTGTTTGATTTTTTGTTTTCGAGATGGGGTCTTGCTCTGTTGCCCGAGCTGGATCGAAGTGGTGCTGTGATCACAGCTCACTGCAGCCTCGACCTGTGCTCAAGTGATCCTCCTGCCTCAGCCTCCCTGTCTTTGTAGCTTCTTAGCTTCAGAGGAGCCTCAGGGTTCCTCCAAGGCCACTCCCATGCCCAGAGCCCAGCGAGGGGCTCCACAGGCTGCCAGGTCCCCGGCTCTGCGGCCCCCAGTGCTCCACCTCCGGAGTTAGACTTCAGAGCAGCAAAGGACACAAATAGACCATTATTGCTGTACCTGACTCTTGGAACATAATTCTGCAAGAGCCGTTATTTGGAAGCAGTATCCTCTGAATCATAAAATTACGCACTCACGGGGAATTGTCCCGGTGGCCCTGTCCCTTGTGGGTGGGGGATTCACTGGAGGGGGAGCCAGCAGTAGGAGCTTTCTGATCCCGAGCCCTCGGCCACGAAGGGATCTGCTCAGCCTGACATGGCACTGGGAGAGACCCCGGCCCCTGACCACTCCCCACACGGGCTGCGTGGTCTGGGGTAAGTCACGGGCTTCTCTGAGCCCAGCTTCTGGGATAGGCAACTCCTGCAAACTGTAGGGTTGCTGAGCTGATGAAACTGAGTGAGCTTCTGTGTGCAGGGTGCTGCGTGCATCCACTCCCAGCAGCATCCATCCCTCCCATCTCCTGCCCCCACCCCACAACTCACCATCTGCAGGTGCCCGGTGTGCCAGGGTCAGCCCAGAAGCCACAGGGGACCCAGATGGCCCCAGTCTGCCCACAGCACCGCTCCCGGCCTCACCTCCCCACGACGGGGACCACAGCGGGGCTGGCATACACTGGGCGCTCAACGATTGCTCCCACAAGCTGCCCTAAGCAGCCCAGCATTTCCCCAGCATCCAGGAGGCCGCTGGGCTCCTCGGAGAAGGGGGCAGTCTTCACAGGGGCCTGGGACCAGAGGCGGGGCCTCAGCACCAAGTCCTCCATGACTGGGTGGAGGTCTAGCCTGCACCCTGCCAACTCCTTCCAGGCTAACCCAGCACGAGGTCGGGGAGTCGGCTCCTTCATGGGGGGCAGCGATGCGGCTGCAGCTTGGAGGGGCTGCGGAACCTGCTGCTCGGGGAGGCAGCGGCTCACACGGCCGGGGCCCACGCCGCACCCTGGAGAGGCTGCAGACCCACCCGGGCTCCTCCATTGTGTGCTGGGCAGGGGCAAACGTCGGGGGACACCCTAGCTAAGACTACAGGCCCCAGCCCCTCCAAAGGCCCCGGAGCCAGGCCTGTGCTCCCAGGACAAGCGTTCTGACCTGTTTCCTCTGTCGTAAGGGTGGCCTGGTGGCAGGCCACTGCCCCCTTGGGGTCCAGCTCTGTGAGTGCAGCCAATGGCACCCCTGCCTGTCCCCCACATACACGCCACCTGTCCCTGCGGCAGCCTGTGGCCAGGGGCACATACCCTCCCCAGGAGAGGGAAACTGAGGCAGGTGTGGGCCAGCCTGGAGCAGCAGCAGCAGGGGTCCCGCGTGCTCCGCGAACGCTTCTCGGGGCACCCTCCACACCAGGCACCTCCTGACAGCCTCGCTGGGTCTTGCTCTGGAAATCAACGCCAGGCGCCTGTCCTTGGTGCTGTTGACCAGTTTCTGCCCAGGAGGCTCTGGCAGTCCCCACCTACATAGTCCAGAATCACTGCCTTCAGAAAGGGCTCAGCCTCACTGGAACCATCCCCAACTTCTGTCACCATGCACTCCGCTCTCTTGCCCTTGAGGGGGCCCCAGGCAGGCTGGCAGGCTGGGGACAGCGGGTCGGGCACGTGGGTGGGTCTGGGGTGGGGGAGGAGGGCCAAGGGCACACACCCCAGTGGCGTGTTCTCTATTCTGGAGAGGGTGAAGACGCCAGGAGGATTCCAGGTACACGCGGTGCCTTGGACAGGAGGGGGCTCTGTTCGCAGCGGGCGGGGTGGCACCCCAGCCTCCCCAGTCTTGGGTTTCAGGGAACCCATCTGTGAGTGCCAGGTCACAGGGCCCCTGGGTGCTGGCCTCTGCCTGCTGCCTTCCAGGAGCTCACCGACCCAGCTGCGCGCAGGCACCAGTTGCCTCCCCCGGCACCCAAATTGCGGATCCTCCCCTCGCTGGGTGCCACGGGCACCCTGGGACCCTCCTTCCGTGGCCCAGTGGTTCCCTGTGGCCTGAGTGCCACTTCCGGCCCCCAGCCCCAGGCTCCGAGCCCTCCCCAGCCTTACCCACCCTCCTCCAGCTCCAGGAGCCAGCCCCGCTGTGGCCCCCGTCGTGGGGAGGAGAGGCCGGGAGCGGCGCGGTGGGCAGAGTGGGGCCATCTGGGTCCCCTGTGGCTTCTGGGCTGACCCTGGCACACGGGGTGCCTGCAGATGGTGAGTTGTGGGGTGGGGGCAGGAGATGGGAGGGATGGAGCTGCTGGGAGTGGATGGAACGGGAGGGGAGGGACCCCCGGCGGCGGCAGGAGAGCCCCGCGGGTGTGCGGAGGGCGCGTGGGGGACAGTGCGTGCAGCGGGCTGGGGGCGCACGGCGGGACCCCGGGCCGGGGCTGCGCACACAGGGTGAAACCCCCAGTGGGGATAACAGCCGAGGGCAGGGGGTGCCCGCGCGGGAGGGGGACAGGGGCGGGCGGCACTCACCTGGGCGGCGGCGCCCTCTGAACGGGGGAGCCCCGATGTCCGCGCGGCACTGGCTCCGGGCTCCCGGGCGCCGGCTGGGAGGGGGCGGGGCGGGGCGGGGGCGGGGCAGTGCCTGGTGGGGGCGGGGCAGGGCCGCTTCACCTGCTCGACTCCCGGGTCCCACGTCTGGCCTCCGGGAACCCTGGCGCACTCGCCCACAGCCCTGGTCCCACTGGCAGTGACCCCATGATCGCCTGCGCCCCCACCCTATTTTCTTGCTGTCCGCTCTGTGGTAGACCCCAGCTTGGGGTGGGGGTCCTGCCGCCAGCAGGAGTCCAGGGGGTCCCTCGTCGAGAGTCTGAAGAGGGTGGAGGGTCCTTGTTCAAGGGGAGAGGGTCAGGGGCTCTGCAGACGTCTCTGAGGGGTGGGCTGGGGTTGTGGAGATAAGTGGGTGTGTGGAGGCTGGTGGGGGCGGCAGGCAGCCCCAGCGAGGGGGGTCCGTGGTCGTGGGATTTCCAGGACACTCCACTCGGGTTTTATCCATGCCTTATTTGTGGATCCTACACATATTTAAGCATAGACTACCTGCTAAGTTGTTCTTTTTATTTCCCCTGAAATGAATCCATGGGTACACCTTAGTCCCTCACCTAAGGTGGGGTTCTCAGGCAGGCAGCAGAGTCACCTGGGTCCTCAAAGCAGATTCCTGGGCCTCGAGCTGGGCCCCCGACTCCCCAGGCAGTGAGGGCCTGGGAATCTGCATTCCTGAGAAGCTCCCGGGATGCTGATCCCCGGGCCCGCCGTGAGCGCCGCTGGTTGTAAGAAGCGGGACCGAGCGCCTCCTCCCGCTGAGCGCGGAGGCTGGGGATCACCGGACATTTTCCCACCAGGAGGTCCCCCAGCCCCCTCCCCTGACTCTGTGCCGACCCAGGGAGCCCCGCCACTGGCTGAATGAAGTGAGGCGCCCCCAGGTGACAGCAGAACTCGGAGGGCCCCTCTCTGAGGGGACATGGGAGCAGCCGCCTGCCGTCTGTTCACAGGTGGGGTCGGCTCCTGTTGAACAGGCGCCAGCAGCTCCCTTGAAGGCCGGGTACCGGGACCATGTTCTCTCCTTTAAGCGTTTCAGTGTTTCCACATGTTCTGCAAGCAGCGCGTGTTATGTTTACCATCGAGCAAGAGTGCTTAGAGGACCATGGCACCTGGCCCCAAGGTCCCCTCCCCTCCTCCCCAGCCTGCGGCCATGGCCAGGCCCTCAGGGGAGGCTGCAGGCTGGTCCCAGGTCCCCTGCCCAGAATCCGCCCCATAAGCCTTTCCATCCTCTCTGGAGGTACCTGGGCTGTATCCCTCCCACCCTCCCACAGCAGTGGCTTCCCAAGGCAGATCCTCTGAGAACCCCCTTTGTGACCCCTAACGCCTCCCCCATCTCCATCTGCTGCCCCTCCCCTCAGCCTCTGCCCACCATCCTCATGGTTCTCGCCTCAGCCCCTGGCTGTGTTCCTCCAGCTCCCACTGCCTCGCACCTGGGCCCCCATCTGTCATGTTCTGGGGCTCCCTGAGAAGCCTCTGGGGTCCCACTGTTCTGGAATCACTGGGTGCCCCAGGGGTGCAGGGTCCGGTGTGCGAGTCACGGCCCAGCGCCCAGTGGGAGCTCAGCCCTGCGGGTGGGTGGGCGCTGGATCTACTCACATCCCCAACATCAAGCTGGGACACCCCCCACCTCCAAGCACCTGGGCCCTCCTGGGGGCCTGATGGCCAGAGAGGGGACCTGTCGGCCCCACAGTGCCCCTCCCCACATCGGCCACCCTGAGTTCTGGGCAGGAGTCCCCTGGCCTCAGTCCCACCCACCCCAGGAGGATCAAATGAGGTCATGCCCGCCTGGGACGCTGCAGAGGTCAAACCCAGCACCGTGAGGATTAGGGGCTGCCAGTAGCCATGGCAACCGATGGTGGCTGGATGGACTCCGCAGGGACGGTCCTCAGACCCCTCTCCAGGGACCCCACCCTAACTGTGACCTGTCCCACGGCCCGTGACACCCCCTCTCCTGAGGCTGAGGACAGCAGCTCCCGGACACAAAGCCCGTGCCCCTCCCCCACCAGGCAGAGGCTTGGTCACTGGGCTGACTCCCCTGTAATTATTCAAAAGCAACAGGGGCTGACTCCAGCTCACCTGGAACACCCCAGAGGCCTCTCGTCTTAGTCCCCAGACTGGGCTGGGCCCTGGGGGTGGCGGCCAGGAGGAGTGTGGGGCACTCTGCCCTGCAGCCAACAGGGCCCTCCCTCCGCTCCTCCAAAGGGCCCCGCTGCCCACTGTCACCCTCTGAGCATCAGGCGTTTGCCCTGGCTGCCCCCCTGCCTGGTGCACCCCACCTCCCTTTCTGCAGGTAACTCCCCTGGCAGCTCAAGCAACGCTTCCTCCGGGAAGCCCGGGCCGCCCCACACTTGTTCCGTCGACCGCTGCCCCCAACAGCCTGCAGATGTTCACAGGAGGCCACGGGGCCTGGTGGGTCTCGACGTCGCCCCCGGGTCTGATCACAGCAGGATTCCAATAAACACGGGTCCACGTGCACCTCCCGGCCCTGGCTGGTGCAGCACAGCCCGCCAGACAGGAGGTCAGAGATCAGCCCCCCACCGGGGCAGCACAGCGGGTCACCAGCCTCCCGACAGGAGAAGAAAACACTGGCGCAGGCGCTGCCGGCATGTGTTGCTGGGACTGGGCTGGGAGGGTGTCCTGGTGTCTGAGAGCCTCAGGGAGCTACCGCAGAGCGTCCCCAAGAGCACAGGGTGCCCTGACATCCTGCGGATTCCAGCCTGGGGACCCGGCAGCAGGGGCTTCCCACCAAGGCGTCTGGAGTGAGATGCAGGCTGCAGCTGCCAAGGGCAGAGCGTGGCCCGGGGTCCAGACAGAAACAGGGAGACCCTCAAAGGGTTTCAAGGATGGGGCCTTCTGCAGGGGCCTGAGTCCCGCCCCTGGGGCCCTGGCTGACCCTCCTGGCCGTGGTCTCGAGCTTCAGTGGGCACTCTGTTAAAATGGGGTGCTCATTAAAATGCAGCTTCCCAGGCTACTCCAGCCTTCAGGATGGGAGGCGGGGGCAGTGCTGAGGCCCTCACCCACACAACCCGCTGGGGTGCCCACTCTGTCCCCTGGCACCTGGACCAGTGCCCAGTGTGGAGTGACGTCCCATGAGCACCAAAGACCTGCCCCCTCCCAGCCCCAGGTAGAAGCCACTGCCGGGCCTGCACTTGGGGGAAGGTGAGGATGAGGAATTTGAGTGAATATGCCCTGGAAACCGCGTCTGGAGCTGGTGAGAGACTCCCACACAAGACCCCCACCCTCCTGGGGGATCATGGGGACCCCCCAGTCCCACCTGGGCTACGGCAGCTCTTTCCTCCGCCAGCAGGTTGTACCACCCAGGTGAGGCCTCAGGCCTGCAGCAGCACTCTGATAGGCCCAGCTGGGGGGCGGGGCCTGCTCGCCTAGGCACCTCTGTGCACTCTGATAGGTCCAGCTGGGGGGCGGGGCCTGCTCTCCTGGGCACCTCTGTGCACTCTGATAGGTCCAGCTGGGGGGCGGGGCCTGCTCTCCTTGGGCATCTTCATTTGAAGATGGGGAAACTGAGGCTCAGAGAGGGTAAAGGGCTTGGCTTGGAGCTGAGTCTCTGGATGCTCAGGCCGGGGCCCACCCAGGACACCCTGCTTTTCAGTGAGTGGAGGGGCTCTGCAGGTGTGAGGAGGGAGATCAGGGCAGATGCAGGTACCTCCTGGCCCCTGCCGCAGCCCAGCTGGGACCCGCCTCATCCCAGACAATGAGGCCCCAGGAGTCCCGGCCCAGCCTCAGCTTTGGCAGGGCCCTGGTTCATCCCGGGAGGTGCTTCACGCGGTCACCAGGCAGCCCCACTCCTGCCAAAGGCTCCCCATACGGCAAGATTCACCCTCTTCCCGGGATGTGCCAGGCAGCTCTCGGGGCCAAAGCCTCCCCATACGGCAAGATTCATCCTCTTCCCGGGGTGTGCCAGGCAGCTCTCGGGGCACTGCTGTCTGGGCTGTGGACTCAGCCTGTGCTGGGCAGGGCAGGGGGAAGTAGCAAAGCCGTTCATGCAGATGGTATAGCCCCATTACCAGGCCCCCTGCCTGCGTGCGCGACACCAGCCCCTCAGCTGGGGCCAAACCTAGCATCTGGTGCAGCCGTGGGCGCTGACTCAGGCAGCGGGGTGTGAAGGCAGGACCATAGCGGGGGGAGGAGGAAGGGGGCGAGCTTCCAAAATTAACAGCCACATGACGCGGAGACTATTAACATCCCACCGCACAGACAGAGGCGGCGTCCACAGAGGGGCCTGGTGAGCCCAGCACTGCTTTAGGGCTGGGGCTCGGGAATGGACGTGCAAAGGGCAGCCCTCATAGCCACATGGACAGCAAGGAGGGTGTCACGGTACAGGTGCCGTGGGACAGGTCACAGCTAGGGTGGGGTCCCTGGAGAGGGGACCGAGGACCATCCCTGCGGAGTTGCCATGGCTCCCGGCACCCACTGAGCCTCACAGTGGTGGGCTTGACCTCTGCGGTGTCCCAGGTGGAGACTGGACTCACTGGATCCTCCTGGGGTGGGTGGGACCAAGGCCAGGGGACTCCTGCCCAGAACTCAGTGTGGCTGATGGTGGGAGGGGCACTGCAGGGCCGACAGGCCCCCTCTCTGGCCATCAGTCCCGCAGGAAGTCACTGGGGGAGGGGTCACAGCCAGGATCCTGACCCTGTGTGATGCCAAAGGCTGTCGGCATTCCTGCGTGGGAGCGGCCACCAACTCGTCCAGAGACAGAGGGAGCTGGGGGTAGCTGTGCCGAACGCCTATTGGCTCCAGTGGAGATGGCGCCAGTCTCACGAGGCCAGAGAAGAGACCCAGAGCCAGGATCCAGACATGGGGTCCTAGCGGGGGCTACACACAGGGGAGAGGGTCCAGCGGCAGCAGGTGGGGTGGGAGAACTACACCCACTGCAAAACCACAACCATCTCAAAAACCACAACCACCGCAAAACCCACAGTCACAACCACCGCAAAAATCGCAACCACAACAAAAACCACGACCACCACAAAACCACAACCCCCGCCAGAAGCACGCCCTCCCTACAGCATTTTCACTTAGCACCCTCCCCCAACAACCTCCACCCGCAGCCTCCGTTGAACCCAAAACAGAGGACCTCAATCCCCAGCATGGCCCGGGTTCCACAGGACAGGCCAGGGCTCAGATGTTTCTCATAGAGAGGACTTGGGTCTCCGGTTGGCTCCTCCCAGATTCCCTCGCTGGCAACCCCAACCACCTTCAGGTGTGTCTGCCACGGGGCACCCCCAGGTGTGCCTCATTACTGCCGTCAGGGGCGTTCACCAGGTGCGGTGGTCTGTCCTTGCACTGCTAGAAAATACCCACGACCGGGCGTGGTGGCTCACGCCTGTAATCCCAACACTGTGGGAGGCCAAGGCGGGGCGTTGGGGGTAGGGGGATCATGAGGTTAAGAGCTCGAGACCAACCTGGCCAACATGGTGAAACCCCGTCTCTACTAAAAGTATAAAAATTAGCCAGGCATGG
Source organism: Homo sapiens (assembly GCF_000001405.40). Taxonomy (NCBI): domain Eukaryota; kingdom Metazoa; phylum Chordata; class Mammalia; order Primates; family Hominidae; genus Homo; species Homo sapiens. The sequence goes on along the minus strand of NC_000016.10, from coordinate 1,067,275 downwards.
TGGCACATAACTGTAATCCCAGCTACTCAGGAGGCTGAGGCAGGAGAATCACTTCAACCCAGGAGCAGAGGGTGCATTGAGCTGAGATCGCCCCACTGCACTCCCTCCTGGGCGACAGAGAGAGACGCTGTCCACCCCCGCCTCCACCAAAACAAACAAACAAACAAACAAAAAAAACCCTGAGACTGGGTAATTTATAGAGAAAAGAGTTTGATTGGCTCACGCTTTGTAGGCTATATGGAAAGCACAGGTGTTTCTGCTTCTGGAGAGGCCCCAGGAAGCTTCCAACCGTGGTGGAAGGCGAAGCGGGAGCAGGTGTCTCACATGGCGTGAGCGGGAACGAGAAAGACAGAGCAGGTGCGGGACACAGTTAAATGGCCACTCACAATCTCGAGGACAGCACCAGGAGGGACGGGGCCAAGCCATTCACGAGAAATCCGCCCCTGCTACCCAGTCACTCCCCACCAGGCCCCACCGTCACACTGCAGACTCCATTTCCATGTGAGGTTTGGGTGGGGACGCAGAGCCGCACCACACCACCACCCAGGAGGATGCCCAGGAGCAGGCGTGTGGGGCGCTCAGGGATGATACGCCTCACGGGGGGACCCTGCCTCCAGGGGCTAGGGTGTCTGGGAAGAGGCTGGGAGCCGGCGTGGCTGTGGCCCCTCCATCCAGGCATCACAGACCAGGGCTGGTGGGTTTCAGGGGGTGTCCACATCCACCACCCTGAACCCCATGTCCTTTTCCAGGGAAACGTGCAGAGGAAATGGTTGGAGAGCGAAGTCCAGGCACAGGGGCCATGAGAGCCGGACCCCACGCAGCTGCAGACCTCGACCCGAACTGCATGCGGCTGAGGACCCCCAAGCCAGGCAGACCCCGACCCAGACCCCACGCGGCCGCGGACCCCCGACCTCGACCCAAACTGCATGCGGCTGAGGACCCCCAAGCCAGGCAGACGCCAATCCAGACCCCACGCGGCCGCGGACCCCAACCCAGACAGACCCCGACCCACCCGTGCAGCCCCCAGCCCCAGAAGTCAAACCCCAGCGTCCCCCAGGGCGGCCCGGGCTCCCTCAGATACAGCAGCTTCCTGAGGTGGCCTCACCTGCAACTCCAGACCAATCAGAGAAGGCCAAATGGGCTCCCCAAGCCCAGCAGGTGGGACCCCCGATCTAGAGAGCCCCTTCCCCGCCCCAGGCCAACAGCCACCCTCGGGCTCCGCATCAGGTCTGCCAAATGCAGGGGCGAGGGGCCGACCCCGCCACGGGAACCAAACTCAGGAAACAGCCCATCCAGCGTCCATCTCCATCCGGACCCGCCGCCGCGGCCGCAGGTTCACGCGCCGTTCCGCGGAGATCTCTCAGGCGCCTCCGGCCCGGCAGAAACCCGCGGTTCCGATGGCAGAGGTCCTGGTGGGAATCGCACCGCCTGCCGTTCCTGCCTCCGCGGAGGATGCGCTGCCCTAAACTGCCCCCGGCTCTTCATCCCCCAACCCCCGGCAGCCTCCGACCCTCCCCCGGCCGGCGCAGCTCAGCCTTTCGCAGACGCGGGGGAGCTGGAATCCGACCACGCGCAGCCTTCTCACCGTGGTGCACGCTTCGGGCCCCCCACGCCTTTCCCAGGCTTCATCACCCATTTCTCTCCAGCGCTGAAGGAAACCCCCCAGATGCTTCTCCACTCACCCACCGAAGCAGGTCTCGGTTGCCCCCAGCCCCGGGCCCTCCCGAGAACACTGCAAGCCCCCACTGGTCCCCTCCCGGCAACCCCACGGCCCATCCCCAACCTGCACTCACCCTGTGGGGCCTCCACCCTTTGGAGGAAGGACGTGTCAAAGCTTGGAGGTGCGCGGCCTGTCTAACCTCCGCCCAAGGCGCGCGGCAGGCGACAGGTCTCAGCCCGGATCAGCGTGGTCCAAAAGGACTTATCGTTAAAAGTGCTGGTCCCAGAACCCAAGGGGAAGACATGCTGGTTCTCTGATGAGCTGGGCCGCCTCCTCCAGGAAGCCTCCTCCTTGGAGCTCTGTAGCCATCGTGGGCTTGCAAGAGTCAAAGGGCCTGGCCCACAGCGGCGCCCGGCACTGAGCTGGACAGTGTCCTGCCCCCAAAATTCATGTCCGCCCAGAACCTCAGAATGCAACCTTCCCTGGTAGTAGGGCTTTGCAGATGTAATTAAGGATCTGGGGACGAGGTCACCCTGGATTGAGGCTGAGTCCCAAGTCAGTCACTGGTGTTCCTCCATGAAGAGCAGAGCAGAATAGAGACAGATGCACAGAGCAGGCCCTGTGAGGACAGAGGCAGGGACTGGAGCGTCGGCCGCAGCAGGGGCGTGGAGCCCCCAGAGCTGGAAGAGGGAGGGATCCTCCCCAGGGCCTCCGGAAGGAGTGTGCTGCGTGCTGCCCACACCGTGATTTTGGACTCGTGGCATCCAGAACTGGGAGAGAATAAATTTCTGATGTTGTAAGCCTGCACTACAGCAGCCCCAGGACGCTGAAATAGTTCAGCCGGTGCAGGCTCCTCCCTCCCTCTCTCTCTCTTGTTGTGAGATATTTTTTAGACGGGGTCTCACCTGTCGCTGGAGTGCAGTGGTGTGATCATAGCTCACTGGAGCCTCTAATGCCTGGGCTCAAGCGATCCTCCCACCTCAGCCTCCCGAGTAGCTGGGACTACAGGTGCCATCAGACCTGGCTAATTTTTAAAAATCTTTTTAGAGATGGGGGAGGTCTCCCTATGTGGCCCAGGCTGGCCTTGAACTCTTGGGCTCAAGTGATCCTCTCGCCTTGGCCTCCCAAAGTGTTAGGATGGCAGGCTTGAGCCACCACGCCTGGCAGCTCCATCTGTGTTGACTCCTGAAGCCCCTCATCTTGGCTAATCCGGACAGGCTTGCTGGGGACCCCATCTCCCCTTGGAGACTTTGGGATGTGGCTGGATGTCCAAGTGGCCGGGGTCCTCCACAGCCCCCAGCTTCCCAGGGCGGGAGGCAGGCTGTGTCCTCGGTGGGCACTGACAGTGAGGCTGAAATGTTTGCACTTCACATTTCCACATTTAGGGGCATTTTGTTGTTGACTCATTCAAAGCTCTTTTAAGTCGCTTAATTTGCTGCTCAGAGGGAAATGAAAAGGGAGCCATTTTCCCTGATTTGTTTGCCTCATCAACTTTTCAATCAATAAAAAAGTGCATTTTGCTCATCGGATGCAAATAGGTCCATCTTTCCTAATATGTTGAAATATAGTGATTCATCAGCCATTTCATTTCATCTGGAAGCTGAAAGCCTAATGGCGTTTGGCGAGAACTCCTCACTCGAGAAGAGTCGGTAATAAGTCAGCATGAACGCACAGGTGGGGCGTGGCTCTGCGTGGGTGCAGAAGCGTGGCGCTGGGTGACGTACGGAAACGGGGACCTGCAGCGGCTGGGAGTGTGAAGGCTGTGGCCACGACGCCGGCTCACCGGTGACCAGTGCCCACCGGGGTTTGCCCTCCCCCAGAGGCCACACCCCCACAGACCCAAACTCAGGGTCCCTGCCAGGCTGGACCGCAGATGCCCCGCCAGGGATGCAGGTAGGGGACTTGAATGAGGCGCAAACTCCTCGTCAAAGGACAAGCACGTCCCCGTCCAGGCAGCCACTGCCTGCCCCTCACAGTTGTAGCCGCTGCCGCCCAGTATGGGGGGTCACGTTTGGCACCGTGAGCTTAGGGGGTCTGGAGCCTGCCAGCCCCAAAGACAGTAAGATGCCCCCCTAGGCGTCCAGGCCAGCGACGGGCACCCCCTGCCCACCTCATCCACCTCCCTGGGCTCCTTTCCCCTCAGACGCAGCCAGTGTGTGTGCTTTGGTGGGGTGGGGTCTCTGCTCCTGGTCACCCCATGAGCCTGACTGTACCCCCTTCCCCTGCTGATCCCCCTCAAACACTCAGCACTTCCCTTCTCTAGCATTAGGCGGGGAGGAACCAGCTGGGCCCCGGGGTCAGCCCTGCCCACAGCACCTCCCATGGCCACAGCAGCGTTGGGGGATCTGAGGCCCCCACAGCACCTCCCACGGACACGGCAGCGTTGGGGGGTCCGAGGCCCCCACAGCACCTCCCACGGACACGACAGCATTGGGAGATCTGAGGCCCCGGAGCACCTCCTACGGACACGGCAGCGTTGGGGGATCTGAGGCCCCAGAGCCCAGGGCTGCTCATGGAATTGGGCGCCAATTTCCCGGGACCCACATGGCAGAGGCTGGCGGGGCAGGGAAGCCACGTGCAGGCCCTCGAAGCAGATGCCACCTGCCCCTGACCATGCCTGCGGCCACTTCCTGCAACCCCTGTGACTCTGGCCGTCTCTGACCACAGGAGGCCTGGCCTGGGCGTGGGAACGGCCAGGAGTGTGGTGAGTCCATGCCCTGGGGTACAGCCACTACAGCCTGGCCACTTCCCTATGGTAGGGACAGCTCCGGGGTGCTGCCTCCTGGGGTCTGCCCACAGCGGTGACCTGCTCACTACTGCCCATTGGCACCCACCCCTTCCCTTCACAGCACCCCCTCAATGACGGGTGTTTCCTGGGGCCACCCCCAAACTCTCTGCCTGAAGATCCTTGCCTCTGAGCCTTCCAGGGGCACCCAACAGAGACCCGGTCACCTCGCTGCCCCCCACGAGGACACACTGGCTGCAGGCAGGTGACAGAGGTGCCCAGGTGCCACACCGCTGGGCGCTGACCTCCAGACTCAGACCACAGAGGCCACAGACACGTCCCCTCGGCTCCCACGGCCGGGCCCTGGGAGGGACACGGTGGATGCCGACACCATCACTGCTGCTGTTCCCGGCCTGGGATCAGCTCTGGGCCTGGCCGGCCTTGAGTCACCCCTTAGCTGCACACAGCGTTTGTCCCGATTCAATCAGCACCCACGGGGTGACCAGAGGCCCCGAGAGCCCAGCCAGTGGGTGCCAGGAAGGGTGCGAGGCCTCAAGGAGCCAGGGCCGGAGCTGCAGCCGGGACGACCCCGTCAGCCACAGCAAGGACGGCAGGCAGCTGGGGCAGTTCCCCGGCCTAAGCACCACCCCAGACCTATTTACCCCGTGGCAGGGGCCGGTGGGGAAACTGTGGCCCGGAGGTCAGGGGTCCTGTCCACAGTCACCGCCTGTGTGAGTCTCCCGGGGCTGCCATAACAAAGAGCCACGAACTGGGAGCTAAAGCCACGGAAACGCGACCCCTCCAGCCCTGGGGCCGCAAGCCTGAGATCGAGGTGTCCGCAGGGCCACACTCCCTCCGAAGCCTCCAGGGGAGGGCCCTACCGCTCCGCACTGCCAGCCACCCGTGGTGTTCCTGGGCTGCCTCTCTCCAGTCTCTGCCTCTGACGTCACGCGCCCGACTTCTCCCTGCTGTCAGCAGCCTCCTTACAAGGTGCCGGTCGTTGCTTTTGGGACCCTCCCCGTCCGACCTCATCTTAACTCGATCATTCACAAAGACCCCATTTCCAGTGCTCGCAGGTACCCGGGGTCAGGGCTTCGACATACGTTTTTGGAGGGGCTCAATTCAACCCACTCCACCAGCTTCTGAGTGCTGGGGCCTGGGATTCAACCTCCCCGGCTGGCCGCAGTGACCACTGGGATACATGGCTCACCAGCCAGCTCCTCCCCGGGGCTCAGGCCTCAGTCCCACCCACCCCTCCATGAGGACCACCTGGGGCCCCAGAGAAGGGAGAGGCAGCTGATTGCCGGGGAGATGGAGTCCCGGGGGAGGGGCGGTGCCCACCCCCACCTGCCAGGTTGCTGGGCTCCATGGAGGGGGCACCTGAGACCCCCTCCCAAGAGCCAGGCTTCCTCCTCTCAGCAGAGCCAGGCCCTGAGGGGCAGCCGGAGGGCCCAGGCCTGTGCTTGGTCCCAGCAGAATTGTGTGGTCCGAGCCTGAGAAGCAATTTATTTGCACGTCAGCTCTGGGAGCCTCTCTGCCATTTCTGGAGACATTTAAGAGCTGCCATCTATAACTTCATTAGGGACGGCGGGGCCAGGGGCAGCTGCTGACCGCTGTCCCTGTAGGGCGGGGCTGTGGCAACACCACATTTGCCCAGGGCCTGCGAACCCGCCCGCGCTGTCTGAGGAGTGGCCACCGACGGCACCAGATGGAGGCTCTCCAGCCCTCCCTCCCGAGCCCCGGTAGTGAGAGTGGGTGCTGAAACCCCATCCCGGGCCCCAAAGGACACTGGCCGATTCTCGCGCAGAAAGCCACAGGCCTTGTCGCACTCCCTCCCTGTGGACGGGTGTGGATGTGTCATCATCTGACTGCTCCCTGGGAGGGCTGGGAGTTTCACCCGCTCCTGCCTTGCCAAGGCACTGACCGGCTGGAGGCGCGGAATCCGGCCTGGTTGTTGGCGGTCCGATCTGGGGACCGGCTCTTCGAGGTCTGTCCTGTTCAGCCCCGCCTGGGGCATAGGGTCTTCTAGGTCTCGGGTTGTGGTGCGGGGTTGCCAGATAAATGCAGTAATGGCAGCAAGGAGAACCGGCATTTCCACTGGGCCTTTTACGTCTACCATGCCTGTTTTCCCATGTGGCCCTCCGACTCCTGTGAGGGAGGTGAGGCTGCACTATAGGTGAGGATGTGGGGGATCAAGGCAGGGGCATCCCCCACCCACCCTCAGCCATGCAGCTGACTGGGGCCGGGCTGGGGTTCAGACTCAAAGCTGACGCCGGTGCCTGTACCCCCGGGGCGCTGCCTCTGTCACCAGGACACGGATGGGGCACCACTGGCAGCCAGTGGGCGGGGTGGGGGATATGGAGTCTGGTTCCAGGACCTAGAGGCCACCCAGGCTCCAGCAAAGGCAAACATGCACCCTCCGTGGGGATATGTCCCCCTGGGGCTTGGGCTCCATAGAAGAAATGGCCCGCAATGGTGAGCTCACACCCCGAGGGACTGGCAGACACGGCACCATCTTCTAATTTTTAATGTTCCATTTTTTTTTTAAAGAGATGAAGTCTTGCTCTGTCACCCAGGCTGGAATACAGTGGCACAACCATAGCTCACTGCAGCCTTGGACCCCTAGGCTCAAGTTATCCTCCTGCCTCAGCCTCCCAAGTAGCTGGGACTATAGGCAGTGCCACCAAGTCCAATAAACGTTTTCTGTTTTTTTGTAGAAAGAGTCTCACCAGCTTGCCTAGGCTGTCTCCAGCTCCTGGGCTCAAGCAGTCCACCTGCCTCGGTCTCCCAGAGTTCTAAGATTACGGGTGTGAGCCACTGCACCCAGTCAATAGTATCTTAAGAACCAGAAATAATAATAGAACAATTAAGAGATTATAGGCCAGGCGTGGTGGCGCACGCCTGTAATCCTAGCACTTTGGGAGGCTGAGGAGGGCAGATCACTTGAGGTCAGGAGTTTGAGACCAGCCTGGCCAACAAGGTGAAACCCCATGTCTACTAAAAATACAAAAAATTAGCGGGACATGGTGGTGGGCGCCTGTAATCCCAGCTACTTGGGAAGCTGAAGCAGGAGAATGGCTTGAACCTGGGAGGTGGAGGTTGCAGTGAGCCAAGATCACGCCACTGCACTCCAGCCTGGGCCACAGAGTGAGAATCTGTCAAAAAAAAAAAAAAAAGATTATACATGAGTTTAAAATGACTAAAGAGATAAAAGTAGAAATGAAAAACAATATAATAGCATGAAAAGGACCCAGCAGATTAGAAAAACAACCACACAGGACCTTTAACACGAGGAATATGGCTGTTGGTATAAAAACCTCAGCTGATGGCTTCAATAGCAGATTAGATGTGGCCAAAAGAGAATATGGGAGTTGGAAGACAGCCCTGAGGAAGTCACCCAGATGATGCCTCCCCATATAGTAGCAGGTAAGAGACTGAAACTAAGCTGCAGAAAGGCCAGTGTTTTCACATTGAAGACACTCTCCAATCCCTGCTCAGAACATCGGAAAAATGAATCGAGACCCAGACCCAACAAAGAGGGTGGGAGACATCAGGAAACACCTACACATTAAAAAAAAAACAAAAAAAAACCTCTAACCCTAGGCTGAGCGCAGTGGCTCACGCCTGTAATCCCAGCACTTTCTGTGAGGCCAAGGTGGGAGGATCACTTGAGGTCAGGAGTTCAAGAGACCAGCCTGGACAACATAGCGAGACCCCAATCTCTACAAAAAATTAAAAAACTTGTGGGGCATGGTGGCACACACCTGCAGTCCCAGCTACTGGGGAGGCTGAGGTGGGAGGATCACTTGAGCCCAGGAGTTTGAGGTTGCCTTGAGGCGTGATGGCACCACTGCACTCCAGTGTGGGGGACAGAGCGAGGCCTTGTCTCAAAAACATGCCTGGTGTGGTGGCTCACGCCTGTAATCCCAGCACTCTGGGAGGCTGAGATAGGCAGATTGCTTGGGTCAGGAGTTCAAGACCAGCCTGACCAACATGGTGAAACCCCATCTCTACTGAAAACACAAAAATTAGCCAGGCGTGGTGGCACGTGCCTGTAGTCCCAGCTACTTGGGAGGCTGAGGCAGGAGAGTCCCTTGAACCCGGGAGGCGGAGCTTGCAGTGAGCCGAGATCACACCACTGCACTCCAGCCCGGGCAACAGAGCGAGACTCCGTCTGAAACACAAAACCCCTCCAGCCCTGTGAAGTGTGCAAAGAGGCTCCGGAAGCTCGCAGATGAGATGCAGGCATAAAGCCTGCCCCCACTTCCCGCCCCCAGAATGTCCTGGGGACCCTGGTGGGCACTGGTCAGGGCCCGTGGGGGTTTCCTGGGGCAGGATGCAGCTTGGGTGACTGGGCTGAGGCCCCCAGCCGACTCTGGGGGGTCCCAGGCAGGTTGGGGCAGACGGGAGGGCGGGGGTTGGGGAGGCAGCAGCCCCTTCTCTTGTGGCGTGGCTGTGACTCCCTTCCCTTCACACGAAGCAGTCAGGATGCGGCAGCCGGGGGCTCGGGGCCTTCACGGGGCAAGTTCAAGCCCAGCGCCGGCCTCCCTGGGACCCCCCACAGCTCCTGTCATGATCATGTCACGTGGACATGGGATCTTTGGCTGAAGAGACAAATGGCAGCATTGACCAGGGGCAGGCAGAGGCCGGACACTGAGCAGGAAGTGGGGGCTGATGGGAGCCGGGACTCCGGGTGGGGGAAGGGAGGGTCTGCTGGCAAGGCCTCCCCCACCAGGCCGCTCTCCGTGGGCTCTGAGCGCCCCCCGACCAGCCCCCCAGGGGTCCTCACCCTGGGACCCCCATGTCCCCCATGAACTGAATCTGCCTGGACCCCATGCTTGGTGACGCCCCCACCCCCCTCCTCCCAGCTCCAGGGTGGGGGGACCCTGCTTCGTCCCTGCCCGGACCCTGTCGGGGGAATTAAACAGGGGGATGGGGCGTGGGGCAGAAGGGACAGCAGCAGGGGCTTAGGGCCACCTCAGAAAGTGGGGGCTCCTGGAGGGGACCAGCCTCCCTGCCACCTGGCGGGTGACACCGGGGTCCCCAGGCACAGGCCGCCCACTGCCCAGCGCCGGACTCCCCAGCTCCACCACACCTGGTTCTCTCCCCGACCAGGCCCCGACCCTGGGGACCCTCGAGGAGGGGCCTGGACACGCCGGGGGGGGGGTTGCAGCAGCCCCCACCGGACGGTCCCTGCGTTTGAACCGCGGTGTCGGGACCGCCGGCTTCTGGCGCCCTCTGGTGGGCACAGTGGGCCCTGCGTGAGGTCGGGCTTGGTGGGCGGCTCTGAGGCTGGAGCTCAGTGACAGCCACAGTGGGTCCTGAACTGGGGCTGGGGCAGAGGCAGCGAGAGCCGGGGTCCCTGTGTCCCACGGCCTGGCAGGGACCCGCTCCCAGCAGCTCTGTTGTGCGGCCTTGGCTGGTCAGTCAGCCCCTCTGAGCCTGGTGTCCCCGGCAATACGGGGTCACAATGACGTCCCCTGCCCACTCTGCCAGGCATTTCCAGGAAAGCCCTGCCGTGGGCCCGTTCCCAGGCCTGAATCTGTTCCTCGGGGACCTCTGGATTGGCAGGCCCTGCCCTGGTGCTCCTGACAGCCCTGCCCAGGCCAATCCTTCTTTGGGGATGGGTACTGTCAGCCTCACGGGCCCTCAGTGATAGGGACAGGAGACAGAAATTCTAGGTAGAAAAAGATGGGGTTCCTGAGGAACCCCACCCTCAAGCCTGGAAGCATAGCCCTGAGTGAGAACACGCATTCCAGTTTCCCTGCTCCAATGCTGCCTTTTCCAAAACCACCACTGCCTCGCCCCACCCCCATCCTGTACCCATAAAAACTCCTGACCTTATTGGCAGAGAACAGAGCAGGCAAGGAGAGGAGAAGCAGCTGGCCATCGGAGATGGCAGTTTGACATCAGAGAGGAGCAGCGTGACCTCAGAGGGACAGCTGGACAGCAGGACTTTGGAGAAGAGTCTGGTAGAGACGGCAGGACTTCAGGGGACTATCACCTTCCCCCTCCACCCCCTCTCCAGCTCCCCCTCCCACTGAGAGCCTCTTCCACCACCTTCCCCCTCCACCCCCTCTCCAGCTCCCGCTCCCTGTGAGAGCCTCGTCCATCACCTTCCCCCTCCACCCCCTCTCCAGCTCCCCTCCCTCTGACAGCCTCTTCCATCACCTTCCCCCTCCACCCCCTCTCCAGCTCCCCCTCCCTCTGAGAGCCTCTTCCATCACCTTCCCCCTCCACCCCCTCTCCAGCTCTCCCTCCCTCTGAGAGCCTCTTCCATCACCTTCCCCCTCCACCCCCCTTTCCAGGTCCCCCTCCCTCCATCGGCCATAAAATCCCTTGCATTTACTATCCTTCAATTTCTTCATGCAACCTGATATTTCCTGGATGCTGGACAAGAGCTTGGGATACAGAAAGCTGTCACACTGACCCTCTGCCCTCGAGAAAAGGCAGAGGGTCCACTGAGCTGTTAAACACTCCAGACATCCTTGGACAGCAAAGCTAAAAGCACTGTAACACACACCCTCTGAGGCTTCACGGGTCACAGGCACTGCCCTAGACACTGCCACAGGACTGCACGGAGTTCTGCTCCTGCTGTGCCCAGAAGTGTTCACTCCAGCTCCTGCACCCGCCCACCTGCGTGCTCCTGCTGCCTCGAGGGGTTGAGAGCTCTGGGCTAAGCAAGATACCGCTGTCACCAGGCCCACAAAGGGGTCAAGGAAAATTTCTTGTTTCATTGGGGTGTGCGTGGCATGGACGGGAGAGGAGGGGCAACACAGGGCTGCCTTTACCAGGTCACTCCCCTTTCTGCCCTTGGGGACCTGCCTCAGTGCCGCCCCCCAGGTAGATGGGTTTGGGGCCAGGGACCCCCCCAAAGCAGGCAACCCTCAGCTCGGCCACCCTCTGACCTTGGGTCCCATGGCCGGGCTCTCAGGTAGGGCCTGGCCACCCAAAAGCAGCCCCAGCACCCCAACCAACCCTCACCCCACAAGGCCACAGTCCCTACAGCAGCCCCAGCACGTCCCGGCCCGCTGTCCCCTGAGCACCCCTGACAAACCCTCGTCCTGCAAGACCACAGTCCCTACGGCAGCCCTGCCCATTCCTTCCCGGCCTGGAGCTTAGGGTTCCTGCAACAGGCTGGGGCCTATGGAGAGTGGCTTGCACCTGGTGTGCTGGGGTGTGGCTGTTAACACCTGGGGCGCAGCCTCACCAAAGCAGGGTGTTCGCAGTGGCTCTTATACCACCACGGGGCGGGCCTCCCTGAGGCCCCTCTGCTCCATCTCCCTTTGTCCCCAGAAGCGCTGAGCCCGAGCGCCCTGGGGTCCTGCTCTGAACACACTGTGTGCCCTTCCCTCCCCAGCTGGCCCTCAGAGACCCTTGGCAGGGCCTGATTTTCAGGACCACGGCCGCAAGCAACCTCCTGGCCCCCTCCTCCCCTTCAGCTCTGCAAACCAGCTCCCTGACCAAGGAGACTTTCAGAACTGCCCTCTGATCCTGCAATCTGAGAGGACCACACCACCGTGCAGCCCCCACCCCGGGCCTCGGCTCCCTGAGCCCCAGGACCCCGCATCAGGGCCTGAAGAATCAGGCGGAGCACGGCCGGCGCTGGCCACTGGGGGGCACACGTGCAGTTCTCAAGGCTCCCAGCAGCGCCGGTGTCCGGCGTCCAGTCCTGCCAGGCTCAGGCCCGAGGACAGGGGTTGGGGGTTCTATGTGGGGCTCCTCCTGCCCTGTGGCGAGGGCTTTCTCATGCCAAGATTGAAACCCCTGGTTTCCAGGCTAAGACCTAGGGCCCAGAACCAGCCCAGCTGACCTTCCTGGCCTGGCTGCAGGGCCCAGGGAAGCTGGACCCTGGGGGTGGGACTGGGACCCTCCCGCCTCCCCCAGCCCCACCCACTCTCTGCTGGCTTTGCTGCCGGCGAGTGGCCAGCCCGGCCGCCCCACACCCTCCAGCAGCTGGTGGGCGACCCTCCCGGCAGCAGGACTTGCCTGGCTGGGCCGGCCACACCTGCTGCAGCAGCTGGCTCAAAATCCCCAAATCCTGGCAAGCTGCCCGCCTGGCCCCGCACCGGCCAGGCCAGCGCATCCTTGGCCCGTAGGGTCTGCCTGTCCTTTGCTGAACCGGCTGTTGGGGACCGTGGCCAGGTGGGCAGGCGGACAGCACCCCAGCCTGGAGACACCAGGGCTGCTCACACGCCAGGCTGCACTGTCTCAGCCCTTTGTGTGTGTGGGTGGGGGTGGTACCCCGCCTGGGCTCTGCTGGAGCAATTCAGATGAGAGTCTGTAGGCTTTTCAGGAGAAAGAAAAACAGAGACATGGGTGCTGGGGTCTGACCCTCACCCCACCTCCTCGGGCAGGGGAGAAAGCAGGGTGTCATTCTTCTGAGGGCAGGCGGCCGCTGGACAGGCCCAGCCCCCCTGCCCCGGCCAGCCTGCCCCAGGCCCGTCAACCCCCTCAGTGTCCATCTCCGGCTCATCCTCACTGGGACCCTCGGGCCAGTGGCAGCCTGGGTAGGCCAGGAGGGTGTGCAGGCCAGGAGGGTGTGCAGGCCAGGAGGGTGTGCAGGCCAGGAGGGTGGGCAGCACCAGGAGGGTGGGCAGGACCAGGAGGAGCGGGGCTCAGCTGCCACAGGGGCCCTCCAAGCCGTCACCCAACCCTGGCCTGAGTTTGCCACTTGATACCTGGCCACTTGGCTGCTCCCAGGCCTTGGGGGAGGCCGGGTCCCCGGCTGCCGGATGCTGGGAGTCAGAGCCCCAGGAGCAGAGAGGCGGTGGTCGCCGCCCATCCAGGGCCTAGGTGGGGGTGCTGCCAAGGCAGGTGGCGAAACCGCAGCCAGTGCTTCCCCCCGTGGGTGCTCGCTTATCCCCGCCCCCCGGCATTTGCTGAGCACCTACTGTGTGCTGCCGGTCCCTCCGTGCTGAGACAGACCCAGCAAGGGGCCTGCGGAAACTGCCTTGTGCCCAGCACGTGGCTCCTCCCTGGCCCCCCACTGTCTGCGTGCGGGGGCTCCCCAAGCATGCACCCTCCTGGGACCCTGCCCTGCCCAGTCTGCACCTGCTGGGTGCAGGTGGGGCCCCTTGCTCTGCCTGGGGTCAGTGGGAGGGGCTGGGGTGGCTGTGGTCACTAAGCAGGTATTCTGAGGGGAGAGCCTGGGCAGCATCAGATGGTGACATCCTGGGGTCAGCGTCCTGCACTCAGCAAGACAGCAGCCCCTGCGGAGTGCTGAGTGGACAGAGGTGGGGGCTGGCTCGTCCTGTGCCCAAGGCTGGGTGGGAGAGCACTGCAGCCCCGGCCCACCCCAGCTGCCCACCCCAGCCTGGTGCCCACCCCCTGAAAGTCCCCCCTGCTGGCATCTGTAGCCGAGGTAACTGATCCCTGGTGGGGGCCGGGCTGGCCTGGGCTCTGGTCTCTCTTGGCTCCCGAGCCTCCGGCCCAGCTGTTGCTGAGGAGGCTGCGTCTGTCCTCGGGGCCAACAGCTGCAGGCCCGGAAGCGCCCCCCTCCCACATCCCCCAGAGCAGGTGTGTCCCCCACAGCCCAACCCAGCCTGCCAAGGATGGGTCCCAGGGATACGGGGGCCTCCTGCCCTTCTCTGCTCAACTTTTCGGGGCCTGGGCTGGGACTGCTGTTGGAGTCCTCAGTCCTGTGGGTAGCAGACGCCAAGTCCCTGGTGGCCAGCCTGTGGCCAAGTGGGCTGAGCACTCACTGCAGCCCCGACCAAGAGCAGCTGTGCCCCTCAGCCACGCTCACCAGACCCAAAGTGCACGGCCGGGCACACACCCTTCCACCTGCCCCACTGTCCAGGCTCGGCGGGGGCCTCCCCGATGCCACTCCCCTCCCTCCAGGCTCCGACACCCACACTGTCCTCACTGACCTGAGAGCCTGTGTCACAGTGTCCCCAGCGTGGCAGGAGAGGGATGCCTGAGCCATGGCAGCCATTGGTGATCCCGTGTCAGCTGGGTGACAGCTGAACCCCAGGCCAGCCCCTGGTAGCCCACCTGCAGTGCCCCTGGCGGGCATCCAGCCCTGCCTGGCCCAACTCCATGCCATGCTATGAGGCTGATCAATTCCCCAGCAGTCGGTGGCCACAGCGGAGGGTGCCTGAGACTCCAAACTGGGGACCCACCTTGTGGACACCCTCCCTCCTCCACCACAGCTGTGGGTACCATGTCCTCCCTCCTGCCTCCTCTCGCTTATGGGCCTTGACACCCCTCCCCTGCCCTGCCCTCCCTGCTGCCTGCTGGACCCATCACTGCCTTCAGCCCCTGAGTCCTCCTCTGGCCCTGGAACCCTCCCCAGCTTGCTATCAGGGCCCAGCATACCTGCTCCAGGGATGGGGTGCAGCCCCCACCCTGACTAGACCCCGGCACAGGAGACCTCAGGTTAGGGACTCCCCCAGGGAAGTAACTGGAGCCCCCGCCCCATGGTGGAGGGGCCAGGCTCCGGGGGACCTGCCAGGGGTAAGTGCCAGTCAGACTGTGTGCCCGGGACAGCTGCCCTGCTACAGTTGGTTCCTGTCCTGGGCTGAACGGTGTCCCCCAGATTCATATCCACCCAGAACCTCAGCGTGTGACCTTACACGGAGATGGCATCTTTGCAAATTTATTTATTTATTTATTGAGATGGAGTCTTACTCTGTTGCCCTGGCTGGAGTGCAATGGCGTTATCTCAGCTCATTGCAACCTCCGCCTCCCAGGTTCAACTGATTCTCCTGCCTCAGCCTCCTGAGTAGCTGGGATTATAGGCGCCTGCCACCACGCCCGGCTATTTTTTGTATTTTTAGTAGAGACAGGGTTTCGCCATGTTGGCCGGGCTGGTCTTGAACTCCTGACCTCAGGTGATCTGCCTGCCTCAGCCTCCCAAAGTGCTGGGATTACAGGCATGAGCCACCGAGCCTGGCCATTTTTGCAAATTTAATCAGCTAAGATGAGGTCATGCAGGATTACGGTGAAAGGGTCCTTGTGAGAAAAGGAAAAGAGGAGAATGGGTAGGGCTTCCAGGGAGGTGCCGGGCCCGGGGACGTCAGGGCCCAGGGGGCCAACAGGCCCTGGTCATGCTCTCATGGCAGAGTCAGAGAAGATGACGAGGCCATGGCCTCTGCACCCCCAACATCCAAATCCCCGCCCCCACGCCCAGACCCCGGGGGGCCGATCTCTGGTGCAGAGAGGTGTCTCCCCAGGAAAGCGCAGAGGGGGTCGGCGTGGCTCCCAGGTGTGGGGAGGGCGGCACATCCGAGACGTGGATGCAGGACCCAGAGCGGGAGCTCTGGGGAAGCAGGAAGACCCCTGTTCCTCCTGGGGCAGGGCCGCCCATCGGCCAGGTGGTCTGGGCACAGAAGTGGGTGGGCCTGGTGGGCCCTGATGCAAAGGGTTGGAGGGAGTGCAGGGCTCGATTAGCGATGCCTGCCCTGGGCATACGGAGGAGTGGGGTCCTATGTGCCATGGCCAGCTGAGAGGGAGAAGGCCTTGCCGGGAAACCCTCAAAGGTCCTCCGCAGCCAGCCCGAGCTGAGGTTGCACAGGGGCCTCAGAGCCAGCACCAGGCCAGTCTCAGACGTCGGGATCAGAAGGGGTTGCAGGGCCTGGTCCCCAAGACCTGTGTCTCCCACTGACGGCCTGGCAGCTGGGAAAGAGAAGGGAGAAACCCCCTCCCCAACTTCCCCAGCCTGGTCCCCTCCCGACCCCAGGGACAGAGCCCCGGGCCAGACGTGAATCAGTGGCCCCACCAAACCTCCTACATCTGAGTCTGCGACTCCTCCCGCCCACCCCGCACCAGATCCATCAGCCACCCCTGCTCCAGCGACGGACACCTTGCCGACACCGGGCTTCGGGGCCCCTGCGAAGTGCTAAGTGGCTTTGCGCAGGTGATTCATCTGGGCCCATTTCTCCCAGGGTCTTCAAGCATCTGATGATTTTATTTGGATGGAGCACTCTGCAGGCCGTCTGCATTTCCCATCTCAGGAACCTTTCACTTCTGAGAGCGACGGGAGAGGTGGATGTTTACTTTATCGCTTTTCCCTGTGCAGGAGTTTAATAACTTAGCAGCCGGGCCGAGGCGGCGACGCGTAGGGCCGTTTGTGTCTCCGGAATTCTCTTCTTTTCCAGGCCCCATGTGTACGCGCCGGCTGGCTGCGGATCGTGTTTTCCCTCGAAAGAAGTGGTTTTGCTATTAAGTTCAGTGTTTCGTCTAGATCGTTCTACCAGCCCTCGCTGCTGGGCTCAGCTGCCCGGGGATAGCGGCTGCTCCTGCCGGGTCGGCCCCGAAACGCCTGTCTGAGGCTCAGCTCAGGTGTCCAGGCCAGTGCTCGGGGCAGGGCACTCCCAGACAAAGCCTGAGCCTACGCCGGCCCCACAGGCATCCCACCTGCCCCAGGGGCCGACCCCCGGCCGGCTGCCACAGCTCCCTGGTCAGCGAGGCTCACTCTGGCCAGCTGGCACCCTAAGGCTCTGAAGAAGAGCGAGCACCTGTTAAGCACCGACTGTCTGCTGCTCGTGGACTCGCCTTCTCTCTAAACGGGACGTTCCTGGCCTTCTCCTTGCAGAGGGCGAGGTGTTGAGAGCTGGTGTTTATTTATCAAGTCCTGGTGCATTCCCAGGCCCCAGACGGCGTTGAAGGCACTGCTCGGAGGCACCGTCCTGTTCTCTGCACCACCCTGGGGGCGAAGGTGTGCGTGTCCCATTCCTTAGGTGAGGAAAATGAGGCCTGGGGAGCTGAGCGCCTGCCCGCAGGCCCAGAGATGGCAGTTCGGCCCATGGCAGCCTGGCCGTCACCGGGAATCATGGCCCTGCCCTGCCCTGCCCTGTCCTGCACTCCCTCTGAGAGTCCCGGGTCTCCCCCGGCGCTGGGCAGGCCTGTCACTCTTCAGCAGCAGCTTCAGCAGAAGAGCAGAGTCTCCACCGGGCCTCCCCAGGGCTGCCTCCAGGGGTAGGATCTGAGCTCCCAGGGGCCCTCGGGGGGCCACTCCCCCAGCTGTGCTTCCTCCCTGCAGGATGGGGACAGGGGCCCAGCACAGCACCCAGTGGGAGGCTGCTTCGACAGCTCAGGGCACGGCAGGGTCCCCACACGCATGGGCTGCAGGGTGGCTGCTCCCAGAGCTGCTGGGCCAGGCAGAGATGAAGGGGCAGTGAGGCCAGCCCTTGAGGGTGGGGGCGGCCACTGTTCATGTCCTCACTGGCCCCCCTTCCTGTCACTTGAGGTGGCCGGAGATCTGGGGACAAGTGCCCGAGCCCCCCGCCCCACTGACCACAGTGTCTCCCAGCGGCCCCTGGGGCTGGACTTGGCCCAGGTCCACAGGGCAGGTCTGTGGGAGTCGCAAGCCGTGCAGGGCAGGAGGGGCGGGCCGGAGTGTTGCATTCATGGGTCTGAGGGGCCCAGGATGGGACCGTCCCTGTCTCAGGGTCCCCCACCTGCCAGCCCAGCGCCATGCTGCCCAAGCACCATCCAAGTGGGTCCTGAAACCAGCAGCCAGGGCCACCCCCCAGTGCTGGCTCTGTGACCTCCAGGGCAGGGGTCCTTAACTTCGTGTAGCCTGGCGGTGACCCTGTGAGTCACACTCAGGACACTGGGCGCTGCGCTGATCCTGGGGGCACTTGGTGTCCCTCTCTCCCCTGCTGAGCAGCCCCGGATCGGCCCGGCCTTGCCCCTGCCCAGGTCCCCAGGGCCGAGCAGAGGCTCTGTGAGGCCGGCAGAGTGGATGGCGGGGCTTCTGGGACCTGGTACATTCGGAGGACCCAGGCTGGCAGCGGTGCAGCAGGCGGCCGAGGAGGGCGGGGTGGCCCGGGCATCTCTGGCTCTGTTGACTCTCCCAGGGGTGAGGGTTCATCGGGGAACACAATGGAGCTGCCCCCTTTGTCTCGTAAGACAGCAGCAGCTGCGGCCTGCCCTGAGAACTCCGAGGGCACCGAGCCCCAGGCGGTGTGGACCAAGGGTAACTGCCTGAGGCTGCTGAGCCCCGGGGGTGGGGATGGGCTCCCGGCTCCTCAGGCCCCACCTTCTGACCTGGGCCTGCAGTCCAGGGCCGGACACACGCGTTCAGGAAGTGTCCACGTGCAGGCCCCGTCCACCCTCGGCACTGCCCGCACCCACGGCCCACCTGGGGCACCAGCCCTGTGTCCCGCAGTTCCGCCCCACCCGTCAGCCCCAGATGCAGGTTCCCAGGCAGAGGGGCAGGAGGATCCTGTGGCCCCAGCCCGCCTCCCCGGCCCAGCCCCGCCCAGCCCGCCCCTGTGAGTGCGGGACTCCGCCTCCTCTGCTGCCCGGCCCCTCCCCCGACGTGTGCTTGCAGCTGCGCCGGCTCCGGCTCCGAGGAAATCCTTGGCTTTGCACAGGCCCTGGGGACTCGGAGTGCGCCTGGAACAGCCGGGAGGGAGCGCAGCTGGGGAGGCAGGGCGGGGCTGCTCTCCCACCCTGGATGGGACCTGGCTGGGGGCATGGTTTTTAAGGGGGGCAGGGCAGGAGCTGCTCCCCAGGGACCCCCACTAGGAGAACTGCACCCCTGAGCTCAGGGATCTGCCCTCCACCCACCAAAGGGACCTGGTCATGGGGCCTGTGTCACCATCCACAGGTGACTTCTCACCCTGCACAGGGCCCCAGGCCCCCCAACCTAGGGGTGAGTGTTCCCACCTTCCCCTTGAAGGAAACGCCCCGTCTGGAATTGTCACTGAGCCACCTTTGCTACTCAGGGTTCAGGGCACAGCCAGAGACAGAGGGAGGAGGTGGGGTGGGAGAAGTCAGTGTGGCCCCTCCCCCAGCTGCCCTGGAGCCATCCTTGGGGCCTGTGAGGCCGTGGTCAGCTGGGGCCTCGAGGTCAAGAACCGTGTGCCGGAGAGCTGGACGAGGGGCAAACCCCTGCCCAGACACCCCAGCGGGTCCCGCTGCTCAAAGGTGTCTTCCAGGAGCCCCTAGCCGCGGCACAGGCCGGACACGCTGCCCTGATGGGAGAGGGCCCTGTCTTTGGTCCCCGTGGAGGAGCCACTGCCTGAGTGGCCCCACAGTGGGCAGAGACTCTGCCAGGCCAGAGTGCCCCGAGGCTTGACCTGTGCCACACAAGCCTGGGCGCCCAGGAGCAGGGGCGGGAAGGAGGTCGCCTCTGAGCTCTCCCTGAGCGCCTCCCACCCAGGGTCCACACAAAACCTCGAGGGCCTCTGAGGTGAACCACACAAACACCAGTGTCCCCATTCAACTAAAACCCACGGGTCGGGGCGGTGGCTTACGCCTGTCATCCCAGCACTTTGGGAGGCTGACGTGGGAGGATCACTTGAGCCTAGGAGTTCAAGATCAGCATGGGCAACATAGGGAAACCCCGTCTATACCAAAAAAAGCCAGGATCAGTGGTGTGTGCCTGTATTCCCAGCTCCTTGGCAGGCTGAGGCAGGAAGATGGCTTGAGCCTGCAAGTCTGAGGCTGCAGTGAGCTATGATCATACCACTGCACTGTAGCCTGGGCGACAGAGCGAGACCCCATCTCAAAAAAATAAAATAAAATACATTTTAAAAATCAGTCATGAATTTGAGGGATGGCTTCAGGCATGGCTGGATCCAGGCACTTGGCTCTCCCGCCTGTCCCACTGCTCAGCTTGGCTTCTCTATGCCTTCGCTGTCCCACGGACAGGGCCTCCCCGATGCACTGAGCTTCCCCGGGAAAGAGGCCCCATCTCTCCTGCCCAGCTCTGGGGCAGCTCAGTTCTCCCTGGAGCAGGACAGTGCCTGGGATGGCTTGAGCATTTGCAACGCACTTCCTGCCACACCCTGGCCACGTGGAGGCCTGGAGGGGACAGTGGCTCCTGGACCCCCAGACCAGCCACCGCTCAGCCTCAGGCTGCCCGAGACACCCTAGGGAGGTGGCCTCTGGCACGGAACTCCTGCTCTGGAAAACCCCCACCCTCAGGCAGGCAGACCACCCTCTCCCAAGGGGAGGCCGGGGCAGGAACCACAGAGGGTGGGGGCAGCAGCCACCGTCCCTGTGGCTGAGGGTGGGTGGGGCCAGCCTGGCCGGCTCCGTGATCCTCAGTCAGGGCAGCCGCCTCACACAGTGGGGCTCTGAGCCCGGGGTGGGCCGAGAGGCGCTGCCCGCCACCCGCTGCCCGCCGGCTCACAAGGGCCCATTGTGCGGCTGTGGCTGTGGGCAGCAGGTGGCTGCCCGGTCCCACACGGGGAGGCCCTGCCACCAGCCGCGCGGGCGGAGGAGGGCACCGCGGGCACGGTGGGGGGAGCACGGGGGCCAGGGTGGGGCCCAGGCACAGCCCAGAGCCAGGGGCTGTGGCATGAAGGCGTCTATTCTCCGGTCCCAGCCCCGCCTGCTCCGCCGTGGCTGGGGGCTGCAGCCTGGACAGCTGTGGTGAGGCGGCCCCTGCCCACCACGGGCCCCAGGCCAGGGTCTGGCTGCACTCGGATGTGGCATCGCTGTGGCTGAGCAGTGGCTGGGCTGGGCACGGAGGGCTGGTTCAGAGCACAGCAATCCTGGTGGCTTCCTGGAGGTGGAGGAAGCAGGAAGAGCCAGACCACGGGCCCAGGAGCAGGGCGGGAGCGGGAGAGTTCACGCTGGGGCGGCCCGAACCTACCACCCCGCCGTGCTGGGTGACTCCTGGGTAACCTCCACACCACTGGCTGCCTGCAGCCTCGCGCTGCTGACGGCCCTGCTGTGTGCCTCAGTCTCCCCATCTGTGGCCAGGAGTGGGTGGCAGAACCTGTTAGCAGCTGAGAGGATAACATGGGCCACCCCTCCATGGTCACTCCTCTCAGAGCCCAGTCACAAGCTGGAACTACGCCCAGCACACGCCTGCCCTCCCGGCTCCCCTGGGCCACCCAGCCCTCCCCGAGCTGCCCTCCTCAGCTAGCTGGGTCCCAGCAGCCCCTCTTCCGGCCCCTGCCCGAGACCCACCCCACCCCACCCCGAGTGGTGCAGAGTGGCCGCCCGGGGCCCTGGGCAGCCCGCTCTGGCAAAGGCGGGGGACCCCGCTTGCCGGCTGGGAACACACGTAGAGGCAGATGCCAAGTCCCCCGGACCCCTCCCTGCAGCAGTGTTAGGTACGAACAGCTGGCTGGACGGCCCGGCAACAAGACGCTGGACCCCTTTCATTCACGATGGGGCCCAGGGCCAGGACACTCCTCCCACGTCCCCAGCAGACCGGGAGCACCTGGAGGGCAGGCCATGCCCCTCCCTCCCCACCCGGCCTGGGCTTCGGTGCTGGTGCAGCTGCTCCCCTGAGCAAGAGGCTGTCCCGGTTAGTGCTGTGTCCCTCGCTGTCATCAGGAGGTGACAAAAACTCGGCCCCCACCACAGGGTCTGTGTCAGAATGAAGCTCGGCTGGGCCTGGCGCTCCCTGGGCCCCCAGAGCAGGGTGGATGCGAAATCGTCATGGCGGCAGCGGCCCAGCCTTCGGCAGCTCGGTGCCTACAGGGGCACAGGGCCAGGGTGGAGCGGACTGTGTCTGTGGAGGGCCGGCCAGCAGCACTCTGGACCCAGCGCCGGCCGTGGCGGCTCCTCTCTGGCCCTGTGTGAGCTTCCAGCCACTCCCCAGGCCTCAGCGCTGCCACATCTGGGTGGGACCAGGTCTGGACCCCACCGTCGGCGGGGCCCCTCAGCACAGCTGTGAAGCTGCAGCCCCAGCCACGGCCACGGCCAAGCGGGCAGGGCTGAGCAGGGAGCACAGGCGCCTTCAGGCTGCAGTCCCTGGCTCTGGCCCTCACTTTCCATTCTGAGCAGAGCAATCCAGGCGGCTTCCCGGAGGTGGTGAGGAGCCTTGGGAGGCTGACCAGAGCCCAGGGGGCCCCACTTAGCAGACGAGGAAGCTGAGGCCCAGCCCTCGCCTGCAGTGCGGACGCCCTGGCCCACCCAGGCCCCTCTGTCCCTCCCTGGAGAGGCTTCTGTGCCTCCCAGCTGCCTGGCAGGGCAGGGTCTACGCAGGGCACCCACAGTCCAGTGGCCGGGAGAGGCCGGAAGCCTTGGCTCTGAAAGCGAACCCCGCCCCTCCAGGCTCCTCCCGGCCCCACCCAGCCCTGGGCCTGGGAGGCCAAAGAGGCCACCTGGGGCTGGCGGCTCCGCTCGGGGCTGTGAGCACCATGCCAGCTGTGGGGCTGTCCGGGGGCTTGGGGAAGCCGGTGTTAGGGGGTGCAGCTCTAGGTGACTGAGAACACTCAGCCCGACGACGCGCGGACGCCCCTCGCGGAGCCACAGGCAGTGCCTGACGCCACTGGGCGCCGGAAAGGGACGTGTAATTTACCGATGCCGGAACCAGGCTCCGGGCCACGTGAGGGCTTCCTCCAGCACCAGCTCAGGGCCACCTCCTCCGGGAAGCCCTCCTGAGGCCTCTCCCTCTCCTCCCTGGGCTCCCAGAGGAGCCTTGGAGCAAGGAGGCCAAGGGAGAGGAAGAGGCCCGGAGCTGTCCTGGCCCCACCTCGGCCCCCCAGGCGGCCCCGGGCGGGTGTCCCTGTGCTGGGGACACTCTCGTTTCTGGGCCGCATGGGGCAGGATGAGCTTCTGGGCAGTGCCGCCCGGGAGACCCCGCTGAGCTTCTGGGCAGTGCCGCGTGACTCCCGGCAAGCGGCAACCCCCTCTTCCCCTTCCCAGGCGCCAGCAGGCCGGCCAGGGGCGTGGGGGCGGGAAGGGGGTGGGGCAGGGGAGCGAGGAGCCCAGGGGTCCCAGGAGGAGGGCGGGGGGCTCCCTGCCCGTGGTTGCCTGGCGTCTGTCATGATGAGGCCGTGCTGCTAGAACGTGGCACAAATCGATTCTCCCCCAATTTCTTCCAGGGCCAATCTGGAGACGGATCAGACCAGGAATTCCACAGCCGGCAGAGCGGAGCCAGGCTTAATGCCGAGAAAACCGGCGCCCCCGCCGCCGCCGGCCCAGGGCCCCACTCACAGCCGGCGCCGCCTCCCGAACACCCTGATGCCCCGCTGGGGCCCTGAGGGTCCCCGCCTGCCTGGACCACAGCAAAGCGGCTGAAGTGGCCAACTGCCCACTGCCCCCAGGCCTGGGAGAGGCGGGAGCTGGGCCTGGCGGGGACCCCGCTGTCCATTTAGGACAGGGCTCCCCCAGGTCTGTGGACAGCTGCCCAGAGCTCCCTGCCGGCCGGCTTCGGGCTACGGAGGGTACCAAGCCATCGCTTGTCCCTGACTGTCTTCCTGCACGGTCCCTAAGACCCACCCGAGGGGTCCCTGACCACCCCCCAGAACGGCCCCAAGGCTGACCCGAGGGGTCCCTGACCACCCCCCGGAACGGCCCCAAGGCTGACCCGAGGGGTCCCTGACCACCCCCCGGAACGGCCCCAAGGCTGACCCGAGGGGTCCCTGACCACCCCCCTGGAACGGCCCCAAGGCTGACCCGAGGGGTCCCTGACCACCCCCCTGGAACGGCCCCAAGGCTGACCCGAGGGGTCCCTGACCACCCCCCTGGAACGGCCCCAAGGCTGACCCGAGGGGTCCCTGACCACCCCCCTGGAACGGCCCCAAGGCTGACCCGAGGGGTCCCTGACCACCCCCCTGGAACGGCCCCAAGGCTGACCCGAGGGGTCCCTGACCACCCCCCTGGAACGGCCCCAAGGCTGACCCGAGGGGTCCCTGACCACCCCCCTGGAACGGCCCCAAGGCTGACCCGAGGGGTCCCTGACCACCCCCCAGAACGGCCCCAAGGCTGACCCGAGGGGTCCCTGACCGCCCCCCTGCACGGCCCCGGTCCTCCTGCTGCTCTCAGCCGCCCGTGCTCATGCGCAGTTTTGCGAACTCAGCATCAGGCACATCCTGTTTTGTGCTGAGCCAGCTCCAGGCGTCCCCTCAGGCTGTGAGCTGCAGACCTTCCAGGCAGCTCAGCCAGGTGTCCTCCAGTTCCGTGAAAGGCTCTGCTGGCCGAGGGGCGGGCAGAGGGTTGGGCTTTCCAGGGAGGCAAGGACCGGGCATCCTGGGGCCGTGGGGGCAAACGTGGCCTGGGCCAGGGTCTGACCCCCAAGTGCTGACTGGGGAGCTGCAGGCTCTGGAGCTGGAGCAGCACCGGGAAGGGGCGGGATGGGGATGGGCCGGCCTGGACTTCGGTGGATAAACCTTCCTCCCACTGTGGCACCGTCGATGCAGAAGGGAGGGTCCTCCCCACAGTGCTCTGGCTCGAGGCAGCCACGTGGCGAGGTCCTAGTGTCCACGCCACCCGCCCCACCCCTTGAAGGCTTTCTCCTTGGTGGGCTGGCCCTGCCTGCTTCTCTGCAGCCCCCACCTCCCTCCCAGCTCCAGCGCCACCGGTAGTGTCCACGCAATGCCCATTCCTGCTGCGGGACCGTTTTAGTTGCTATTCCTGGAATTCCTCCACCCTAGATCTTCGCTCGTGAACTCCATCTCATCCATCAGACCCAGACAAAAAGATCACTTCCTCCAAGAAGCCCTCCCTGACAGCCACCTGTGCCTACATCGTGTGGTTTTCTCAGTAGTGCCTGTCCCTCACAAAAATGACCTGGCGTGTGTTTTTGCCGCATTGTCAATCCCTCCCTGCCTTCCAGTGTGTACTGCTCTTAAGCTCCACCCACCATGGCCCATCCTGGTGCCTGACACCCTGGAGGCATGCAGTGAGTGTCTGCCTGCAAAGCAGCAAATGAGTGATTATTAGAACTCCCACCCCGGCCAAAACTGAAAGTAGAGAAGCAGCCCTCAGGTTACACGATCCCCCACATCTGGCACTCAATTCTTTTCAGGGAATTAACCAGCTGTTTTGGGGTCACGCATACCCAGGCTGATTACAGCCATTTTTGTAGGTTGATTTGAGTTGATGGAACAGAACAGAGAGTTCAGTAATGGACCAAGCAGATGGGGCAGTTGGCGCACTGGGGCTCGGTGGAGGAGGGGACAGACCCCACAGTGACCACACCATGGGGATGACTTTCTGTCCGTCACATACACATAGAGCTAGATCCCTACCTCACACCAAGCACAGATGGAGTTTTGCTCTTGTTCACCAGGCTGGAGTGCAATGATGCCATCTTGGCTCACTGCAACCTCAGCCTCCTGGATTCAAGGGATTCTCCTGCCCCAGCCTACTGAGTAACTGGGACTAGTCACGCCTGGCTAATTTTTTGTTGTTGTTGTTGGTAGAGATGGGGTCTGCCTATGTTGCCAGGCTGGCCTCAAAATCCTAGGCCCAAGTGATCCCAGGGTGGTCCATGAAGCAAGTGTGCCCTAGGCCTGGCACCCAGGGCAGAGGTATCCCAGGCCTTGCCCTTCCCTGCTGGAGCTCCCAGGCTGCCAGGGGATGGGGAACCAGGACAGAGCCCAGGAAAGAAGGCCTCAGAGGATGAGGATCCAGTGATAACGAGAGGGGGACCCTTGGGGAAAAGTGGGAGCTTGGGAGGTGTCAGGGGAAGGTGGGAGCTGGGGGTCTGGGGAGGAGGTGGGAGCTGAGAGTCTCAAGGGAAGAAGGTGTGAGCTGGGGGTCTTGGGGAGGAGGTGGGAGCTGGGGGTCTGGGATGAGGTATGAGCTGGGGGTCTGGGAGGAGGTGTGAGCTGGGGGTCTGGGAGGAGGTGTGAGCTGGGGGTCTGGCAGGAGGTGGGAGCTGGGGGTCTGGGAGGTGGGAGCTGGGGGTCTGGGAGGAGGTGTGAGCTGGGGGTCTCGGGGAGGAGGTGTGAGCTGGGGGTCTCGGGGAGGAGATGTGAGCTGGGGGTCTGGGAGGACGTGTGAGCTGGGGGTCTCGGAGGAGGTGTGAGCTAGGGGTCTGGGAGGAGGTGTGAGCTGGGGGTCTGGGAGCAGGTGGGAGCTGGGGGTCTCGGGGAGGAGGTGTGAGCTGGGGGTCTCGGGGAGGAGGTGTGAGCTGGGGGTCTCAGGGAGGAGGTGTGAGCTGGGGGTCTCAGGGAGGAGGTGTGAGCTGGGGGTCTGGGAGGAGGTGTGAGCTGGGGGTCTGGGAGGAGGTGGGAGCTGGGGGTCTGGGAGGAGATGGGAGCTGGGGGTCAGGAGGAGGAGGTGTGAGCTGGGGGTCTGGGGAGGACGTGGGAGCTGGGGGTCTGGGCAGAGGAGGGTCACAGAAGCAGGACATGACTTGGGACAGGGCAGAGGCTTGTGCAGGCACAGGGCTGGGAGCCGGGCCACATTCCCTCCTTGGTGTGGGGTGAGGGGCACCCCAGCTTGGGGACAGGGGCGCTGGCACTCAGGCAGCCCCGACGTTGTCCTGGGTTCACTGTGCTGGGGCGGGGGCTCCTACTGGGGCTCTGTGGTCCCACAGCCAAAGCCCCGCTTTCCTAATCACACGTTGGGGCTTCGGCAGGAACCTCAGCAGGACCTCGGGGGGACCTCGGCAGGAACCTCGGTGGGGACCTCGGTGGGGAGCTTGGCGGGGACCTCGGGGGGAACCTCGGGGGGGGACCTCGGGGGGAACCTCGGGGGGAACCTCGGCGGGGACCTCGGTGGGGACCTCGGGCAGAACTTCGGGGAGAACCTCGGCGGGAACCTTGGCGGGGACCCTGGCGGGAACCTCGGGGGGAACCTTGAGGGGGGATCCTCGGCGGGGAGCC
The DNA here is from genome assembly GCF_000001405.40 of Homo sapiens. Lineage (NCBI taxonomy): Eukaryota > Metazoa > Chordata > Mammalia > Primates > Hominidae > Homo > Homo sapiens. The sequence goes on along the minus strand of NC_000016.10, from coordinate 1,040,415 downwards.
TCGGCGGGAACCTCGGGGGGGATCCTCTGGGGGGAACCTCAGAGCCGAACCTTGGGGGGCCCTCAGGGGGGAACTTCGGGGGGGACCTCGGCGTGAACCTCAGCGGGGCCAGGCTTGTGGCAACTTGGGCCTGGCTGTTCTCTTGGAAGGACGTTTCCAGCCTCTGGGCCCCAGAAGACCCTGGCACGTCCACTGCCCTCACTGGAATGGGACCACCTCCACCTCCCGGGGCCCCAAGGCCCGGGTCCCGGGCACAGGTCGCCTCTTTCCTCCTCAACGTTTTTTTTTTGTTTGTTTAGTTTTTTGTTTGTTTTTTTGTTTTTTTTGCCCTTAAGACCCAAAGACAGAGGCTTCACCACGTTCAGGTAATGAAACTGGCTTTTGTGAGACTTGCGTCAGACCAGCTGTGTGACTTTGGCTGAGCTACGTAACCTTTCTGAACCTTATCTCTGGGCTCCCGTGAGAACTGAGAGTGAGGAAGGCCCGGGGCCTCACAGGTGAGTGTCTCACCAGGTGTGAGAGCTGCTTCCCGCAAGGTCCAGCCTGCGAGGGTGTGGGCTGCCCAGGGCTCCATGGGGCTTAAGACCCCAGACTCGAAGGCAGCCTGGTTTGAGTCCCGGCTCTGCTGCACTCTGGTCCTGACATGGGGGGACATCACTCGGCCCCTGCCTCAGTTTCCCCATCTGGAAAGGGAGGTGCCAGCCGTAGGTGCTTCAGCAGCCCGTGGTGGGGAAACCTGGACATGGCCCCACCTTGGAGTTTTAGGGGCAGGGAGCAGGATGTCTGGAGAGTTCCATGAAGTTCTGGGACCCAGCAGATCCCCGAGCATGGGCAGGGCTGGAAAGACTGGGACAGGCCCTGGGCAGTTTCAGGGTCCCTGGATGGACGGAGCCTGGAGCCAGGGCAGTCAGCGTGTGCATGTGTGTGTGTGTCCACCTGCGTGTCTCTGCACGTGTGTGCGTATGACTGCCTGGGGGCGGGGACTGAGGGGACGCTAGCTGGGGTTAGCACCCCTTTCCTGCCAGTGATGACAGAGTGGCAGGGCCAGGGGTCCTAGAGAAGGTCCCAGCCCCTGGTTCAGAGGGAACACTGAGACCTAGGTGGGACCAGGCCGGCCCCAGGGATGCAGCCGGGGTGGGCCGGTTCCTTCTCTCCATGCAGGGCTGGGCTGGAGGCACAAGCTTCCAGAAGCGACAAGGAAGTAGTCTGGGACACCTGCCTGCCTCTCGTTCCGCAGCAGGGATGGTGCCACCCCCTCAACCCGGCCTGATACACGCAGAGGACAGACATTCCCAAGCAGCCCATGGCTCTGCCTCCCTCTGAATCTGCCTGGTACCCATTCGAACACTCAAGGCTCTGATAAGGCCTGCACTGACAGGTCCAGCTAGCGCTGCGTAACCTGTATTTCCCCGGGTCATTTGGCTAGAAGCCCTTTATCTGGAAAATCCTGAGGGACCTTCAGAGGACCAGGTTGTAGTTCACACCAAGAAGCAAGCTCCGTGCGGCAGAGCCCAGGGGACTCAGGGCCGTGCCTGGTGCAGTGCAGCCCCCCGGGGGGCTCCGTGAATGAGCGCCTGTGTGAATGGGTGAGTGAGTGGAATTCACAAGTGGAGCATGAAGGCTGAGTGGCTCTTCCGGCCCCAGACGCGGTGCGAACTGCCTGTGTTGCGGGGCCGGAAGCGGCAGGGTAGATTCTGACCGAGGCTGCTTCAATGCCTGGCGCCCCTGAGGACGGGGTCCCAGGAGAACCCCCGGCGTGGGCTGCAGAGCAACTCCCCCGAGAAGCCGCCCGGGAGCTCACAGGCGACCAGGACATCGTCACGCAGGGACAATGCCAGGGTCCGAGCGGGGCAGCTATTGAGGGAACTGCCCTCACCCTTGGTTGAGTAAATGAAAGAACGCTGGTGCGTGTGATGGGCTACGGGGTCAAGCAGACGTGGGGCGCCCCTGAAAGAGCAGCCGGCGACGTGAGGCTTCGTGGAAAGAAGCCCCCAGGAGCCAGGGCTGGAGCAGAAGGCAGGGTGGTGGGAGCGTCAGCCTCTGCTGCTGCCGTGGGCTGAGTGTGTCTCCCCAGAGGTCCCAGCCCTTGGCACCTCCGCATGTGACTGTACTTGAGGACAGGCCGTTAAAGACACAATTCTTTTAAAACGAGGCCTTCCGGGGGCCTAATGCAGCCTCACAGTGCCCTTCCAGGGAGCAGAGGGCTGGAGACGCGCACACAGAGGAGAGGCCTGTGGGGACCTGGGAAGGCGCCATATGTGAACCAGGAGGAGACGGCGGGAGAAGCCCACCCTGGTTCACAGGCTCCAGTGCGGTGAGGGGAGCGATGTCTGCTATGTGAGCTGCCCCGTCTGTGGTATTTTGTTTTGGGTGCTCCCAAATGCAGCTGCTTTAAACAATTGAAGACCTCGCTGTCTCACACGGCCTCTGAGGTCTGAGAATCGAGAAGGGCTTGGCTGGGTGGTGTGGCTTAGGGAGACATTACCATCAAGCTGTCAGCCAGGGCCGAGGTCACCTGAAGGCTGGCCTGGGGCTGGGGGAGCCCTACCTGGGGTCCACCTTGCCCTCTTCCATCAGTGCTGGGAGTCAGGAGGTCTTGGCCCCTACACATGGCCCCTCCATGGCGCTGTCTGGGCCCTCCCGACATGGCTGCTGGCTTCCCCAGGTCAGGAGGCAGAGGCTGAGCCCCCTCACAGCAGTTACCCACTTCATGGGCCCAGGCCTGACCGGGACCGGGACCTTCCTGGCACTACCAGCTCAGGATCTGTCCCTACCTCTGATTTCGGCTTCTTTCAGCCACAGGCCGCAACTGGCAATTACCAAAGACAAACCACAAACAACTGTACGTAATCTCCTGAATCCCCAAAGCGGCACGGGAGGGCTGGCAGTCTCCAGGCGGATCCCGTCCCAGCCGCAGGCTCCTCCTGCCCCCGATGAGCAGCCTGGGGCACCCCCCTCCACCCCACCCCCCACGAGCGGCCCCAGGCACCCCCCTCCACCCCACGGCGTCGGGATTCCTGGCTCCCTCCTGATTTGGGCAACTCTAGGATTCCGGGATCATCCTGGCTGGGAGGCGGCGGGTGCTTCCTTGGAGCGGGCGAGGAGGGAGTGGGGCCTCCTAATCACCAGCGTGCTGAAGACCTGGCTCCAGGACACGGAGGTGGGGGGCAGGGGATACAGGTTACAGGCTCCAGGCTCAGGAGCTGCCGAGCACCATCAGCTGAGCGCTGAGATGAGTCATGGCCGCAGGGCCACTTCCCTGCATGTCTCTGCCCGCTGCTGCCTCGGCTGGCTGCCCACACACGGGGCTCCTGGCCCCTGGGGAGTGACAGCCCCGTCCCAGCTACAGTGTGTCCCCTAAGCTTTGAGGTTCCTAGGTGGGGGCAGGGACTCCCTGACAGAACCCCAGGTAGGATACCCTGGGCAAGAAACCACACTGACCCCTGCGCTGCCCACAGCACACACAAGGAGAGTCCCTTGAGGAGTGGGGGACAGATCAGGGTGGAGCCAGTGTGGGCAGGACCCTACTGGGGGGATGGCAGGTGGGGCCCCACGGGAGCGCTGGACCGCAGGGACATGGGACGGCGTGGGCCGCTCTTGGGTGCAGTTCATTGCCCTGGAAGGGTGCAGTGGGAGAATCACCATCTGGGGGTCTCTGGCTCTGAAGATGGAGCCTCCACCAAGGCCCCTCGGGGGCAGAAACTGCAGAAACCCACATCCAGGACAGGGCACAGTGCCAAGCTCCCCCAGGCAGTGGCCCCTCAGGCCCCTCCCCGGGGAACCCCTCCTTCACAGCACCAAGCTCCCAGGGCTGTGGTCCCTCACGCCCCTCCCCGGGGAACCCCTCCTTCACAGCACCAAGCTCCCCCGGGCGGTGTACCCCACGCCCCTCCCCGGGGAACCCCTCCTTCAGGGATTCCTCAGGCTGGAGGGGGAGGAAGAAGGCTTCCTGGGTCCCTCCCCGCTCCCAGACCCCCAGAGGAGCAGCCACACACAGGGACAGTACGGGCAGAGCTCATGTCTTGTTCAGCCCCGTGGGGCCCCGATCAGGGTCAGACTCCAGGCAAGGTCTCAGTGCCAGGAGCTCATTTGCAGAGGAGGAGGGAGCGACGAGGAAGCTGGCCGGGCTCTGTGCACCCGCTCCCAGGCCCTTCTGGTGACTCAAGGGCACCTCAGGCTGACGGAGCTCCTGGGGAGTCCCACTGTGTTCCCCGGGGCCTCTTCCCGCCAGGCCTTGGTGCCCTGGTGCAGGGGCAGTGACCGAGGCCCCAGTCGCAGGACTGCAGAGCAATCCCATAGGTGGAGGCCCCGCCAGGCAGCCAGGCACAGGCACACAGGAGGCACCTAATAAATGCAGACGCTCTTGGGGTGGGGGCAGTGAAGAAATTTAAGGTCCCCACCCCAGCAGTGGCCAGTGTGCCCTCCCTGCCTCCACGACTGGCCTTGGGGGGTTAATGATGGTGGTGGTGGGGTCCTCAACCCCTCAGGCTCTCCCCCTCCCCTCCTGTCCACTCACTCAGCTCCTGACAGGGCCCCGTTGTCCACTGAGGCCCATGCCAGGAAGATGGGACGTAGGCCATGTCCCTGCTCAGTGGCACCCTGGGCTGGCGGCTGTGGGGGCCTCAGGACAGGGTTCTGGCCAGGCCCATCACCTCCGCCTCCTCACTGGCTTCTGTCCACAGCAGTGGCATAGGCCAGCCGAGAACGTGGGCCCCACCACTTCCGACCTGCATGGCGCCAAGCCTCAGTTTCCCCATCTGCACCTCCAGGGAGGTTGAGAGTGTGAGAGACGCTACGTGGCTGATGCTGAACTGGCCCAGGACTAACCATGCATCCCCTCACTCCCCGTGGCCCTCCAGAACCCAGGAGCCCCTCCTAAGCCACGGTTTCAAGGCCTGGCAGTAGCCTCTGGCTCCCCACTCCTCACAGTCCCCAGACTGGCTCCTCCAGACAGCTGAAGGTCAATTCTGTGGTCGACAGCCTCAGACCCCCAGCCCTGCCAGCCCCATGAGTCTTGGAAAATAGGCCAAGACAGGGTCAGAGGGTGTCGGTCCCTGCACCCCAGGCAGCGTCCGCTTGGAACCAGGCAGCCCCAGGACTCTGCCTGTCCATCCCCTCCCCAGAGATTCTGCCCCTCCTCTGCCCAGCCCCACACTGGCTTCCAGGGCTTGAGCAGCTGGGCCGTGTGGGCCAGCATCTCAGCCAAGCCCACCCCCTCGCCACCCAGCCTGGCATTGTGGCATTGTGCCCTCATGCCCCAGCAGAGCCCCAGCCTAAGACGTTGCAGGCAAGGGGGAGCCACTCCACCTCGAACCCCCCAACCCTGGCCCAGCCACCTCCACACACCCCAGGACTCCCATCCAAAAGCCTGTCCTCTAGAGTCTGAATCTGCTTGGACCAGCAGCCATGTCTTCCCTCCCCGAGCTTTCCCCATCCAAAGGAGGGGTGAATAATTAGGTTGCTGTAAACTGGAAATGCTTTTCAGCTGCAGTGGCAGGAGCCAGTGGGTTCAGCCTCCCACCCGGAGCTCACAGCTGCAGGCTGGGCTGACTGCCTGGTGTCGGCAGAGAGGCCAAGGCCCTGGGAGGAGGGTGGGCTGTGAGGGGCTGGGGCATGACTGAGACTCCCCTCCCCTCCCATTCATTGCTCACCAAAGTCAAACATGTGGAGGGATGGACAGATGGACAAATGGACAGAGGGATGGATGGATGGATGGATGGATGGATGGATGGATGGGTGGATGGATGGGTGGATGGATGGTTGCATAGATAGATAGGTGGACCAATAGATAGATGGAAGGACGGATGGATGGACTGGTGGGTGGATAGATGGATGCGTGGATGGATGGGTGGATGAATGGATGGATGGTCAAATAGATAGAAAGATGAACCAACAGATGGATGGATGGATGGATGGATAGGTGGATGGGCTGGTGGGTGGATGAATGGATGGATGGTTGGATGAGTGGCTGGCTGGCTGGCTGGCTGGATGGATAGATGGATGGACAGGTGGATGGATGAGTACATGGATGGATGGATGAATGAATGGATGGATGGATGGATGGATGGATGGATGGATGGATGGATGGACTGGTGGATGGATGAATAGATGGATCGATGGGTGGATGGATGGATAGACTGCTGGGTGGAGGGATGGACTGGTGGATGGATGGATGGATGGATGGATGGATGGATGGTCAAATAGATAGAAAGATGAACCAACAGATGGATGGATGGATGGATGGATGGATGGACTGGTGGATGGATGAATGGATGGATAGGTGGATGACTGGGTGGATGGATGGATAGATGGATGGATGGGTGGATGGATGGATGGATAGATGGATGGACTCGTGGATGGATTAATGGATGGATAGGTGGATGGATGGATGGATGGATGGATGGATGGATGGATGGATGAGTGGATGTACTGGTGGATGGATGAATGGATGAATAGGTGGATGGATGGATGGTTGGGTGGATGTATGGATAGCTGGGTGGGTGGATGGATGGATAGATGGATAGACTGGTGGATGGATTAATGGATGGATAGATGGATAGATGGATGGATGGACTGATGGATGGATGGATAGATGGATGATGGATAGGTGGATGGATGGATGGATGGATAGATGGGTGGACTGGTGGATGGATGGATGGTGGATGGATGGATAGGTGGGTGGATGGATAGGTGGATGGATATGGATGGATGGACTGGTGGATGGATGGATGGATGGATGGATGCATGGATGCATGGACTGTTGGATGGATGGATGCGTGGATGCATGGACTGTTGGATGGATGGGTGGATGGATGGATTGATGGACTGGTGGATGGATGGATGATGGATGGATGGATAGGTGGGTGGATGGATAGGTGAATTGATGGATGGATGGATGGATGGATGATGGATGGATGGATGATGGATGGATGGGTTGATGGATGGATGGATGGATGGTTGGATGGATGGGTTGGTGGATGGATGGATAGATGCATGGACTGGTAGATGGATTGATGGATGGATGATGGATGGATGGATTGATGGATGGATGGATTGATGGACTGGTGGAAGGATGAGTGGATGGATGGATGATGGATCGATGGTGGATGGATGGATGATGGATCGATGATGGATGGATGGATGGATGGATGGTTGGATGGATGGATGGATGGACTGGTGGATGGATGAGTGGATGGATGGATAGATGTATGGATTGGTGGGTGGATGGGTGGATGGATGGTGGATGGATGGATGGATTGATGGATGGTGGATGGATGATGGATGGATGGACTGGTGGATGGATGAGTGGATGGATGGATAGATGGATGGACTAGTGGATGGATGGATGATGGATGGATGAATTGATGGATGGATGAGTGGATGGATGATAGATGGATGGACTAGTGGATGGATGGATGGTGGATGGATGATGGATGGATGGACTGGTGGGTGAGTGGATGGATGGATGGATGGATGATGGATGGATAGATGGACAGGTGGATGGATGGATAGGTGGATGGGTGGATAGGTGGATGAATGGACTGGTGGCTGGATGAGTGGATGGATTGATGGATGGATGAGTAGATGGATGGATAGATGGATGGACTAGTGGATGGATGGATGATGGATGGATGATGGATGGATGGATTGATGGATGGATGGACGGGAGGATGGAAGGATGGATGGACTAGTGGACGGATGGATGGATGGATTGATGGGTGGATGGATGCATAGGTGGAAGGGTGGATAGGTGGATGGATGGATAAATTGATGGACTGGTGGATGGATTGATGGATGGATGATGGATGGATGGATGGATGGATGGATTGATGGACTGGTGGATAGATGAGTGGACGGATGGGTGGGTGGATAAACAGTTAACAGGGCATGGTGTCTGGGAGGGCAAGACTTCAGCTCCTTTCCCTGGGATGTGGGGTTGTCTGGGGCGGAATCCCCAGCCTGGGAGTGAGCCAGTCCTTGGCCGTCACTGGACTGGTCCCGGGGGAATCACCCTGGCTCTGCCCTTGGACCTGGGGGGTGGTTCTACAGGGCACATCCCATGTAAGCGAAATGCTGGCTCTGGCCTCTTCCTGGCAAGGATTTGGAGTTTGGGGCAGCCACCTCCATCCCCTGATGCTGAGGATGATGGGCAGCAGTCCAGTCCATCTGGAAAGTCAGGGTGGACTCCAGTTTCCGTCAGCTAGAGGTCATCCCTGGGCCCTGCCTGTGTGCCCGGTGGCCCTGGGCTGAAGGGTGGCCCCCAAAAGGTACGTCATCCAGAAACTGTGAAGGTAGCGTTGTTTGGGGAAAGGGTCTTTGCCGATGTGGGTACATTAAAGATAACTAGATGAAACCACACTGGATTGGGTGGGCCCCAAATCCTCACAGGGTGACCTTGTAAGAGACAGCGGTGGGAAAGATGCAGACACAGAGAAGGCCGCGTGAAGACCGGCAGGGCTGGGGCGACACGTCCACAAGCCCAGAAACGCCGGGATGGGCGGCAGCCACCCCAGGGAGCCACTCCCTCAACCTGGGGGGTGTAGGCCCCAACCTGGGCATGTTTGCCACCCTAAAGCCCACCAGAGCCTGTGCAGCCCCGGCAGCCGGTGTGGGGGCCGCTGTGCCCGCAATCCAGGGCGGGTGGTCAGCCCCACACTGCCCACCGAGCGCTGCATTGGGTAGCTGAGGCTGGGCACCTGACCTCCCTGAGCTTCAGTTTCCCCATCTGTATGGTAGAGGCAGTAACCGGCAGAGGCAGAGCCTGGAAGCTCCCCCTGAGTCCAGCACCTGGCCGGTGCCCAAGATGGCAACTCCCCTCCCTGCCCTGCTGAGCCCTGGGCAGTCTCCAGGGAGGTGGGCTCTTCGGGAGACTGGGGTGGGGGAGACAGGGATCCCCTGAAGTTGTCTCAGCAGCATCAGGGCTCCAGCCCTGGCTCCCACCTGACAAGGAACAGTGTCCCAGACTCTGCCAGGTGACCAGTCTCGCCCTCCGATGGCCATGGTGGATGGAGGCCTCACCCCTCCTCTGAGCCCCCATCAGGGGCCCCCCAGCTTCCCTTGGTCTACATGCCTTGGGGAGGAGCAGTTGCCTGGCAGGTCCCTGACTCAGAGGCCACTGTTACCAATATTGTTATCCTGTTAACGGGAAGCCACTGTCTCCCACCCTGCAGTGGGATCGCAGCCTCTGAGCCCACTGTCCATCTGGCCTAAGGGACCACAGACACCCTCGCTGAGCCCCGGTGGGGAAAGCCGAGCCCCGGTGGCGAAAGCCAAGCCCCCACACCCAGGTCCTGGCTGAGTCCTGCCAGTGTGGCCTGCATGGTGGGCAGCCCCAGGCCCCCTCCGGCCAGCTCTCGGGTCCAGGTTGGGGGAACAGAGCCCACTGCCAGCCCCGGCTCATGCCCTCCAGACAGGTCCACAACACACGCCGGGCAGCAGAGCCAGGCGCAAGCAGCATCGGGCAGTGGCGATGCTGGGGCCTTGTGATGCGCCAGGCCCTCGGGTGCCCCCACAACATGGATCCCTGAGGGTGCCAGGCACAGAGCTCAGAGAGCAAGCCCATGGTGTGGGAACCCACGCCCCGGAGCCCCCTGAGCTCCCCAGGCCCGTTAGCCACCCCGCCCTCTGAGGTCATTTTCCAGCCGGCCCACACCCACTGGAAAGAGAGCCCAGAACCAGGAGGGCGCCCGCCTTGCCAAGCCGGAGGGGAGCCACGGGGGGGCGGAGGAGGCAGTGGGAACCCGACCAGGTGGCAATTTAAACAGGAGGCGCAGCGGCCGCCAGGGAGCGGGCTGTCAGGGGGCCTCATGGCGGGGTGCTCAGGCCGGGAGCTGGCTCCGCTCAAGGACAGGCCTCCAGGGAGGCCACACTGACACGGCGGGGGCGGGGTCTGTGGCGAGAGACGCCCGCCAGAGCCGGCAGCAGCCCTGAGCCCTCCCGTGGCCCCAGTCTGGGCCCCTCCCCCACCCCCACTTTACAGATGCGGGAGCTCATGCACGTGGAGGATCCCAGCCGTGGCGTGACCCGCGTTCAAGCCCAGTGGGCTGTGCCGTGCTGCGTCTGTGCGCAGGGCCAGCCTTGGGGACAGACCCGGAGCCGAGTGGCCGGGCCACGCATCTCTCCCGGGGCTGCAGGGAGCACGCCCCACGACAGGATGCCTTGAGATGCCAGAAATGCGTTCTCTCTCAGCGCTGGGGGCCAGACACCCCAAATCAAGTGCTGCTCCGAGGCTCTGGGGAGGACACCTCCTACGGCTTCCAGCTTTGGGCACCGCCTGTGTCCAGGAATCACGCTCATCGCTCAGGGGTCCTCGGCCAGCATCTGCCTTTCTCTCTCTCTTCCTTTTTTTTTTTTTTTTTTTTTTTGAGACGGAGTCTCACTCTGTCGCCCAGGATGGAGTGCAGTGGCATGATCTTGGCTCACTGCAAGCTCTGCCTCCCAGGTTCAAACACTTCTTCTGCCTCAGCCTCCCAAGTAGCTGGGATTACAGGCAGGTGCCACCACGCCCGGCTAATTTTTTTGCATTTTAGTAGAGACGGGGTTTCACCATGTTTGTCGGGCTGGTCTTGATCTCCTGACCTCGTGATCCGCCCGCCTCGGCCTCCCAAAGTGCTGGGATTACAGGTGTGAGCCACTGCTCACACCCAGGAGAGCCTGGCCTCTCTCCACTTCTTATAGAGACAAGTCCTTGGAGTTGGGGCCACCCTGAACCCTGCGTGCGCGCCCCTGCCTTGATTACATCTGCGAATACCCCACCTCCGCACTAGGCTGTGTTCTAAGGTTCTGTGTGGATGTGGATGTTGGGGGCTCAGCACAGCACCCTGGGAGAGTTGGTGCGCTGAGGCCTCAAGCCAGCCTACCGTGGGCAACGTCTGGAGAACAGGCAGCGTCTACTGGGCCTGGGTGCACAGGCTGGAGGGAGGTGGTGGCCCCGGGGTCCCAAGGCTGGACTGGAGTTGATGCACGTGGCAGGTAGTGGGCTGCCAAGCTCGGGGTAGGGGGAGAGTGGGCAGGACTCCCGCAGCCCCGCAGCCTCACTCCCCGTGCAGCCCGGCAGCAGGGAGCCCCCAGTCGGGGCTTGAGAATTGAGCAGTGCCCGCGGAAGGGAGCAGGCGGAGTGGGGTGAGCCCTGGGACCCCAGCAGCCGTGCTCAGCGCCGGGGGGTTGGGGAAGCAGCTGCAGGCCCCAGAGGGGACGGCCAGGAGAGTCTTTGGACAGTGAACCAGAGTCCGGAGTCAGCCTCCCTGGTGACCGGAAACAGCCACGTCCACCCTCCCAGTGGTGAGCAAGAGGATGGGTGGGGCTGGGGGCTCCACTCTGGGGAAGGGGGCCAAGGCCTCCAGAGGCCCGTCCGGATGGGCTGGGGCAGGGGCAGGGGCAGTGTCTGGCAGGCGGCAGTGTCTGCAGACGTCCTCCCGGGGCTGCACGGCGCTGGGCTGAGGGGAAGCAGCGGTGCATGTTGGAACGTGGCCCCGGCCCCCCACACCCGCACAGAGCATCCCAGGACCCCGGTCCCAGGCTCTGCAGGAAGAGGGGCCATCTGTTTTCCGTCGGGCAGACAGTCGAGGGGCCGCCCCTCCCAGGTGGGAGGCTCTGCAAACCAGCCGCCCGCCCCGACAGGAACGTGAGGAAATGGTGAGAGCAGGGCCGGCAGCACTGAGGTCAGGGCGGGTTCCCCTCCGTCCTCCTCGGCCGCCCCATGGGCACAGTCCACGTCCCCGCCCTGCGGTCAGGAAGCTGAGCCTTCCGGCAGGTCCCAGGTGCCATGCAGGAGCAGGATGGCAGCAAGGTGTCCCCAGGTCCCCGAGACTCAGTCCCAGCGCCCGCTCCCGTCAGCCACACCGGCTTCTCAGCCTCGCCTCATATGAGCTGGTCCCAGGGCAGGGTCTTGGACATGGTGTCCGGCAGTCTCTCAGGGGCCCCCAGACCCTCCTGCTCTTGCTCCATGGTTGCTGGGAGAAAGGAGCTCAGTGAGGTATCCTGGAGGGGCCAGAGCTTCCATCCAAGCAGGAGAGTGTGGGGCGTGGGGGTGGAGGTCCCCAGCCAGTGTTGGGGTACACGGCTCCGGGGAAATGTTCACCCGCTGTGGGACCCGTGTAGGGCTCCTCAGACAGCCGCGCTGAGTCACCATGCGTGTGGGCGTGTGCCCTGAGGAGCTGACGGCCAAGCACAGACCCCGATCACAGCAGCTCCCTTCACATGAGCCGGGCTGGGGATGGGACTTCACGAAAAGGGAAACATCAGCACAGAGAAACCAAACTCCCAACAGGACTCAAGCAGCCACAGAAGGATCTTGTCCTTTTTCTCCTTTCATCCATGGGAATCCTCCATCGTTTCCACCGTGGGAAGGAGGCACCTGCTGCTCCTGTGGGAGGTGGGGCCCACAGGACCCCCTGGGACCCTCGGCTGCACCACGCCTGCCTCTGCCGCTCCGTGTCCAGTGGCCGGGCCTGCTCCGGCCAGCGGGGCCCCAGACCAACCGGCCCCACCTCCCTCCTCCCCCGAGGGCATGCCGGGGTCTCTGGCCTTCAGGAAGGGCCTGGCCCAAGGTCCTCACCTTGCCCATCCGTAAAAGAATATAATACAATATGACATTCTTATATTTAATAATTATTGTAATGATTATATTTAATAGCCAATAGGACGCCAGCCGCCGTGAGAAAGAAGTCATTCACTACGGTGATGTGGTCAGCAGCGCCCGGCCCGCGTGCGCTTAGGGACGGAAGGACGCCACCCTCCCTGCCCCCACCACCGTCACCGTTGTCACTGTCGTTTGGAACGTTCCAGAACTCGCAGCCCACGGGGGTAAAAAATAGCACGGGAACAACTGTTCCCTGAGGCAGGCGTTGATCTCAGAAATAAATTTGCATCCGTGTTCACTGTAACGCGTTCCCAGAATGTGAACAAAGGGAGACTTTCTGTGATCTCCCTGCCGAGGATTCTCAGTGTGTGTGAGGGTTCATCCAGCTCAGCCCCCAGCCCCGTCTCCCCCACGGGGTCTTTGGGCAGGTCTCTGGGCCTCCCAGAACCTCCATGGTCAGGTAGGAGACAAGACTGTGGCAGGTCCCCAGGCCGGTGAGTTATTCAGGGTATGCGGGTGCAGAGAGCCGTGCCACATGGTTCGGGATTAGTGAGCTCCAGCGGTCTGGACTGAGGGCGGCACGTGGCCTGAGAGGTTGTTCCAGCCCTGCCCAGGCAGCATCTCCAGGCAGAGGCGCATTCCTTTCTTAGGGCTGCTGTGGCAAATGACCGCACGCTGGGCGGCCTCAAACCACACAAATCCCTGCTCTCGCAGCTCCAGAGACTGGAAGTCAAAGCCACAGTGTCGGCCGCTCTGTGGGTCCTGTGGGGATCCTTGGGTGTCCTCCTGCCTCTCCTGGTTTCTGGCGGCTGCCGCTGTCCTGGGCGGTCCTGGTGGTGGCCACCTCGCTCCAGTCTCTGCCTCCATCTGTGCTCGGCCTCCCTGGACCTGTGTCACCTCCTTTTCTCCTAAGGACCCACTCACTGGATCCACGCCCACTCTCAGCCAATATAACCTTAATGCTGCCAATTACACCTGCCAAGGCCCCGCTTCCGAACACGCTCACGTCCCACAGGCACACTGGGGTGAGGACCCTGGCACACAGCAGCACCCAGCCATGCCCACCTGGCAAGCAGAACAGAAGACGCCCCCACTGCTGCATGAGGGCTGAACCGGCCCCGTTAGCTGCCGCGGTGCGGGGGACCTGGCGTGGGGACCGGCTGTGTCCTTGGCCCACCGGGCAGGACCCCCTTACCACTGCCTTGCAGACAGACTCCAGCCTATGGGTTGCTGGCAGCCTGCGGGGCTGGGGCCTGTCACCACGGCAACAGGGGAGCTCCCCACACCGCCTGAGCGCTGTCAGGGCCTGGAGCAGCTCCAGCAACAGAACTCCAGCCACGAATCCGAGCTACATGTGCAACTGCGAACGTTCTGGTGTCCACAGCGAAGAAGGTGAAATAGAAGACGTGAAATTCAAATTCATGCTAATATTTCACTTCACCCAGTTTATCCACAATATTATCGTGGCAGCGTGCAGTCAATATAAAAATAATGAATGAGATGCTTACATTCTTTACCTAACAGCTCTACTGAGATGTGATTCACACAGCACGCCACCCAGCCACGGAAGCACGCAGCTCGAGGGGCCTTTGCCGTATTCGCAGGGCTGTGCGAACGTCTTCACTGTCGCTTTCAGAACATTTTTATCAGCGCAAAGGGAGTCCCCCCCAAACCACCAGGCACTCCCACCACTCCCCAGCCCCCGCCAACCAATGGGCTCCGTTCTGTCTCCGGACTTTCCTTCTCTGCACCTGTCGTGTAAATGGAGTCACAATGTGCGTCCTTTTGTGTCTGGCTCGTGTCATCGTGCGCCGTGTTTCCGGGACTCATCTGTGGGGTGTCTGTACGTCTTTCCCTTTTATGGCTGCATGATATAGCCAGCCGGCCGCGTCCGTGAACTCCACTTTTGGGGATTCAACCAACCTCAGATGGAAAATATATCTTTTAGTGGAGGGCTGCGTCTGTGCTGAACACGGACAGACATTTTTGTTGTTGCTCTTCCCCAAGCCACACGGTGTGAGAACGGCTTCTGCGCGTGTGCCTGGCATTGGGGTCAGCAGGGACTGCAGATGATGTAAAGTTACACCCTGTTTCATGTGCGGACACCGCACGCTCCACACCAGGGACCTCAGCACCCTCCACATCAGGGACCTCAGCACCCTTCACACCAGGGACCTCAGCACCCTCCACACCAGGGACCTCAGCACCCTCCACACCGGGGACCTCAGCACCCTCCACACCGGGGACCTCAGCACCCTCCAAGCCGGGGACCTCAGCACCCTCCACACCGGGGACCTCAGCACCCTCCAAGCCGGGGACCTCAGCATCCTCCACACCTGGGACCTCAGCACCCTCCAAGCCGGGGACCTCAGCACCCTCCACACCAGGGACCTCAGCACCCTCCAAGCCGGGGACCTCAGCACCCTCCACACCTGGGACCTCAGCACCCTCCAAGCCGGGGACCTCAGCACCCTCCACGCCGGGGACCTCAGCACCCTCCAAGCCGGGGACCTCAGCACCCTCCAAGCCGGGGACCTCAGCACCCTCCAAGCCGGGGACCTCAGCACCCTCCAAGCCGGGGACCTCAGCACCCGCGGACCCTGGTGTCCTCTGGGGTTTGGAACGACCCCTCACGGATACTGAGGGACGATGGCTGCCGCCGTATGTCCTTTTGCGTTTGGCACTTCACGGAGTTGCCGGCCGGCCACGTTCCCGGGTCTCAGCATCACAGTGGAGCTGGAGCCGTGTGAACACCCAGGCAGGATGGGGCTCCGGCCCAAGCCTCAGCAGGCGATGGCTGACCCCGGCAGTACCTTGAAGAGATTGTGTTGCAGCCAGGAAGAGTCAAAGGCTCTGGCTTCCAAGAAGAAAGAAAGGGTGCTCCCTCCAGAGATGTTTTCTAACCGGCTACTCAAGTATAGTTTTTTTTTTTTTTTTTTTTTTTAGATGGAGTCTCGCTCTGTCGCCCAGGCTGGAGTGCAGTGGCGCAATCTCGGCTCACTGCACGCTCCGCCTCCCAGGTTCAAGCAATTCTCCTGCCTCAGCCTCCCAAGTAGCTGGAATTACAGGCGCCCGCCACCACGCCCGGCTAATTTTTGTATTTTCAGTAGAGACAGGGAGGTTTCACCATGTTGGCCAGGCTGGTCTCAAACTCCTGACCTCAGGCAATACGCCCACCTCGGCCTCCCAAAGTGCTGGGATTACAGGTATGAGCCACCGTGCCTGGCCTTGTGTGTGGTTTTCTAAACAGAATGGGCTGTAAGTTTTTGGGGAAGCATGGGAGGAAACATTCCGGATCTTCTGGGGTGGAATAAGCACCGGCCGCGCTAGCTGCCGTGGTGCAGGGCCCGGCGTGGGGACTGGCTGCGTCCTTGGCCCGCCCCATCTGCCCTCGCTGTCCCCTCCCTGAGTGCCTTCTGTGCTGAGCAGTGGCCATCTCCATGGTGACGACAGGGCAAAGGCAACCTTCTCAGGGATATCAGGCGTCCAGGCCTGGGAGCCACTGTCAGCTGAGCCCCACCTGTGACGGGACAATGTCACCTATCGGGTGGTGCCCGCTCCTCTCCCGGGGCCCTGCCAGGGAGCAAAGAAGGGGCAGCGGTGGGAGTCAGGCCAGAGCCACGTCTCCACCGACAATGGCTGGCAGCCATGCATTGCCTCCTCTGAGCCCGCAGCCGGACCCCCAGAACATGAAGGCCTTGAGGAATTACCACGTCCCCGACCCCCAACAACGTGTGCGGCTGCTGGTGGGGGCCAGCCCGGGGCAGGAGCTGACTGTGCTGACATTCCCACAGTCCTTTTAGATTGTAGATGTCGCCTCCTTTACAGACAAGGAAACTGAGGCATGGAGGAACAGACCATTATTCAGGGTCACCCTTGCCTGAAAGGGCAGGGAGGGGGCTTCCCCACTCCGACTTCACAAGTGTGACGGTTTGTCATGCATGGGGTGCCTGGAGGGCCTGAACCCCGAGGGCCCTCCTCCTGCTGCCATGGCCAGAGTGGACTGGCCGGACAGCCAGGCTTGGGAAAGTCAGGTGCTCTTTTCAGCCTCTGTTCATGGTTAGAGGAACCTACGCTTTGGAGCCGGGAGGACTTAGATCCTGAGACTAGGATTAGCTCCAGGGACTTGGAGATTTCTGACCACCCCAGCTGGGTCCCAGACGCACCTTCCTCCGAGGCTGCCTCCCTCAAGGGCCACCCAACCAAGGGGACGCCACCCGGAAGAGGAGAAGGAGCCAGGACCCTGGGACGCGGGGAGATTGTGCTCTGGAGATAGACGTGGGTGGAGAACGTGCCTGGCAGCGCCAGCCTAAACATGCAACCGACCGCCTCCTAAACCTGTCCAGCAGACCTCAGAGCAAAAGCCCACACCAGCCACATGGGTGCCAGGAGCCCCAACCCCGACTTCTCTGGAGGGGCCGTAACTCCAACCAGCAAAGGCCTTTCTTACTGGAAGCTGCGGCGTCTTGCTGTGACCTGAGGGACCAGGGGAGCCGATTTGATGTCGAAGATCCTTTCTCCTGCCCTGGCCCTGACGCTTCCCCTGCCTTTCACAGACGGGAAACTGAGGCACAGAGGCCTGGACGCTGCCCCAGGGTCTCCCCAGCCCGGTATCGTGGGGCTGGGACTTGGACCCAGGGTTTTCCCAGCCAGGTCTTCTTTGCCTGCTAATTAATATTCGTAACACCAGTGGTGCGGCGCCCTGACCCCTCCCTAGGCCCGGCCCGCCCCGTGCCCCCCGCCCCACCCAGTGCCCCCACTCTGCTCCGCGAGGCCCGAGTAGTGGTTTCTACTCTGCCCACTTCACGGACGTAGGTGCTGGGACTCGGAGGAGCGGGAAGGGGTCTGCCGAGGACACCAGCTTGGAGGCGGGTTCCAACCACCCCCGCTCCTGGCCCCTGTGTCGGGAATGGACTCAGTTCAGGGGGACTTCCCTGCATTGCGACAGGAAGGACTCCGTGGGGACCAGGAAACTGAGGCACGGGGGGGAGGGCGTGGCCTGCTCTTCGTCACTCCCCACCAAGCCTCAGCTGGTGCCGCTCAGCGTGCAGCCCCCGGCAGCCCCACCGCACCCAGCCCTCTGCCCGTGCTTGGACCGGGACCCAAGACTCTCCACGCGGCTCACCCACCAGGCCCAGGAGGCGACCCGAACCTGAGCCTCCATGCCTACGTGAGACTTGGCAGCCGGTGCGCCCCGTCAAAGGCCTCCACCCCCTGCTGCAGGGCCCGGGCTGAGTGCAGACAGGGGACCCCTGAGGCACCCGTCAGACCCAGACTCCCTCAGGTGGGGCTCCCCCAGTCACGCTGTCTTTCCCCAGGAAGCAGGAACCAGCGTGTCCTGGCCTCAGGCACCCGGGTCGTCAGCCGGTCCCAGCTCTGTCTGGACACTCCGACAGGGAGACGCAGCTTCTCAGGGGCACCAGGCGTTGCCCCAGGGATTCCGCCTGTATGCCTGGGTGGACTGGGTGGGCCCATCACGCTGGAAGCGGAAGGAAGCTCTTGCAGAGGTAGCTCGGCTGCTGGCCAAGAGGATTCCAAGGGTGTTTTCCAGGCAAATCAGGAAGTGGGATCGGCTCCTTCATCCAGCCCCCAGGAGGGGCCCCACCTGGCTGCCTCCCCGGTGAGAGGACCAGACGGCCCCCAGCTGCAGGTCCCACAGAGCAGCACTCAGGCCTTCCTCCCCTGGTCAGCCAGCCCTGGCCAGCTCCTCAGAAAAGAAAAACCAGCTTTTGCTTCGCCGGGGTCCCTGACAGCTGGACTCCGAGCCTGCAGCCCTCACGGTCCGGCCACACGTGCCCAGGGGCTCTGTACAAGTACAGGTCCCCACCTCAGCTGGGGAGGGGACAGGAACAGGCGCCAGGGGGTGCAGGAGCAGCTGGGCCCGCGCTGGGGTGTGGGAGGGGCCGATCGCAGGGGGTGCTTATACTTGAGGTGCCAGACCCCCAGGGGACGTGTGAAGACTCCCGCTCCCTAGGGAAGGACGGAGACCTGGGGTGAACAAGCTGCTGACGGGGTCCAGGACCCAGCCAAGGGGTGGAAGCCACTATGAGCCCAATACCAGGACCTGGGCCAGGAAGGGCCGGGCCGCTGGCCAGAGTGGGGACGGCTCAAAGGCAGGTGGACCCCAGAGTCCTCCTGTGGCCCGTCCTCGGCTCTCCTCGTCCTCCCTCTGTGTGCAAGCACTGCCGCCAGCCCAAGGCAGGCCCTACTCCACCCGGACCACGGCCCTGCACCCCTGCCGCACCCTCCACGGCAGCCCCACCACGCAAGCAGGGCCACCTCCGCAGCCGAGTGCATCATTCCAGCTAGGAAACCCCCACGTCCCTCCTTTGCCGGGGAATTTGCAGAAGCAGAAGTTTGCTCAGATACCTCGAAACCCCCGGCAAGGGTCACGGCGGGGTGAGGGCTGCAGGCCTTTGCTCCCGAGTTCCCCGTGGGCCTTGGGAACAGACGCCTTGGAAGCAAATTCCGGGAACTCCCAGCTCCCGGGCTCAGGGGTGAGAGGGGGGTCTCCAGGGGGTCTCGACAGCATAGCCCGGGTTTTCTTCCTGGGTGTGGGGACACAGGCCATGGGGGCAAGGCCAGGGGAGGCGGGTGCAGGCACAACCCCTGTCCGCCGTGTGACTCGGGCGAATCACTTCTCCTCCCTGAGGCCGGCTCCCGCCTCCACCTGGGTCCCCCTCCCGACTTGGGGGCAGCATCCGCAGGGGTGGACGCCATGCTTCCCAGCGCCCCGCCTGCCTGCTGGGAGTGGGCTGCGGCCTTGCTTATCTATCAGCCCCTGGCGTGAGCTGGGACGGGGTTGCCCCCTGCCCCTACCCAGCTGGGCCGTGTCTGGCTTCAAACAGCCAAGGAATAATGGACGTTCGCACGGAGCCGATCAAAAACCCCTCCTAGGGTGACCCCTCATCAGGCTGGAGCCAGGGCCAGAGGTCAAACTCATTAGCTCAGGTAGCATCTGCCACCCCCAGTCCTGTCCCCAGGACGTCCGCAGGCCCTGGTGCCCACTGGCTTTGTGGGGTGACCGGAGGTGACAGAAGGGAGGTGAGAAGTCTGGTCTCCCCCTGAGGCTTTCCCCCTGCCATGGGTGGGGTGAGCCTCCCCACCGCCTGCCCTCCCTCCACCCTCGTGCTACAAAAGGCCCCCCCAGGGCTGCTGCCCTCAGGCCCCTGAGCCTGCCTGGTCCTCCCCTCCCACCCGCCCTGAGAGCAACACGCACTCACACCCCTCCCTGTGCACCAGGACCGCACAGAGCTGCCAGGGAGCTGCAGATGCCCCCAGAGAATCGTCCTTGTGCCCGGTAGCACCCAAAGGGTTTGTTATTCTGGGGCCCGAGGGCACAGCCAGAACGGGTCCTGCAGGTGGAGAGGGGCTGCGGGAATGCGTTTTTCTGGGAGGGGTCTGCTGGCTCCTGGGACACTGGGAAGCCAGCTACTGCCCCAGAGGTGGCCTGGAGGGACCTTCTGCAGACAGCTGCCCTGCCCCCCCTCTGGCTGTGCCCTGCAGAACCCAGAAGGGGTAGCTTACAAGGCGTGGAGTCAGCTCCACTGCAGCCAGTGGTCCTCACATATCTGGCCAACAGGCGAACCCACAGGGCTGTCACCTCTGCTACCTGAGGGCCCGACGGGGAGTTCTCGACCGTGTCCCGGCCAAACCCAGCGCCTCCAGACACCAGCAAAACAGCCACATGCACCCCGCGCTATCAGCCACATGCCTCATGCATCTGACCCCAACAGACCACGCCTGTAGAGCTTGGGGAGAGGCTTCAGCGATCATTGCAGCAGGAAGCCGGCCAGAGAGGCGGCCCGATAGAAAGTCACGGCTGCCAGACACTCAAAGGCACTTCGAAAGAGAAAGTCAACGGGACAGGTCCCAGGCATATTTAGGAGCCGCAAAGCCCAGCTGCGAAGTGGGGTCCCCGTGCGCGAGGCCTGCAGGCGCCTGCGCCCTCCGCTGCCTTCCCTCAGGGCTCTGATGGGTTTGCCATTTCCTAGCACGTGGACGGGAAAGGGCCCGTGGGCTGGGGGTGACCGGACGGCGGGGGGTCAGGACAGCGCCTGTGGGGGTGGCCTTCCGGCTCGACTCAGCCGAGACGCCAGCGCAGGGCCAGGGCCGGGGCTGCTGCCGGCCGGACACCCGTGCTGTACGGCGCTCCTCGCCCCGGGGCTTCATCTGCCCTTGCCGGAGCCTTCCCGGCTCGCTGGTTTGTGGCCGGCTTAATCCCACACTAATTAGATTTCTGCGCTGGTGATGAAAGGGCTCCGTGCGTGCCAGCCTGCTGGCCGGCCCAGCCCACTGCTTGTTTTGCACAGAATTTTAATTGTTTCCAAATTAATCCTCAGAATCGAGTGAGCTCAGCGCAGATAAGCCAGCTGCAGGGAGGGCAGAGTGCCGCGTTCCCATCTTCCCAGCCAGCGCGGCCGCCGCTCCCGTGGGGTGGCACGGGGAGGCCGCCTTCGGACATGACGCGATCGCCCAGCAATGTCCTGTGCCTCTTCCCGCTCAGCGGCTCCGAGAGCCCCGCCAGGCGCCCGGCTCTCGGGGAGTTTTCCTTCTGTTTGCTCTTGGCTCAGCTTCCCTCTTAATCCTATTTTCGCCAGTTTCTATCCAATTTAAGACAGCTCCTGTAAGTCAAAATTAATTACCCCGTGGGCTTCCAGCCCTGTGGTCTCGCTGCTCACTGTTCCTGCAACCTGGGGCTGGGCTCCAAAAGGAGGAGGGGAACACACCCCCAATGTGAGGGGGGCTGGGGGCCCCACCCCCGAACCAGACTGAATGTGGGGCGAGGTCCCCACCCCACATTTCAAAGGACCAGGCTCCTCCATCAGGAAGTCCTCCCTGACTGCCTCAATCTTCCTGAGCTCCCCTGACACCTAACGCTGGGCACACTCTTCCCACCACACCTGTGCCTGCCCATGCCCACATCCACGCATGTGTGTCTGCACCCACCCAGCTCACCAAGGGCCTGGGCTCCATCCACGCATGTGTGTCTGCACTCACCCAGCTCACCAAGGGCCTGGGCTCCATCCACACATGTGTGTCTGCACCCACCCAGCTCACCAAGGGCCTGGGATCCATACCAAATGTGTTCAGCCACATAGAAATGAATAAAGGCCAGGCACAGTGGCTCACACCGGTAATCCCAGCACATTGGGAGGCCAAGGCACGGTTGTTTGAGCCCAGGAGTTTGAGACCAACCTGGGCAACATAGCGAGACCCCATCACTACAAGAAATACAAACATTAGCCGGGTGTGGTGGCGTGCACCTGGAGCCCTGACTACCCAGGTGGCTGGGGCAGGAGGATGGCTGAGCCCAGGGAGGTTGGGGCTGCAGAGAGCGGTGATGACGCCACCGCACTCTAGCTGGGGGAGTGACAAAGGGAGACCCTGTCTCAAAAAAAGAAAATAAATAAGGACACCAAAAGCAACAAAAGGCACACAAAATGTAGAGAGATATTTGAAGTTAAAGACTTTTTGTGTCTCACAGGCCACCATCGAGAAAGTAAAAAGACAACCCACCAAATGGGGGGAATATTTGCAAGTCATTTATCTGATAAGGGGATATATAATATCCATAATACATCAAGAGCCCTTACAAGTCAACAATAAAGGCCGGTTGCGGTGGCTCACACCTGTCATCCCAGCTCTTTGGGAGGCCGAGGCTGGTGGATCACCTGAGGTCAGGAGTTTGAGACCAGCCCGGCCAACGTGGCGAAACCCCATCTGTACTAAAAATATAAAAATTAGCCGGGCGTGGCGGCGGGCATCTGTAATCCCAGCTACTCGAGAGGCTGGGGCAGGAGAATTGCTTGAACCAGGTAGGTGGAGGCTGCAGTGAGCTGAGATGGTGCCATTGCACTCCAGCCTGGGCAACAAGAGCGAAACTCTGTCTCAAAAAAAGAAAAAAGGAAAAAAGAAAAAAAATAAAATAAAAAGACAAATCACCTAATTTAAAATAGCAAAGGATCGAAACAGACATTTCTCAAAGAAGATACACCTGTGGCCAACAAGCACGTGAAAAGATGCTCCGTGTCACCAGCCACCCGGGAAACCCAAATCAAAGCCACGATGAGAGGCCACCTCACACCCATGAGGATGCTTATGTCAGGAAAACCAGGCTGTAGGTGTTGGTGAGGATGCGGAGAAACAAGTCTTCACGCACTGCTGGCAGGAATGGAGAATGAGGCAGCCAGTTTGGAAAACAATTTAATGGTTCCTCAAAAGTCGGAACCTAGAATTAGCACATGACCTGGCAATTCCGTTCCTAGCCATCTACCCAAGATAACTGAAAATATATGTCCACACACACATTTGTATATGGATGTTCATAGTACTATTCACAATAGCCAAAAAAAAAAAAAAAATGAAAGCCACCCAAACATCCACTAACAATTGAATGGATAGATGGGGGACAGTTCACCCACGCAGCGGAACACTAGCCTCACAGAGGAAAGAGATTCTGACCCTTGCTACCGGATGGATGAACCTTAAAAACATGAGTTCAGTGGGAGAAGCCAGACACAAAAGGCCCCGCATCGTGTGATCCCATTTATGTGAAATGTCTTGAATAGGCAAACCTGCAGCGACAGAAAACAGATTGGTGTTTGTCTAGGGCTGAGGGAATCAGGAGTGGGAGGATCCGGAAATACTGATGTCTAAAGGTTGAGTGATTTCTTTCTTTGTTTTTATTTTTTATGATTTTTTTTTTATTTTGAGACGGAGTCTCGCTCTGTCGCCCAGGCTGGAGTGCAGTGGCGCAATCTCGGCTCACTGCAAGCTCCGCCTCCCGGGTTCACTCCATTCTCCTGCCTCAGCCTCCCCAGTAGCTGGGACTACAGGCACCCGCCACCACGCCCAGCTAATTTTTTGTGTGTTTTTAGTAGAGACGGGGTTTCACTGCGTTAGCCAGGATGGTCTCATGATCCGCCCGCCTCGGCCTCCCAAAGTGCTGGGATAACAGGCGTGAGTCACCGTGCCTGGCCAAGGTTAGGTGATTTCTTTTGGGAGGTGATAAAATGTTCTAAAACGGATCATGCTTAGTTCGCACCACATGCTGGCATCCAAACATCTCATGTGCCCCATAAATATATATACCTACTGTGTATCCACAAAAATTAAAAATGAAATAAAATCGATGGTGATAATGGTTACACAATTCCAGCACATTTAGTGGGCGTGCTAAAATCATTGAGCCGTCCATTTTAAAATGGTGACTCTTATGTGAATTATGTCTGAGAAATAAAATTATGAAAAAATTAATAAAGAGCAAACAAGGAAAGAAAAAAAATGCCAAAGAAACTACAAAGTTCAGAGAGTGCCCAGAACCCTAAAGAGGCAGCCAGTGCCAGGGTGGGTCACACTCCACACAGAGCTTCCCGGCGGGCAAAGCAAAGATGGAAACACCCGCAGTATGGGGGGCTGTGGGGTACCATTTGTGGACGATTCACTCCGCTGAGTGTGCCCAGGTGTTTGTCAGGTGTCAACTTGGCTAATCCCAACAAGGTCCGGGCAGGAGGAGGGCTATGTAGATGGGGAAACTGAGGCAGGCCCAAGGTCACCAGTTGATACACGGCAGAAGCCAGACCAGCACCTCAGTGGTTGGGATTGGAGCCTTTGCTCCCAACCCTGTGAGGCCTCCCCACCTCGCCCACCTGCCTGCTTCAGGGTCTTATTCCCTAGAAGGCAGATGTCACCCCCGCAGGATGTCACCCCCTGCAGGGGCCACCACATGCCCCCTCTTTCCAACCCAGGGCCCTCTGCAGCCGGTTCTTTCTTTCTTTTTTTTTTTTTTGAGACAGATTCTCGCTCTGTTGCCCAGACTGGAGTGCAGTGGTGTGATCTTGGCTCACTGTCACCTCCACCTCCTGGTTTCAATATTCTCCTGCTTCAGCCTCCCGAGTAGCTGAGATTACAGGCACCTACCACCACGCCTGGCTAATTTTTGTATTTTTAGTAGAGACAGGGTTTCACCATGTTGGCCAGGCTGGTCTCGGACTCCCGACCTCAGGTGATCCACCCGCCTCGGCCTCCCAAAGTGCTGGGATTACAGGCTTGAGCCACCGCGCCTGGCCTGCAGCCTGCTCTTAAGTTCAAGGAGACGCCACTGTGGGTGACCTATCAGACCAGGCCTGCAGAGCTTGGGGAGAGGATTCAGGGATCATTGCAGCAGGAAGCTGGCCCTTTCCAACAACCACCACGACTAAAGTCTGAAAAATATTTGAAGCCACAAGGATTTTATGAACACGAGGGCCAGGAATGGGTCTGGGCGCTTGTTGGTGCCCTGGCTGGAGAGACCCCAGTCTCCCATGAAGGCTGTATAGAGCAGAAGCACGCGACCTGTGGGTCTGGGCACACGGCTGTCTCTCTGAGGCCAGCTGCTGGAGGAGGCCTGTCCCTGGGTGGACATCAGCAGGAGGAGTGGGCTTCAAGTGACCACAGTTCCCAGGGCCAGCCCCGCACGGAGGCCCCTCAGACCCACAGCTCAAAGCAGAAGGGCCCGGGGTCCTCAGCCAAGACCCCTGCTCCCAGGACGGCTGCGCCCACCCCTGTGAGTGCAGCTCCGCCCTGTCCACCGCCCTGTCCGCCTCTTGTCGGCTCTTCTGGAAACCTCTGCAGTGGACTCGACACAATCCTGAAACACCAGCATCCCCGGGGCCTGCAGGAATGTGCTCCTGCCGGGTGAGCTGGCTTAGACTGGGCGACAAGAGTTCTGTGTGTGTGTGTGCGTGTGTGTGTCTGGGGGTGGGACTGAGGCCTGGGGACTATCTCAGCAGTGCTGGGGCTCTAGGGATCCATGGGAAACAGTGGGCTGAGTGTGCTCTATGTTCTGCTGCAGGCTCTGAGGGCTACAGGCCTTGCCTACCCTGGCATGAGCTGCTGGCCTGCCCTCTGCTCTGAGCAGATGTGGGGGTGGGTGGCATCTGGCCACGGAGAGTGGGCCAGGCCCAACACACGCAGCCCAGACCTCTGTCCCGGGGCAGCCTCCCAGGAGGAGCCACCTCCAGCCCTCGCCACGTCACCTCCGGCGTCAGGACTGGCCAGGCCACATCCTCTCCAGACCTGGCCGTCCTTCGCTGCAACCTCGGAGAAGCCACTCTCCTCCTCACCGGCAGCACCTGCCCTGGGGACCCCTTCGTCCCACTCACCTCCAGCCTGGCTGGGACAGGGAGACGACTCTGGGCCAGGGGAACTGGCCCTCCCGGCACAGGCCCTGCTCAGGGCTGGGAGGGAGGCATGGCTCTGTTCTCCCTTTGGTGAACAAGGAAGCCGGCCTCGGGCACTGAGTCCTCCAGCAGGGCAGGCTGGCCAGACAGATGGGCAGGTGGACCCATGGAGGCCACAGCCCCCACTGTAGGAGGCCCCCTCGGCCAGCATCAGAGAACAAGTCCACCCCACTCCACGGACTGGAAGACCGAGACTCACAGGGGCCCGGGGCCACCCCTCAGAAGCCCACACACAGAGCCCAGCCCCACAGACACAGCTCACCCACTCAGCTCACAGGACTGAGCCTAGGATGGGCAGAGGGGACCTGGAAACCCACCCCAGCCCCAGCCCCGCCAACACCTCCTACCTGGAGGCTGCAACGAGAACTGTCAGGGCAGGAGGGGGGCTGCAGGCGCTGGGGCCGTAAATCAGGGCTCCCAGCAACCCCCAGGCCTGGAGGAATTCCAGGCCCCTCCACCGTTTCCTCCCAGCCAGAAGGGGTGTCCTGGGCCCACAACTCGGCTCCCTCCCCGTAGTGGGTACAGAGTGGATCATGAGCTTTCCTGGGCGAGGTCCCCTAAACCAATTCTCTCTCCCCTCTCCTCTCAGCCATCCCAGCTACAGGGAGGACACCGAGGCCAGGAAGGGGGGCGCGTCCATTGCCCCCCAGCTGCATGACGCAGAGTTGGACCCACGTCCAGGGCATGCCTCCGGGTGCAGCTGCTCTAAGCCCAGAGCACTGTGGCCTCTGGAGCACCACCAGTCTCCACAGCCCACTGGCCTGCCCCTGGGTCACCCCAGGCCCCGCCCAGGCCCCCTGGCAGCCTCTGCCTGCCCAAGATCCGCCACCACCCTCCACAGCACCGTGGCCTCCGGAGCACGGTCCGATGCAGGTGGAGGAGGCGCTCCCAGCCCTGGCAGCTACAGCCCCTCCCCAGCCACCAGCCTGGGCCAGGAGCTCCTGTCAAGAGCTGGACACCTGTCCTGGGTTGGTCCTGCCTCACCCAGCGCCCAGCCAGCTCCTCCTCAATGCCACCAGCCCAGCCCAGGACAGAGCTGAGCAAGCAGATGCTCAGGACCAGCCGGAGGGGCCACTTAGGCGGGCAGAACGCAGGGGCCAAGGAGCACCACAGGAAGATCCCAGCCCCGCTGGCGATGGGCACCTGCGTGCAGGCAGAGGGCAGCACATGGAACAGCAACACAGGCCTGCAACAGGACGCAGTGAGGGGGCGCAGGGCTGCACAGTGGTACACGTGTGTGTCCTGTGTGTGCACATGTGTGTCCTGTGTGTGCATGGGTGTGTCCTCCATGTGCACGGGTGTGTCCTGGGTGTGCACTCGTGTGTCCTGGGTGTGCACGTGTGTGTCCTATGTGTGCACTCGTGTGTCCTGGGTGCACACACGTGTGTCCTGTGTGTGCACGTGTCCTGGGTGTGCGTGCATGTGTCCTGGGTGTGCACGCATGTGTCCTGGGTGTGCACACGTGTGTCCTGCGTGTGCGCATGTGTGTCCTGGGTGTGCATCTGACTGGGGGCACCTGTGGGTTTCATCCCCCACCCCAGCCTGCCCCCAGGTCACACCAGGCTCTCCAGGCCCCCAACAGCCTCTGCCCACCTGAGGCCAAGCAACCCCGCAGGTGTCCTGCCCTGCTTACTCCCAGACCAGCCCCACCTCTGCAACCACCCCCCGGGGTCTCAGCCAACAGGAGGTTCCAGTCCCACAAGTTTCAGGAACCACCTGCGGCCAGTATGGGGCTGAGGGTTGGACCCTCGGCCTCACCCTGTCAGGCGCCCCCGCCTGCTCTTTGACATGGGGAGGGCACACAGGTGGGGGCACAGCCCGGTGAGTCCTCCGGACCCTGGGCAGAGGGGCAGGATGCAGGGGCAGAATGCTGACCCCCATCAGCAGCCACCAGGATGGTGTCCTGAGCCTGAGGGTCCCAGGCTCTCATGGCCCTTCCCCGTGCTCCACAGCACTCCAGCCGCCTGCCTAGTCCATGTGGGTCCCAGAGGAGCTGCTGGGCTCTGGAATCATCTTGGGAAAGGCAGGCAGAGGCTGGCCGAGGGTGGGGTAATTCCTGCCTTCCTGGGAATGGGGACAGCCTCAGGGGAGCCCTGGAGATGGATTTTCCCCGATTTACCCAGCTCCCCAGCTCCTCCCAGCAAGATGCTGGGGTGTGGGCTGCTGTGAGACTCCCCATCCCGCGGACCCTGCCTGCCTGCCTTCAGGGTCCCCTGAGTGTTACTAAACAGAGGGGCAAAGCGTGGCCCCCAACGCCCTGAAAGGGAGCCCGCGCTGCGGCCCCAGTGCGGAATCAGGTGCTCAGATCGTTCTGCCGGAGCCTCCACGTCTCTTCCAATGTGCACAGGAAGGGACCCCGGCAGTGTCTCAAACCTGCCATGGGGAGTCTCCTTTCAAAGTAGACTCGAAGCTGAGGGTGACTTGGAAGAATATCGGGCGGACAGGACCACGGTGGCCCGAGGTCCTGCGGGCAGGCTGAGTGTTGGCCGGAGGTAATTCGGGCCTGAAGGTCTCTGTCCCTCCTGCACTGAGCTGTGTGCTGCCCTCTGGGTGGGGCAGCAAGGAAGAGGCGCCCCTGTCGCCCGGGTGCTCCTGCTCACACCAGGGAAAGGGGCAGAGACAGAGAGGGCCCCTCTGTGGTCTGACCCCACCGGAGGAGATGGTCTCCTGGACGCCAAGGCAGGCCACACACGACGTCTGCTTCCTCGGGGGTCTGTGGCCTTCCACCTGACCGCCAGGCACATTCCCGGTCACTCTGCTTTCTGCTCCCCCGTTTGTCTCTCTGCCCTGGGAGAGTCGGGGCAGCTGCAGCCCTTGTGGGACCAGAGCAGGGCTGAGGCACGGTGCGGAGACAGGCAGGGGACGCCTGCCATAGTGGAGTGAGGGTCGCCGAGGCCAGCTGCTGCAGGAAGGGAATGCCGGCTCTGAGTACCACCAATGGCACAGCTGAAAACTGCAGCGATGTCCTCTCCCGCAGCCTGGAGACAGGCCTAAAATCGAGGTGTGAGCAGAGCTGTGCTCCCTCCGGAAGCCCCAGGTGAGGGTCCTTCCCGCCTCTTCCAGCTTCTGGGCCCCTGGCCGCTCTGCCCTGCATCTCTGCCCTGCCGCTCTGCCCTGTGTCTCTGCCCTGCCGCTCTGCCCTACGTCTCTGCCCTGCCGCTTTGCCCTGCGTCTCTGCCCTGCCGCTTTGCCCTGCGTCTCTGCCCTGCCGCTTTGCCCTGCGTCTCTGCCCTGCCGCTTTGCCCTGCGTCTCTGCCCTGCCGCTTTGCCCTGCGTCTCTGCCCTGTGTCTCTGCCCTGCGTCTCTGCCCTGCGTCTCTGCCCTGGCCGCTCTACGCTGTGTCTCTGCCCTGCATCTCTGCCCTGGCCGCTCTGCGCTGCGTCTCTGTCCTACGTCTCTGCCCTGGCCGCTCTGCGCTGTGTCTCTGCCCTATGTCTCTGCCCTGCGTCTCTGCCCTGTGTCTCCTCTGTCTCCCTCCAGGGAGGCTTGCCCGGGCGGGGCTGCTCCTGCCTGCTGGACCAAGCCCCGCACCCACAGCCCTGAACTGCTCACTGCCGGCGCTCCTGGGACCACCCTGGAACCCAGCCTAGGACGCACTCAGCCAGCGTCTGTCTCTCCATGTGCCTGGAGACCAGCAAAGCCAAAAGCCTGTGGCAAGGCACTCACAGGACTGAGGCCGCCTGCCCCGCCTGCCACACGTCTCTCAGAGGTGGGGGTCTCATTTTGCCACAGACACCGAAGCCACAACAGTGCAGGGCAACCTGATCAGCCCTGTCCCGGGATGGGGCCACGGCCATGTGGACACACAGTGGGCGGCCCCCGAGTGGGAACAGCCTCAGCTTGGCCCGTTTGGTTGGAGCCACCCGGGGGCCACACGCTGCAGCCCCTCCTGCCCAGCGGCTGCCGCTGGGTTCCGTGTCACAGCCACACACGTTTCCACACATTCTTCCGCTTGGGAATGGGCAGTACTTTGCACGATGGGGTCACCACCGTGTGGCCGCCTGGGCCCTCCACTTTCACGGGGCATGTCCTTCAGGGCCCCTCCGAGCCCGCCGCTGCCTCTGCCCGGCCTCCCACCAGCCACTTTTATGGGTTCACAATCACAGACGGGTCGCTGCGACGCCTGGCCCCTCCCCCAGCCATGGGGAGGACTTGCTGAACAGGGGGCCGGAAAGGGGCCCTGTCTCTCCCGGAGATGCCGTGAATGCAGCCTGGCTTCCCTGCGGCTGTGCCTGGGCAGCTGCCGGGTAAGGAAGCAGAAGCGGGCTGGGACCAGACACCAGGCTCCCCACCTGTGCAGCTGTGTCCCCCTCCCTGCCGCCCTTGCCACAGAGCAGCGCTTCCTGGTGGCCTTTTCCCCCCACCACGCCCCCCACACTCCCCTCAGGCCGGACCCCTCCATCCACAGTGGACACAGTAGCCTGGGAGCGTTGGATCCCCCACTCAGCTGAGAGGCACAGAGGCAGCCCAGGACCCTGCAGAGGTCCCCGCATAGCTTCTGCACTGCTCGGGGGGCCCTGCTCGGCCCCAGAGGCCCACTTGCAAGCATCATCAACGTGCAAGGCCGGCCCGGCCCCCGCCCCACACGAGGGGTACCTCCTCTTCTCCTAGGTCCCTGTGGGCCTTCGTCGCTGGCTGGGCTAGAAGGGCTCCCACGCCCAGCCCCTCCTGGTGTCCCTGGCTCCTCCAGACCTGTCTCCCCTCTCCCTCACACACTGAGTTTCAGGATCCCTGTGCCCCATGCCCCTTCCTGGGGACTCCGAGCGCCCCATCGCACCCCAGAGCCCCCACACTTGCTCCTCCGCCAGCACTGGGGCCGGGCTCCCCGCTACTTGCAGGCTGTGTGGTCGCCCGGCCTCCTGGAGGCACTTTGCCTCCCTTGGGAACAACCTGCTCCTCTCTTTTTCCACCCCAGAGCCTGGGGCTGCCTGGGATTGACAGGTGGGTGCAGATGGGAGCTCTCGGGCTCCTGCCCACCCAAATTCCTGGCACCGGGGCAGCTCCTGGGCCAACCAGCCCTGCCTCGCTGGCGTCTCCCTCTGCCAGCCCCACGCTGACACTTCGCCCTCCTCTCAGCAACGTGCTTCCTGCTAGCATCCTCTGAGCACCTGCTGCGTGCAGGGCCTGCCCTGGCTGCCTCCCCACTGCTCACAGACCCCGGTGTGCTGGCCCCTGCCCCATCCTCCAGGCCTGGAGTCTCCCTGACTCATTCCCCCGAATGCTCCCTTCCTTTATTTATTTATTTATTTATACCGATTCTCCTGCCTCAGCCTCCCGAGTAGCTGGGATTACAGGCGCCCACCACCACGCCTGGCTAATTTTTGTATTTTTAGTAGAGATGGGGTTTTACCATGTTGGCCAAGCAGGTCTCGAACTCCTGCCCTCAGGAGATCCACTTGCTTTGGCCTCCCAAAGTGCTGGGATTACAGGCGCCCACCACTACACCCGGCTAATTTTTGTACTTTTAGTAGACACAGGGTTTTGCCACGTTGGCCAGGCTGGTCTCAAACTCATGACCTAATATGATCCACCCGCCTCGGCCTCCCAGAGTGCTGGGATGACAAGCATGAGCCACTGCACCTGGCCCCTTCCTTTATTTAAATCACAGCCCAAAGCCACCTCTCAAAGCCCGATTCTGGCTTGCCATCCGGCCTGGTTCATGGACCCTCAGCCTCTCACCACCCCTGAGATCTCCACAGTCTCCTTGGCAGACGCCCACCTGAGGCAGCAGCCCTGACCACTTCTTTCCAGCTCTCTGTGTTCTCCAGCTCCCTGGGTGACCCCCTAAAACCAGATCACTCTCTCCAGTGTCTGGGGTCCCCATCTGTGACAGGTCTCTGGTGTGGATGAGTCTGGGGGCTCCCCCATCTCTCTGGACCTCAACTTCCTGAACTACAACTGGGCACTGTAGTGGGTTGAACAGTGTCCCCCAGGACTCACGTCCACAGAGCCTCAGGACGTGCCTTTATTTGGAAACAGCGTCATGGCAGGTGTAACTGGTTCCAGGATGGGGTCAGTGGGTCTTAGCCCGAGTGCCCGTATAAGGAGGAGAGGAGAGGCTCACAGGAGGACCCACGAACACGCAGGCAGAGCGATGTGGCCGCCAGCCAGGGAGCACGGGCAGCAGCAGGTGCTGGCAGAGGCCAGGAGGATCCTCCCTGTCTCAGGAGAAACCAGCCCTGCTGGCCGCTGGACTTTGGCCCTCTGGCCCCCAGAGCTGTGAGGGGTCCTCTGGCCTCCAGAGCTGTGAGGGGCTCTCTGTTGTCCTGAGCCTCCTAGTTGGTGGTGCTTCGTATGGCAGCTCCAGACACAAACGCAGGTGCCCTCATCATGGCCACCGCCCCGTGGGTCCTCGCTGGAGACTCTCAGAGGCCATCCCCTCCCACGGGCCCCAGGTCCCTGCCCTCTGTGCCCCGTCTGTGAAGCGGAAGGTTGGAAGACGAGGTCATTTCCAAAACTCGGCCCAGCTTGGAGACTGCCTGGTTGGCACCAACGTCCACCCCCATCCATCACCCCGCGAGGTCCTGGGGCCTCAGCCATCACGGTCCCCCTTGAAGGGGCTTCCTGGGTCCTCCAAGGATGTCCTGGCTTTCCACTGCCCAACCGGGAAGCCTGGGCCCGGGGACTTGGTGATGAGGAGAGGGGAATGAAGGGCTGGAGCTCCACCAGGGACAGAGATGGGGTGTACCAGGAAACGGGGCCAGGGGCCGTGGGGTCAGCCACAGGGGTTCAGACAGCAGGGATCCCTGCTAGAGTCTGGAGTCCCAGGTGGGAGCATCCCAGGAACCCCCACCCCTCCTGGGCCATGGGAAGGACGCTGCCTGCTGGGAGTGACAGCACTTGGCACCAAGCTGGCCAGGTTCCCCTCAAGGGCACGGCACAGCCGAGCAGGAGTGGGAGAAGGATGCGGGGCTGTAATAGGGAGGGATGGGGCACGGTCGGCTCCTGGCTTCTGGGCCAGAGAGTGTGACCCTTGGCTGGGTCCCAGTTACCTGGCAGGGCTGCTGCAGCTCCAGCCACGTCCGTCCTGCAGGGCGCCCACACCCTTTTCCCTGAGCTGGATGCCCCAGAGAGCTATTCCAGGCGCCTGGTGGAGACATGACCCGTCTGGCCAGACCGAGGCACAGCCACCACCCATGGCCTCGCCTGTGTGCCCTGGTGACTCACACCCACCGGAGCAGAGAGGCACCAGGATCCCCCTTGGCCATGCCTGGTGTTCGGGGAGGAGAGAACAGGAGCTGCCACCTGGGAAATGCCTCCTCCAGCCTCCCTGGGCCGCACCCCAGAGCCCTAAATAAATGCCTTTGCAGGTCTGCTCCCAAGAGGCACGAGGACTCCTGCCATGTTCCCTGAGACATGACTTAGCGGGCTGGCCACCATGGCCTGTCTTGCCACGATCCCAGGGCCCAGCCCTCTGTCCCCCAGCACCAAAGCCTGTCCCCATCTAGAAGAAGGCACTGGACTCGCTGTCCGCCACCCCTCCCGCCTTGCTCCCCTCCATCCTGCTCCGGGAAGGCTCCAGGCCCTCACATCCCACGGCCATGGAGCCTTGGGGAACCCGCTGCCCCGGTCTGGAACGTGGAGCAAGCTCAGGCGACGGTTTCCGCGGACAGGACAGACGGGGTGGCCGGATCCCCTGCACAGCTCCAAGTTTGGGTGACGGTTTCCGTGGACAGGGCGGACAGGGTGGCCGGGTCCCCTGCACAGCTCCAAGTTTGGGTGACGGTTTCCGTGGACAGGACAGACGGGGTGGCCGGGTCCCCTGCGCAGCTCCAAGCTTGAGTGATGGTTTCTGTGGACAGGAGGGACGGGGTGGCCGGGTCCCCTGCACAGCTCCAAGCTTGGGTGATGGTTTCCGTGGACAGGGCAGGTGGGGTGGCCAGGTCCCCTGCGCAGCTCCAGGGATCCATCTGGGAGGTGGCCGCAGAGGGAGCAGGGATGTGAGGCTGAACCGGCTGACATGCTGCAGGGTCAGGACCGGTCCCAGGACCCATCCAAGGCCCAGTGTCCCTTCAGTCCCAAGAGCCCACATCAGCTGTCCCAGCACAGAGCCCTCCCCTGGTGCTGGGGGCTGGGGGCTGAGTGGTGGGCGCAGGGGAGGGGTCCACCTCTCATAACCCAAATCCTACCCCACGTGCCCAGTCCCTGAAGCTCCGCCCCAGCTCTCTCTAAAGTCCCATCGGCCTTGTGATGCCCTTGGGCCAACGCCTGCACCCCATTCCTGATAGGGAGGGAGGCAGGGGCCCAGCTCCTGGTGGACAGTGGAGCATGGCACAGACCCCCAGTGCCACCACCTCCCCTCCCCACACCATTTCCAAAAAACAAAATCAGCACACAATCAAGAAATAAAATCATCACTGCCCACTTCAGATGGAAATTCCCTCTTACCCGCTGATTTACTCATGGCTGGAAAGTAAGTTTTACAAATGTCTTTCTGTAGAGGACTTGGTTTGGGTGAGTTTTTTGTCTTTTTTTTTTTTTTAGATGGAGTCTTGCTGTGTCGCCCAGGCTGGAGTGCAGTGGCCAAATCTCAGCTCACTGCAAGCTCTGCCTCCCGGGTTCACACCATTCTCCTGCCTCAGCCTCCCGAGTAGCTGGGACTACAGGCACCTGCCACCGCGCCCGGCTAATTTTTTGTATTTTTAGTAGAGACGGGGTTTCACCGTGTCAACCAGGACGGTCCCTTTGTTCATATAAAAATCTAGAGCCGCCTTCTGCGAGCAGGCGTCCTGCCCCCCAGGGCGCTCAGGGGAGATATTTCTGCATGAAATACATCCCGTGGCAGGGCCTTGCTCTGAAGCAAAAATGAAGGCAGTAAATTCTGAGGAGGGATTTGTTTAACCTGTCACCTTGCGGCAAAGTGTGGCCCTGCCTGTCCTGACATACTCTCCTGTGTTTTTATAACACTTGGCTCGGCCACCGTGGAGGCTGGAAGAAAATCTGCCAATCGGGTGTTGCGGGGAGGGTTCACTCCTCTCCAGACAGAAGGAGCGCCAAGTCCTCCTGGGTCTACACCACACATCCATCTGCCCATTTTCCATTCACTCACTTGTTCACACCCACCTCCCTCGCTAGCCTTGCGGGGGTTGCTGGACAGGACCACAAAAGCTGGTGCCCAGCTCCGTCCCCAGCACGCCTGCCCCGACACGGTGAGGGGCTTTGTAACACGCCCAGCTCTGTCGCTCCAGACCCTGGGTGCACAGCTGAAGGAAGAAGAAGGAATCAGACACTTTGCCACACTCCAAGCTCCCCAACCCCAGCACAGGAGGCCTGCACAGGGAATGAGCTCTCTGTCTTAGGAGGTAAGCAAGAAGCTGAAAAGTCCTTGGGTTCAGGATGCTGTGGAGAGAGCCAGCTGGGCTAGGTGAACCTGGGGCCTCTACAGGAACACCCCCATCTCTTGTCCCTCTGTCCCCTCCCCCCATCTCTACCCCCTCCCCCGTCTCTTCTCCCTCTGTCCCCTCCCCCATCCCTGCTCCCTCTGTCCCCTCCCCCATTTCTACCCCCTCCCCCATCTCTGCTCCCTCTGTCCCCTCCCCCATCTCTACCCCCTCCCCTTCTCTTCTCCCTCTGTCCCCTCCCCCATCTCTACCCCCTCCCCCTTCTCTTCTCCCTCTGTCCCCTCCCCCATCTCTACACCCTCCCCTGTCTCTGCTCCCTCTGTCCCCTCCCTCATCTCTACCCCCTCCCCCATCTCTGCTCCCTCTGTCCCCTCCCCCATCTCTACCCCCTCCCCCGTCTCTTCTCCCTCCCCATCTGTTTTTTTTTTTTTTCTCGAGATAGGGTCTCACTCTGTCGCCCAGGCTGGAGTGCAGCGGTGTGATCTTGGCTCACTGCAGCCTCTGCCTCCTGGGCCCCAGTGATCCTCCTACCTCAGCCTCCTGATTGGCTGGGACTGCAAGTACACACCACCATGCCCAGCTAATTTTTGTATTTTTTGTAGAGATGGGGTCTTGCCATGTTGCCAGGCTGGTCTTGAACTCCTGAGATCAAGCAATTCACCCATCTCAGTTTCCCAAAGTGCTGGGATTACAGGCATGAGCCACGGCGCCCAGCCCCCATCTCTTCTCACTCCCCCATCTCTGCCCCCTCCCCGCCTGCGTGTCTGTGTGGATACCCGGCTCCAGGGGTCTCTCTGGACAGCCTCCTGGGGCACCCCACATGCTCCCCGCACCATGGGCAAGGCTGGAGCCACCTTCCCTGAATCAATACTGACCCAGGCCCAGGAGTGGGGCTGGGGCTGGGGCTGGGGCCAGGCTTGCTGGTCACTCCTGTGCCTGCCGTGCTCCGGGCTTGGAGACGCATGTGAAGGGTGGGAAATCGCCTGGGCCTCCTCACAGGGCGCTCACGTTCACCTTGGGAAAAATAACAGGTTTTGGTTTTGTTTTCTTTTTCTTTTTCTTAACCACAAAACACTCATCAATGGTTCTGAGGGGGCAGGAAACCTCAGGACTGAGTGTTGTCAGGAAATTGAGCTCCCGGGGCCACACGCGGGGCCGGCACGAGCCAGGGCGGCACATTCCAGAAGGCTGCTCCGTCAGTGCCACCCACTGCCCTATGTGCTTCATGCCCAGGGGGTCCACACAGGGCAGCAGAGGGTCCTCGGGCCAGGACAGTGGACGACCTCAGGGGGTAGAGCCCTCCAGACCCCTGAGGGGCCTTCGGGCTGGTCCCTCTGTGCCTGCCGTGGACCTTGCCTCCTCCTCTAAGGGCAGCAGCCTGTGGGGTCGCAGCCCCCCGTGTCCCTCCTCTAAGGACAGCAGCCTGTGGGGTCGCAGCCCCCCGTGTCCCTCCTCTAAGGCTTCAACCAGTGCACCTTGGGGGCCTGAGTTCAGCCCAGGTCAGATTCCGCCTCTGATGGGCCCTGGCTCGTGAGGCCTGATGCCGCCACGACCGCGTGCCGAGGGCTTTCCAGGGCGTCCCCTTGTGCCGTGTCCAGGCTGCCATCAGAGGAGTGCAGGGCATGAGGGGCTCTGGGCTTTTCCCAGGAAAGCAGCTGGCAGCCATCCACCCCTTCCCGGGACCACCACCGGGCTCCTGGCCAGCAGGACCTGCGCAGGCCTCTTCCGTCAGAGCAGCACTTTCCACAAAGCCTGGACACTGTCTGGCGTGGGGCTGTGGGGCCGCATGCTGTGTGCAGGAGTGGGTGTGAGCGAGGCCCATGAGGGGGCTGTGGCAGCAGGTGGGGCCCGGCCGCGTGAGTGCAGGGTCTCTGGACCCCGCACGGTTCCTCATTTGGAGCTCAGTCCCTGGACACGGCCACTCCATGGGGCTGCCAGGATGCCCCCCAGACCACGGCCATGGTGCTGGAGGCTAGGGACCCCTCCTGTGGCCTCTATAGCTCCCTCTCCACCCAGCACCCCCTCCCCATCACTCCATGCCAGCTGCAGGGAAGGCCCCCGGGTCTCTCAACCCACACCTTGGCCCAGCCCTGGCTCCAGGATCCCACCCCAGGGGCCCACTCTGCCACGGGACTTTCGTTTTTCCAAACTTAGAGCCGCCCCTGGCCAGCGGGGGCCGAGCCTGCGTCCACTGCTTGGCAGAGGAAATGTCTGCACTTCAGGCCTGTCCCGTGCCCTGGATGAACACCAGCCCTGGGCACTGCCCTCCGCCGTGGGAGGCCACTGTGGTCTTGAGGCTTCTGGGGAAAGGTCAGGCTTGTCTTTAAGCGACGCGATGCCGGTGGCCTGGATGAGTCACCCCCGAACGTGAGTCATCTCAGCTGCTGGGAATCTTCCAATTGTTTGATTGAGGTGAGATCCACATGGCGTAGAATTAGCCGTTCACGGCATGGGGTGCTGTGGCATCCAGCGGGGCCGCAGTATCTTGCAGCCACCTCCCCACGCCCTGCATGTCGTTCTGGGGCAATTTCATCCGGAAGGAAACCCCTCGCCCCTCGGCCGTCCCCCCAGTCCAGCTCTTGCGTCTGCGGACCTCCCTTTCTGGCATTTCCGCAGATGGAATCGCAGGTGGCCTCTCAGGCCTGGCCTCTTCTGCTCGGCGTGTGTCGAGTCCTTCCCTGCGGTGGCTGAGCCGAGGCTGCCCCTTTTCATGGCTCACGTTCCGC
Organism: Homo sapiens; assembly: GCF_000001405.40. Taxonomy (NCBI): domain Eukaryota; kingdom Metazoa; phylum Chordata; class Mammalia; order Primates; family Hominidae; genus Homo; species Homo sapiens. The sequence goes on along the minus strand of NC_000016.10, from coordinate 1,002,545 downwards.
GGTATGGATGAGCCACGTCCGTGGGTTCCTTCACCCGGGGAGGGACATCGGGGCTGCGGCAGGTGCACATGTGCGGGTCCCTTCACCGGGGAGGGACATCAGACTGCGGTTGCACAGGTGCACAGATGTGGGGTGCCACAGACCCACGGTCTTGCTTGGTTTACCTGTGTGAGCCCTCAGGTCACCACCAGGAATCCAGCGTCTCTCCCCTCCAAAGATTCAGTGGAGCCTCAGGGAGCCCAGAAGGGGGCTGGGCCTCCCTCCTGCCACATCTCCAGTTCCAAGGGACCCTGAACTGTGCCCAGGTGACAGGGCCCTCAGAGCAAGGGACTGTCCACCACGTGGCTCACTGCCAAGAGCTCCTGGAGGTGCCAGCATTCCGCTGGGCCAGGAGGGCAGCAGCGGCGGATCTGAGCTACAGTTTGGACGGACCCCTCAGGCAGCAGAAGCCCCTCGGAGGCCCAGGGGAGAACTCCACGCCCCCACCCCTGGGGCTCCCTGGAAAGGCACCGAAGGAAAAAATGTTCCTGAAAAACTAAACAAGTGAATTCAGAAGCTCAGGTGTCAGAGCTGGGGCCCCATGACGGGCCAGGGACAGCCATCGGCCCCTCCGTGGACACCCAGGGTTCCCTGGAGGAGAAATCATACAGGGCAGGTGGTGAGAACTTGAACTTCACCTCCACGGTGGCTTCCTCACGGGGCGATGTGAGGCTTGGGTGAGGTGACGCGGCATGTTTCAGGCTGAACGGTGGCCACAGCTGACCCTGGGAATCTGTGACTCTGGCTTGGTTGGGAAATGGAGTCTTTGCAGATGTAATTGATCAAAAGATCTTGCAGTGGGGTCATCCTGGGTTATCTGGGTGGGACCTAAATCCAGCGATGAGTGTCCTCATAGAAGCAGAGGAGGAGACAGACATGCAGAGGAGACAGCCGCGTGAAGCCGGGACAGAGGTTGGAGCGATGTGGCCACAAGCCAAGGGACACCTGGAGCCACCAGGAGCTGGAATAGGCAGGAAGGATCTTCCTCTGGAGTCTCATTGGGGAGCGTGGCCCTGCCCAAGCCTTGATCTCAGACTTTTGGCCTGCAGACCTGTGAGAGGACAGGTTTGTTTTCTAAACCACTCGGCTCATGGCACTTTACTTGGGCAGCCATGTGGCACTGCCACACCCCCGCAGCCAGGCCCTCAGCTCCAGGCATCTGGAGCTGCCTACCCCGCGGTAAATGCTGAGCTGAGGAGGCATCTCCAAGCCACCTGGGCCCCAGCTCTGGGAGGCCCTCAGCACTCCAGCCAGGTGCTCATAGCTGCCGTGTCCCGGGGGCACCGAGGCAGGGCCCTACCCCACTGAATGGGAGGGGCAGCACCTCCAGACCCGAAAGGCCAGCGCCTGGGGAGCTGAACAGGGGAGACCCACCGTCCACACGTCTGCCTGGGACTCTCCTGGCTTTAGCCCTGAACATCCCTCAGCTTGGGGACCCCTGGGCCTAACCCCGACAGGCTGATCCTCCAGTGGATACTCCGCAACCTCCAGGCTTCACTTCGCAGCCCCCATATCTGCCCCTCACACCCAGCAGTTTTTCCTAGAGGCGCCACTGGGCAGCCTGCACGTCGGGGCCCAGGATGCCGTGGCCAGCAGTGGTTGGGATTTCACGGACTTTAGACAGCTGCCAGTGTCAGGGTCCCGGGGGCTTTTCCCGGCCGCCACCCCCCCCCGCCAAATGGAGCCATCAGCTCCCTCTCCCCAGTCATGGAGACCGCACTGCTGTCCTTCCTTCCAGGCCAGGAGGAGCCCCCGCCATGTGATGAGCTGGGACGTGTGTCCACCCCGTGAAACCTGCTCTGCACGGCCTGGTCTTCAGGAGAGGAGCAACCCAGATGGGCTGAGTGAGGAGCCCAGGACCCACAGCCACTGCACAGAGCCGGGGGCACCTGTTCCCCGCACCCCCGCTCTGCTTGCCCTCCCACACCCCCAACCTGGCTTCCCACCGACTTTCCTGCTGGCATTCCAGGGAAAATCAAATCTCCTGGGGAGAAACGGCTTCTGTGTCCAAATGAGCTTTCCGAGTCCAGGTGCAAATGGTTTGGGGAGCTCCAGGAGCAAAAATACGGTTTCAATTTTCCAAAGCAGGCCGAGATCCCCGAGTTTAACCCACATGGCCGAGAAGCGAGGTTCCCACCCAGACCCAGGTCATCACCCAGCCGAGGCCACGGGGAGTGCGCTGTGCACATGGCATCGCCAGGGCCTGGGGCTCCTGGCTGGAGGTCAGGGAACTGGGGTCCCTGTCCCCGGTCCCATGGCCGACAGCACTTCTTCCTCTGGCCGCGGCTGGAGAACCAGCTGTCCAGGCCACTTGTCAAGGTCACTAAGAAACTTGGGTGGGAGAAGGAATTCATCCCAAACTCAGGAACCTTCCTGGGGTCGGGAGACACGGCGCTCAGTGACCTCCCAACTGGTACTTCCCAGGGACGGGACGCGGCCCTCACAGGGGGCGGCAGGTGCAGCCTCAGCTCTGCAGCTACCGGCCCCACCTCGGTGTTGTCTGAGGTTAAATGGAGTCCCAGCCTCGTGCATCTTGATTTGAGGGCCCTGAGCCTGCGGGCATCAGGGAGGGCCAGGGAAGCACCAGCAGGTGTGCCAAAGTGTGGGCACCCCCAGGGGGCAAAGGCCCTGCCACCCTCCCAGGCCAGGCTCTCAGAAGCCCCAGGGAGCCCACAGTGCCCGGACCTGCCTGGCCCCTGCTGGCTGAGCTGCCCCGGAAGAGCCTCCCTGCTCTTGGGAATCCCTGCAGGTCCACAGAGCCCTACCCCACATCGGCCTCTGACTGCTGGCTCATGACTGCTGGCTCATGACTGCTGGCTCCAGCAGCTCGAGGGGACCTGTCCTGAGCTCAGCCCAGGGGCCAGGACATGACTAGTGCGTCTCCAGACTCTGGCCCAAAACCCAGCCTCCATCCACCCCTCAGTGGCTTGAAGCAGCTCAGCTGGTCATGGGGGCTGGTGAGCAGCTCCGTGTGCCTGGCATGAGGCACCAGGGTCAGTTGTGACCTCACGGAGGAACAGCCTGGGGATGGGGAAACTGGGACCCACGCAGTCCCACCCCTCACAGTGATTACTGACAGTGACCATGGCCTTGAAGGAGACCATCAGAGGGTTCTGTCTGGGCCAGTTTAGGAGGGCTTCCAGGAGGAGGCAGCATGTGAGCCGAGAGAGGCATGGGCAGGAGAGGCAGGTTCAGGGCCAAGGACAGTCCAGGGCCCAGGGTAGTGGACACCACTCTCCCTCCTCCCAGGAAGAGAAATGTCCCCTTCAGGCAGCAGTTTCTAGAAAGATCTGGGTGGAGCCGGCAGGGACCACCAGAAGCTGCTCCACCGGGAGCTGCCCCACCTGGGGTCCCTCCACCTGTCCTCTACCACATGCCAGGGGCAGGCACGTGATCCGACTCGGTTCCCATCCGGCCCCTTGGGAACCAGCGAATGCCCGTGCCGGCTTGCTCCGTGGAACCAGCTGGCTTTCCCTCTTTCCCCCTTCCTCTTTCTTTCTGAAATCTGGATGCAGTTTGCTGCGTGGCCTCCCTCCTCAGTCCTGGCCAGGTGGTTTACCTGGGCTCCTATGCCACCTGTCAGTTTCCTCCCTGCCTGCTTCCCCACCAGCACCGGCTGCCCAGGCCTCCGGGCCTTCCTGCCGTCCTCCTTAGAGAGAAGAACCTCCTTGGGCCTTGGAGAACCCCCACGCTGGGTGTGCTTGGCCATCCGCACAAACGGGCTGGGCCGGGGCCCTCACGCTGCTGCTCGCTGGATTCCTTCTGCCCTGCACCTACCCAGGAGGCAGTCCCCAAATCTAGTTCACTGCTTCCAACTGCTCCCACTGTGTGGCACCTGGTGTGCACCTCCTGCCTGCTCCAGAGCTCCCAGGGCCTCCTGTGGGCACCGAGGGCACCTATGCCCTTCCCCTTTTCCCCCCATGGGTCCTGCGAGGCTGGCATCACTGCAGGTGAGGACCTGCCAGGGTCATGGCCTGGAACCCTGATCTGGAGTCTGAGCCCTGTCCAGGGGTTCTTGACTTGGGCCCAGCACTGCCCTGGCACCCAGCAGCCTTCACGCCTCCCGTGGGCCTCTCCAGCTGGCTCTGGGCGCCACCTGCCTGGTTCCAGCCACAGACTCCTCTCCTGCTGTCTGTCCCGCTGCCCTCTGACACGCCATGCAGGGGGCCCAGGGCACCCGTTTCCCAGACACAGTAACGGTGTCTCAGCCAGCTCCTGGCAGGCCTGGCCCGAGCCAGCCAGCAGGGACCACCAGGAGCTGCCCCAGCCAGGGTCCCTCCACCCATCCGACTCGAAGCAGAGCCCCTTCTCCCACAGCATTTTCAGAGCTTAGGCTGGGGGATCGGGGGTGCGTTTTGCAGACATGAGCTTCACAGATTTAAAATAAAGGAGGATTCGGGTGGGGACTCTCTGGGGGCTTCCTGCAAACCAGCCCCCGCGCAGGCTGTGTGGTAACCGAGGGCACCGTGGCAGTGAGGCAGGAGCAGTCGGCGCCCACACGCCGGATCTGCCGCACCCGCTGCCACCCACAGTCCTCTGGCGAGCTCTCAGATGGGAGGAACAGGTGACAGGGAGCCCTCCCCAGGGGAGCCGCGCCCCGAACCTCACAGGCGGGCGTGTGGAGCGGGAGGCGGGGGTGGGGTGAGGCCTCCAGACCCCATGGAAGATTGAAATGTCATCTGTCTCGTTTTCAAAGGAAGCTCAGCGGGCTCCATCCCCGCCTTTTGCAAGAAGATGACTCTTCTGCCAGATGGGAGGGGACGCCCACCTCCGCCACGCCAGCTTCTGTCTTCCTCCCGGTGACGGCACCACAGCTCCCCCGGCACCGCGTACATTCCTGAAGTGGTGAGGCCCGGGGACGGCCTGTGACCTGCCTCCTTCCCGGGAGGGGAGCTGGGCGGGTATTTAATGAAAGGAAATGCTCCAGCCGGCTGCTTCCTGCTCAGGTTGCCCAGCCTCCCTGCCGCTCCTGCCGCTGGCAACCTCCCGCGCTGGACACCGTGGAGGAGGCGGGCAGGCTCAGCACCCAGGGCCCCTGCAGGCACCGGCAGCTCTCAGAGATGCCTGGTCACTGGAGGTGCTTATAGGACCCGGCCTGGGCGGCCATCCGTTCCTGCAGACCCTCCCTCGGGGGCCCAGGGAGAAGCAGGGGCTGCTCTGAGCCACAGACCTTCCTCTTCCCTAAAATGCCTGAGGATGCTTCCCTGAAGGGGCCAGTGTGGGACTGGGGGCTGACAGGGCACAGGAGATGCTGCCTGGGTGTGTCCAGTGGGGAGACAGAGCTCTGGGGGTCTGCACCCAACAGCCTCCTCCCGTTCAGAGACAGCACGCTCCCTTCTCCTCCCTGAGAGGGAGGAAGCCCCATGCAGGGGTGGAGGTTTTGGTGTGGCCCCAGGCGTGCTGCGGCCTTGGCAGGGCAGCAGACCCTGGCCCCGTCCCCACCACTCCTCTTCCTGGGCTTGGGCCCCGACTGTGAGGGGTGGACTGTGGGTAAATCACCAAGAAGTGGAGTCAGGGGCCCTCTTCTGTTAAATGGGGTGAAAACTCGCACCAGCCCCATGAGCCCTCCATGCCTTTGTTGAGATCAAGCTGGAGGAGGACCAAGCACCCAGACGCCCTCCCACATATCATCACTGTCACCGTCACAGCCACCACTCCCTTCCTTTCCCCTTTGCCCCCGCCCCAGCCCTGACCCTGGGGTGCTCAGGGCCTCATTTCAGAACAGGTGAGCACCAAAGCCCTGACAGAGGCTAAGTCTCCTCTTTCTAACAGAATCTTCTTCCCTGGCCAAGACATCCCCTGGTACTTAGAGAGATGAGAAACTCACTGTGCAGGGGAATCGGGTGGCTGCGAGCCGCCTCACCTGCTCCCTTCCTCTTCACTCCTGCAGGTGCCCCCACGATGCCTCGGAAAGTAACCATGGCCGCCCTCATGGCAGCTCACCTGTTTTGGGGTATTTTATTCGCATCTGCAGAGTAGAGAGGAACATTCCAGAATGTGAAGACTTCAGAACGTGGACCCTGGGTTCTGGAGAGCAGGTGGCCTGACTTTTAGCTGGGAGCTGGGGGGATACACCCACAACTCAGTGGGAGGACCCCCAGCCGCTCTGGAGACCTGGCTTTCCAGTAGGTCTGCATAGCTCTGAATTGATTTTGGAAGAAACCGCCCTGAACTGTTTTTCTCACTGCCCTGTCTGGAAAAAAAAAACATCACCTTGTAACTTTATGTAAATGAGCCACATAGCATGCTCCTTTGCAGGAGGGGCTCAGCATGCCTGCCTGGTTCCTCCTCGTTACTGAGCTGGATCTCAGAATGGGAAAAGACCATAGTTTATCTACCTGCTCTTGAGGGGTGTGTGGAAAGTTCCCTGTTTGAGATCTACAAAGAACCTTCTCTCCTGGTGAACACAAGCGTGCATTTCACACGGGTGGACTTCCAGCAGCAGAATTGCTGGGTCATAGGTCACTGGCATGCCAGCTCTTGGTGGGACCACAAACCATCTTTGGAGTGGTTGTGCAATAGCAATACAAGCTTCTATCAGGAGGATGAGGCCCCGCTTGCCCATGTCCTCACCAGGACTGGATGTCTTCCCTCTGAACTTCAGCCATCCTAGTGGGTGCTGCATCTTTTAGAGAAATGAGCTTGACACATACTTCTACCATGTCTTGATAACTCAAGGTCACAGTCATTAGCATTAACCACAGTCCTAATGATGTACTCAAGCTGAGCAGGCAGGTGTCCCATGTCATGCACTCAGGGCCCCCCAGTTAGCAATGACTCCACCTGCACAGAACCCACAATAGCTGCCAGATGACAGATCTGCCTAGGGCTCCTGAGGTCTCTGCCATGCTTACCTCCCTGTTAGCTACCCCTTTGCCCTTCCTGCCAGTGGGTCTCCTGTAGAAATTGTTCTCACCATTGGAGCAATTTAAAGAGAGCGATGATGACCCTGAGCTTCCTGCTGCTGCCCAGCCTGTTTCCGTTACCACTGAGCCTTCATTTGGTTCAATGCTCTGTTCAATGCTCTGAAATATCTCAGAGACTTGAATCTGTTCTGCCTGGAGCAAACATGCCCTGCTTCACCTTCATTCATTCATTCACTCATTCACTGATTTGTTCATTCAGCAAATACTCATTGAGTATCTGGTCTGTGTCCAGGATAATTTAGGTTGTGGGTGAAGGCCAAGGACAGTTACGGCCCCAAGCTTGTTGAGCTCGTAAGGCCACCCAGGGACACATGGCTCATGTTGTGAGCCATGGCTCATGTTCTACCCCCACTCCACCATCCACACCACAAAGCATGTTCTTCTCCACAGATGGGCACGGGCAGTGTGGAACCTTCCATACCTGCCCACTAGATGATCACCCATCCTGCTTCTCCCAGGACTGAGGGGCTTCCCAGGACATGGGACTTTCACTGCAGAAACTGGAAATGTCCAGGCAATCCAGGATGAGTTTGGCACCCTACTGCTCACTGAGTCCTGGGACCCACAGCTGTGAGAGGGCTGCATATGGAACCGGTGGTTGTGCCTGCCTCAGGCATGTCTCAGACCTGTCCCAGGTGTCTCCTAAGCACTACCACTCACTCAGGTTCAGAGAGAAAAGAGCAAGCTGGAGCCATCCAGGTAGGATACTTCAGACTGAGTGAAGAAATGAAGGATGATGCTGTCTAACTGAATGAGAGATGAGCTGCTCAGAGACAAGACTCATTGGAAACATCTATCCTTGTGAACACAAGACTCACCAGATCCCTGCTCAAGACTCAGTGGAAACATCTGAAGGGCCCCATTTCCTCAGAAAGCCTCCACTGACCACAAGGCAGGTTGGGTCCCTGTACTGGTTCTTATGGTCCCCTGTATGTGTCCTGTTTTGCCCTTTCCTGATGTATTGAGGGAGCTCAGGGCTGAGTCTATCTCCTTCTCCTTTAAAGCTCAGCACCTACTACATAACAGTCACTGAATGAATTAATGAATGAATGAAGGAGTGGATGGATGGGTGGATGGGTAGGTGGGTGGGTGGATGAACAGATGGATGAATGAGGGGGTGGGTGAGTGGATGGATGTATGGTTGCAGTGGATAATAAATGGATGAATGGGTGGGTGGGTGGGTGGATAAATGGATGGATGGATGGGTGAGTGGCTGGTGGTTGGATGGATGGATGGGCAGGTGGGCGGTGGGTGGATGAATGGGTGCATGAGTGGATTGATGGGTGGGTGGATGGATGGGTGGGTGGGTGGGTGAGTGGATGGATGGGTGGGTGGGTGCGTGAGTGTGTAGTTGGGTAGGTGAATGGATGGATGAGTAGGTGAAAGGATGGATGGGTGGATGGATGGATGGATAAATGGGTGGGTGGATGGGCGAGTGGGTGGATGGATGGATAGGTGGGTGGGTGGGTAGGTGGGTGGATGAATGGGTGGGAGGGTGGATGGATGGGTGGGTGGATGGATGGGGGTGTGGATGGGTGAGTGGGTGGTGGATGGGTGCATGGATGGTTGGATGGGTGAGTGGATGGATGCGTGGGTGGATGGGTGAGTAGGTGGGTGGGTGTGTGGGTAAATGGGTGGGTGAGTGGATGGATGGGGGTGGACGTGTGAGTGGGTGGATGGACAGGTGCATGGATGGTTGGATGGGTGAGTGGATGGATAGGTGTGTGGATGGGTGAGTGAGTGGGTGGACGGATGGGTGGGTGGATGGGTGAGTGGGTAAATGGGTGGGTGCATGGATGGATGGATGGGTGAGTAAATGGGTGGGTGAGTGGATGGATGGGAGGGTGGATGGGTGAGTGGGTGGATGGATGGGTGCATGGATGGTTGGATGGGTGAGTGGATGGATAGGTGCATGGATGGGTGAGTGGGTGGGTGGGTGGGTGAGTGGGTAAATGGGTGGGTGCATGGATGGATGGATGGGTGAGTGGATGGATGGGTGGGTGGATGGGTGAGTGGGTGGATGGAGGATGGGAGGTAGGTGAATGGGCAGTTGGGTGGATGGGCAGGTGTATGGAGTATATGTCACCATTGTCCAGCAGGCAGACTTTTTGCTGATCATATGCAGGTGTGGGTCCTGTCCCTGTAGCTCAATGACAACTTCAGGTGATATGTGTTGAGTAGCTGTTTCTAACCAAACCCTGTGTAAGCACCTGACCCACCAGCATCTCCTGTGTTCCTGAGCGCCATTGCCGGGGAGGTGGGCACCATTGTCACCATTTTGCAGGTGGGCTACTGAGGCCAGAGAGGCCAGCAGCTTGTCTAAAGCCGTACACACCAGGGGGTTTTTGGGGAGCCAAGTGTCTCACTCCTTTCTCTGTCTGAACCCTAGACGCATGATGCCACACCTTAGGGTGAACTTTGACCCTTCCTTGACACCCTTTTTCCTCTCAGGGGAAAAGGTACAAGGCATGGGTTTCTAGAGCCAGTCCCCCAGGCCCTCTGACCACCTCTGTCCACCCCCTCCTTTTTTTTCCCCCTGAGATGGAGTCTCACTCTATCGCCCAGGCTGGAGTGCGGTGCAGTGGCATGGTCTTGGCTCACTGCAACCTCCACCTCCTGGGTTCAAGCAATTCTCCTGCCTCAGCCCCCCAAGTAGCTGGGACTATAGGCATGCCCCACCACGCCCAGATTATTTTTGTATTTTTAGTAGAGACAGGGTTTCACCATATTGGCCAGGCTGGTCTCGAACTCCTGACCTCAAGATCTGCCCACCTTGGCCTCCCAAAGTGCTGGGATTACAGGCGTGAGCTACTATGCCCAGCCTGTCCACCTCTTCCTTTAGCAAACAAAATCCCTGGGCGACCAGAGTGACCCCAGAAATTGGAGGAGGGCAGAGACCCCGTCTTTGGAGGTGATGTGGAGGGTGTCCAGGCCCGCCCTTGTCTCACAGGCGCACACCCTGCTGGAGGCCAAGTGTCGGACATGAAGGTGACGCTGCCCCATGCTGTCCAGACACCCAGCAATGCTCAGCACCCGGAAACAGGACCGGCCTCTGCTCTGCGTGGAGCCCACCCGGACAGTCCATCTCAGCCCCTTCTACCCAGGGACCCCCAGGCCCCTGCCCGCATGCAGGAACTGTCCTCTGGGCAGAGCAGCCCCCTCCCCATGAGGGTCTCGCAGGCCCAGGACTCGCGTCCAGCAGCTCCTGGACATGGCCTTGCTGCCCGGCCAGGGCTAGTGTCCGTGAACAGAGAATAGTGTGTGTGAGCGGCTCTGTCATCTGTCACTTGGGGCTGCCTGTGTCCCTCTCCAGGACCTCAGTGCCGATCGCAGGAAAGGATGTTGGCACGGCCCCCGGTGGGACAGGCCAGCCACGTTAGGGGATGCTGCACGACAAAGCCCACGGCGGTGGTGTCACATGAATGTCACCTGCTCTTCACACCCAGCCTAGGAAGGGCTGTTGACTGGAGGCTGACATACCCAGCGAGGCCTCTGACGTCCCTGTCACCCCCTGGGGTGGGAGAGTCCCCTCTTCCAGCCTGTCTGGGGCCTTGCCCCTCCCTACAGCCCAGCTCGGGAAACAAATGCTCCTTCCAGCAGCAGCAGAGAGCTGTAGAGCCGGGGCTCCGGGCAGCTTCTGAATCCAGCTCCCAGGCCACAGATCACAGGGACAGGACGGGAGCCTCCCACACAGACGCCAGGCAGCAGGACCCCGGGTATGTTCCTTCACCAGCCTCTCCCTCCACCCCCCTAGCTGGGTGGCTCTGATCTGGATGCTTCCTGATCACGGGGAAATCTGCAGACCCACGAGGAGCTTGAAGCCTCTGAGTGGGAGAACTGGGTCTGCGGGGGGGGTGGGGGGGGGGGTTGGGGGGGACCCTTTTTCCCGGTGACGTCTAAGTAACCATGGTGGCAGCAGCTGACGCTGGCCCAGCCTGGCTCCGGGGAGGGCTTCTCCAGGTCCTTTGAGACTCCCCTCCCCTCTCCTCGCCTCTTCTCCCTCTCTTCCCCACACCCCTGCTGCCTGCAGTGTGCAGAGCCCCCCCGACCACAACCCACCGCCATGTCTGTTCCCAAGCTGGGAAGTCACATCCAAAGGACAGAACCACCTGCCCAAGTCCCCTCCACTTCTGAGAACCACCTGCCCAAGTCCCCTCCACGTCTGAGAACCACCTGCCCAAGTCCCCTCCACATCTGAACACTCATTGCTGTGTCCGGACGCAGAAATTCACACTCGGATTTTGTCCGGCATTCCCACTCCCTGCCCTGCTTGGAGAGGCAGGACCGCAGGTCTGCCGGCCCCAACGGCAGCGCCACAGTGCCCGGCACAGAGGCCTGCTGGTCGCGCATACAAAGCACCCGCCGGCCATTATCATTCCGGAGCCGGCCAGAGCCTCCCGGCTGCATCTCATCGGTCATTCAGCAGCCCGTAATGACTTGTCAGTTCCTTGCCCTGCCATTTTCTGTCTAATTAATTCTTTTATTGTGCACCGGATAAAGAAAGACAAAGGCCTCGCCGGCAATAACGATTCATTAAAATGCAGCGCCTTCGCCCGTGCTCCTGGCCCAGCACCAGCCCGGCTGCTCCGCCCCACTGTGGGCACAGCCGCCTGCGCCCCTTAACCCTTTGTGGAGTCTCCTGGGCTGGGTGCCCGGCCTTTGCCAGGGCCCTGGGGGAGCAGGGTTTATGCAGCCGCCAGCCGCCCTGGGGGAGAAGCCGGGCCTGGGCCCATCTGGGCACTGCCAAGGAAGGGGGTCCTGGGCATCTTACACTTGTCCATGGCAGACCTCAGTGGGCCTGGGCCCGGGAATCCCGGACGGTCCCCTGGCCAGAGGGCCAACCTAGGCTGGGGCAAGTCCTCCAGTCCTGGCCGTAGGCCCATGGGGAAGGCGGGGGCCGGGGCAGGCAGGGAGGACCATCTGCCACACACAGGACCCAGGGTCCTGGGACAAGTCTGCTTGAGATTTGACCAACAAGAGGGGCAGGACCAGCGTACTGGCCGCAGCCGCACCAAGCCCAGCTCAGTTATCCCTGGGGCAGCTCGGCGGAGCTCTCACCGCCTCGTGGTCATGGGGGAAACTGAGGCACGGGAGGTCACCTGGCAAGCAGCTCGTCCTGCCTTCCCGCGGGGTGGCGGTGTGGATGCCCCAGACACAGCAGGAGGCAGCAAGAGGTGCGCTCACTGGGTCTGAGTCCCCGGGGTCTCGTGAGGCCGGCCCTTTCTTCGCCAGTTTCACTTTGATTTTCTTGCTGCCAAACCCGCTTTATTTTGCAGATAAGCAAAAGGGTCATCGCATGGCCCGAGGTGGTAATAATACCACCAACAGCACAACAGTACGTCAGGCACCTGGGGGGCACTGCTGGGGGAAGGTCCTGATCTCACCAAGTTCCCCAGAACTCCAGGGTCATTCCCATCGTGCAGGTGAGGAAGCCACCTGCCCCAGAGCCAGTGAGAAGCAGCAGAAGACACAGGGCTTGGCCCTACACTGCTCTGCTCCAGGACGGCCTACCTGCGCACCCACGTGCCCCACCCCTCTCCCCTGAGGGCTCCTGCCCCCCTGGGAGCCCCACAGCTCCCACAGCCCATCCTGGAGACACAGTCCATGCTTCCTCTAGAACACAGGGGACACCAGAATGAGAGGGGACGCCGGGGACGTTAGATGATGCCTCGGAATGGCAGATGGGAGGTGGAGGGACAGCCAGCTCCCCCTTCCCTTCCCTTCCCCCAGCTCTTGGGAATACTGGGCTTCGCAGGTGGTAGGGAGCCTGGGTGGGTCCCTGCAGCTCCCAGGCAGCCGAGGGCCAGTGAGTAATCAGGAGGCCACAGCCCCCTTGTTTGCAGTGGCCTCAGGACTGGGCCGGCAGAGCCAGGCTGTGGGGAGCAGAGGTGGGGCCTCTGGTCCCAGGAAAGAGAAGCAGATGTCGTCACTGGCAGGGCCTGGGCAGTGGGCGATCTGAGCCTCTGGCTTCCATCACCTGCCTGATGCCCCTGCAGTTCTGCAGGAAGGGCCCGGCTGAGGCTTGAGTGCAGCGCTGGGTCCTGCAGGAAGGGCCTGGCTGAGGCTTGAGTGCAGCGCTGGGTCCTGCCGGAAGGGCCCGACTGAAGCTTGGGGGCAGCGCTGGGCTGCATCTCCTTTCCTCAGGGGTGCTTCTTTGCCTGAGTTGCTGGGGGGCCACCCATCTCCTTCATCTGGGGTCTACATTGCCCCGGAGGGATTCAAACCAAGTGCTGGCTTCGCTGCCCGAGACTGGGTCCTGACTGGCGCCGGTCTGCTGTGAACCCGCTGGAATGTGCCCCTGCGGCCGTCCACACAGGTGTCCAGGGCTTGTCTGGAGTCTGGTGGTTATGGTGTCACTGCCCGGAAGCACGACCCCCAAGCCTCCAGCCGCAGCCCCAGCAGGTGTGGAGTAGCTAGAGATGGTGTCAAGAAAGGTCCTCCGTCCTGGGTTGGGGAGGCAAGACTGGGGTCCAGACAGCAGGCCAGGACCCCGGGTCCATGACACCCCGGACTTGATGGTCCTCTGACTGTGGCCCAACGCCACAGCAGACCAGCGGGTCCCCGAATCTCACTGCCCAGGAGAGGCGGGCAAATGGGACCTCAGGCCCCTCCCAGGCAGCTGCTGGGAGGACACAGGCCCTCTTGGGAAGGAACAGCCTCGCAGCTGTGAACTCACGCCCACACCGATAACCTGCTCCTAAGGCCGCTTCTGTCCCAGGAAGACCAGAGGGGCTTTTCCAGCCTATCAGAATCCAGGGTGGATCACCAATGCCATTTCCCCTTTTGGGGCTGAACAGGGCATTCTGTTCGGCTGAGATCAGAGGCAATGCTCTCTGTGGAGGATGAGGACGTGGAAAATGAGGAACTCTCCCGGCCGGCCTGGCCTGGGACACGACGCTTTCAGGAGGACCGGGCGCAGGGAAGCTTGGGCTTGGGGCGAGGCCAGCTTGGAAACAACGTCATCAGCCTGGTGTTCTTGGAGGACTTGTCTCCAGCAAAACCCCCACCAGCCGGAAACAGGGGCAAAGCGGCCTGACCCCCAAGGCACCGACTCTGGCCCCCTCCTCCGTGCAGCACCTGGGGAGGGGGACTGGCACCTGGAGACTCCCAGGGCCAGCATCCAGTGCCGAAGGGGGAAGCCACAAGCCCTGCCAGAGGGGGACCCCCAGAGAGGAGGGATGGGAGGGGCAGGGAGGGACAAAGAGCGGGGCTGTGCAGGGGGAGGAGCTGTCCATGCACCCCTCACCCTGGCAGGGTGTGGACGCGCCAGGACGGTGTGGCACTCCCTGACCTTCACGAAACTCAGATACTGGAAAACCCACAGGAACGCACCCGGGACCCAGGCACACCCGGGACGGGGACATGAGGTTTTCCTCCTCTAGGGCACACACCAGTGAGACGCAGGGCCCGGGACCCCAGGAGTTAACTCACAGCAGCCCTGCCAAGTCCACACAAAACTGGCAGGGCCTCCCAGTCCCTGGGAACCTGGCAAGCCCCAAAGCGTGTCCCGGGGCAGCCCAGGGGCAGAGCTGGCTTTGCCGGCTAGCCGGACGCTGGGTTCTCCCCAGCTGGGGTGTCAATGTGTGAGCTTTGAGGGACGTGTGGGCCTGGACAGCCCTTGGCTGGACGCAGGACGGGATGGGCCTGTTCCACAGAGGCGACGGATGTCTGTGAACCTGGCTTTCGGCAGCCCCCTCCCAGCCTCCTCCTCGCCCGTGGGGCTTGGCACACCCCACCCCCAAGGAACCGTCATAAATCCGCACAGCCCCTCCCCCTGCTGTTCTTGGTAGGCCCTGGAACGGGATCCCCACTGTGGGGTGAGGGGCAGGGCGGCCAGGCGGGCAAGGAGACGGGGTGGGTGGCCCCCTACCCAGGCCACCGTGTTAAAATTGTAGATGCGGCTGTCTTTCGAATTTGGGTTCCTGTGAGCAGTGCATCCTCTGCCACCCCCGACCAAGATGCCTTGAGAAGCCGGGTGTCTGCACCCCAGGGGTGGCCCCCAGCCCCGAGACGCCCCCGCACCAGCCTCAGGTGCCCGGGAGACCTGGCAAAGGGACCGGCTGCCCCTCACTGGCTGTCACTCCCACAGCCATTTTCTCCCTAGAAACTTTCCTCCAACCAGACAGCTCTGCCGGCTCCTGCGGGGCGCTTTCATCCGCTCCCAGCCTGGCTCCATGCCAAGGCCCGAAAGATGCCGTCGGCTTCCTGGCATTGCACAGCCACCCAGAAACCAGCTCTGGGATTCGCCTGGGAGGAAAAACACAGCCCCGAATCGGGCCCGTCCAGACCCATTTTGCCTACCAAGGAGGCCCTCCAGGAAGGAAGACGAGGAGCTCGGTTCCCAGAGGCCGCGACGGGATTCGCGAAGGGCATGGCTGTTTCCATTCTGACTGAAGCCTGCTGACGCCTGGTGGCACGACGGGCTGCCCCTGCCGCTCGGGGGTCCGGGTGGGCTCGCGGCCGCCCTCCTTGCCGCCCAGCGTGGAGGGCACTGGGGTGAGGCCGGCGGCCGCGTGGCACGGCCTGATCCTGCCTTTGCCGGACATCTTTACCCCGGGAGCCCCAGGCTCACACAAAGCAACACACAAAATGCAGCCCACGTCCATAAAAAGCACTTTGTTTAATTTTATCAAATCGATCTGTACAAAAGTTAGCGTTGCTTGGTCAGAAAGGAGTGAAGGCAGCAGGGGAGTGAGGGTGCGTCCTCCGAACGCGGTGCCAAGGGAGACGCTGCATGAAACGGGTCTGCGACGGCTCCCGGCCCCCACCCCCACCCCCAGAGAAATAGAAGCAGAGGCATTATCTTTTTTTTCTACAAAAAAGTAGGAAAAGTAGAAAAAGTACAAAGAAGCAACTTCTCGGCTGTGTTTAAGTTTACAAAGTTTAAAGGCACAAGTTTCCGTGAAGTAGGCGCTATTGTATGCTCTATGCTCAGCACACAGGGGAAGCAGTGCAGGTGAATCAGGTATGACTCGTCTAGAACTGAGGCCCTAACGACGTTTAGTGGAGAAGGTTTAGTTTCACAGCTTGGTAGGTGGCACTGGTGCCTGCGAGCCAAGATCACTTCTGAAGCCACCACTTTCCAGGAATTCCTGTGTCCTGTGTCCTACCACATGGCACAGTCATGGGCAAGGACCCAGGAATTCCTGTGTCCTATGTGTCCTACCACGTGGCACAGTCGGGGACAGGGACGGAGTCCTGCTTCCCAAACCCCAAACTGGTACTGGGTGCTGGGGCACCCCAACCTGATCAGAGATGTCACAAGGCAGGTCCCTTCTCCTCCCTCGGGTTTTCGGTTGCCAAGCTCGAGGCATGAGGGGCCCAGTCCTCCCAGGGACCTTGGGACCTCCGGGCCCTCCAGGGCGGCCTCCCATAAGCCGAGCAACGAGCAACGTGATGCCGGCCAACAGCTGCAACTCCACCTCCTGCCTGCCCTCAAGGGAAGCTTCCCAGCTTCCGTTTTGTCTTAAATTCTACTCTTTGCCCGAATTACCTCATTAATTAAAGATAAAATAACACAGAACATAAATACATCTTTAACAGCTTTCAGAAGAAACACATTTAAGCTTCAAAAATAAAAATTATCAAAAACATAAAAATAAAAGAGAGATGTGTTCATCACAGCCAGCCCTCGCGTGAGCGCACTCTGCCAGCAAGGAGACACCTCAGATCTGACAGGCAGGTCCCGGAGATGCTCGAGTAGACTCATCCCAGTCTGCGGACAGACACCCCGGATCCCGGACAGCCCGTGCAGCCGTTGTCGAGGGAATGTGGCCTTGAGTGCAGGGGCTCTCGGCGCCAAGACCGGCCTGGACCTCACAGCGCCCTGCAAGGCCCCTGCCACCCCCTCCTTTGGTCCTTGGGCTGTGCTGCCGTTTCTCCTCTACCGAGATGCAAAGCGAAGGTGCTGGTGCCGCCAGTCCTCACGGAAGAGGGACCAAACGGCAGCCCTTCTTTGTGGAATAATCCCACCACCTCAAAAAGAAAGATAGAAGGGAGAGGGAGCTGGTCCGTCGTCGGCAGAGGTGTGGCCATCTGGAGGCCGAGGGCCACGGGCAGCAAGCGTGTTTCCCTGCAGACTTCAGCAGGCACTTGGAGCTCAGCCACTGGGGCCCCTCCCGCCCTGGTCACACACACTGGGCCGGGACAAGGCTGCCCCCTGACGCCTGCGAGTCCCTCCCCGCGGCTGGGCCCTCAGGGCCTGGTCAGGGTGGTGTACACCGGCTGGTCCCAGTGACTGGTGGGGCTGTGGGCGGGCGGCAGGGCCAGGCCGTTGAGCAGGGGTGAGGCGTAGGGCCGGCGCGGCGAGTGGAAGCAGGGGTACTGGTAGAGGCCGGGTGCGTAGCCAGGGTAGGCACCATAGTAGCTGGAGGCCTGCAGGTCGCCATAGTCGCCCTGTGAGCCGGCGAAGGGGCCGGCGGGGGCGGCCGGGGTGGCGCTGGACTGGCCGCTGCAGGAACCGTAGTCGGGCGAGCCTCGGGGCTGGTCGCCGTAGTGGCCGGGGCTCGGCTGCTCCGTCTTGATGTGCGGCCGTGGGGGACCCGTCTCGGTGGGCGACGCGGAGGCCGACGGGGCACTCTTGTGGGCCCACACGGGGGACGCCCCGGCGTGGAAGTAGGCGCCCCCATAGGCCTGGCCCGGCTCGGGTGGGGCGGGGCCGCCCAGGGGCAGGTACTGGTCGAACTCGTGGACGTCGAAGGCGTCCATGGTGCCCATGACCTCGCTGCTGAGCTCCGAGATGTCCACGTTGCTGAAGTCGATGTTCTGGCGCCCGCTGTCCACCGGCCGGCGTCCCTCCAGCTTCAGCTCCGGCTTGGCGCCCGCCTGCTGCAGCTCCGTCTTGGGGGTGGTGGGCGGGGTGGGCGGCCCGTGGGTCTGCCCTGGGGACAGGAGAGCAGGCTTCAGGGATGAATGCCCCTTCTGTGGGGCGGGTGGGGCCGGCCAGGCTGGAAGGGGAGGGACGCCCGCGCTAACTGCCAGGGGGATCAACGGCTTTTTGTTTCTTTACATTTCCCAGAAATTCCAGCAAAGTCAGACCTAGACCTCACTCCTCGGCCGAGAAAATTCCATGAAGCGCTGTGCTATGAGAAGACCCGAGGCCCCTCCCAGAGACCAAGGTGGGGGGAAGAAGCCGACAGGCCCAGCCTGGCCAGAGCTGGGGTTTACAGGGCGCTGGGGGACCACACAGACCCTGTTCCTCCCCGGGCCAGCCAAGCACTCTGAGGCTGGCGGGCGTCAGCCAGCCTGACCGAGGCCCCGGCAGGACTCCACCCTGTCAGTCTGGCCCTGAAGCTGGGGCTGCTGAGTGCCGTGTGGGCAGCAGCTCGGTGTGGGAAGAGGAGCCCGCATTGGACTGAGTCTTGCTGAAAACACCACCTCTCGGGGTCCCTGCCAAGCAAAGCTGTCAGCCCCTCAGCACTCAAGGTGGCTAAGCAGGTCCCTCGTGCACCAAAAACAGGGGCGGCCGGGGCCTTGGGAGCTTTTTCAGGGAACCCGGGGAAGGCCCGGTTCTCTCGAGGGCGCCTGCCCCCCTCCACCATCATGCACCCTTCTCAGCCAGAAACCCCACAGCTGCCTCCCATACAGGGACCCTCAGATATGCGGGGGGCCTGGAGCCCACCTGTGTGGTCGCCATGGTGGTGCCCATCTCCAAGCCCTGCTTCAGCCTTGTACACGGCACCGCCGCCAGGGTGGGGTCCCAGCTCCGCGCCCGAGTCGGAGTCGCTGTGGCCGGCTTTGGCGCTCTTCCTGCGCCGTGGCTGGTACTTGTAGTCGGGGTGGTCCTTCTTGTGCTGCACGCGAAGGCGCTCTGCCTCCTCCACGAAGGGCCGCTTCTCGCTCTCGCTCAGCAAGCTGCAGCACAGGGCAGAGGCAGGGATGGCCAGGGCGCCCACTGTGCCCTCGGCGCAGGCACACACCACAGGGGGAACCGGCAGCAGAGGCCGGGGCCAGGAGGCTCTGACCAGGGAAACCCGCCTGCCGTGCGCTCCGGAGCCTCCCGTGGCACCAGGCAGTACACTCCTCTGGGAGAACCGGCCGGCGCCTGTTTGGGAAGGTTGGTATGCTTACGACAGCCAAAGAAGAACAAGCCCCACGCCTCCCATCTTCCTCCTTCTATTTCCCCCTATTCCGGGCCTGCTGTTCCCTCCCTCTGGGGCTTTCTAAGGGAGGCGGGGGAGGCGGGCAGGACCCAGCCGGCGGTGGACAAAAGCGAGGCTTCCCGGGAACGGTGCCGGCCTTCGGCGGGCAGCTGGGCTGCTGTCCCTCCATTCCCAGACACCCAGAAGCCCTGGCAGGGCCCAGGCGCCCGTCCTCACTGAGCCACAGGACACACTCCTTGGGACTCTTCCCGAGGCTCACCTCCAACCGCCTGTGCGGCAGGACTTGGGGGAGCAGGGGCCTGCCGTCCACAGCGCCCCGTGGCTGCGCCCTAGATCCAGACAGAAGGCAGGAGGTGCAAATACGCAAGCTCCAAGCTCCCTTCTTCCAGGTGAGGAGCAGGATACGGGAACCAGAGCCCCAAACCAAGAGAACCATTTGAAACCCAACCAGAGGACACTCGGTGGGGGCGGCCTGTCCTGAGCAACAAGTTCTTCACTCTGCAGTCCTAATTTCTGGAAAACTGACCGGCCCCACCACGCCAAGGCGTGCACACGGCGCACCCCGTCATCTCCACTCCTGCCCTCCCTGCTTCGGACCGAGGGTGTCCAGGAGAGGGAGAAACTGCGGGGAGGGTACTCGCAGGCAAACCTGCTGCCCACCCATCCGCCTGCCGCACTCCCTCCCCATGGGTGGTCCAGGAGCTAGAGGAGCTGAGCCCTTTCTAAGGAGGGAGCACCTCCAGAGAGCCGCATGCAACTTGCTGTCGTGCCGGGCGTGCCTCCCGGGGCTGGGGCCACTCGCAACGGCTGGAGGGCACGTCGGGGTGCCAGCCATGGCCCTCCGCAGGGTGTTCCCCGCCAGGAGAACTGGCTCCAGAGCGCACCCGCCACGAGGGTGCACACCCCAGGCGCTGCCCTCCGCGGATCCCGACTCCCATAGCTGGCGCCGGACCCCGGCTGGCCAGAGGATGTTTTTCCACTGGGACCCGCCCTGACACCCGCCCGGGGTGCAGAGCCCGGAGCCTGCGTGTGGCCACCACCTCCGCGAGCTCTGCGCCCTCCAGGCCCCCGCTCGCAGTCCGAGACCAGGGGCGGCCAAGGTCCCGAACCCCGCCCCCGGGGCGCCGGCACTCACCGCCACAGCTTGCCCAGCGTCTTGCTGAGCTCGGCGTTGTGCAGGTGCGGGTACTGGTCGGCCAGCTTGCGGCGCGCCGCCTGCGCCCACACCATGAATGCGTTCATGGGCCGCTTCACATGCGGCTTGGCTTTGAGCGCGCCGCCGCCGCCGCCGCGCACCGGCATGGGCACCAGACTCCAGTCGTAGCCCTTGAGCACCTGCGACACGGCGTCGCGGATGCAGGCCGGGAAGCGCTCGTCCGCCGCCTCCGCCGGGTCGCCCCGGGCGCCCCCCACCGCGACCCCCGCGCGGCCCAGGCCCTCGGAGCCGGCGGGAGACGGCGGCGCGTCCGAGTCCGAGTCCTCCACGTGCGACATGGAGCTGGCGGTGCCGGACGGGCTGCAGGGCGGCTGGGAGCGGGCCTCGCTCATGTCCAGCATCGGGGCCGCGCGCGGAGGGGCGCGCACAGGAGACGCGCACCGGGGCCGGCGCCCGGGGCTGCCCTGCGGTCGCTCCGGGACCCGAGGTCGCCGCGCGGTGGCCCCGACCCTCGCCCCTGCCGCCGCCGCCGCCGCCGCCGAGGCTCGGGTCCCGCTGCGGGACCCGCAACAAGTTTCTTTAAGCGGCGGCCCCGCGGCCCCGCCCCGCGCCCGGCTACCCATTGGCGGAGCGCGCCCCGATCCCCCGGAGGCGGAGCCCGGCCGCCCCCGCCCCCCCACCCATAAAGAAAGCTCCGCGGCTCTCGCCGCGCCCCCGCCTGCCCCGCCCGGCGCCGCACCACGTGGGCCAGGCGCCCCACGCCTGGAGCTCCCCTCTCTGGAGCCCCGGGAAAGGAAGCGGGGCAGGGAGGCCGGGTGGGAGCAGGGGGGTCTCCGGCGCTTCCTCTCCTCTGCGGGCGCCGCGCGGCTCCTGAGAGTCCGCCCCCCGTCCTGACGCTCAGCTAGGAAGCGGGTCCTCGGGCCCCTCCCCCGACACACACACACACACACACACACACACACACACACACACACACTCTCTCTCTCTCTCTCTCTCTCTCTCTCTCTCTCTCTCTCTCTCACACACACACACACACACACAGCCCGTCTCGCGCCTGAGGTCTCGCCCGCAGGCCGGTGGCGCGGGGTCAGCTGCTGCCTGCGGTCCAGGACAGGGTCGGTTCCGCCGCGCAGCGCCCAGGCCCAGCTCGTCCAGAGTCTGCGGACAGCGCACGTCCAGGTAACGCGCTTCAAGGGGCCGCGGCTCGGAGCTGGGGGACCCCGGGCCGCCCTGCCCATACGAGTGCGAGCGTGGAGAGCGCGGGCGGGGGCGCGGTCCCGGGGGCCGGCCAGCTGGAGGGGGCGGGAGCGCTGGGCGGGGCCTGCGCTGACCCCGGCGCTGAGTCCCTGGGGCCGCCGGGCGGATGGCGTGGCCGGACGCGGGGGCCCCGGGCCTTCCGGGCGTGACCTAGGGCTCGGGGGCGGGGAGGCCCCTCCGGCGGGGCGGCCCTGGGTGGTCCGGCAGAGGCGGAGGCCGCTCCGAGCCTGTGAGCCCTGGGCGCCTGCGGAGGCGGGGAGAGGGCGGGGTGTGCCGCCCTGGTGGGGACCGCGGGGTCGGAGAGGGGACATTGCCCCCCCCGAGGCGAACGTCCAACCGCGGGTCCGGGTCCCCGCCCAAGGCCGCCCCGCGAGGTGGCCTCGGCCCGGCCGTCCCCGAGGGTGGCTCGGATCCTTTCAACCAGCGCGCTGGAGGCGAAGGGGCTGCGCCATTCCGGGTCAGGCAGCCAACGCGGGACACGCGCGTCTCCGAGCTTGCGGCCCGCGAAACCCGGGTGACCTACCGCGCCGGTGCCCTCAAAGCCCCCACGCCCGGGCCGGTGGCCGCTGCAGCCACTGAGCCACGCGGTCTCCCCGGCCCGGTCGGCAGAAGGAGCTGGTCCGTTACTAGAAAAGTCCAGATGCAAAGTCGGGGGTCGTGCTGCCGCTTCCTGCCAGCGCACCGCACCCACCTGGGGCCGCCACCGACCGCACAGGACGCGCCTCCTACCCCCTGTTCTGGCCCGGCCGAGAGCTGGTGCCCCCAGCGGCCGCCCGCCCCCGTCCGCAGACCCCGGGGCCCTTGCTGCTTTGCATTGGGAACAACCGGAGCCAGGCCCGGAGCTGAGGGGGCCAGGGCCTTTGGAGGAAGCATTGGCCTCCAGGCTGAAGAGCAAGGGCCGTGTCACCTGCCCGGAGGGCGGTCTCATCTCTGCAGCCAGGTCAGAGGAAGCAGCGGTGGGGAGACGGAGTGCGCGAGTTGGGAGGCTCCACGCATCGTAGGTGGAGAGCTGGCTGCCAGCCTGGCCTGCCCTCTCTTCCCCGTCCCACCATCTCGCTTGGCTCCGGCACCTGCCTGGGAAGACCCACACCTCCGTCTGCAGTGCCTCTTCCCCCTGGAGGCCCTGCCCTCCGCTCGGGGTCCCCGCATCCTTCCGTGGCCCTCAGAGCATCGCCTGGGGCGCCCGCGGAACTCATCTGTTAGGCCTGGGATGCAGGCAGGCAGAAGTGGGGGTTTAAGTGGAAGCAGTGAGGGTGGGGGTCCGGTCCAAACTGTGCCACCTTCCACCCCCTGCCCCTGGGAGAGCAGACATCGCCCACTCGGGCTCACAGTGCCATCCGGGTGAGGACCTCCGTGGAGAGCTCTCTTTGCCAAAGAAAAGCAGTTGCATTAGGTCTGCGAGCAGGCAGGGTGGCCTCTTCCTGGCTCCCCATCCACCAAGGAAGCTTCAAGTCCCTGGGACACAGGTGGGGAACTCCAGCACCCCTGGAGGAAGGGAGACTGAGGTTGGGGAGTGGCATCCAGGCCCTGACTCTGGGGCACGGTGGTCTGTGCAACTGAGACCCTGCCTCAGGCTCCAACAGCGCCTGCTCCTTTCCCCAGGTTGCAGTGATCACCAGGGGAGGTGCTGGGCGTGCAGGCTGCCACAGGAGGGGTGGGGAGGTGGGGAGTCTCTGTGGCGGGGTGGTGGGGGCCTAGGCCAGTCAGCTGAGGACGTGTTGGTGCACTCCCGGGAGGGCGGTATGTGGGTGAGGATCCCCATGCAGAGTGGTGCCCACAAACCCCCCTTCCAGAGTCATCTCTGGTCCACCTTGAAGTCCCCAGGAAAATGACCTCGTCCTCCGCGGGTGTGAGCCACTAGGCCTGAGAGGACGCCGGGACGGAGCTTTCAGAGAGGGAGGTGTCGGGATGGCTTGAGGGTCACCAGGTATTAATTAAGCACTTGCTGTGTGCCAGGCACTTTCCCACACAGGATGGAGCCGGGCCACCCTCACAGCTCCTGCCCTGCAGACGCTGGCCTTGTGGAGGGAGGCAGGCAGCAGGTAACTCCAAAAGCACCTCTCAGAGGCGGGGACTTCAGGAAGGATGGTCTGGGAAAGCATCTTTGGTGTCATTTAAGCTGAGCCCTGAAGCTTCTGATCTCCTGCAGGGAGAGGCCAGCGTGTTCCCTGGGGAAGCTAGAGCAGAGTGTCTGATGACAAGAGATGGACCCGGGGGTGGAGAGTGGAGGGGCAGCCATCAGAGCCACCTCTGAGTCCACCTGATGGGCCCATGTCTTCATCCAGGGGGGAGCTGCACACACACCCTCCTCCCCTGTCTCCCATCCCTGCCCCACCCCTTCAGCTGGGGCCTGCTCCGCCGTGTCTGCATGGCCCCACCCACCCTGACCTCACCACCTGCTAGTGGGCCTTGCAGTTTCAGGGGGAGTGTACGTTTCAAGTATACCCTGATGGGGGAATCTGGACCAGGGCTGTCCCCTGGGCCGTGAGTGCCGGGCGTGGAGAGCTGGTGTAGATGACATTTGTAGCTCCACATGCCCTGGCCTGGGCGCCAAGGACAGCCGCAGAGAAGAATGTGGGTGGACAGGCTCTGCTGCCCATGAGATGGTGCAGGGATGGCCTGGGGGATGCTTCCAGATGAGAGACCACCCCACCCTACCCGTGGCTCCTAGGGATGGCGACCCCGGAGGCGCGTGTGTTCATGTGTGTGTGTGGTGTGTGTTTGTATGGTATGTAATGTGTGATATGTGTATGGGATGTATGTATGGGGTGTGTTTATGGTGTGTGTGGTGCGTGTATAGTGTGTATGGTGCGTGTATAGTGCGTATGGTGTGTATGGTGTGTGGTGTGTATGTGTATGATGTGTGTGATGTATGTGTGTGGGGTGCGTGTATGGTGTGTGGTGTGTGTGTGTGTGTATGATGTATGTGTGTGGTGTGGTGTGTGTATGGTGTGTGGTGTGTGTGTGTCCGTGTGTGTTTGGTGTGGTGTATGTGTGCAGGGTGTGGGTGTGTTTGTGTGTGTGTGATGTGTGGTGTGCGTGTGTATGATGTGTGTGTGTGGTGTGTGTGTGTGCGTGTATGTGTGTGGTGGGGTGTGTGTATGGTGTGTGGTGTGTGTGCGTGTGTATGATGTATGTGTGTGGTATGTGTGTGGTGTGTGTGTTTAGTGTGTGGTGTATGTGTGCAGGGTGTGGGTGTGTTTGTGATGTGTGGTGTGCATGTGTATGGTGTGTGTGTGTGTGTGGTGTGTGTTGGGCCCAGGGCACGAGGAGGAAGCAGGGCTGCCCAGGGAAATGCCACCCTGGAGAGGCCCCTGTCCCTCCCTCTCCGTCCTTCCCTGTGCCCCTCCGTCCCTCCCTGCCCGTCCTCCCCGTCCCCCTCCATCCACCCCCAACCCGGCCCTCCTCCTGCGGCAGGCAGCCCATCTTTTGTGCGGCCTCTGAGAAGCACAGGGAGGGCCCGGCGGGCGTGAACCCGCTGGCAGCCGGTGTGTGCACAGCCTTGGCCCGGGCCTCCCAGCCCCTGCATCCCGAGCACCCGTGGGGCAGTTGGCAGCGTCCTGGCACGGCCTGGGAGATTAATTGGTGCTTTTAATGACGGCTGGTCTGGCAGAGACAGAGTGACTACAGGCTGGGCCGGCGCAGGCTGTGAGCAGAGGCTGGGAAAGGCCCCGCCCCCGGACGGGTCTCCAGGGGAGAGGAGGGGTTCGCAGGACCCCTCTCAAGACCCCCTTCGGGAGTCAGCTTCTTGGCCACGCACACTTGGAGCTCTGGGCTGGGTTGCAGCTCCCTGTACTTCACTGTCTCGGGTGCTGGCAGTGCCAGCTGGGGCACGAGTTCCGGTTTGGGTCAAGGCTGGCCTGTTGGCTGGGGTGGCGTCTGCCTGAGAACTGGCCTTGTCTGTGCCTTAAGCTTCCTGGCGCTCACAGGGCAGTGGAAAACCACTCAGTGAGTCTTTCTTGGCACCTTGCAGGAGCAGTGCTTTCTGGGCCTCTGTAGCCAGAGCTGGCCCTGCTGCAGCTTACGTCTGCCTGCAGCCCAGACGTCCTCCTGGTCCTCCTGATGCCCCCGACCTCCACGGAGGACGAGCATTTCCAGCCCAGCCCTCCCCATCTTCACCTCGCACTCCCCTGACACACTGGGAGCCTCCTGATCCGTGAACCCGCGCTGGCGGGAGTAGCTACTGACCGCTGGGGACCCCTGCCCAGGCTGTTCGCATGTGGAAAGGATTCAGGGAGCAGGCGATGCCCAAAGCGTGGAGACCAGCACTGCTCTCTCCCCAGTGACAGGTGCACGCCCAGATCACGGATGTGTCGGGAACAGCTGTGCTCCTGCTGCTCAGCGTCCGTCACTCCAGGCTGGGAGCGGGTCCCCAAGCTTCTGGCTGGGCCTATCCGTCTCCACTCTCAGTGTGGGGGTGGGGGGCGCCAACAGCACGCATTTGCTCTCTGCACTTCTCGTCTGATAATGGGCAGAGGGTCCTTCTGCAGCCCCAAAACATCCCTAGGCAGGAGCCCTGGGGCCCCAAGCAGCCAGGGAGGTGAGCACCAAGGACCTCCCAGAGAGCGTCACCTTCCGTCGAGGGAGGCCCAGCCTGGGGGCGGTGTCTGAGACTTGGAATCAACGCTTCCGTTGGTGGCAGTAAATCCTGTCCCTAACCCTGCAGTACAGCTGTGCCGTGTACAGGAGGGTGCTGTCTGACGCCAGACACCTGGACTACAGATCGCAGCCTGATTCCTGGTCATTGCTCCACTGAACCCCAGACCCCAGCCTCGTTCTGGGCCCTCATCCCCTAGATCCAGGGACCCCAGCCCCATTTCAGCCCTTGGGCCCTTGTAGGATGCGAGGCCCTGGGCCCCAGCCCCCAGCCCATCCGTGGCCCAGGCACTGGGGGGCTGAGGTCCTCTGAGAAGGGACACAGGGCCTGGGGGGCTCTCTCAGCCCATCAGCAGGAGAGGACTGACTCCAGAAAAATCAGCGTTTGTACCCACTCAGGCTGCCAAGACCTGTGTCCGTCCTTCCAAGCTCAACCTTCAGAGTTCATGAGGCCCCTTGCCCAGAATGTCCACAGAGTTCATGAGGCCCCTTGCCCGGAATGTCCACATTTGAAACCTCCCAACACCGAGCCCCATTTCAAGTATAACCAGGAGGGAAAATGGTGCTTGAAATAAGCATGCCACAAAGGAAAACCTGCTTTCTCGAAATGGGCCCTGGCCGCCCAGGCCCTGACCTCCCCGGCCAGGATGGAACGTTCCAGAGACCCATTAGTGCCAAAGGCAAATGAAAACACACCCTGTGAAAATGTCTCTGCTGTCTCCCAAGTATTTATTTTTCTGAGCGTGGGGAAGGAAGGCTTAATTAAGATGCCCTCAGGCGGGTACGAGGGGCAAAGTGGGAGCAGGGAGCGTGCTTCCTCTGTGGCCTTGGTTCAGACAACAGCCTTCAGCAAAGCTTTGCTCTAGAGGCTCATAGGAAGGGACAGAGGGCACAGGCCCAGCTCAGCCTTTCCCCTGCCTTTCTTGGGGCCTGGGCATGGACAGCACCGCCTGGCGACACACAACGGTGGGCTCTGAGGCTGTTTGTTACGCAGCATTAATGTGGCCGTCGGTGACCGCTACACGGTGACTGATAACTGCACTGTGGGTAGAGCTCAGCCCGCAGGGCTCTGGTTTGTGACCTCTGGGCCAGGCAACTCTCAAGGCTTCTTCCAGTGCAGAATATGATTCCTAGAGAAAAAAAAAAAATTACACATTCGTTTCCTAACATAGGGCCCTGCAACCGGAGAACACCACCACATTGGGAGCTGTGCTTTCCACTGTCTAGAAACCATGGCTTGCCAGCTTGCAGGGTCACATGGAGCCGCATCTCCTTCTGGGGTGCAGGGGTGGGAACACTCGTGACCTGTAGCCGAGGGTGCAGGGAGAGGACAGGGTGAGCCAAGCAGAACAGCCGTCTGTGAGTCATCGTCCCAGGACAACCAGCAAATGGCACAACACCTGCTCTCTCAGCCCCCACCCGCACCTGCCAGCCTCACGTGGGGGGTGGGGGGGTTGGCCGCTGGACAGTCACAGCAGGATCTGCCCAAACTGACCACCCTTCCAGGAGGAGGCAACAGATGTTAGCATCCACGGGTCCTGGGCCCCCCTTCCATACCCAGACTTCAGGACATGAAAAATTGGGGTAAATGAAGGGTGCACGATTATCTTCGGGCCCACACTGGCTTCCTGCGGGTGCCAGAGACAGCTGCCACCGCATGCCAGGGACAATGGCCCCGAGGAGGCGGGAGCTGCCAGGCCGGGGTGCTGGGGGACAGCTGGACGAGGTGCCGACAGGGGCTCATTCCTCCCTGAAGCCGGCCCGCAGCTGCTGGGAGCGTGGCCAGCCACGGGCTTGTGTGTGCCTGGGTCCTGGGGGCTGTGCTGGCGCAGGCCGGGACGGCGGGGACAGGGTCCCACCTAGGGCAGGCTGGTCGGTCTCCGGGGAGGCAGCCCAGTCTTCAGCCTGCGTGCTCTTGGGGTGTCCGTCCCTTCCTCCCCATTCTCCTCCTCTTCTCAGCGTCTTCTCCCCCAGCACCGGGCAGCCCTGGGGTGGCCGAGCCTCATCTCCACTCCCCTCCCTCAGGCCTCTCCTGGGTCAGCCTGGCTTTTTCTCTTAGAGTTTTTGCTTGACAGGGCACTCTCAGGACGCCCTCCTCCTCCTCCCGCCTCGGGTTGGTGTGAGGCGCTCAGGGCAGGGCCCACGTGCCTGTGGTCACAGGACACTGAGCTGCAGGGTGAAAGGACCACACCTGGCCGATCTCCCGGCCGCTGCAGCTCACTCTGGGTTTGCAGAGAAGCCTGTTTTTAAGTGAAGTGCCTTCTTAGAGAATAAGACACACCTGTATCTAAATGTTATTTTTAAACTGCTAGATGCGCCTTAATATAGACAAAGAAGTAAGGTGAGCGTAAATGACATGATGTATTCCGACAGGTGACAGCGCCTTCCGGGCGATTCTGAAACACCAGTGCAGGGCTGTCTGTTGTCTTTTGTTTTCATTTTACTTTTTTTTTTTTTTTTTGAGACAGAGTCTCGCTCTGTCGCCCAGGCTGGAGGGCAGTGGCACGATCTCGGCTCACTGCAAGCTCCAGCCCCCGCGTTCACGTCATTCTCCTGCCTCAGCCTCCCGAGTAGCTGGGACTACAGGCGCCCGCCACCATGCCCGGCTAATTTTGTTGTTGTTGTTGTATTTTTAGTAGAGACGGGGTTTCACCGTGTTAGCCAGGATGGTCTCGATCTCCTGACCTCGTGATCCACCCGCCTCGGCCTCCCAAAGTGCTGGGATTACAGGCGTGAGCCCCGGTGCCCGGCCTCATTTTACTTTTCTAAAATTCGAGGCGAAATTCACATAGCATGAAATAAGCCATTTGCCAGTGAACGACTCGGTGTTTAGCACCTCACAGTGCTGGGCAGCCATCGCCTAGTTCCAGAAGATTCTCATCAGCCCAAAAGAAAACGTCCTACCCCCGGACCACTGGCTCCCCACTCCCCGTCCCCAGACCTGGACCACAGAGCTCCCTCCTTTCCCCGTGGCTTTGCCCACCCCGGACATTTCATGTAAATGGGCTCACGCAACTCATGACCTCCGCGTCTGTCCTGTCCCACTGAGCTTGATGTTCTGAGGTTCATCTGTGTTGTAGCACGTGTCAGAACTGGATTCCTTTTTATTTTATGTTTTATTTTAGTGAGACAGAGTCTCGCTCTGTGGCCCAGGCTGGAGTGCAGTGGCGCGATCTAGGCTCACTGCAACCTCCACCTCCCGGGTTCAAGCGATTCTCCTGTCACAGTCTCCCGAGTAGCTGGGATTACAGGTGCCCGCCACCACACCTGGCTAATTTTTTTGTATTTTTAGTAGAGGCGGGGTTTCACCATGTTGGCCAGGCTGGTCTTGAACTCCTGACCTCAGGTGATCCACCTGCCTCGGCCTCCCAAAGTGCTGGGATGACAGGCGCCCGGCTCCTGGATTCTTTTTGATGGCTGAATCATAACCCAGTGCACTTTTGATTAAATTCAGGCTGAAATGGGCACGACCAGAGCTGCTGGTCCACCTCTCCCCGGCCCAAGCCCTGCCCCCGGTGACCTGCTCTGGAGCCATTCTGGGCAGTGGATGGGACCCCTGCGGTCAGCGTCTCAAGAGAGCAGACCCTGAGGGAAACTTGAGCTCAGAGAGAACAGGAGCTCCCAGCAGACCCTTCCGCTGACTGCTCCCACCCTGGGCAAATGCAGAGCCGGAGCCCGGAGCGCTGGAAGCTGGAACAAGAGGCCCTTTTCTGCTCTGCACAATGCCCCATTGTGCCCTTCGCGGGGAGAGCAGCTCGGCCCAGCGAGGGGAAGCTGTGCACAAAGCCTCCTTGTGAGGGCAGCCCCACCTGAGGACAGCGCAGGGCCACACCTGACGCAGGGCAGTCCCTCTCGCCGTCCGTCCCCTAGCAGGCCTGGCACCCAGACAGGGCCCGCTCTGCAGGCGTGGTCCCAGGGTGTGGGGCTCCCTGTTCCCCACAGATGAGGGGAACAGTGTGGGCTGTGCCGGCCCTTCCTAAGCTGGCCCCCAGGTCACGAGGAGAGGTACGGGTCGTGGGCTCTGTGGAGGGACTTGGGTGCCGGGCGCCAGCCAGGGCCGATGCCTCCTGCGATCCCCAAGGCTCCGAGCCCTCAGGCACACACCACGCTCCCGGAGGCTGGGCCAGCATGCGGAGGATGTTTGTGTGTTCGTACCCGTTGCAACATCTTTAACAGGGTCCCATTTCACAGCTGGGCTCCTAAGGGGGGTTTCATAGAAAAGAAATGGAAACTAAAAATGAATTAAACCATAAGATGTACACGTATGCTACGGCCCCAGCAACACAGGGAAGGTGGAGGCTGAGAGGAAGCTCGGGCCACTGCTGGTCAGGCCTGGATTTGGGGGCCCGATGTCCACAGTCAGTCCCTGCCCACACAAGGCTCACACTGCAGGTGGTGAAGATATAATTAAACAGGTAATTAAACAAGCAATAAAGACGGGTCATTTGACCAACCCAGTGGCGATAATTGATACGCCAAAACACTAGGAAAGCTAGAGAGGCAAAAGAGAAGAATACATGAAAACAAAAACAAAAAACCAGGACAAATATTTCCAATATACACAAAAGAACAGGATTTTTCATACGTAAAGAGTGCTGACAAATGAATAAGGAGAAATCTGCACTTCCACCTAAGTGCCCCACAGTTTATTCACTAACCCCTAGGTCTCCAATGCCTACTCTAGCCTCACGCCCTTTCTTTCCTCTAAGGAATGCCTGTGACCCCAGCCCTTCCTAGCACCCGCTTCACATCAGCCTCCAGAACCCCGCTCCAGTCATCAGAGTGTAGAGTGCTGGCGTCCTCCTTCATGTTCTGTTTGGGGCATTGGGCAGTTAGCCCTTCCCTCCTGAGTCCTGAGTCCCCCTCTTCCCCCACAGCTTGAAGTCCAGTCCCAAGGGCAGGCAGGAGCTGGGTTGTGCAAAGGCGGAAGGGTGCTCAGGCTGGGAGAAAGGGGAGGGTCCCCCGAGCATTCCAGGCACAGCCCTGCCTACTCTGTCCCTTGCTGGCTGCGACGATCGCCCTAGCACCCTCCTCCGCAGAGAGTGAGTGTCAGCTGTGAGGCAGGGGCACGCAGTGGTAGCACCGCCAGGGCCTGTGCAGCCCACCTTCCCCAGGACCACAGCTGGGAAGGCGCCTGGCTGGGGGAGGGCACCTGGCCTCTGCAACTCGGACTGACGGAAGGCACGCGTGCCTGCCCCAGTGAGCTCGGGTCGGGCGACGCGCACCACCTCCCAGGTACCCGGCCCCGCGCCCTACCCGCAGCAGCGCCCAGCGAGAACTGCGAAGGAGGCAGGCTCCGGGCACCCGCTCCCGCGCGTGGGCGGGGCCGGCTGGAGGGGGCGGTGCCTCCGGGACTGTGAGCGGGGCCTCCCGGGGTGTGGGTGGGGCCTTCGGCCGTGGGCAGGGCCGGCCAGGGAGAGGCGGGGCCTCCGAGAATGGGCGGGGCCTCCGAGAATGGGCGGGGCCTCCGGGAGTGCGCCCTCCCCGCACATGCGCCCTGACAGCCCAACAATGGCGGCGCCCGCGGAGTCGCTGAGGAGGCGGAAGACTGGGTACTCGGATCCGGAGCCTGAGTCGCCGCCCGCGCCGGGGCGTGGCCCCGCAGGCTCTCCGGCCCATCTCCACACGGGCACCTTCTGGCTGACCCGGATCGTGCTCCTGAAGGCCCTAGCCTTCGTGTACTGTGAGTGCCGGGCGGGCCCGGGACATCCGCCAGTGTCACCTCCGCGCACCACGACCCCCGCCCTCCCTCGAGACTCCTCCGCGCGGTCTCGCGGCCGCGGCGCCCCCACGCAGCCCTCCTTCCTGCTGGGGCCCGGGCAAGGCGGGGCGGGCAGGGCAGGACAAGGCTTGCTGGCGACAGCGCACCCGGCCCTACCCCTGTCGCCGCCTCGAGCCTCCGGCCTGGGCTCCTGGGCTCCCGGTTCCACCCGCAGCCCCGAAGTTGCACGGCCGCGCCTGCCAGGACCGGCTCGGGGCTATGCGAGGCGGGGCCGGCCCGGGCCCTGGCCCAGGAGTTCCCAGGAGAGCTGGGCAGGTGGAGGGTCACCCGTCCGTGCGCAGGTCGGGGGTCTGCGTCCTGGCTGCGGGGCGGGGGGCGGCCTGGAGAGGCGAGGCGCTCCTGCTGTCCCCGACACAGCGCTGTGCTGACGGTGAAGGTTCCCACTGTAACTGGACGCCCGCACGCCACATCCCTGCCGCGTGCGGCCCCTGCCAAAATCCGAGGAGCCGGCCCGGGAGCCTCCTTCGCGTCTCCCAGGGGCTGAGGGAAGGTGACTGGCTGGTGGCCAGACTGGAGTTTCTCCTTTAGTGTTCTCGACTAGCTCAGTCTGCGTTCGGGAAGATTCCCAGCGGAGGTCTGGGGGCAGCTCCGGAACCTCATCTGCAAGTGAAGCCTGCGCCTCACTGTGGGATGTGGTTGGCCGGGTCCACTGGCGGAGACCCTTCACCCCACAGCTGTGCGGGGCCCGCGTGCGCAGCCTACAGAGCAGAGCTCTGAGAAAAGTCAGTTCACGCTCAAAACCTCTGGATCCCCTGGCCAGGGGCAGCTGGCGATTCCAACTCCCTCTCTCCCCAGTCCCTACAACCCAGAACTGGTTTGGAAGAGAACGGTTCTGTGATCACGGTGACATGTGATCACACGGATACATGTTTCATAAGCCCAACGTGTCAGGAGCTACGAACCTCAAGTGAGGCTCTCAAATGAGTATGGAAGTGAGGGGAGCCTGCCAGGCCGAGATGCAGCCAGCGGGGCGCGTGGGCAGTCACCGTCCCAGAGGGCTCCGGAGCTGCTGGCCCCGGGCGTTGCCCACGCGTTGGTTGTAGGCCGTGGGCATTGGACGTCTCCCTTTCCTTCCATCGTCTGCTTCCCTCACGTGTGGAAGGAAAGGGTCAGGTTGCAGAAGTTCTTCTTTGCACAGCCTTTGTGCCACACACGTCGCGGGAAGTTTGGTAGCCTGGTTGTGCTGGAGTGATGCTCAGTTCGACGTTTTGTGTGACATTTGTGTGATACTTTCCACCTCCTGGTGCAAAGTGATGAGACGCGCTCATCACTACAAGGTTTCCTGTGGGATTGCAGTATCGGCTTCAACTGGGTCTGTGTCTCTCTCTCTCTTTCTTTAAAGCAACTATTTTATTTTATTTATTTATTTTTTTCGAGACGGAGTCTCACTCTGTTGCCCAGGCTGGAGCGCAACGGCACCATGTCGGCCCACTGCAACCTCCGTCTCCTGGGTTCAAGCGATTCTCCTGCCTCAGCCTTCCGAGTAGCTGGGATTATAGGCACGCACCACCATGCCTGACTAATTTTTAAAAATATTTTTAGTAGAGACAGGGTTTCACCATGTTGGCCAGGCTGGTCTCGAACTTCTGACCTCAGGGCCTCCCAAAGTGCTGGGATTACAAGCGTGAGCCACTATGCCCGGCCTGCAATTATTTTAAAAAGTAGTTCTTCCCAGGTTGCTTTTCCCTCCACAGTATTAAACAGTCATTTTAAATGTTGGTGCTGTCACTTAGCAAACGATGAAGTAGAGATAAAGTGAAGCTGTGAGGCTCTAATAGGCCTTCCACAGGGGAGCCCGAGATACAGCAGGAAGTCCCAGCGGCCTTGCCTCCGGAGCACAGCTTCATAAAACCAGCTCAGACTCTTTCAAACGAGCTGAGGCTCCTTTGATCTCCGCAGGGATTCTCTGTTCAATTCAGAAGGAACTGCTTTTAAGCCACTGGGTCAAGCGGATATTTTAAGCCTGGTGCCCAGCATTGAACATTTCTCCTTGACATATGCACGTTCTTCTGTCTTGTGAGTACATTTGGGGTAGAATCAGTGTTTTTCTGCTGTATCAAGGAACCAGTTTCCCATCTTTCAGGGACATGGTTTTCTGGCTGAGCTGGCCCAGGGCAAGCAGGCAGTCATCCTGCATTTATCTCCTTCTAGAAAGTTCTGGATTTTACTGGGACTGTGCGCTACTCCCTGTTCCTCAGAATCCCAGGGTTTTTCCAAGTTGCCATAGGGGCTCTCCAAATATTTCACTTGATACTGAATTTTACAATGTTTATAGCTATTGAAACACTTGTAATTAAACACATAACCAAATGTATTCTGTGGAAACTCCCCTTGTTAAAAGACATTGAACTGAGGGAGGCTTACCCTTAGGCAGATTGTCTCAGCAGACATGTAGTAAAGATGTACAGATCAGGAGAACACAGAAACGCCTGCCCTGTCGGGGAAGCTTCGAAGCCAGACCTGGAGAGGCCGGCTGCCAGCGACAGGCCTCTGCATTCAACCTGACTTTGCATCCGTCCTGGGGCTGGCTCCTTCCCACCGCGGGCCTGGGCGTTTCCATGTGCTGCCACCGAGGTGTGTAGGTGCTAGGGGTGTGCTCACTGCACACAGACGTGCATACCGCGGGCGTCCTGGGGTGTCGGGCATGCCCTGCTGTGCTGTGGGAGCCGGAGTGTGTTAGCGGAAAGCGGCATTTTCACAGGGCTCAGAGTTGAAGACACACCTGTCTTCCTGACGTGTGGACTCGGGTCCCTAGTGTGATTACTGCGTTGAGCAGATGCTGAAGTAGCACCCTGCCCGGTGCTGACCTCCTGGTGACAACGCCACTACCCCCAGTGGACAGCGAGGAAGCAGGGTCAGCCACTGGCCCGGCTGTGCAGCGATTGTCCGTAGGCCCTGGAGTTCAGCCCTGCCCTTCATTCACGCCACTGTGCAGCCTGCGTATCCTGGACACCCGGTTCACATCTGGGCAGCGGCGTTCTCGGGCCGTGACGGCTCCTGGGAGGACCGAGGCTGCCCGAGGTGGTCGGGGATGCCTGACACTGACACTGAGCTTCCCCTCAGCACAGATGTCACTCCCAGGAATGGCTGAAATCTGGACGAGTAAAAGCTTATGTGACAGGAGTTTCCGGCCTAAGCAGCGGGACCTGGGTGCCATGTTCTTGGTGTGTAGGGGCAGTGCCGGCCGCCCATGGGTGCCGGTGCCTCCTGCAGTCAGGCCTGCTGCTGTCTGTGTGCGCAATAAGGAAACCGAACCCAAGAGTGGGCACCATGCCCAGGCTCACCGGAACAGAGGGCAGAGCAGCCTGGCCAGAATCCCTCACTGTTTTATGGCAGGAACCCCCAGGGTCGTGCGTCGACGTTGTGGCCCGGCGTTCCCTGCGGAAGATTGAGGCCCTCACTGGTCAACCCTGCAGTACGGGGGCGTGTGTGGCAAACAGCTGGTCTGGAGCCTCGTCAGCCAGGCCGGCTCCTTGATGCTTTGAAATCCCCCTCCCAGGGGGCCTGGCCAGGTCCGTCCATGGGCGGCCACAGGCAGCTGGGGCTGGACTCCTGGAATTTCCAGCAGCCCTGTGTCTGTTACAGCGCCAGTGGTAGAGCTGGATTCCCTGACAAGACGGGGGAAGGACAGCCTTGCAGGTGCTACTGAAGACACCCTAGGCTAGAGCTGCCCACCCTGGGTGGGTTCTCCTGGACTGAACTGACGTTGGTTTGCTATTGATGAGAGTCACATAGTATATGTACACAATGCATTTTAACTGCCTCAGAATTAAGGTGTTATCTGGAAACAGTGTAATTACAGTTGGTCAGAATTGGGTTGATAGCAGTTCACTGCAGAGAACTTTCTGGAAGCTGTGACAGGTGGAAGTAGTGGGGCTCAGGGTTGGTGGGCCACACCTTAGCTGTGTGGCCTTGGCCAAGTTGCTCATCAAGACCTTCCTGTCACTGATGAGGTGAGAGTGACCGCTGGGCCGTCCTGAGGCTGACATGGGATTCCTTGCCTGTGCACACTTCCCAGAAGGCGGACCAAGGACACACCCGCCTGGGAGACGGCTCGCAGGCAGCCACGGAGTATATATATCTGAACGTCGGAAAGGACCTTTCCTTTGAAGCTCAAACATTTATGAGATATTGTTACAATTCGGAAGGGATCTGTAGGTGAAATGTGACATGAAGACTGGGTAACGTTGGCATTTGCAGACTGACTTTATGTGTGGCACTTTTCGTGGGTGCCATGGCGTCGGCGCAGAGACACTCCTGAGGGATTTCGTCTGTCGGTCCATGTGTTTGTGGGGGCCGAGTCCTGGACAGGCCTAGGAGGGAACCGCCCCGGCCAGGGCCGGCTGCTCGGCGCCTGCACAGGGCATGAGTGCTGGGGGCTTTGGGACACACGCTCCCTGCTGCCTCTGGGGCAGATGTCCACCTGCACTGCTTGCAGTGAGAGGCTGGGGCCCCAGTGGACGAGCCGTGGTGCCTGAACTGCTCCCGCTGTGTCCCCGCCACGTGAGGCATCTCTTCCTGACCGTGGTCCTGAGACCACCTGGCCTCTGCCTTCCCAGGGTTAACTGTACTTGTTCTCTCCGTGGCTGCCGACACCCTTCTGGCCTTCAGACTTAGCCCTCATCACTCGTGGACTCCTGACCCCACCCAGGGCTGACCACCGGAGCCCTGCTCTCTGCTTCCTTTGCGGCTGATATTGTCCCCATTCCAGTGTTGTTCTTGTGCCTGTCTCCCCTCTAGCTCCTTGCAGTCAGGGAGAGGACTTTCTTTATACCTCTATCCCTTGTCTTCTAGGGGCATCTCCTGCTCAGTGAAATGTGCTGACCCGTAGCAGGTGGTCTCTACCAGGGCTTAGTGTCAGCATGGGACACTTTTCCAGCCATTACCCCTTCTTTCCCCTCTACCCACCTCCAGCCCCGAGGTGCGGCCCAGCAGGACAGATACTGCCACAGCCCTCCCTTGGTTGTGTTCATACTTCCTGGGCTGCTCATGCCTTCCTGTTTGCTGGTGGATTCTCTTTTTGCTGGAGTGTATCCCCAAGCAGCTTTTCCAGAAAGGACCAACTTGCCCGGATCTCTAATTCTCCATCAAAGCCACTTTCCCTCAGAGCTTTGCAGCATTGAGGAGGCATCTTCAAGCATCTGACTCTTCTTCTCCCTGGAAGCTTCTAAAGTCTCAGTGCCTTGCCCTCCTGCTCTCCACCTTTGCTCTCTGTTCTGGTTATTTATCGAGGAGTCTCTGAGGCTCTTTTTTTTGCTCTCTTGTAGTGGCCTTGGTGAGCTCTTCAGCCTCAAGGCTTGTCCTTGGCTCTGGATGAGGCTCTTCTGGCCTCTCCCCAATCTGCCCATGTGTTCCAAACACCGCATGCCCCAGCTGGGTTCCAAACAGGGCGGGTGGGGGCCACTCTCCTGTCTAGCTTCGTAGCGTGGGCTGAAACCTGGGAAAGTCTCTCCATGAAGCTGAATGGAGAAGAACATGGCTTCCGCGAGGCCCTAGGAGCCAAGCACCACACAGAACCCACCGCTTGGCTGTGATCCCGAGTGACGGGGACAGCCTGGACTGCAGAAGGAATGCCCAACGCTGGCGGGAACGGAGGGGCTTTTCTTGCTCGTCTTTCCAGTTCCACATTGTCACATTGGAGTCCTGGGCTCACTGAGATTATGTTGAAAATCCGACCTCTAGGGGATCTCCATGCTAGTTTTGTCCTTTAGGCGTGGAGGCATGCGTGCCGCACTGTGGCGTCTGTTCTGTGCGCCTGCTCACCGCCCTTCCTTCTTTTCCGCGTGGGGCAGTTTTATCGCGTCTCCCCGGCAGCTGCTTCGGCGAGGTGGGGCCGCGGTGCCATTGGTAGCGTGTCTCTGAGTCTCACCGCAGCCCTTGTAGCTTGGCATCCTCGTCAGATGACACCCGAGGCAGGGTTGACGTGGCAGGCAGAATCGTTTGCACCCGTATTTGCTAAACTCTCAGCTGTTCTTCAGAAAATTTGAGGAGAAAATGAAACCAAAAAGAATACTTGAAACCCTGCTCAGTTGGTTTTGTTCTGAGCTTTCAGTGGCTCTAAGAGCTCATGGGAAATGAGTTCTTTTTCTTTTCTCCGGGCCACTTGAGTTCTAATGAAATGCACCACTTGGTTTTACAAGTTCTTCTATAAAATACTTGCTTGTTTAAAAAGCAAACAGCACTGCCCTACTTCGGAGCTCTGCAGCACATCCCTTAAAGAAAAAATACTTGAGGTCACTGTGCTGAGGCCCAGAATTTAACCACGGCCAGTAAGAACCATCAACAGAGAACGGCATTTCTGGGATGACTGTTTTAATCTTACAACAATTTATCTGAAAGGAGAAAAGAGAAAGCTGATTTTTTTTTTCTGATTCTTTTTTTTTTTTTTTTTTTGAGACAGAGTTTCACTTTTTCGCCCAGGCTGCAGTGCAGTGGTGCAATCTCCTCTCACTACAACCTCCGCCTTCCGATTTCAAGAGATTCTCCTGCCTCAGCCTCCCGAGTAGCTGGGGCTACGGGCACAGGCTGCCACGCCCAGCTATTTCTTTCTGATTCTGAAACAAAGTATTTATCGGCCATGCCTGCTGTTGGCTGCTCGGGCGACACGGTATTTCCTCGGTATTTCCTCGTTGCAGCTCCCAGGTCAGGCTCTGGGTCCCTGTGAGAGGCGGGTGGCCGCCATGGCTCTGCTGCCTCCCGTGTGGGGTAGTGACGGGGCCTTCCGAAGCTTGACTGCTTGGTTAGTTTTGTTTTGAGAGCCTGTGATGTTTCAAGATTTTTACTGCATCTTTTTATGTAGCTATTTTTATAACATGAGTAGAGGTTGAAATAGTTTTTTTCTCTCTGAAATCTCAATTCAGTCTGTCTTCCTTTTTCCTGATAAGCAGGAAGCATCCTATGCTTCTTGCCTTAGAATTACTGATTTAGGCTATTGCTTTGGTGAGGCCACATCTTGTTTTCCTCTGTGGTCCTGGAGTTTGCGTTGTGGTGAGGGGTGGAGCACATCCACCCTTCAGCTAGCGCCAATTAGGTCCCTGTGGGAAAGGGGCCCCAGCCTAGCACCAATGAAGGCTGGGCCCTGGAGTGTGCAGTGGCTGAACAGTCACAACCTGTGTTTCTCCCACCTGCATACATGCCAGGACATACACACATGCATCCCTGCACACGCACACATACATGTGTACATGTGCACACGTGTACAGAGACATGCATACACCCGTGCACACATGGACACAGGGCATCCATGCACAGGTGCACATGTATACATGTGCACATGTGTACAGACACATACACACAGGGACACATGGGCATGTCATACCCATATGCACACACACTGGCCTGAGCTGTGGAAGCTGCTGGTGCGGTCCCTGCACGTGTGGCCGCCGGGGCTGAGGGCCTACCGCGAGGTGTCCTCTATGTTGCTAGGAGGTCAGCGCTCACAGCTCAGGTCCCTTCCACCCAGTGGTGGAGGCAGTAGGGGTGTGGGGAGCCTTCTGCTGCAGCCCTGTTTCCCGCCCTGCGACCCACCCCGAGTCCCCTCTGTGTCCCACCTCATGTCCACCCTGTGTCCAGCCTTGTGTCCAGTCTGTGTCCCGCCCTGTGTCTGCCCTTTGTTTACCCTGTGTCCATCCCGTGCCCGCCTGTGTCCACCCTCTTCCTCCTCACTTGGAGCTGCCCCCACCCACCTGCCGTCGCAGCCCCTTTAGAGGTCACCAGCCCTGACCCTTTCGTCGCCCAGGGCCCTGCGGTGCTCTGCCTGTGGCCCTGCTCCCACTGCCTTGGAGGGAGGCTGCTCACAGCGCTTCATGCCGGGCACTGAGTGGTGCAGAGTCTTCGAGAAACCTTTACTTTTTAAAATTTTTTTATTAAAAATAAAACTATTAACTGAAACTGCAGACTCTATGGCTTTTCCACCCGTGCCTGTTCCGTTCTGGGACCCGGTTTTGTCCTGGCGTCTCCTCCCTCCCTCCCTGGTCTGTGAGTCTCCCAGACTTTCCTGTGCAGGATTCCGACCTTGACAGTGTCAAGCAGGCCTGTCATGGCGTCTGTAGAGCGTCCCTCACGTTGGGTCCGTCTGGTGTTTCCTCGCAATTAGACTGGGTGATGGGTTTTGGGAAGACGCCCACAGAGGTGCGGGGCCCTTCCCGTCACACCGTATCAGGGTCCTGACGTCCGCACGGCTTTCTGATCACCCGGCCAAGGTCTGCCTGCCAGGTGTGCCCTCTGACAGGTCCCTGCTTTCCCGCCCGCTCTGTCCTCTGGAAGCCGCTCACTGGGTCCAGCCCCCGCCTCCTGAAGGGAGTGTCTGCGGACATTATGTGGAATTCCTCTGTGAGGAAGATCTTGTTACTTACTTGTTTGTGGTCACTGATTTTGTCACTATGGACCCACGCCCATTTATTTTCCCTCTGGGTCGTGATCCCGTGCTGTCACCGTGAGTCTGTGTCTGGGTCGTGATCCCATGCTGTCACCGTGAGTCTGTGTCTGGGTCGTGATCCCGTGCTGTCACCGTGAGTCTGTGTCTGGGTCGTGATCCCGTGCTGTCACCGTGAGTCTGTGTCTGGGTCGTGATCCCGTGCTGTCACCGTGAGTCTGTGTCTGGGTCGTGATCCCGTGCTGTCACCGTGAGTCTGTGTCTGGGTCGTGATCCCGTGCTGTCACCGTGAGTCTGTCTGGGTGGTGATCCCGTGCTGTCACCGTGAGTCTGTGTCTGGGTCGTGATCCCGTGCTGTCACCGTGAGTCTGTGTCTGGGTCGTGATCCCGTGCTGTCACCGTGAGTCTGTGTCTGGGTCGTGATCCCGTGCTGTCACCGTGAGTCTGTGTCTGGGTCGTGATCCCGTGCTGTCACCGTGAGTCTGTCTGGGTCGTGATCCCGTGCTGTCACCGTGAGTCTGTGTCTGGGTCGTGATCCCGTGCTGTCACCGTGAGTCTGTGTCTGGGTCGTGATCCCGTGCTGTCACCGTGAGTCTGTGTCTGGGTCGTGATCCCGTGCTGTCACCGTGAGTCTGTGTCTGGGTCGTGATCCCGTGCTGTCACCGTGAGTCTGTGTCTGGGTCGTGATCCCGTGCTGTCACCGTGAGTCTGTGTCTGGGTCGTGATCCCGTGCTGTCACCGTGAGTCTGTCTGGGTCGTGATCCCGTGCTGTCACCGTGAGTCTGTGTCTGGGTCGTGATCCCGTGCTGTCACCGTGAGTCTGTGTCTGGGTCGTGATCCCGTGCTGTCACCGTGAGTCTGTGTCTGGGTCGTGATCCCGTGCTGTCACCGTGAGTCTGTGTCTGGGTCGTGATCCCGTGCTGTCACCGTGAGTCTGTGTCTGGGTCGTGATCCCGTGCTGTCACCGTGAGTCTGTGTCTGGGTCGTGATCCCGTGCTGTCACCGTGAGTCTGTCTGGGTCGTGATCCCGTGCTGTCACCGTGAGTCTGTGTCTGGGTCGTGATCCCGTGCTGTCACCGTGAGTCTGTGTCTGGGTCGTGATCCCGTGCTGTCACCGTGAGTCTGTGTCTGGGTCGTGATCCCGTGCTGTCACCGTGAGTCTGTCTGGGTCGTGATCCCGTGCTGTCACCGTGAGTCTGTCTGGGTCGTGATCCCGTGCTGTCACCGTGAGTCTGTGTCTGGGTCGTGATCCCGTGCTGTCACCGTGAGTCTGTGTCTGGGTCGTGATCCCGTGCTGTCACCGTGAGTCTGTCTGGGTCGTGATCCCGTGCTGTCACCGTGAGTCTGTGTCTGGGTCGTGATCCCGTGCTGTCACCGTGAGTCTGTGTCTGGGTCGTGATCCCGTGCTGTCACCGTGAGTCTGTCTGGGTCGTGATCCCGTGTTGTCACCGTGAGTCTGTGTCTGGGTCGTGATCCCGTGCTGTCACCGTGAGTCTGTGTCTGGGTCGTGATCCCGTGCTGTCACCGTGAGTCTGTGTCTGGGTCGTGATCCCGTGCTGTCACCGTGAGTCTGTCTGGGTCGTGATCCCGTGCTGTCACCGTGAGTCTGTGTCTGGGTCGTGATCCCGTGCTGTCACCGTGAGTCTGTGTCTGGGTCGTGATCCCGTGCTGTCACCGTGAGTCTGTCTGGGTCGTGATCCCGTGTTGTCACCGTGAGTCTGTGTCTGGGTCGTGATCCCGTGCTGTCACCGTGAGTCTGTGTCTGGGTCGTGATCCCGTGTTGTCACCATGAGATGGTGTCTGGGTTGTGATCCAGTGTTGTCACCGTGAGTCTGTGTCTGGGTCGTGATCCCGTGCTGTCACCGTGAGTCTGTGTCTGGGTCGTGATCCCGTGCTGTCACCGTGAGTCTGTGTCTGGGTCGTGATCCCGTGCTGTCACCGTGAGTCTGTGTCTGGGTCGTGATCCCGTGCTGTCACCGTGAGTCTGTGTCTGGGTTGTGATCCAGTGTTGTCACTGTGAGTCTTTGTCTGGGTTATGATCCAGTGCTGTCACTGTGAGTTTGCTGCTCAGCTCCTCCAGCTTTGACCACTGGTGGGTTTCCCCTCCTTCCCCGCAGGGATGCTTCCGGCCCAGCTTCTGTTTCTCTGCCCCAGCCCTAGAATGAGTTGTTTCCAAGGAGCCCTGGTTCTTTTTAGGGGAGCATAGAAACTTCAGTCTGGGCACTGGGAGGGCCGTTGCTCCCGGGGTGTCACAGCTGCTGGCCCTCTTCCTGGGTAGAGCTAGGCTCTGTGTGTCACTATCTCATTTCACACATTTGATTGCTTCTCTGTCGTATCCACCTATCCATCTGTAAGTATACGAAGGTCAACCTGGTCCATGCCGATGACTCTGACTCTCACCTGGCACACGGTGTATTCCAGCCTTCCGTCCTGGAACATGGTGTATTCCATCCTCCCGTCCTGGCACACGGTGTATTCCAGTCTTCCCTGCTGGCCCATCTGAATCCTCCCTCTCTGCTAGTGGGAACCTGGCTCCCCTGACTCCTCTAGCATCTGCTCAGCCCTGGTGCACGTGCGAGAATTGTCCACCCAGGCCCGGGGGGGAAAGCCCTGGAGTGCAGCGTTTGTGTACAGCTCCTTCTGGCCTTGCGGTCTCCACTCAGAACATTTTCCGGAGTTGCTTAGGCGGCTCCTGCCCTCTGGCCAGTGTGTTTCTGTTTCACATCCGTGCGTGTGGAGCCTGTATTCTATCTGCATCCCCCAACCTCCTGGTCGGGTCTTCCCCCAATAGTTTGTGCACATTGAAGTTCATCTCGTGTAATGCTCAGTGCTGTGGGCTTTGCCTCCATCACCCCAGCTCCAGCCCCAAGTCCCCCGTGCATGGGAGTGACCACTTCCCCTGCACCAGCCCCTGGCACGCCCGGGTCTGTCTCCCGTCCCTCTGGTTTTGCCTTTTCCAGTGTGACATACGAATGAAATCACGCAGTATATAGCCTGTTGGGTCTAGATTCTTTTGCTTAGCAAAATGCACTTAAGATTCATCCATGTTATTGCCTGAACCAACAGCTGCATTCTTATCTCTGATTATTTTTCTGTTGCACAAATGCACCTCCGGTTATTTATCCACTTCCACCGTGAAGGATGTCTTCCTTGTTTCTAGTTTTTAGTGGCTATGAACAGAGCTGCTATGAGCATCTGCATGAGGCTTCTGTGCGAGCACACTTTCAGGTTGAAGGCCTGAGAGGTGCAGTAGCTGATTTGTAAGGTAACCCTTCATTATCTGGGTCAGATGCCACCGTCTGCCATCCACAGTGGTAGGCCACAGCATCCCCGGCACAGCGAGGGCACTCCTGCTGTCCCGAACCTTCTGCAGCATTGGGCACTGTCCATGTTCGTGTTTTTTTTGTTTTGTTTTTTTGGTTTTTTTTTTGAGACAGTCTTACTCTGTCGCCGAGGCTGGAGTGCAGTGGCGCTGTGTCGGCTCACTCCAACCTCCGCCTCCTGGGTTCAAGCAATTCTCCTGCCTCAGCCTTGCGAGTAGCTGGGATTCCAGGTGTGCACCACTATGCCCAGCTAATTTTTGTATTTTTAGTAGAGACGGGGTTTCACCACATTGGCCAGGCTGGTCTTGAACTCCTGACCTCAGGTGATCTGCCCACCTCGGCCTCCCAAAGCGCTGGGATTACAGGCATGAGCCACCGCGCCCGGCCTGGGCACTGTCCGTTTTCAAGCACTTCGGCCATGTGACGTGTGTGTGGTGACAGCACGCTGTGGTTTT
This sequence comes from Homo sapiens, assembly GCF_000001405.40. NCBI lineage: Eukaryota > Metazoa > Chordata > Mammalia > Primates > Hominidae > Homo > Homo sapiens. The sequence continues at coordinate 958,536 of NC_000016.10, read as the reverse complement.
CATGGGCATTTCCGCAGTGATGAAGGATGTTGAGCATCTTTTCACGTGTTATTTGCCATCCGTACACCTTCCTATGTCTGTTCAGACCTTGTGGCCTGGTTTTTTCTTCCCACCTTTAACATTGGGTTGTTTGTTTTCTAATTATTGAATTTTAAAAGTTCTTTAAATATTCTAGATACAAATCCTTTATCAGATGTGTGATTTGCCAGTATTTTCTTCCAATCTGCGGCTTGTGTTTTCATTCTGTTAAAAGTAGCTTTTGCAGATCAAAAGTTTTTCAGTTTGATAAAGTTCAATTTACAGTTTCTAATTTCATAGATTATGCTTTTGGTGTTGTATCTAAAAACTTGTTGCCAAACCCAAGTCACATAGATTTTCTTCTATATTTCCATCTGGAAGTCTTATGCTTTTATGTTTTACATTTAGGTCTATGATCCTTTTTGGTTAATTTTTGTGTAAGGTGTGAAGTGTGTTCAGGTCCATCTTTTTGCATGTGGACATCCATCTGTTCCAACATGATTGTTACAGAGACTCTTCTTTGTTTTTTTATTTATTTTGTAGAGACTGAGTCTCACTATGTTGCCCAGGCTGCTCTGGAATTCCTGGGCTCAAGCGATCCTCCTGCCTCAGCCTCCCAAAGTGCTGGGATGACAGGTGTGAGCCACCACGCCCGGCCCAAGGCTGCTCTTTGTCTGTGTAGTTGCCTTTGAACCTTTGTCAGAATTTGTTCACTCTGTGTGTCGGGTCGGGGGCAGGGGGGCTGTGTCTGGGCCGTCTCTTCCATTCCATTGAGTTCTGCGGCTCTTCCTTAATCAATACTGCGCTGTCTTGATGTGGTCTTGATTAGCTTTTTAGTAAGTCTTGAAATTGGGTAACATGAGTCCTCCACCTCTGTTCTTTTCCAGATGATTTTGGCTTTTTAATCCCTTTGCTCTCCCATGTATATTCTAGAATCAGCTTGTCAGCCTCGGCGGAAGCACTGACTGGGTGTTTGGTTCAGATTGTGCCGAATTTATGGATCAAATTGACACCTTAATGATTTTGATTTTTCCAATCCATGAACATGGTCTATCTCTTCATATAGTTAGATCTTGTTTCATTTTTTTAATCAGTGTTTTGTAGTTTTCCATGTGCAGATTCCGTTTATATGTTTTTAGATTTATAAATGCATGGGGAAAAGTACATGTACTAGCTTCCTACATGTCTACACAGACACTCACTCCAAACCAGCATGCACAGTTACACAGACATGGACCCCAAGCCAGATTCCTACACGCAGTAGGAAGCCGCATGTACTTGTGGGGTTGCTCTTGTGATATTGTTATCATTATGCAATATCTTCTTTCATCCCTGTGTCATTCCTTGTTTGTAAATTGATTTTTTTCCTTTTGAGATGGAGTCTCTGTTGCCCAGGCTGGAGTGCAATGGTGCCATCTCGGCTCACTGCAGCCTCCCGGGTTCAAGTGATTCTCCTGCCTCAGCCTCCCAAGTAGGTGGGACTACCGGGGTGCACCACCACATCCGACTAATTTTTGTATTTTTTAAGTAGAGACAGGGTTTTGCCATATTGGCCAGGCTGGTCCCAAACTCCTGACCTCAGGTGATCCACCCGCCTCAGCCTCCCAAAGTGCTGGAATTACAGGCGTGAGCCACCGTGCCCGACCCTTAAATCTACTTTTTTTTTTTTTTTTTGAGATGGAGTTTTGCTCTTGTCGTCCAGGCTGGAGTGCAGTGGCGCAATCTTGGCTCACTGCACCCTCCACCTCCCAGGTTCAAGCCATTCTCCTGCCTCAGCCTCCTGAGTAGCTTGGATTACAGGTGCCTGCCACAACGCCCAGCTAATTTTTGTATTTTTAGTAGAGACAGGGTTTTTCCATGTTGCCCAGGCTGGTCTCAAACTCCTGATCTCAGGTGATCCGCCTGCCTTGGCCTCCCAAAGTGCTGGGATTACAGGCGTGAGCCACCCTGCCCAGCCCTTAAATCTACTTTTTATGATGTTAATAGAGCCACTTCCACTTTCTTTTGTTTGTATTTTTTATTTTTATTTTTAATTTTTTTCAGCCATGATGAATTAGATCCAGCTTTCTTTTGATTCACATTTGAATGGTGTATCTTTTTTACTTTCAACTGCTTTTTCATTCTTCACGTTTACACATGGGAATGTGCTTCTCTCACCTGTCAGCATCTCTGGGTAAGCATTCAGTGTTCTACAAATACTGACGTCCAGAGGATGTGAGAGAGCTGTTGTGGGTGGGCGCCGTGGGACATGAACTCGGAGACCTGTGGATGTGAGAGAGCCGTCGTGGGGTGGGCGCCGTGGGACGTGAACTCGGAGACCTGTGGATGTGAGAGAGCCGTCGTGGGGTGGGCGCCGTGAGACATGAACTCGGAGACCTGTGGATGTGACAGTGCCATTGTGGGGTGGGCGCCGTGAGACATGAACTCGGAGACCTGTGGATGTGAGAGAGCCGTCGTGCGGTGGGCGCCGTGAGACGTGAACTCAGAGACCTGTGGATGTGAGAGAGCCGTCGTGGGGTGGGCGCCGTGAGACGTGAACTCGGAGACCTGTGGATGTGAGAGAGCCGTCGTGGGGTGGGCGCCGTGAGACGTGAACTCGGAGACCTGTGGTCTGCGTAGAGGGCAAGTGTGGCTCACCTATAGGCAGTAAGTGTCAAGCCCTGCAGCGTGTGCTGGGAGTGATGCCGTTGACCAGAGCCAGGGTCCTCAGGGTGTGTTTCATAATGGTGAATGCTGAGTGCAGTCCGGTTGGTCAGCTGGCTGTCTGTGTGTAGCCAGGCACGCAATTTATATACACATGTCTACTTTACTTCTATGTGTGTGCGTGTATACACACTGCATCTGCTGCAGACACGGAATTTATATACAAGCATCTAGTTTGCTTCTATGCGTATGCGTGGATGCACACACTGCGTCTGCTGCAGGCACCCATTTTATGTAACGTGTCTGGTTCACTTAGATGTGTGTGCGTGTATGCACACACTGCGTCTGCTGCGGGCACGCATTTTATGTAACGTGTCTAGTTTACTTAGATGTGTGTGTGTGTGTATGCACACACCGCGTCTGCTGCAGGCACGCATTTTATGTAACGTGTCTGGTTCACTTACATGTGTGTGCGTGTATGCACACACCGCGTCTGCTGCGGGCACGCATTTTATGTAACGGGTCGGGTTCACTTAGATGTGTGTGTGTGTATGCACACACCGCGTCTGCTGCAGGCACGCCTTTTATGTAACTTGTCTAGTTTACTTAGATGTGTGTGTGTGTATGCACACACCACGTCTGCTGCAGGCACGCCTTTTATGTAACTTGTCTAGTTTACTTAGATGTGTGTGTGTGTATGCACACACTGCGTCTGCTGCAGGCACGCATTTTATGTAACTTGTCTAGTTTACTTAGATGTGTGTGTGTGTGTGCACACACCGCGTCTGCTGCGGGCACGCATTTTATGTAACGTGTCTAGTTTACTTAGATGTGTGTGTGTGTATGCACACACCGCATCTGCTGCAGGCACGCATTTTATGTAACGTGTCTGGTTCACTTAGATATGTGTGTGTGTGGATGCACACACCGCGTCTGCTGCGGGCACGCATTTTATGTAACGTGTCTAGTTCACTTAGATGTGTATGCGTGTATGCACACACCGCGTCTGCTGCAGGTTGGCTTTTCCAGTGTTTCCCCCAAAATCTTGAGAAAGTACTCAGACTCCTGAGTCTAGGGTTTGGCCCCAAACCGTCAGCCAGACTCTGCCTCCCCTTCCCGCCTGCCTCGCCCCGCATTCTGAGCTGCGCCCATGGTGTCCACATGTGGTTTGTTCCTAGTCATGCTTGTTTTGTCTTCTTTTTCTTCCAGTCGTGGCATTCCTGGTGGCTTTCCATCAGAACAAGCAGCTCATCGGTGACAGGGGGCTGCTTCCCTGCAGAGTGTTCCTGAAGAACTTCCAGCAGTACTTCCAGGACAGGACGAGCTGGGAAGTCTTCAGCTACATGCCCACCATCCTCTGGCTGATGGACTGGTCAGACATGAACTCCAACCTGGACTTGCTGGCTCTTCTCGGACTGGGCATCTCGTCTTTCGTACTGATCACGGGCTGCGCCAACATGCTTCTCATGGCTGCCCTGTGGGGCCTCTACATGTCCCTGGTTAATGTGGGCCATGTCTGGTGAGTAGCAGGAATGGGGCGGTCGGAGCTTAGGGCTTGCTGTCACTCAGCACAGGCACTGCAGGTGTCCTGGCACTTGGAAAGACTGGACGAGCGTTTATCTTAAATTCCTTCAGGAGGGTATTGTCATTTTACTTAGGCCATGGCAGAGCGGCCAGTGCACCAGCCACAGCAGCCACCCATCTTCAGGATTAAAACCCCACCTCTTTGCAGTAGCTCTTCCTTACTTAAAGGACTGCGTTGCCAGCTTACTGGAGCCAGAGGGATGGGGAAAGGGAGGCAGAAGCAGTGGGTCTGTGTCTGTGTGGACGTGTAGGAGGCTGGTTTGGGGTGGGTGTCTGTGTGGACGTGTAGGAGGCTGGTTTGGGGTGTCTGTGTGGACATGTAGGAGGCTGGTTTGGGGTGGGTGTCTGTGTGGACGTGTAGGAAGCTGGTTTGGGGTGGGTGTCTGTGTGGACGTGTAGGAGGCTGGTTTGGGGTGTCTGTGTGGACGTGTAGGAGGCTGGTTTGGGGTGGGTGTCTGTGTGGACATGTAGGAGGCTGGTTTGGGGTGGGTGTCTGTGTGGACATGTAGGAGGCTGGTTTGGGGTGGGTGTCTGTGTGGACATGTAGGAGGCTGGTTTGGGGTGGGTGTCTGTGTGGACATGTAGGAGGCTGGTTTGGGGTGGGTGTCTGTGTGGACATGTAGGAGGCTGGTTTGGGGTGTCTGTGTGGACGTGTAGGAGGCTGGTTTGGAGTGGGTGTCTGTGTGGACGTGTAGGAGGCTGGTTTGGGGTGTCTGTGTGGATATGTAGGAGGCTGGTTTGGGGTGTCTGTGTGGATATGTAGGAGGCTGGTTTGGGGTGTCTGTGTGGACGTGCAGGAGGCTGGTTTGGGGTGGGTGTCTGTGTGGACGTGTAGGAGGCTGGTGTGGGGTCCGTGTCTGTGTGAACGTGTAGGAGGCTGGTTTGGGGTGGGTGTCTGTGTGGACGTGTAGGAGGCTGGTTTGGGGTCCGTGTCTGTGTGAACGTGTAGGAAGCTGGTTTGGGGTGGGTGTCTGTGTGGACGTGTAGGAGGCTGGTTTGGGGTGTCTGTGTGGACGTGTAGGAGGCTGGTTTGGGGTGGGTGTCTGTGTGGACATGTAGGAGGCTGGTTTGGGGTGGGTGTCTGTGTGGACATGTAGGAGGCTGGTTTGGGGTGTCTGTGTGGACGTGCAGGAGGCTGGTTTGGGGTGGGTGTCTGTGTGGATATGTAGGAGGCTGGTTTGGGGTGTCTGTGTGGACGTGTAGGAGGCTGGTTTGGAGTGGGTGTCTGTGTGGACGTGTAGGAGGCTGGTTTGGGGTGTCTGTGTGGATATGTAGGAGGCTGGTTTGGGGTGTCTGTGTGGATATGTAGGAGGCTGGTTTGGGGTGTCTGTGTGGACGTGCAGGAGGCTGGTTTGGGGTGGGTGTCTGTGTGGACGTGTAGGAGGCTGGTTTGGGGTGGGTGTCTGTGTGGATGTGTAGGAGGCTGGTTTGGGGTGGGTGTCTGTGTGGACGTGTAGGAGGCTGGTTTGGGGTGGGTGTCTGTGTGGACATGTAGGAGGCTGGTTTGGGGTGGGTGTCTGTGTGGATGTGTAGGAAGCTGGGGATGCGCTGGCTCTTGCATGCCCAGCTTGGTTCCGCCCTCAATGGGACAGCTGGGCTTTGCATGGAGACTGAGGATGGCTCTTGTGTCTTTCGTGGACGGGAGACAGGAGGCAGCTGGCTCAGGGCTGAGTGGTCGGAACCAGGACCCTGTCCCAGGATGGAAGGCTGTGGTGGTGAGTTGGTGCGGGCAGGGCGCAGCCTTGGGCTGTGGAGCCTGTGTTTTCCATCCTGGTCAGGGCGGCTGAGTTGAGGTTGGAGTGTCTGGGGCCACGTGCACTTCCGGGAGCCTGAATGCTCTGCCTCCAGCACAGCGCCTGTGGCTCCGGTGTTCCCTGGTCGGAGGCTCAGATTGCTCTGATCTGGGCTTGGTGGCACAGCCCAGGCCCTGCAGGCTCATGCAGGGAGGGCTGCAGCTGGCATCAGGGCACCTGTGGGGGGGGGTCCCCACTTTGTGGCTGTGCTGGAGTGGGCACTTGTAAGGGGGGTCCCCACTGTGTGGCTGTTGCTGGGGTGGGCACCGCTGCCAGGTCCAGTTGCTGGTGTTTCCTCAGGTCTCAGCTACACTTGAGTGTGTCACCTCATTCAACAAGCAGGCCAGACAGTGTCACCAGGGCAGGGCAGGAGGCCTGGGGATGCCTTGGGCACCCACAACGTGGCTCCGCCCCAGGACCCCTCCACGCACACATGCCTGACTTTGCCGAGGCGCCCATGAGCTGTCAGCACAGGCTGAAGTGGTGTGCTGGGGTCAGGCGCTCTCACGGGAGTCTGCAGGCCTGGGGCCACGTGCAATGCTTGTGGCTGTTTGTGGTTTGCCCCCGATGCCCCAGGCCCTGTGACGCACCTCCCCCGCACATCACGTTCACATGAGCTGTCTCTGCTGACGGTGGCCTGGTGGGGGCTGTGCTTGTTGAGTGTCTGGACGGTGAAGTGGCTTTTTCTCCCTTCACCACATGCTCTTGGTGAGGACGTCGCTCTGCAGTCTTCACTGGAGGTGTGAGGTTCCGCCGCCTCTGGGGGTCTGCAGGAGTCATGAGCCCACCTGCGTGGGAGGCTTCTCTCTGCTCCCCATTTATCGTTCACCTGAGCGTGGTTTGTCGCAGCGTGGACTTGCACGTTTTTGTTTTGGTACTTTGGGGGTCTGTCTTCTTGGTCTAGAAATTTAAACATCTGGGGGTTTGGCAACATTTATGACGGAGAGAGCCACAGCTTAATAATTGTTGCATAAAACTCTAAGTGATTTTAGAGAGGACTCTGACTCTGCTCAGAGCTGGCCTTCCTGTTACATAAAGCCACGCAGCCTTGCAGGACGCTGGAGCCCTGAGCACAGCATCTGCTATAGTATCTGAAGTCGCTTCAGCTTTTCCAGAACATTGGCTCTGACTCCATCGTTGGCTCTGACTCTGTCGTTGTCTCTGACTTTGTCGTTGTCTCTGACTCTGTCATTGGCTCTGACTCTGTCCTTGGCTGACTCTGTCGTTGGCTCTGACTCTGTCGTTGGCTGACTCTGTCGTTGGCTGACTCTGTCAGCTGACTCTGTCATTGGCTGACTCTGTCGTTGGCTGACTGTTGTTGGCTGACTCTGTCGTTGGCTCTGACTCTGTCGTTGGCTGACTCTGTCGGCTGACTCTGTCATTGGCTGACTCTGTCATTGGCTCTGACTCTGTCGTTGGCTGACTCTGTCGGCTGACTCTGTCATTGGCTGACTCTGTCATTGGCTCTGACTCTGTCGTTGGCTGACTCTGTCATTGGCTGACTCTGTCATTGGCTGACTGTTGTTGGCTGATTCTGTCGTTGGCTCTGACTCTGTCATTGGCTGACTCTGTCATTGGCTGACTCTGTCGTTGGCTCTGACTCTGTCGTTGGCTCTGACTCCGTCCTTGGCTGACTCTGTCGTTGGCTCTGACTCTGTCATTGGCTGACTCTGTCGTTGGCTGACTCTGTCGTCTGACTCTGTCATTGGCTGACTCTGTCGTTGGCTCTGACTCTGTCGTTGGCTCTGACTCTGTCGTCTCTGACTCTGTCGTTGGCTCTGACTCTGTCATTGGCTCTGACTCTGTCGTTGGCTGACTCTGTCATTGTCTCTGATTCTGTCGTTGGCTGACTCTGTCCTTGGCTGACTCTGTCGTTGTCTCTAACTCTGTCGTTGTCTCTGACTCTGTCATTGGCTGACTCTGTCGTTGGCTCTGACTCTGTCATTGGCTGACTCTGTCATTGGCTCTGACTCTGTCGTCTCTGACTCTGTCATCTCTGACTCTGTCGTTGGCTCTGACTCTGTCGTTGGCTGACTCTGTCGTTGGCTGACTCTGTCGTTGTCTCTAACTCTGTCGTTGTCTCTGACTCTGTCGTTGGCTCTGACTCTGTCATTGGCTGACTCTGTCGTTGGCCTGACTCTGTCGTTGGCTGACTGTTGTTGGCTGACTCTGTCGTTGTCTCTGACTCTGTCATTGGCTGACTTTGTCATTGTCTCTGACTCTGTCGTTGGCTGACTCTGTCGTTGGCTGACTCTGTCATTGTCTCTAACTCTGTCGCTGTCTCTGACTCTGTCATTGGCTGACTCTGTCGTTGGCTCTGACTCTGTCGTTGGCTGACTCTGTCATTGGCTCTGACTCTGTCATTGGCTCTGAGTCTTTCGTCTCTGACTCTGTCGTTGGCTCTGACTCTGTCGTTGTCTCTGACTCTGTCGTTGGCTGACTCTGTCGTTGGCTCTGACTCTGTCGTTGGCTGACTCTGTCGTTGGCTCTGACTCTGTCGTTGGCTGACTCTGTCGTTGGCTCTGACTCTGTCGTCTCTGACTCTGTCGTTGGCTCTGACTCTCATTGGCTCTGACTCTGTCGTTGGCTGACTCTGTCGTTGTCTCTGATTCTGTCGTTGGCTGACGCTGTCCTTGGCTGACTCTGTCGTTGTCTCTAACTCTGTCGTTGTCTCTGACTCTGTCATTGGCTGACTCTGTCGTTGGCTCTGACTCTGTCATTGGCTGACTCTGTCATTGGCTCTGACTCTGTCGTCTCTGACTCTGTCGTCTCTGACTCTGTCGTTGTCTCTGACTCTGTCGTTGTCTCTGACTCTGTCATTGGCTGACTCTGTCGTTGGCTCTGACTCTGTCATTGGCTGACTCTGTCATTGGCTCTGACTCTGTCGTCTCTGACTCTGTCGTCTCTGACTCTGTCGTTGTCTCTGACTCTGTCATTGTCTCTGACTCTGTCGTTGGCTCTGACTCTGTCGTTGGCTGACTCTGTCATTGTCTCTAACTCTGTCGTTGTCTCTGACTCTGTCGTTGGCTCTGACTCTGTCATTGGCTGACTCTGTCGTTGGCCTGACTCTGTCGTTGGCTGACTGTTGTTGGCTGACTCTGTCGTTGTCTCTGACTCTGTCATTGGCTGACTCTGTCATTGTCTCTGACTCTGTCGTTGGCTGACTCTGTCGTTGGCTGACTCTGTCGTTGTCTCTGACTCTGTCATTGGCTGACTCTGTCGTTGTCTCTGACTCTGTCGTTGGCTGACTCTGTTGTTGGCTCTGACTCTGTTGTTGGCTGACTCTGTCGTTGGCTGACTGTCATTGGCTGACTCTGTCGTTGGCTGACTCTGTCGTTGGCTGACTCTGTCATTGTCTCTAACTCTGTCGTTGGCTGACTCTGTCATTGGCTGGCTCTGTCATTGTCTCTGACTCTGTCGTTGGCTGACTCTGTCGTTGGCTCTGACTCTGTCGTTGGCTGACTCTGTCATTGACTGACTCTGTCGTTGGCTCTGACTCTGTCGTTGGCTGACTCTGTCGTTGACTGACTCTGTCGTTGGCTCTGACTCTGTCCTTGGCTCTGACTCTGTCGTTGGCTGACTCTGTCGTTGGCTGACTCTGTCGTTGGCTGACTCTGTCATTGGCTCTGACTCTGTCGTTGGCTGACTCTGTCGTTGGCTCTGACTCTGTCGTTGGCTGACTCTGTCGTTGGCTGACTCTGTCGTTGGCTCTGACTCTGTCGTTGGCTGACTCTGTCGTTGGCTCTGACTCTGTCGTCTCTGACTCTGTCATTGGCTGACTCTGTCGTTGTCTCTGATTCTGTCGTTGGCTGACTCTGTCATTGTCTCTGATTCTGTCGTTGGCTGACTCTGTCGTTGTCTCTGATTCTGTCGTTGGCTGACTCTGTCATTGTCTTTGATTCTGTCGTTGGCTGACTCTGTCGTTGTCTCTAACTCTGTCGCTGTGTCTGACTCTGTCATTGGCTGACTCTGTCGTTGGCTCTGACTCTGTCGTTGGCTGACTCTGTCATTGGCTCTGACTCTGTCATTGTCTCTGACTCTGTCGTTGTCTCTGACTCTGTCGTTGGCTGACTCTGTCGTTGGCTTTGACTCTGTCGTTGGCTGACTCTGACGTTGGCTCTGACTCTGTCGTTGGCTCTGACTCTGTCATTGGCTCTGACTCTGTCGTTGTCTCTGACTCTGTCGTTGGCTGACTCTGTCGTTGGCTCTGACTCTGTCGTTGGCTGACTCTGTCGTTGGCTGACTCTGTCATTTTCTGTAACTCTGTCATTGTCTCTGACTCTGTCATTGGCTGACTCTGTCGTTGTCTCTGACTCTGTCGTTGGCTGACTCTGTCGTTGGCTCTGACTCTGTCGTTGGCTGACTTTGTCGTTGGCTGACTGTCGTTGGCTGACTCTGTCGTTGGCTGACTCTCTCGTTGTCTCTAAGTCTGTCGTTGGCTGACTCTGTCATTGGCTGACTCTGTCGTTGTCTCTGACTCTGTCGTTGGCTGACTCTGTCGTTGGCTCTGACTCTGTCATTGGCTGACTCTGTCGTTGGCTCTGACTCTGTCATTGGCTGACTCTGTCGTTGGCTGACTCTGTCGTTGGCTGACTCTGTCATTGTCTCTAACTCTGTCGTTGGCTGACTCTGTCATTGTCTCTAACTCTGTCGTTGGCTGACTCTGTCATTGGCTGACTCTGTCGTTGTCTCTGACTCTGTCATTGGCTGACTCTGTCGTTGGCTCTGACTCTCTCGTTGGCTCTGACTGTCATCCGCGCTTGGCTTTGGCAGTGGCCCTGCAGGCTGCTTTGCTGCTCTTCAGCACGGCAGCACCGCCATCCCTTCCCCACTGTCTCGACCCCAGAAGGAAGGAAAGATCCTCTCCAGAAACTTGGACCAAAGTCAGGACACCTCAGGGGTCCTCCTTCCTGTGGCGGGAGCTGCCCTTGGAGCTTCCTTCCTGGGCAGGACGGATGGTGGCTCCACTTCAAAGAGTACTGAGAGCAGCGCCAGGGCTGGAGGGGACGCTGGGAGGCCGCCAGCACCCAGGGACACCGCCCTCGGTGCTTCATTTCTCACTGACGATGAACAGCATGTTTGGGCTCCAGGACTTCAATGTAAGGAGGTTCCACAAGTACCTGCAACACCTTTTCCACCACCTGCCTCTGCGTAGCCCCAACTGGGTGGGTGGGGCCCTCCCTGGCTGGGCTGCAGCCTCTGTCTCTGTGTTAATGCATGGGAAGGGATTTGACAAGGCGTAGACATATTTGATGGTAAAAGTGACGTCCTTTTCATTTCACAAGGTTCAGGGACCCCGTGGTGGGAGGGGTGGCAGTTGCCACACAAGGCCAGGCACTCAGAGAGCCCACCCTGGGCGTCTCTTCTGTCAGCCGGGTCATGGTCGTGTCCTCCTTTCAAATGGCGTGGGAAAAGCCTGATCCTGTTGCTGTGTGCTGGGTGTCTTTGTCTGTGATATCTGACTCCTGCCTAGCACTCAGTCCTGCCTGTGAGCTGACCTCTGAAACAACAGAGTTACCTTCCTGGCTAGACGGGGATTAGTCTCCAGAGCCTGGCAGGTGGGTGAGCGTCTCTCATATGGGAGCCTGTGTGTGTCTGCTGGTGCAACTGTCATCGGGTCATTTACACAGCTGGCAGATACTTGCTGAGCCCCTGCTTGGCACCGTGGACACTGAGGAGGGGGTGCCCTGACTTCAGCTTGGTCAGGCCCACCAGGGCACGTGAGGTCCCTTGAGAGGCAGAGGAATCCATGGCAGGGCATGGGCCATGTAGGTGACTGAGCCCATGTTGTTTGGCTTGAGGTTGGACCTGTGAACGTTCTCTGTTAAGCCCACCTTCCGAACAGCATACCTGTAGACGGGAACTCCCACGAGAGGGGCCTGTGAGCACTCACCTTTCCAGTCTGCTCTAAAAGTCTGCCATAGCCTCAGCAGGAAGACCAGGACTGTCCGGGCCTCACACTGTAAAAGGCCTCTTCTGGCCTTGGATCAGTTGCCTTAGCGGACACCCTGCCCTGGATAGGAGGCCACAGGACAGCGTGGCCGTGGGTGCCTTCTGCAGAGGCTTGTCCCCCTCCTCTCTAGGACTTGCTGGGAGAAGCGCTTCCTTCTGGCTTCCACTCCTGCTTGGAGCTGTAATGGCAGAGTTGGGATCTGAGGTTTCTGGGATTTGCAACAATACAGTGAATTCGGAAAGCACACAAGTGGCTACATCCGCTGCCAGCCAGCTGTCCCCTCCCCTTCGTGGCTGCTGCGGCACATGGGGCTGGCAGACGCCGCACCTTGCCCTCCCTGGCTGGCCTGTGGTTGCAGGTCCACTTCTAAGGCGAAAGAACTCCCATGTCCCATGTGTCATTTGCAGATAACCACAGCTGAAGCCAGCTCCGAGACTCTGCATTGACTTCTTGGTGAACTCTGTGTCCACCATTAGCTTGTTTTGGGGTGAACTCTGTGTCCACCATTAGCTTGTTTTGGGGTGTCCATGTCAGCTGTTTCCAGAGGGTTTCCTATCATTGCTGCATAACAAGAGAAACATTTCAGGCAGCTGGACGCCGGGGGGAGAACAGTCTGTCTTTGCACCTTGTACTGAGGCTTTTCTGGTCCTGCGGGGACTTGGCAACCCAGTCTCCTGCGTCCAGAGCTTTCTTCCACAGTAGCTGTGGTGTATGAACCGTGACTTACTTCATTTCCTAGAGGTGAGTGGATTCCTTGAAGCCACGTAACATGTGTTTCCCAACCCTTTCTGCCAAGACCTTCTACTTCTCCAAATAGATTCCTGACCGTTTCTGCCAATGCCTTCTACTTCTCCAAATAGATTCCCGACCCTTTCTGCCGAGGCCTTCTAGTTATCCAAATAGATTGTGACCCTTTCCGTTCTTAACCTAAATCTCTTTCACATTTTAAACAGATATTTTTTCTTTTTTAAATTTTTTAACTCTGACCCAGTGCCAGCTGAACTTTTTTCTTTTTTTTTTGAGACAGCCTCTTGCTCTGTCACCCAGACTGGAATGCAGTCACACAGTCACAGCCCACTGCAGCCTCAACCTCCTGGGCTCAAGCAATCCTACCTGCTCAGCTTCCCAAATAGCTGGGACTACAGGCACCCAGCACCACACCTGGCTAATATTTTTATTTTTTGTAGAGATGGATGTCTCACTATGTTGCCCAGGCTGGTCTTGAACTCCTGGGCTCAAAGTTCAATACTCCTATCTCAGCCTCCCAAAGTGCTAGGATTACAGGCATGAGCCACCGTGCCCAGCCAAATATTTTCCTTTTTTTTTTTTTTTTTGAGATGGAGTCTCGCTCTTGTCGCCCAGGCTGGAGTGCAGTGGTGCGAACTCGGTCCATTGCAGCCTCCACTTCCTGGGTTGAAGCGATTCTCCCACCTTAGCCTCCCAAGTAGCTGGGATTATAGGCATCTGCCACCACGCCTGGCCAATTTTTATACTTTTAGTAGAGATGGGGTTTCACCATGGTCAGGCTGGTCTCGAACTCCTGACCTCCAGTGATCCACCCGCCTTGGCCTCCCAAACTGCTGGGATTACAGGCATGAGCCACGGTGCCCAGCCCCCTATTTTTTTTAACCTAACAAGAGATATGTATTTCTTTGACTCCGAAGAGTACATCCCATAATCATCAAGGTGCACCAAAGGGGCAGGGATGACAATTGAGACGAGATGGGGTGTTTAGGGCACTGGGGCCGTAGACAGGGCGAGACTTCAGCAAGCAGCAAGGAGGGGCCGTAGACAGGGCAAGCCTGGCAGGGGCAGTTTGAGGGAGAGGACGTCTCACATTGAAACAATACTTTAAAATAAGAGATTTGTCTTCATGGACTCCATGCCCGTCCATGGCAGAGTGGCAGGTGCAGGACGAGCCTCCCCACTATGAAACCGTCAGCAAGTGAAATACCAGAGGGCACAGGTGCCCAGGACTGCTGTCCCTGGAAAGGAGATACATACAGGGTGGCCTTGGTGGCCCCGGCCTTCTGCCTGAGCACCTTGTACACCACAGCTAGGGCACCCAGCAGAACACAAGGCGTCTCCAAGCTCAGGAGGCAGGGATCAGAGTTGAGGGCAGCTTGCATTTGTGCGGCAAGGCATTAGAGTAAAGGAGCTAACACAGACATCACCACAGAAAGCTACATGGATTCCACTAAGTCCTTGGGTTTGTTCTAAGCTGTGAACGTGGAGAGTGAGAGTCTTTGAGGGTTGGTGGAAAGTGGCGGGTAGAGTCTTTGAGGGTTGGTGGAAAGTGGCAGGTAGGGAGTGGTGACCTTAGTGGTGAGTCTGAGGGTCCCACAGTGCTGGCTGGGAGACAAGCCTCCCCATCAGCCGGTCCAGAGGTGACTTGCATAAGACCCTAGGCACTCAGCGCATGCCCCCAGAAAGGCCACATCTTAGGAGGAGGGTTCCTCTCGCCCTAGAAAAGGGCTGTTCTAGACTGACCCTAACTGAGCTTTTGGAAAGACCAAGTTCATCCTCCAGTAGCTCAGCTGCTTACCAGACAGACTCATTCACTCTCCAAAGGAAGCAGACAAAATTAACTTCTCAATGATGTTATGATCTTTCATAATGTCAACTAGAATCAGAAACTACTACACAAGTAAAGAAACAGGAAAATAGGATCCCTATACAGGAAACAAAAAAGGGTCACAAGAAACTGACCATGATAGCCAAGATAGCACACGTAGAAAAGAGGATTTGAGGCAGCCATTACAGATACACACCAGGACTCAAGGGAAGTATTCCTCTTTTTTTTTTTTTTTTTTTTTTTTGAGACAGAGTCTCATTCTGTCCCCCAGGCTGGAGTGCAGTGGTGAGATCTTGGCTCACTTCAACCTCCACCTCGCAGGTTCAAACAATTTTCCTGCTTCAGCCTCCCAAGTAGCTGGGATTATAGGTGTGCACCACCACACCCAGCTAATTTTTGTATTTTTAATAGAAATGGTGTTTCACCATTGTTGGCCAGGCTGGTCTCAAACTCCTGACCTCAGGTGATCCGCCCGCCTCGGCCTCCCAAAGTGCTGGGATTACAGGCATGAACTACCACACCCAGCCTAGTAGTGGTCTTAATGAATGAACACATGGGAAATTTAGCAGAGACTCTGAATCTTTTTTTTTTTTTTTTTTTGAGATGGAGTCTCGCTCTGTCGCCCAGGCTGGAGTGCAGTGGCGCGATCTCGGCTCACTGCAAGCTCCACCTCCTGGGTTCACTCCATTCTCCTGCCTCAGCCTCCTGAGTAGCTGGGACTACAGGCGCCCACCACCACACCTGGCTAATTTTTTGTATTTTTAGTAGAGACAGGGTTTCACCGTGTTAGCCAGGATGGTCTCGATCTCCTGACCTTGTGATCCACCCGCCTCGGCCTCCCAAAGTGCTGGGATTACAGGCGTGAGCCACCGTGCCCGGCCGAGACTCTGAATCTTTAAAGAAGAGTCAATTGGACATTTTAGAACTGAAAAGTACAGTATCTGTACTGAAAAATCTGTTGCCTGGGCTTAATAACAGGTTGGAGGTGGGTAGAAGATAGCCTCAATGAATTTTAAGAGAAATCTGTAGAAATTATCCAAGCTAAAGAACAAACAGAAAAAAGATTGAAACGAGCAGAGCTTCAGTGACATGTGGGATAGCACCAGGTGGTCTAACATACCTGTGATTGGAGCCCCACAGAGAGAGGACACACAGAATGGGGCATATAGCACCAGGTGGTCTAACATACATGTGATTGGAGCCCCACAGAGAGAGGACACAGAGAATGGGGCATATAGCACTAGGTGGTCTAACATACATGTGATTGGAGCCCCACAGAGAGAGGACACAGAGAATGGGGCAAATAGCACCAGGTGGTCTAACATACATGTGATTGGAGCCCCACAGAGAGAGGACGCAGAGAATGGGGCACGTAGCACCCGGTGGGCTAACATATGTGTGATTGGAGCCCCACAGAGAGAGGACACAGAGAATGAGGCATATAGCACCAGGTGGTCTAACATACTTGTGATTGGAGCCCCACAGAGAGAGGACACAGAAAATGGGGCATAAAAAGTATTTAAAGAAATAATAGCTGAATGATATAAATGTGTAAATCCAAGAAGCTCAGCACACTGTAAGCAGTAAAAGTAAGAGAAAATGTTATCTGGGCACATTGTAGTCAAACTACCGAATACCAAAGACAAAGATAGCACCTGGAAGGAAAAAGACGTTACACTCAAAGAATAAAGATTCAAATATGTCTGGCTTCTTATAACCACTGGAGGCCAGAGGATGATGGACTGGCATCTTTAGAGTTCTAAAGAAAAACGATTGTCAACCCAGAGTTCTATCCAGTGACAATATCCTTCAAAAACAAAAGCAAAATAAAGACATTTTCAGATAACGGAAAACTGAGAGAAGGCTTTGCCAGCAGACACACTATAGAAATGTTAAAGGAATATCTTCAGGCTGAAGGAATTATTGCTTGGCAGAAAGAATTATTGCTAGGCAGAAAGTCATCTATAGAAAGGAGTAAAATCCACTGGACATGGTAAAGGTAGGGAAATATGAAATGTTCTCTATTTCTTTTTTTCTTAATTTAATACAGACACAACTAAGGCAAAAACTGTAATACTGTAATATACACAACATTAGCACAAAGGAGGGAGGGGATCCTTCCTGAATCTGTAACATCACTGGCTCTCTAAATTCTACGTGAAGCGAGAAAATATTAACCCCAGGTCTGTTGTGAGTAGGTGAGATACCTGCTGTTAGCCCTAGGGCAATCACTAAAAGTAGTGCAAAGATATGTAGCTGAGGAGCCCATGGAGTGATTGAAATGGAGTGTTAAACATGTTTGCTTCCAGTAAGAAGGCAGGAACAGAGGAACAGGACGAAAAACCAGGTGAGACTCTGAAAACAAAAAATAACCAATGAGCCATATCAATGATTACATTAAATGTAAGTGACTAAATCTTCCAATTAAAAGACAGAGATTTAGAATCAGGCCAGGCATGGTGGCTCATACCTGTAATGCCAGCACTTTGGGAGGCCAAGGCAGGCAGATCACCTGAGGTCATCAGGAGTTCAAGACCAGCCTGGCCAACATGGTGAAGCCTCATCTTTACTAAAAATACAAAAATTACCCGGGCATAGTTGCACGTGCCTGTAGTCCCAGCCACTCAGGAGGCTGAGGCAGGGAGAGTCACTTGAACCCAGGAGGCAGAGGTTGCAGTGAGCCACTGCACTCCAGCCTGGGCAACAGAGTGAGACTCTGTCGCAAAAAAAAAAATCAATTTAAAAAAATCAGGTATCAAGTATATGCAGTTTTCAAGAGCTATGCTTTAAATATAAAGGTACAAATGAGTTGAAAGAGGAAGGATAAAGATAAAGAAGGATAGACTACATAAATATACTGGAAAGCTAGAGTGGCTGTATTAACTTTAGACAAAGTAAAGTTCAGGACACGGAGTATTATCAGAGGTGTACAGAGACATTTTGTGGTAATAAAAGACTTAATTGATCATAAAGACATAAAGGCACCACATACTGAACCTCACAATATATGAAGCAAAAATTGCAGAACTCCAGGAAGAAATACACAAATTCACAATTCTGTTTGGAGATTTTAACATCAATCACTCTTTCAATAATTGAAAGAACAACTAAACAAACAAAAAAAAGAAGACATAGAAGATCAGAACGGCACTATCGGCCACTTTGACATAATTGATGAATCCCTTTACCCTGCAGTACTTCCGGGTGTTTTTCCTAAGAAGAGTGTTCTTTTCATTCCTGCAGGGATCAGCTGCAGTAGGTTTAACACGGTTGCGGTTCTGAGACTGCGTCTCCCACTCATTTTCCAGTTTGTCATCTGACCTAAGGATAATCCTTATAGCATTTACTTTCCAGAATAGGGTTCGGCGTTGGGTTTAGTTGTCTGGTCTCTTCTGGGACATCCATCTTTTATGACACTGATATTTTAAAGTTATGCATTCCTTTAAATAAATGGTGTTCCTCTTTGGGGTTTCCCAGCTGTTTCCTGTGGTCGTCGTCCCAGGCAGGACGCTGCCTGCGGGGAGGACCCTCCCACACCACCTGCCTTGTCCTCCATGATATGCTGGTCCCCGGTGGGTGAGCCTGTGTTTCTAGGTGGTCAACAGGGAATGGAGATATGTCCAAACCAGTTCCCATGGCCCTGTGAGAGATGCATGGCGGCATTCTGCAGCCATGACCGTGACCACGTGGGGAGGCTTCAAACAAGAAACACTTACTCTTCCACAGTTCTTGAGGCCAGAAGTCCGAAATCAGGGTGTCGGCAGGGCCAGTTCCACCCAAGTCTCTATGGGAGGAGGGACCTTCCCTTCCCTCCGAGTCTCTGCGGGAAGGTCCTTCCTCGTCTCTTCCAGCCCCTGGAGGCTCCGGGCACCCCCGGCTTGTGGACGTATCACTCGGGTCCCTGCCGCTTTGCCTCCTCCCCTTTGGTCTGTCTCAGGGTTCCTGGTACGTCTCTCTGATGAGGACGTCTGTGATCACATAGTCCAGGACGCCCTCACCTCGAGATCCTTAACTTAATTACCTCCACAGAGACCCCTTTTCCAAATAAGACAGGGTGCAGGCATTAAGATGTGGACAGGTCTTTCTGGGGGCCTCCTTTTAGCCCACTGCCCAGGGCTTCTCTCTAATAAAGGTGGGCTCAGACTGCGCACCCTGTTTTATTCCCTGTCTGGTCACTTAATTCTTAAACAATTTTCATTACCTGGTCCTTATGACAATATTGGAAATAACCAAAGTTTTTTTACTTCCCGTCAAATCACAAGTATCTTCCCATCTCGCCGACGTTGTCTTACAGCAGCTTTGGTCAGCATGTACTGCTCCTGACAGAGGCAGAGGCCGCGTGGAGAGTGGGCCGGGTCGCCGCAGACACAGCAGGGTCGAGGCCTGGCGCCGGCAGTCTCAGCGACGCACTGGTCATTGCCCCAGATGCCACGCGCCCGTCTGGACCTCCGCTGCTCGGCGGCACGTGTGGTGGCCACAGGGTGGTCTGTTACGTGTGTTTGCTCATTGCGCCAAGCCCACCGGCCGGCACGTTGGTTGTTCCTGGTTTTTATTGCTGGAAGTGGCACCTCGGTGGCCAGCTTTGTGGCGCAGGGATATTTTGCAGGGCTGTGACTTACTGTGTGAACTAGCTCCTGAGGTGGGCTGCTGGGTCAGGGTGTGCGTGGTGGACGGGTGCCGCCAGCCTGCACCCAGGGTTCGTGCTCACGGCGGGGACAGCGTGCTGTTGTCCTGTTCCCTACTCAGAACATCCCATTTCCGAAAAACCACTGAGAGTTTTTAAGTGAAAATAATGTTATTTAAATACGCATTTCTCTGCCAAGTTATTTTTCTTGGTTTTGCTCTTGTTGTTTCTCTGGGGATTTGTGTTTTGCCTTTGCCGTTCCCCTTTGGTGTGAATGTTCTTTGTTTATCCATCTGTAAGAGGCCCTGCTGTCCGGGAAGGTAAATGCACGTGGAAGGTGTAACCCCTTGGCCGCATCCCATTCTGTATGCACGGACTTTGCTTTCTGCACAGGTTTCCTCTTGTGTCCAGTCTGCCCGTCTTTCCCCATTTTCATTGCTGCCTTAGGTGCTTTGTCGAAACGGCCTCCAGCACTTTTTCCTTACACTTTTAAGGGCTATTTACATATTTACATCCTGTTTTAAATTGCTTACCTGTAGTGAATGGACTATGTACTCTGAGGTCGGTTTTCACACAGTAATGGGAGCACTGTCCATCCATCCCTTCGTCTGTCCATCCATCCATCTGTCCGTGGGAGCCACACATGCACTTGGTGCTCCCTGCGCTGCCTGGCTTCAACAGCCCGGGTCCTCCCAACAGCCCTGGGACCTGGACTTCCTCTTGGCAGCTCCAGTAAGAGGCAACAGGCGACAGATGTTTGCAAAGACACCTCTTGTTATTACCATTTTATTTTCTCTGTTGTATGAACTTAAACATTAGGGTGGCAGCAGTCATGTCTTCAGTGAACCAGTTGCCTCACTGGCACTGCCGAACTGGTATGTGTGGTCCAGCCCCACCCCTGCCATCCCCACGAGCTGCCATCCAGCCCCATCCCTGCTGTCCCCGCGAGCCGCCGTCCAGCCCCATCCCTGCCTTCCCTGTGAGCCGCCGTCCAGCCCCGTCCCTGCTGTCCCCGCGAGCCACCATCCAGCCCTGTCCCTGCAAGCCACTGTCCAGCCCCATCCCTGCCGTCCCCACAAGCCACTGTTCAGTCTAGCGCTTCCCTGTGCCAGGCAGGCCATGGCCCTGCACAGCGGGACCCAGCGTCCCGGCCTTGCCAGTGCTAGCTGGCACCCCGTTCCGTGATTGAGTGGGAGGCACAGTGGTCTGGTGGGTGCTCCACCCCCTCTCCTGCGAGGCGGGTAGACATGGAAGCCCCCCAGCTGCTCTCACCCAAAGGCGCCCCTCTTTTTTTGTGGTATTTTTTTTTTGGTAACTTCTGTAAATAAATCCACGTTTGGCCTTCACCACATGACAAAGACTTCAGTCTTGATGGTGGGATCAGCTGCAGACACAAGTCAGGAACCTGGGCGTGGTTCAGGATCAGCTGCAGACACAAGTCAGGAACCTGGGCGTGGTTCAGGAGGACATGGTTCATGATTAAGTCCCTACTACACACTCTAGATAGGCCTCCAGCAAAGTTCTTTGCACTAGGCCAGAAACTGGAAGATTTCTTACAAATTTACAACTAGCCTGCCCCAAAATGGGGAGCATAAAATTTAACAAATATTTATACATGAAGTCTTTTTACAGATGATAAGTAGCTGGAGCCAAATGTGTTTTTAAATCAAAAGCTTCCTATAGAAATGGGAGCCCCCATCCAGTGCAAGGGGCAGGGCCTGTGCTGGGGCCGTGTGCAGCATCTGCAGGGCATCGGGGGTCTTGCTGCCTCCCTAGCACAGAGACCCCAACGACCTGTCAGTCAACAGAGACCCCAGCAGCCTGTCGGTCAACAGAGACCCCAGCAGCCTGTCAGTCAACAGAGACCCCAGCGGCCTGTCAGTCAGGTGTGGAGGCTCACAGGGGAGCAGGTTCCTGACCTCACTAGGCAGTCAGAGGGAGCGTGTTAACCCCGACCATCCAAAAGCAAAATCTACGTCCCACTGTCCAGGAAAGGACTTGAGTTTCTTTAAAGAACAAAACAGCAGAACAAACCCAGAAGAACTCCACGGAGTCGGTATCTTCTAACGTGAGTTCCAACTGTTGAAAATGTAATAAAAGCTATGAAAGTAATAAGACGTTTTAGTTTTTCGTGTCATTACCTTAGCTAAAACCTGCTATTTAAAGATTCTTTTATCAGGCAGCCTTGAAATGCAAAATTCAAAGCAGGTGAAGTGACAGAAGAATGCATTTTCGAACACCCTCAGCCGATGTGAAGGCAGCTGCGTCTGGACTCACCCCTTCTCTGCACAACGCTTGTATTTTGGTGGCCCTGAGTCACTGAAACTCTTCCAGGCCTTGGTCCCTTCTGATAAAAGCGTGAGGCTGCGTCTTTTTAGCTAGGATCTCCCGCCCTGTCGCCCAGGCTGGAGTGCAATAGTAGCGCGATCTTGGCTCACTGCAGCCTGGAACTCCTGGGCTTAAGCCATCTTCCAGCCTCGGCCCCAAGGTCACTGGGACTACAGGTGTGCGCCACCACACCTGGCTAATAAAAGAGCAAAGCTTTTATTCTCTATGGATTTGAAAAATCAGCTCCTTTTCCTTTCTCCGTTCAACTAAGGTTATATATTGGGAACATTTTGGGGGTAAATTTATTTCTAGCATTAGCCAATGTGTACAGCGGTTGCTTGGAAGATTTTGGTCACGGAAAGGGGGGCAGGGAGTGTATCCTGCAGCCCACAGAGTGCCCTCTCTCCCTCCCAGCCTCCTTCCTCAGCCCACGGGGTGCCCTCTCTCCCTCCCAGCCAGCTTCCTCAGCCCACGGGGTACCCCCTCTCTCCCAGCCTCCTTCCTGAGCCCACAGGGTGCCTCCTCTCTCTCCCAGCCACCTTCCTCAGCCCACGGGGTGCCCTCCCTCCCTCCCAGCCTCCTTCCTCAGCCCACGGGGTGCCCTCTCTCCCTCCCAGCCTGCTTCCTCAGCCCACGGGGTACCCCCTCTCTCCTAGCCTCCTTCCTCAGCCCACACGGTGCCCCCTCTCTCTCCCAGCCACCTTCCTCAGCCCACGGGGTGCCCTCTCTCCCTCCCAGCCTCCTTCCTCAGCCCACGGGGTGCCCTCTCTCCCTCCCAGCCTCCTTCCTCAGCCCACGGGGTACCCCCTCTCTCCCAGCCTCCTTCCTCAGCCCACACGGTGCCCCCTCTGTCTCCCAGCCACCTTCCTCAGCCCACGGGGTGCCCTCTCTCCCTCCCAGCCTCCTTCCTCAGCCAACGGGGTGCCCTCTCTCCCTCCCAGCCTTCTTCCTCTGGAGTGAAAAGCAAATCTAGACTTCGTACTCTTTTACCTATAAATAGTGTGGACCTCTACCGGGTAAGGGATGATTTAAAAAGATATCAGAGCCACTGGGGCAGCCACACACCTGATGCGGTTGAAGAATGAGCCCTCCAGTACTCTGTCCCCGCCCACCTCCCCCACGGCTCAGATGTCGTTTGTCATGGCCTTTGCTGTGCTTTTATCGTAATGTCAAGGTGGAAAATCACAGACATATTCAAAGGTCGGACGATGTAGGGAGCCCTGGGATGGGCAGTGGGCCCTGAGGGCCGTCCCACACCCTGTAGCTTTTCATTCCTGTGGATTTCATTAGGCAACGTTGCTCCTTAATGTCTTTAGTGAGATAGAATTCACATACCATAAAACTGCATTTAAAGCAAGCTTGTCCACACGCGGCTCAGGATGGCTTTGAATGAGACCCAACACAAATTCATAAACTTTCTTAAAACATTATGAGTTTTTTTTTTTTTAGCTCATCAGCTGTCACTAGTGTTAGTATATTTTATGTGTGGCCCAAGACAATTTTTCTTCTTCCATTGTGGCCCACGGAAGCCACAAGATTGGACAACCGACAACCCTGACATAAAGTGTACAAGTCAGCGTACATATTCATGGACTCTGAAGCCATCAGCACCACGTTGAAAACATTCTGGCTGGGGCAGTTCACACCTGTCATCCCAGCACTTAGGGAGGTGGAGGCAGGAGGATCGCCTGAGTCTAGGAGTTTGAGACCAGCCAGGGCAACATGGCAAAACCTCTATAGAAAATACAAAAATTAGTGGGGCATCATGGTGTACACCTGTGGTCCCAGCAACTCAGGAGGCTGAGGCGGGAGGACTGCTTCAGCCCAGGAGCTTGAGGTTGTAGTGAGGTTATGCACCGCTGCACTCCAACCTGGGTGATAGAATGAGACCGTGTCTCAAAAAAAAAAAAAAATTCTGATCAACCCCAGGATAAACCTGGCAATCTACCTCCTGTGTCTGTGGACCGGCCTGTTCCGTACATTTCGTGTCCACAAACCACATGCTGTGCCTTCTACGTCAGGTGTGGCACTGAGCACCTGAGGCAGGGCTCCTCATGCGGGCATTGGTGCATCCTGCCCGCCTCTTGCGGGACCATAGGTGGCAGAGGGGGTTTCTTCTAGAGCCCAAGGGTAGGTCTTGCTGTGAGGTGGGGTGGGGTTAGAGAGGTCAGAGGCTGAGGCAGGTGTGGGATGCATTGGTGTTGCTTTCCCGCGGCTCTGCCTCCTCTAGACACCCGTGCTGCTTGCCCACGCCTCTGCTGTCTGAGGGTAAGAAGCGGGTCACAGCATCACTGAAACCCCTTTTGGTTGGGATTCAATAGTAAAGACACAGGCCTTGCCCAGCCTTTCCCACCAATTCCTTTCATTTAAGATCCCTTTTCTAATGAGCTGCGCTCGAGGTCATGTGATGTCCTTAAATTTTCAGATTCCAGAGTATGACATTTGCCGTGGCATTTAATTGATGCTGCAAAAAAATAAGTATTAATTCACTCATTCGCAAAATACATATTTTTTTATTTCTATGGGTACTTAGTAGGTGTATCTTGGAATATGTTTTGGTTGCCTGTTCTGGGCCTGCCTGTGTGTGAGCCGTGGGGAGGGGCTCCTGTTCCCCTAATGCCCAGCGGGCAGGTCCTCCTCGCAGGGCTTCCCTGACCCCACACCGTGCTGGGTGCCAGGGTGGGCTTCACTCAGTGGGGAAACAGTGGGTTTTTGGTTGAAACAAGCCAAAGTGTTAATACTCGTTTCTTCTTTTGTTTTTCAGGTACTCTTTCGGTAAGTGAGATGCATTTAGAGAAAGCTCTGCGAGAGTTGAGCGTTGTGTGTTTGGTATGTATCTTCACGCACTTTTCCTGGCCTCTCCCCTTCCTTAGCCTCTGCCATCAGCCTTCCCAGTATGCACGGAGGGCAGTGATGGGCGCTTGTGATCTGATCCGTGCCTCCTCCCTGGATGTGGGAGCTCCTGGGCTTCCAGGCCCCGGGCACCTAGAGACGGATGGTCGCACGCATGATTGTCGGCATCTCACAGGTGTGATTACCACCGCTTCCCTGGGGCAGAGGGAAAGCACCCACAGGCCCATCCCCCGTGGACGCTCAAGGCTGTGTGCCCCTCGGCATAGAGAAGGTTCACGGTGCTCACGGCACTCACGCTGGTGGGCACTTTGGCTTGTGCTTTGTTTGGTGGAGGGGACCGGAGGTCTTCCCCATCCCACACAACGCAGTCAATACTGGAGGGTGGGAAGAGGGCAGCCACCCAGTGGACAGGACAGGGCCGGGAGGACGGTGGATGTGACCTCCATTGGGCCCGGAGGCCTCCAGAATGTCATGGGACACACGGTGGCTTGGTAAGCAGACCTGACTCCAGGACCTTGGGAAGGATGACCATACCCCCACCCCTGCCTTTCTCCATGACCTCAGGGCGCAGGCAGAGGGGCCGGTCTTTGCTGGTAAAGGCCCTGGCCTGGGCCTCGCACTCAGGCTCTCTCTGCCCCGAACTCTCTGGCTCTCGGCCCCTTTCCCAGGAGAGCAGGGGTGGCCTGTCTGGGCGTGGATCTTTGCCTGCCCCCTTCACAGTCTCAGCCTTCAGGGCCTGTGTCCTTGCGGTAGAGGTCACTTTCTTCATTCTTTTATTCCTCACGTATTTTCATTCCTTCAATATTGAGTACCAGTGATGCTGGAAATCTGGATCGAATCAAAGAAAGGAAGAACATCAGAATCTGTTAAAACGTAAATACAAAGGAACCTTATTCCTGATTTTAATCACCTTGAAAGGCAGGTTCCTGTAATTGCAGACGACCAGGCCACCTTGGCCACTGTCACTCATGGGTTTCCTGGCTGCTGGGTGCCACCTGGCTCGGGGTGCACCGTCAGGGCGTGCGGCTCTGCGTGCTTGCGTCTGTTCATTGTTTCCATGTTTTTCTTAAAGCAAGAAGCAAGGAATTATTTCAGGAATTCCTTTTCTGTTTGCAAATCTGACACAACCTGGTTGGAACCAGCTGGTTTTTTGCCTGCCAGTCCTGTGGCTGCATCAAGGGAGCAGAGTGCTCACGCGTGTGGGAGCGAGTAGACGTGAGGAAGCGTGTGCGGCGGCCTGAGTCCCCAGGCCTCCCCTAGAGTGCTCACGCGTGTGGGAGCGAGTAGACGTGAGGAAGCGTGTGTGGTGACCTGAGTCCCTGGGCCTCCCCCGCAGTGCGCCAGGATACATTCAGTATCAAAATGCCCACAGAGAAAACTACATTCTTCAACATTTAGATAAACAAATCTTTTCTTAGTAAATTTTATTTATTTAAAATTACAACAGGGTGGGTGCAGTGGCTTATGCCTATAATCTTAGCAGTTTGGGGGCTGAAGCAGGACCTCTTGAGCCCAGGAATTCCAGACCAGCCTGGGCAACATAGCAAGACCCTATCACCACAAAAAAAATTTTTTTAATTAAAATTGTACAATCACAACAGTATTATTTTTTCCCAGTTCTTATGAGGAGGGAAAGCTTTAGGTCCTGACACCTGTGTCTAGCGGGAGAAGTCCCTGCTGTCTGATGTTGTGGACTCTGAGCAGTGATCGCAAAATCGAGTCCGTGAGGCAAGAGCCCAGTGCGCGGGTCAGAGGGTCAGCACCGCGGGGGCTGTGAGCGGGCAGGCCGGGGCAGGCTCGGGGGGCAGCGGCTGAGGCTTGTGTGTTCCCTGTGAGAGATGGGCCTGCGAGGCCACGGTGCTGCCGTGTCTCAGCACCAGGGCCACAGGACCCATCGCTGAGGATGAGAGGGCCTGGAGCCCACCCTCCCCGTGCCCCCGCCTGTGAGGCCTCCTGGGGAACACAGGCTCTACTCTAAGTAGGGTGGGGGGGAAGTGCCTGGGGCAGTGGACTCCCAGAGGCAGTGCTGGAGCGGCAGAGGCAGTCGAGGAGCCGGGTGACTCTGGAGCCAGCCTCCCGCGTCCCCAACCACTTGCTGAAGCAAAAGCAACGGGGTCTGCATGGGGGGTGGGACGTGAGCCTGTGTGGCCGCCGTCGGGGGCTGCGCTTGCGCTCCCAGCCCAGGGAAGTCAGTCTTCTGCGTTTGTGTCTCCCTGGGTGTTTTCAGGTGAGCGTCATACATTCTAACTGATTCTTCGGTAGCAGGTGGTAATTGTAGGGACTCAGAAGCGAATTGTTGACTCATTAATGTTAATGTTTTCCGCCTGAGAGCCCTCGTGAGCCTGAGTTTCATGTTGTGTCTGACCCTGCAGCGGCTCAGCACGTCACTTTGGACTGTCGCGCAGAAATTCAGAAGACTCGTAGTAGCTTCGGCAGTGCTCTCCCTGCCTTCCGAGCAGCCATGCGTCTTTGAACTGTCTTCCCTTCCCTGATCTTGGAGAACATAGAGCTGCCAGTTACTGAGGTATGACTCCGGGTGCTGGGCCTCAGAACACCTAGACCAAAGGCACTGGAAGGTCAGGCTTCCTGATCTGAGACCTCTGGGGAGGCTCCTTTCCTGTGGCCTCGTTCGGGACGGCCTGGGAGAATGCAGTTTGTGCGTGCGTTCCTCAGCTCATCCGAGCCGCGTGTGCGTCTGTGTCCATCTCAGTGACATTCCTTGTCTTCATTTTGCACAATGGGCTTTAGTGGAGATCAGGTGGTTCAGGGCGGGGCACGGGGTCGGTCACTGGGACCCTGCGGCCCGCAAAGCAGCATCCTCAGGCAGTGCGTGCCCCGAGGCAGCAGCCAGCCGGCTCTAGGTGGGCCAGGCTTCCAGGGCCCCCACCCAGCCCGGCCACTGGGCACATGTGTTTCTAAAATTAATTAAAACTAAATGAAATAAAAAGCTCCAGTCCTTGGTTGCGTTGGCTGCACCTCATGTGCTCCGTGGCCGCATGTAGCTGTGGCTTCCCCACTGGGCGGTCCCAGACCTTTTTTTTTTTTGAGATGGAGTCTCGCTCTGTCGCCCAGGCTGGAGAGCAGTGGTGCGATCTTGGCTCACTGCAAGCTCCACCTCCTGGGTTCAAGTGATTCTCCTGCCTCAGCCTCCCGAGTAGCTGGGATTACAGGCGCCCGCCACCACGCCCGGCTAATTTTTGTATTTTTAGTAGAGATGGGATTTCACAGTGTTGGCCAGCCTGGTCTCCAACTCCTGACCTCAGGTAACCCGCCCACCTCAGCCTCCCAAAGTGCTGGGATTACAGGCATGAGCCATTGCGCCCGGCCCCAGACCATTCTCAGCCCAGCAGTCTGCAGAGGCTGCCAGTCAAAGATCCTAACATTTCACCAGCAGCAAACCCTGCCTTCTGAGGGCTCGTGGCTCGGCGTGGGCTCCCCGGGACATGCTCTCACAATGCTGTGGGTGTGAGCGGGACCCGCCTGAAAATACACACGGCTGCTCTTAGTGAAACGGCCGCTGGCCGGGAAGTCCGCACAGCCCCCGTCGCTAGTGTCTTCCTTTTTCTCAGGATGACCACACCATCCACAGAATGTTTACGTTTCTTTTCTTTTCAAGGCAGAGTCTTGCTCTGTCACCCAGGCTGGAGTGCAGTGGTGCAATCTCAGCTCCTTGACCTCCCGGGCTCAGGCGATCCTCCCGCCTCAGCCTCCCGATTAGCTGGGACTACAGGCGCACTGTCATGGCCAGCTAATTTTTAACTTTTTGTGGAGATGGGGTCCCACTGTGCTGCCCAGGCTGGTCTTTGGGTCTCCGTTCACATCTCTCTACTGTTGTAAGAGCCCCTCCAGCGAGCTCGCCTGCTGCTGTCCTGGGCTCTGTGTCCCAGGGTCCTGCGCCCCTGTTCAGACGGACGCGACTGCTGCTGTCCTGGGCTCTGTGTCCCAGGGCCCTGCACCCCTGTTCAGACGAACACGACCGCTGCTGTCCTGGGCTCTGTGTCCCAGGGTCCTGCGCCCCCGTTCAGACGGACGCCACCACTGCTGTCCTGGGCTCTGTGTCCCAGGGTCCTGCGCCCCCGTTCAGACGGACGTGACCACTGCTGTCCTGGGCTCTGTCCCAGGGCCCTGTGCCCCCGTTCACACGGACGCGACCACTGCTGTCCTGGGCTCTGTGTCCCAGGGTCCTGCGCCCCCGTTCAGACAGAGGCGACTGCTGCTGTCCTGGGCTCTGTGTCCCAGGGCCCTGTGCCCCCGTTCACACGTACACGACCACTGCTGTCCTGGGCTCTGTGTCCCAGGGCCGTGCGCCCCCGTTCACAGACGGACGTGACTGCTGAGCAGGATGAAGCTGCGTTCGTCAGGGCCGCGCTTTCCAGGACGCAGGAAAACCACAATATTTGTTAAACCCCATTCTGCCGTCTGTGTTTCTGCTGGAGTTTAGATAGAGCTGAGCTTTGAGGGCTGCTGAGTTTGGTAACATTCACTTCAAAGAAGGAGCCTGACGGTAATGAATTCCGCAGCCCCGAATGTGGCCGCTTCCTGCCGCCCTGCAGCGAGTGCACCTTTTGATATTCAGTGAGCCTGGATCTGGGAGTGTCTCGAGCTTCCAGCCGCCCTTGCGCATTGGAAAGGATGCGGGAACCCGAGAGGACCCGCAGCAGCGGGTGGCAGGGCTCCGTGGGGCTGCCTGCTTTCCCTCCAGGACCAGACCGCCTTTGCCGGCACCCTCCCGACAATGCACCGTCCCCCAAGTGTGGGCCTGACCCCCAGTTTGGCCCCATCCCCTGAGTGTGGACCCTGTCCTCCAGCGTGGTCCCCGTCCCCCATGGGGCGCCATGCCTAGCACCTGGTTCTGTATGGAGAGCGGGCTCTGGGAAGGGGCTCCCGTCTGCAGAGTTTGGTGAGGTTGAAACAGCAAAGGCCACAGCCGTTGTTCTGGGACTGAGACCAGGGCCGGTCCCCAGTGCTTCTGGAGACGCTTTCTGGCCCCTCCCAGGCCTGGGGCAGCTGGGAGGGATGGCTGGGCTTTTCAGGCGCGGGATGGGACAGCATTGTGACCCCACTGGCCGCTGAGATGTGACCAGGGGAAGGAGACACTCGTGGTGAGGGGTTCTGGAACCAGGGGCAGCCTTGTGTGAGTAGGGGGCAGAGTGCACAGGCGCCAGGGCAGGGCTTCCTCTGGCTCAGCTCCTGGGCCACTTTGCCAGGTCTTTGTGCCCAGATAGAGTCCCAGAGGAAGACCAACAGGTTCCCAAGGCCTTTGGAGTGTTTTAGGCCCCCAAAATCGTTTTGTAATTTCTTTGTGATTTTAGCCTGATGGACTTGGGTGTGTACGGGTGTCTACCTCCAGGCGATCCTACCCCCATCTTGCACCACTGGGCCCCCATGGGGGTGTAGGGATGGGCCCGTGGGGGCGTGGGGATGGGCCCGTGGGGGTGTGGGGTGGGCCCGTGGGGATGTGGGGAGGGGCTCGTGGGGGCGTGGGGATGGGCTCGTGCAGGGAACCGGGCTGTTGATGGTGACTGCCTGTGGGGAGGGGCTGGAGGCCTTTGCCCCCCTGCTCCCTCAGGGCAGTGAAGTGAGGGTGTCAGCTGGGGGCATACAGAGGAGTGAGGGTCCCAGGACCCAGGGAAGGGTTCTGGAAGTCTCCACCTTCCCAGGATATTCCTTTGTAGGAAGTGGGTTCTGTTTCTTACTACAGTCCCATCCAGGGGAGAGTTGGACAGGCCAGGGCCTGAGGGAATTTGGGGTCCTTGGAGTAAGAAACTTGGTTGATGAATGGTTGGTTTATCCTTATCTTCCACTGATGAATGATTGGTTTATCCTCATCTTCTGGAAGGCCAATGCCAGCTGGTCTGGGGCCTTCCTCCATGCTGGGCCAGGTGTCAGCGCCAACACACAGGTGGCCTGGGTCTCACTGGGATTGGACTGTGGTTATGCTGAAAACACGTGGAGGCTGGGGGGGCCCATCCACGTAGCGGGTGCGAGGAATGAATCTCAGCAGCAACGGGCGCTCCTGTGTGAGCCACGGAGGCAGGACGGCCAGGCTGTCCCAGCGTTGGGTGCCTGTGTGGGGCCGCGGCCCAGGTTTCGTTGCAGGTTGTGCTGGAATTCGGTTATTTGTCGCTACATTCGGAGGCTTTCCAAGCGTACCAGGCCCCTCCTGGGTTTTGCTGCTGTGCTCTTGCCAAGCGGGAAACTTCCCCACCTCTCAGGTCTGCTTTCTAGGCTGTCCCCGCACAGGCCAAGTGTCGCCGTGCGTGTGCGGGGCCCCAGACACTGGGCTAGGGTGTTTTCCATTGCGGCAGCACCTCCCGCCAGCCATTGTGAATTAAATGCTCCCTGTGACCCTTCACCCTTGCGGCTCTTAAATTCGTGCTTTAAAAACAGCTTAATGAGGGGTTCACTGGCCCAACTGGAAGTTTTTATTAAGCCCTATTAGTGCTGGAGCAGAGCCTGCCTGCGGGAAGCGATCGCCGGGTGAGCTCCGCCTGGGCTGCACCAGGCTCCACCAAGCAGCCCCAGTCCCCGCCCTCCTGTCCCTGCTTTAGCTGATGGCCCTTCCCTCCCCTTCCCAGCTCCCAGGGTCAGGGATGCAGTTTCTTTTAATTAAATTATTCCCTAATCAGAGGCAGCCTCCACGGCCTCTGCCGTGAGCTCGCTCAGCTGCCGGGCTGCAACCGGTAGGCCGAGCCAGCTCCTCTCTGGGTCCTTTCTCTTGCATTCCTGTGTTGATTTAATTGCACGGCCCCTCCCTGGGGGAGAAGCATCCTGTAGAGCGTGGTTCCAGAGGGTTCCCTCAAACCGGGAGGCAGAGCCCTTCCCTGTCACCTGGGGCGTGAATGACTGTGGTCCTGCGTGTCTCTGGTCTCAGTGTCTGGTCGTGTTCTTCATAGGAAGGACAGGGAAGCCCACTTGGGTGACTTTTAGAGCCCGCCACGTGACATGGGCTAGCTGTGAGCCATCTCCACGGGCCATTTCCAAGGTGAGAAAGGGCTCTTGAGCAGCTTCTGCCACTTCCTCACCATGAGCGGCCCTTGGTTGGCCATGAGAGAAGGAGAGGCTGCCCTCAGACTCGGCTCCATCTCTGGAGGCCTCTGGGCCTGAGTCTCCGCCTGGGTGCAGTGGCCCTTCTGGACCCTCCAGTGCTCTCCACTGGGGTCTCGGGGTGTTTCTTGGCTCCAGGAGTGGTGTTCTCGCCTGGTGGCTTCTCTGTCACTACTTGCCAGGCTGTCTTCTTGGGCCACAGGGACCCCAGCATAGGCCCGGGGTGCCGTCCAGGGAGGACTCCTATGGCTAGAAGGGGAGGACTCACAGAGAGGAGAGGTGGCAAATGGGGACCCGGGGAGCAGCTGACATCCTGGCTGTGACCTGCAGGGTCCCTTGGGTCCTGCATGCAGCCAGCACAGTGAAGGAGGAGAGGAAGCCTCTGGGTGGATGCCGGGACCCCTTAGGGTGTGGGCCGTGGTGCCGGGTTCCACCTTCTTCACACATGTGCGTGCGCAGCTTTGGTGGCGCTTGTTTTTAGGGTAGTCTTCTTTGGTGGCGCTTGTTTTGAGGGTAGTCTTTTTTCATCTAATTTACATCCACCCCGTGTTAACCTCCCGGTTCCGTCCATTCTTATCTTCATGCCAACTCAGATTTGTACCCAAACACAGACGTGCAAACACACGTGCGCACATGCGCACACACAGACACACGTATGCAGATCCTGTGCAAACACACGAGCACACATGGACATACACAGATGCATATGCAGATCATACGCAAACTACACACATGACACAATGCAGATCATATGCAAGCACGTGCACACATGCGCACAGACCTGCAGATCTTATGCAAACACGCACATACATGCACACAGACACGTATGCAGATCATATGCAAACAGGTGCATGCATGCACACACAGACATACGTATGCAGATCATATGCAAACGTGCACACGCGCACACAGACCCACGTATGCAGATCATATGCAAATGTGTGCACACGCGTATGCACATATGCAAACACAGGTGCACGCATGCACACACAGACATATTCAGATCATATGCAAACGTGCACACATGGGCATACAGACCCACCTATGCAGATTATATGCAAACGTGTGCACACATGCGCACACAGGTATGCAGACCATATGCAAGCACACATGCATGCATGCATACAGACACGTATGCAGATCATATGCAAACGTGCACACGTGCACACACAGACACATATGCAGATCATATGCAAACACGTGCACATGCACACAGACACACATGCAGATGCACATACAGGATTTAGGGGTAAATGTTTGCTTTACTCAAACAGGGCCATATTAGATACATTTCTTTCATTCCCTTTTTTTCACTTACTAATATCTGGTGAAAATTACTAAGTTGAACCTAGAAGAAAAGCATATATATATAGTTTTTCTTCAGAGACAGGGCCTTGCTCATTTGTCCAAGCTGGACTGCACTGGCACAATCACGGCTCATTGCAGCCTCGACCTCCGCAGACTCAAGTGATCCTCCCACCTCAGCCTCCCAAGTAGCTAGGACCACAGGCATGAACCACCACACCCGATTAATTTTTTTATTTTCTTTTTTATAGTGACAGGGTCTTGCTATGTTGTCCAGGCTGGTCTTGAACTCCTAGGCTCAAACTGTCCTCCTCTCTTGACCTCCCAAAGTGCTTTAGGGGATTACAGGCATGAGCCACCACGCCCTCCCAGAAAATAGATTTTAAAGGCCATTTTGTCTCATTCACACGATCATTAACATTTTGTTGGTTTTGAATTTCTCCCATCACGTTGTTAGCCATTTCTGTTTTAAAAAATTCTCTTTACTATGCAGAATTCTAAACTACTGAAGAAGTGTTTTGTTGCTGTGATTCATACTTCCAGTGCTGAATCCACTTGAGTGGCTTTAATCTAGAATCTTCAACGTGGCTTTTTAATTGTTTTTAACTGTATGGATGCAGGATGTTTGGTGGCATCTGCTCTTCATTCCTAGTGGATTAGTGACAGTGACAGTGAGCAAGGGGCTTCCTGTGTGGCTGAAGAGGGCGGTTTCGTCACCACCCATTCCGCAGGGGGCAGCTCAGCCCAGCAGGCATTTGGGGACTCGCACCCAGCACTCTGCGGACGGGGGTCTGACTGCACCCGCTCCTCCCCTCCACCCCCCGCTGCCGGCTGGAGGGCACAGTCTGTGCGGTGGCCTTGCCACCCCCTAGCAGGTCTGCATCCGTTCTCCCGCCTGGGCCTCAATACTTGTTTCCTCCTTTTCCTCACTCTCCCTTGCCTAAACCGCCATAGATCATCCCCTTTATGGGTCTTTTCAAAGAGCTGGTTTTATCTATCAGAATTTTAAAATATACTCTAGCTCATTCGTTTTTGCCTCTTGTAGTTGCTTGCTTTTTCTGGGAGAAAGTGGTTTATCATTTCCAGTGCCTGGAGTTGGTTCAGCTATTTTCTGTCTCTTCTTCTCTGCTAATGAAAGCCAACTGGAGGGCGGCTACCCACTTCTGGGTATGTCCCTGCCCTACCCTGTCATCTGAGACCCCCGGCTGCCCCTGACAGTGGCCGATGGTGTGGTTTTATAACCTTCAGCGCTAATGCCTCTAGACCAAGGACAGCCTGGAGAAATGCTTCGAAAATGCCACATGCTCAGGGTTTTACAGGTGGCCTTTTGTTTCTCAACTTTGATTTTATTACACTGTGGCCAGTGTGGCCTGAAGATTGTTCTTTTAATTATTAAAAAAAAATGGGCATGTGCATGAATAGTCAAATTGTATTACACGACTTATAATAAAAACAGAAGCCCTTGCCGTACCACTTCTCAGCCACATGCTGTTCTCCAGACAACCCTTTTATCACTTCCTGCACTTAACTCTGGTATTTGTCTGTCTTTCTGACTGATAGGTTTATATGGGTTATTCTTCGCATACCACGGTTAGACACTGTGTATACATGTCCTCTTATGAACGACAGGGATTGCCCTCACACACCCTAATGTTCTTCTCATCATCATCAGTATAGCTGTGTCACAAGTATAATTTTTATTAGTTTGATTGTCTTTACATTATTTTGACTCTGTAAATATTGTGACTGCTGAGCCAAATAGTGAACTATAGTAACTTTTTTTCTAATAACTCTTCATTTTTCCTGGAGTTCATAGTTGCCTTTTCTATTTTGATTGGCTTCGTTTTTCATCTCTGATCATATCTCACTCATTTGTTCCAACTTTACCAGCACAACTGGTCAACCCTTTCCAATACTGTTGTTTTTACAGAATCAAACACATTGGACAATCCATCAGTTTTTTCTCTCCACTTTGTGAAGATTTCCGCTCAGGACCTCATTGTTACTGCTTGGAGCAGATGCTTTGTAGGCCTCTGGATTTGGAGATTGTGGGGCAGGTTAACTCTGCCAGATTGGGGGCCACTGATGAGTTTGTCCCTCTGCCCATTCCAGGGATCCTAAGATGGTTCCCAGGAGCAGGTGACCTCATTGTATTGAGGGTAAGGCTCAGAGTCCACAGCCCCTCCTCCACGTCCTTCTAAAGCAGTGCTCTTAGGGAGGATTTCTCTTTTTTAGAGCTGGGATCTTGCTCTGTTGCTCAGGCTAGTCTCAACCTACTGGGCTCAAGCTGTGCTGCCACCTCAGCCTCCTGAGTAGCCGGGACTATTGGCTTCCCTGAGAAGCCTGATGCTTTAGTGGGGAAGGTGTTTAGAGACCAAGACGTGGGTGCTGGGGTGCCCGTTACTACTGGGGTGCTGCAGCTTCTCAGCCCCTCAGCCGGCAGAGTTAGGAAATACATGGCTGTTCAGGAAGCCACGCAATGGGGAGGAATGAACTGTGGACAGCTGGGGACCCTCGTAGGCCACAGTGCACCGTGCCAGTGTTAGCAGCTGCCACATCCGCCCCACACTCCTTGCCCCTGCTGTTTTGCCATGACGCAGATCCCAGGCATCACATTCCTGCATTTGGAAATGCCTCCTCGTACACCTGAAGACAGGCCTTTGCAACAACACGACGCCAACACCACATCACACCCGAAAACCCAGGCGACTTTCACACAGGGCCTTCGCAACAACACGACACCAACACCACATCACACCCGAAAACCCAGGCGACCTTCACACAGGGCCTTCGCAACAACACGACACCAACACCACATCACACCCGAAAACCCAGGCGACCTTCACACAGGGCCTTCGCAACAACACGACACCAACACCACATCACACCCGAAAACCCCGGCGACTTTCACACAGGGCCTTCGCAACAACACGACACCAACACCACATCACACCCGAAAACCGAGGCGACTTTCACACAGGGCCTTCGCAACAACACGACGCCAACACCACATCACACCCGAAAACCCAGGCGACTTTCACACAGGGCCTTCGCAACAACACGACGCCAACACCACATCACACCCGAAAACCCAGGCGACTTTCACACAGGGCCTTCGCAACAACACGACACCAATACCACATCACACCCGAAAACCCAGGCGACTTTCACACAGGGCCTTCGCAACAACACGCACCAACACCACATCACACCAGAAAACCGAGGCGACTTTCAGACAGGGCCTTCGCAACAACACGACACCAACACCACATCACACCCAAAAACCGAGGCGACTTTCTTCACGTCCATGTTAGTAATGCCTTTTCTCAGCTGTTTGTCCACACAAGGGCTGGCCACGTTAGGTGGACGCCCGTGTGCTGTCTCCCTGCTTCAGGTCCTGCTGGATCAGTTCCCCAGTGGCCGCTCTGCCTGCCATTCTGCCTACCTGGCTACCAGTCGCTGTGGGCTGGGGGTGAGAGCTCACAGCTGGATCAGAACCCCCTCTGTGGCCCCCCTCGGGAGGTGGCTGCCTTCTCCCACCTTGCATCGGAGGCGAGATTGTGCAGGGACCAGAGGCTGCCCTGGTCTGCCTGTGAGAAAGCCCCTGGGTGGTTGCTGCCAAGGAGCATGGCTGGGCCTGCGAGACAGGGTGCCCCGATCTGCCTGGAAGTTTTCTGTCCAGGCCGCCCTCCCTCATCGCCTCTGTCCCGTGTTGGCTGCTTGGAATGCGTCTCTCTGGACCTCATCTGGGATAAACAGCTGCTTCTCTCCCCTTACTCCTCAGCTGTGGGGGAACGCTGGTTTCCAGGCCCACTCACAGGATTTTTAATGTTCCGCCCAGACCTTGCTAACACCTCTCAGCGGCTAAGCCTATTTCTGTAGATTCTCTTACTTATGTTTTGTTTTTAAATTTTCTATGTAGTCAATCTTTTTTACATTTCAAACCTTTTAACCTTTGTTTTTCTCCTAAGAATTGTATAGTAAAACCCGCACGGGGACCGCCTGGATGCCGTAGGTTCTGTTCACGGGGTTTGCTGCGTTGTTACGTAGTGGGTCTCCTCGCCCGTGTCCCCCGTCCCTGCGTCGGTGCTTCAGCGCACATCAGGGTGGGGCTGGTGTCAATGCTTCCCACATCATTAGCTGGAACTCACCGCACACTGCGTCTTTCCCTCCATAAAGAACTTGCACGAGCCCCATCAAGGTATAGGGAGTGGCCGTCACCCCAGAAAGTCCCGTCATCCCCACTCGTCACCGCCCGCATTTGTACAGAGATACAGCTGTCTTGTTCTAAGGGCGAGTCCCTGTGAGAACGCGTGGAGCGTTTTGTCCCTGCCCCCACACACTCCGCCGGGGGGTTTGGCTTTGTGCCGGTGCCTGGCTGGCGGGTGAACTTTCCACAGGGCCTGCCTTGTCCACGTCTCTGCAGGGAGCGCAGGTCCGTGTGCCCACCCAGGAGGTCTTGGACCCAGCAGCCCCTCAAGAAGGGCTATGGCGACTGTTCACCGCAGGAGGGCTCTGCGCTGTCTGAAAAGGGGAACAGAATGCCCCAGTGGAAGCAGATTTGCAGGTGATATTAGGGAAGCTTCCTCCTGCCTTCTACTTACCTGGACTTCTTATCCTCCAAGGCGCTTGACTCACAGTCTTACCTCCTTGAGTTGCCTCCAGAAGAAAATGGTCTTTGTTTTACTGAGTTCCTTCTAAGCGCAGTCTGTGATGGGGCCCGTTCTGTCCTGTCCTCGCCCTGCTGAGCACTGAGACAGAGACCCAGGCGACCTGCTGACCGAGGCCAGCTCACGAGCCTGCTCTGGGCCACGTGGTGCCGAGTTGCTTCCTCCTTCAGGCTCTGATGACACTGAAGCTCCCCGGGGAGAACAGCGGTGTCCTTTGCTGCTGGAGATGCCTGCAGATGCTTGCTCTGGGCATGCAGGGGCCCCTGGGGAAGGATCCGCGCCTGGCTCCCTCTCTCCATCTGTCCCTCGTTTTGGACGGGAAGTCGACTATCATTCCTGACGTTCCAGTGTAACGTGTTATGTTTCTCTGATGGCTTTGGGGATTTTATCTTCCGTTGCCAGTTTCTTGACTATGATATGCCTACTTTTTACCAAATTTGGATAATTTTTGCCAATATTTGGGGGGGTTGCCCCATGTTCTTTCTCCTCTCCTGTGGCTCCACGGACATGGACATCAGGCCTCTCCCTGCCTTCCACGAGCTCCTGGGCCCTGTGCTTCTGTGTGGTGTTTTCTAAAAGCCTCTCATCTCTAGAATGAGTCACTGTGGCTGCTATGTCTTCGTGTTCACTGCCTTTTCTTTCGTTCTTCACTCTGCTGCTGAGCTCAGCCAGGGGCATTTGTGCTCTGGAGATTTTAGTTCTTGCTCTGGAGTGGGCCTGGCCTTCCTCCGAGGCTCTGTGTCTCTGCTCAGCTCTCCAGCCCGCCTGCCTGGCAAGCACGTTTTCCTGTGCTTTCCGGTCCTGATGCTTTCCTGCGTCCGTGTGGAGCCAGCGCTTGGGGTGTGGTGTGTAGAGAGGGGAATGTGGACATGCAGTGCGTGCTGTGGGGGCTGACGGGCTGGGGCCGGTGTGGATGTCGTGTCGGGGGCCGAGCCAACGGGCCAGGGCCAGTGTGGATGTCATGTTGGGGGACGACGGACTAGGGCCAGTGTGAATGTCTTGTTGGGGGCCCAGCTGACGGGCCAGGGCTGGTGTGGATGTCCTGTTGGGAGCCGACAGGCTGGGGCCATTGTGGATGTCGTGTTGGGGGCTAAGCCGACGGGCCAGGGCCGGTGCAGATGTTGTGCTGGGGGCCGACAGGCTGGGGCCAGTGTGGATGTCCTGTCCAGCAAGGCCCTGGAGGTGGTGTCCGGGCAGTCTTGACCGAGGCCGGAAGGATGGTGCCGGGGGCAGGAGCCTGACTGCCTCGGAGGAAGGGGGTCCCGGGGCGGAGCTGTGGGGTGGGGAGCCCATTGTGGATGCTGGCTGCTTCACCCTCACCCCCACGTTCTGTCTGTGGGTCTCCGTGAGGCTCCTCCCAGGGCGGCCCTGCCACATGATGTAGCTGAAACCCAGTCCTCTCTGCACACCAGTGTTTCTAGGAAAACACTTCCTGTCTTTCTCCCCAAGACCTCCAGGACGTGGGCCTGAGGTCATCACTGCCTCCTTCAGTTGCTGCTGCCCGAGGCCCCCAAGAGTGACCCACATGAGACTGCGGTCCAGACGCCCTCCCTGCCTCTGAGGGCGCACACTGTCCAGAGCGGGTCTGTGGGTGGAATGCCCCCAGCGGCCTCCGGGCCCCTTGTCTGTGGGGCCTGTGCCCTGGTGCTGCCGGCACTGCTGTCCTCACGCGAGCGCTGGAGATATGAGCTTTCCCAGGGGGGCTCAGCAGTGATGAAGGTGGGGCAGGAGCTGTGTGTGTCCACCATAGGTCCTGACAGAGATGAAGCAGAGGCCACAGGGCTGCCCTGCCCCCTGCCGCGGGCATGTGGGGTGATTCCCGCCCACTTCTCAGGTGTGCCAACCCCCACGTTCCTTCCCTGTGAGTGTGTGAGCTCACATAGCCCCTGGACACACCACCCTCCACGTGGGGTGGATCGTGCCTGTTGGCCACACTGAGCACACCTGGAAACGCCGACTGCCGAGTGTCAGGGGAGGGTCTGGAAAAGCCGCGAGTGAAAACAGACTGTCCCCCGAGACTGTGTGGTGAGGGGAACACCTGATTCTGCAGCCTGGGAGTCCACGCCGACATGCCGACTGCCCACACAGGTGTCACAGCAGGGATGTGGATGCTACTGTGCTGTGCGGGCTCCAGCCCAGGAGGCCCCGTGGGAGGAGCAGGTGCCGAGAGCTCGTCCCACCGCTACTCGGGAGTGAGACCCACATCCCACAGGTGTCTCTGAGCAGGCGCCCACCCCAGGACTGGCTGAGAGTCAGGGTGCACCCCAGGGCACTGGCCCCACGTGAGAGTCGGGGTGCGCCCCGGGATGCCGGCCCCGCGTGAGAGTCGGGGTGCGCCCCGGGACGTCGGCCCCGCGTGGTCACTTAAATTCACATCCAAGTGAACCAAAGTTAAATGTGATTTAAAATGTGCTTCTCAGCCACGCAGGCTGCCTTTGAGTGCCTCAAGGCCTGAAGGGCCGGGGCCCTTGAGGCACACCCCGTGACCCAGGACAGCTCCGTGGGCACAACGTCCCCGCAGCCCACGATGGCCAGCACTTTTCTGGGGTCTCATGAGTCCCTTGGAGGCTCGGCACACTTCAGCCATTTTTCATGCCCGGGACACAAAAGACAAAGAAATGGTCAGGTGTGGTGCCCACCAGCCTGACTTAGGTGAAATACTTGGAACACATTAATCCTAAACACTCTTTGCCGCGAAGTCTAATTTCCGTGGACGGGAAGCATTTTCGTATTTATCCAAAACCAATAAAGATAGCTAAGGTCATTACTGCGGATTTGTTTCCCAAGAGCTGGTGACACCTGCACAGAGCTGAGCCACAGGGACACCTGGGGCTAGGAAGTCTGGTTGTCACGGCAACCAAGTACGAACAAGCCGCGCGGCCGGGCGCAGGGGTCACTGAGGCCACTTCCTGTTTCTCGGCAGCGCCCACGGACAGCCTTAAAATATGTAACAGTCCACGAAATTCCTCATAACTGAGAGCGTGCAGTTAACGTAATTTTATCTAAAGCACGAAAGCCCTTAACCAGCACTTTCAGAGATGTCTGGTTACTAGAAAATGCCCTCCCATTTGCCATCTGATCTCTGGTTTAACCCAGCCAGCCGCCCCGCGCCACGTCCCGACGCCATGTCCCCAGCTCTGCACCTGTATGTCTTGCGGGCAGCAGAAGGGCGGCCCTCCTGTGAAACGTCCTCAGGACGTGAGACATGGCCAGCGGGCAGACGCAGCTGTGAAGCTCAGGCCGGTTCTGGAGGTTCCTGTGCAGAGCTTGGCTCTGGGTGACCACAGGCCAGGGAGCTGCAGTCCACTCCAGACACAGCCTGGTCAATCCCAGAGGAGGGAAGGAGCCCACGGTCAGGAGGAGGCCGGGGGTGCCGGGCGAGCACAGCAGTACTCCTGTCCCCTGGGACACCTCTGGGGTGGGGCTGACATCAGGACCTCCCAGCACCCCTGCAAACAGCCCCGGTACGGGGGCAGGCATGTCTCTTAGGGGAGGGCAGCCCTGCCTGGTCATCTCCAGTGAGCCGGAGGGGTCAGCGGGCCTGGACAAGCCCCTAGAACGGCACCTGCCCGCAGCACACACGTGTGGCATTTCTTCACGTGGGCCTGCGCCCGCCCACAGCGCACACGTGTGGCATTTCTTCACGTGGGCCTGCGCCCGCCCGCAGCGCACACGTGTGGCATTTCTTCACGTGGGCCTGCGCCCGCCCGCAGCGCACACGTGTGGCATTTCTTCACGTGGGCCTGCGCCCGCCCGCAGCGCACACGTGTGGCATTTCTTCACGTGGGCCTGCGCCCACCCGCAGTGCACACATGTGGCATTTCTTCACGTGGGCCTGTGCCCGCCCGCAGTGCACACGTGTGGCATTTCTTCACGTGGGCCTGCGCAGCATGTGCTCTGCGTGGCCACACCATGGCTGTGTGTTGCCCATGTGCTTGGGGGAGGTGAGATGGTGGTGACCCGTCCCCCATGGTACCGGCATGAGAGTGGCTTTGGGCCTGGTTCCCCACAGGATTGCTTCTGTGTGCTGGGCTGCAGATGGCCCCATACACGTGACTTTAGCTCTGCCTTCAAGATGAGTTTGCAGCATGGCAGCCCCTGGGTGGCGTCTCCATCCCCGACGCTGAGCAGTACTCATGCTCTCAGAGCTCGCTGCGCAGAGAAATAGCCGTAACAGACCCGGAGCTCAATA
The DNA here is from genome assembly GCF_000001405.40 of Homo sapiens. Classification (NCBI taxonomy): domain Eukaryota; kingdom Metazoa; phylum Chordata; class Mammalia; order Primates; family Hominidae; genus Homo; species Homo sapiens. The sequence goes on along the minus strand of NC_000016.10, from coordinate 916,951 downwards.
TTCAGGGGATCCCAGAGCTGGCTGTGCAGAGCAATGGCCATAACAGACCCGGAGCTCAACACTCAGAGGATCTGCGAGGGGACACCCGGGAGGTGGCTAGTTGCCAGGAGAGGGGTGTTCCTGACATACCTTCATTTGCTGCCAGGGAGCCAACGAGGCATCCCAAGGCCGCAGGCCTCAGTGGCAGAGCCTGCACTTGTCCCTCTGAAGCTTTTTCAAACATGGTCACAAAAGATGTTTTCCCCGTGGCCAGAGACATGGAGAAGTGGGGTCTGGGGCTCTGCATGTGGGCGGATCACAGACAAGGCCACCTGGTGTCCCGGGGCCATGTGGGTGTGGCCTACCAGTGCCCAGCCCCGCCACTGGCGCGCAGCGAGAGCCGAACTCCCCAGCCCCCATCATCCAGCCCCAGGGGCGTCTGTAGCCCACAGCCCCTGTTCCGTGATAGTGCAAAGTAAGATTTGCAGTGCTATTTCATAACTTTTCAGCTTAAAATATAACCTGTAAAAATGAAGGAAACTTTTAAAAGCTCCCAGCTCTCTCTGGGGCCGCCATTAGAAGCCCCTGGGGTGGCAGAGGGCGGCCCGGCGCAGAGCTGAGTGACAGGCAGTCAAGATGGAAGCGCTTTGCTCCCTCGTCCCCGATTTTAACAGCGAACTTAATGGATTTCCTGTTTCTAACGTGGATGGTGGCTGTCATTTTTGAAGGATCCATCTGTGCTATATTTAATGACTCTCCCTAAGTAACTAAAATAGTTTCCACAGAGTTAATGAGGCCTCAGCTGGCGTTCTCTCCTACAGTGGCCATTGCAATGACTTGCACCTCCAAAGCGTTGTGTTAAATCACGTTTCTTCCTTGGTCAGAGGCGGCTCAGCCCACAACCCACTGGCCCCTCATCCCTCCCTTTGCCGGAGGCTACCCCGTGTCCCTCCCTGTGTCCTGAGGGCTGCCCCCACCCTGCACACCTTCTGCACCCTCCGAGCCTCTGCCCCTCACTGGTGGCCAGGCAGCGCCTGGGTGTCACCTGCCCCAGCTGCTGAGTCTCACCTGCCCCAGGCCCCCAAGTCTCACCTGCTCCGGCCCCCGCGTCCCACGTGCTCCGGCCCCTGCATCTCACCTGCTCCGGCCCCCGGTGATGGTGCTCATCTCACCCGCCTGAGGCACCGCAGTCGCCCCACCCTGCGTGTCTCTCGTCCCACACGGCTGCTGGCCTCCAGGACTTCCGTCCGGAAAACCCCATCTCAGGCTCCACCCCAGCACTCTGCCTGGCCAGCACTGCACCCTGTCCCTAGGCTGGCCTGGGACCCTCCATCCTCTGACTGGGGTCGCCAAGGCTGGTGGTGCATGAGTGTGCTGCCGGCTGCCCAGCCCAGCCCAGAGCAGCCGCCAGGTGCCCCTCCACATGTTCCCACATGCCCCAGGCCGCCAGGCGCAGATCTCGCCTCTTGGTGGAGAATCTTCTGGTTCTTCAGTGGCAGAGGGTCCCTCCTCAACCTCTGATTCCCATAAATAGAAAAGAAAGGTGAGCACGCACCTCTGCCTGGGTTTTATTTGGGGAGCAGGTGCCTAGGAGCTTGGCTGCGGAGTGAGGGACCCCGGCCGTTGTGAGGATGAAGAGGGCTCTCCGCACCACCCTGTGGTCTCTGCCTGCCCTCTGCCCCCATCCTGTGCCTGGCTCCTCTGGTGTTTCAGACCCATCCATACCCATGCCTCACACCTATGCACACAGGGCCTGCCCAGCCTGAATGTCCCCAGAGTCATCCCTTGGTCGCCCCTTGGCTCTGCAGAGGCGGATCTAGGGTGAGTTTTTCTTTAGCTGTTTTTAAATCAGTGGTATTAAAACAAGTAGCCCAGGACCCTGCCATCTAGGAAGCGAGCACGAGATGGTGAAAACCCTACAAGCCCTCAGGCCTCGGGGGATGCCCCTCCTGGGCCAGCCGAGCAGGCAGCAGCGAGGCCGGAGTCCTTAGAGACGCCGATTTAGGGCTGAGAGCTGTGTGGCCCTCTGCGTCAGTCACTACGGAACATTACTGATTAGCACTCGGATATTTAGTTCAGAGAAACCACGTTTCCATCTGATTCCAAGGCAGTAAAATTTTGTCACCAATGGTCATGGGAGAGAGGGAGATGGTCATGGGAAGGGAGGGAGGGAGTGTGTCACCAGTGGTCATGGGAAGGGAGGGAGGGAGGGAATGTGTCACCAATAGTCATGGGGAGGGAGGGAGAGTGTCACCAATGGTCGTGGGAGGGAGTGTGTCACCAATGGTCATGGGAGGGAGGGAGTGTGTCACCAATGGTCATGAGGAGGGAGGGAGTGTGTCACCAATGGTCATGGGGAGGGAGGGAGTGTGTCACCAGTGGTCATGGGAAGGGAGGGAAAGAGGGAGTGTGTCACCAGTGGTCATGGGAAGGAGGGAGGGAGTGTGTCACCAATGGTCATGGAAGGGAGGGAGGGAGCGTGTCTGGTTTTGCACTTGGAGAGCTGGAGCGATCACGGGGCTCAGGGCCCACAGCGGTGTGCGTTCTCTCGTGGACCCTACGAGTGAGCATCCGGTCTGTGTCCTGCAGAGCAGGAAGGTCGGGTGTGGGGAGCCTCCCCGGGTCTTGGCCTGCCCAGCCTTCTCCCCATTTGGGTCAGGGCTGTCTTCACAGGGTGCTGGAAGGGTTTGTACTGAAGCAACCTGCAGTCCCCCTTCAACGTGGAGACGTTTGCTCCCCTCCCAGGAGGGGTCAGGGACTGCCCAGGTTGCAGTGGTGGAGATGTTATCTCCCCTCCTAGGAGGGGTCGGGGTGGCCCAGGTTGCAGTGGTGGGGATGTCCCTGTCCCCAGGGCTCAGCATCTCGTAGGGCCTCAGAAGACCGTGCGTGTAGCTGCAGCCGCCCAGGCCTCGCGGCCCATCAACAATGGTGAGAACTGATTCCAAAGTCTAGAGCTCTGGGAAGCCACTCCAAGAGGCGCCATGTGGCATTCGCCATTGTCTGCAGATTTTCTCTTCCGAGTATTTCATCTTAAATTTCCATTATAAACCGAGGCGTCAGAATCCCTGTCGGGGTGTCGGGGGCCTGCAGGTCTGGCCCTGGCCTCGCCATGTGCCTCGGGCTGCCCCATGGCGAAGCCTCTCTTCTGTGTGCCCCACGCCTCCGGTGGCTGCAGACCTGACATCCAGAGCCTTCAAACCCTAAACTGTCTCCAGCAAGGCAGTTATGAGGCTGCGTCCTTGTTTCTGCCTTTTCTGATGCCCCGAGACGCCTGTGAATGGCACAGTACAGTTACCTGCAGCGCTGGCTGGGCCTGCAGGCCACAGGCTCCTGCCTTGGGCACCAGCCTGGCTGTGGATCTGCATGAATCCTGAGGGGGAGGGCAGCTGAGAAGCACCAGTGCCCAGCTGTGCCTGGGTGCTGGGGCACCTGCATTTCCTCCGCACCAGCATCGGGGCATCCAGCCGGCAATGAGCCATTAACATGGGTGCACCGGGCGAGGCGCCAGGGCAGGAGTTGGGTGTCGCACCCTGTCCAGCGGGCAGGGCTCAGGAGCATCTCCCTGGACCGTGCACATGCAGCTTCTCCGCTGATTGGGCCAACGCTGTCTGTGTCGCAGGAAGGAGAGCAGCGGCCGTGGAAGTGAATGTTCCCCACAAGAGCTACTGCCCCGTTACCCAGGCAGAACGCGTCAGGCTCCTCACAGGGTGTGCTCAGTCTCCCGGAAGGCCCAGCACAGCACGAGGTGGAAACGACGCCGGAGCCGTGGAGTGGAGCAGGGGCCCTCCCGGAGCCGTCCCCCTGGCTAAAGGGAAGGGAGGTCCCTGGGGAAGAGCAGGGCGTGCAGATGCTGGCGCCCAGCAGGCAGCGCGTGCAGCTGCGCAACGGGAAAGGCACTGAGGCGGGGGCGAGGACGGCTCCTCTCCCCGGCAGTGGCAGCGTGTGCTGTGGCCCTGCGTGTTGCCGCCTCGTTCGGGTGCCTGGGGCTCGCTTCAGGCAGCGCTGGTGTTTGCTGGGTGAGAGCTGTCTGGAGAGCCCTGGCCCTGACCTTGGCGCTGAGGCCGCCCTGGCAGCGTGCTGCTTATTGACTTTCCTGGGGACGCGTTGTCCGCCACGCTGAGGCGGAGAACAATGGCAGCCCTTGTGCACGCCGCGCAGCTGCTGGAATTCCTCAAGACCCAAGCAAAGAAAACAGAAGCAGGTGGGCCCAGGGCAACCCTTTTCTTCCCAGGGTGTCCGCAAGGCCCAGCCAGCCAGGCGGCTCTGGCTTCCGTGGGGAAGATGGGGCCCAGCGAGCCTGGGGCGTGAGCGAGGTGGAGGGGGTCCCGCTGAGAGACCAGCAGGCGTCAGCTTGGCAGCCTGTGCCCTCCATAAGCCGGGGCAGCATAAGGACTGACCGTCTGTCCATTCAGAGACCAGGGTCGCGCTGCCTCCACTCACGCCGATCTGCTTATTCAGTAATTGGCGCACATCAGTGTGGACTTGCAGGCGTTTATTTTGTACTTTGGGTTACAGTCCAGTGCTGCTGTAGCAGCCTCTTCACGGGCTTTTGACTTTACCGTAGTATCTCAGGTAGAGATGAGTTGCACCAATGGTTGGAGGAAGCTCCCCGCGAGCCTCCGTCTGCTTCCCCTCTGCACTCTCCCGTCCTCTCTGTGGCAGGTAGACACTGCCCCCACAAGCCTCCGTCCGCTTCCCCTCCGCACTCTCCCATCTGCTCTGTGGTGTGTAGATGCTGCCCCTGCGAGTCTCTGTCTGCATCCCCTCCGCACTCTCCCATCCGCTCTGTGGCGCATAGACACTGTGGTGGTGTGAGTCATGTGATCGTTGTCATGCTGGGCAGCGGGTGGCCTCTGTCCCATCCAGCATCCTCAGAGCCCAGGAGGGAGCCCGGCCTGTGGGGTCTCTGGGGCCCTGGGATGTGACCTTCCATTGACAGACGCGAGCTGTGGGCAGTTTCCAGCAGCCACATTCACGGTGGCCTCACCTCTGAGAATAGCACTGGAATGGCGACCCGCATCCGCATTCTTATGCTGGGTTTCCAGTGCGAAGAATCCGTTGGGCCCCCACGTGTCCCCCGCATCCAGTGGCGGAGCTGCTGCCTTATCCTGGGACTGCGAGGGGCTGACCGGTGTTGGTTCCGTGTGGACCCACCATGACCTGCCTCTGCATCCTTGCCTGGCTTCCATGCCCATCTGGGAAGGACAGGGCCAGAGGGAGACACTGCCTCACATGGAGGCTGGGCTGCCTCCCCAGTGCTGCCTCCCCAGTGCTGCTCCCCCAGTGCTGCTCCCCCAGTGCTGCCCCCCCAGTGCTGCCCCCCCATTGCTGCCTCCCCAGTGCTGCCCCCCCAAGTGCTGCCCCCCCAGTGCTGCCCCCCCAGTGCTGCCCCCCCAGTGCTGCCTCCCCCAAGTGCTGCCCCCCCAGTGCTGCCCCCCCAGTGCTGCCTCCCCAGTGCTGCCTCCCCATGCTGTTTCTGGGCTGGGAAGAAGGTGAAAGCTGTTTTCATGCAAACCTATGGGAGGGGAAAAGCTTCCCCCAAAGTCTGCCGGCAGCATGTGTGCAGGGCGCATTCTCAGATGTCAGGTCCGTGCAGCGTCCTGCAGGGTGGCAGGTGGCGGACCTCAGAGCGGGGCCTTTCCCTCCAGGGCGAAGGGTGCCGAGGTCACAGGAAGTCCCGACCTAGGCCCTGGGTCCCACGCCAGAGCTCCCACTCCTGCAGACCTGACCTTGCGTGTCGATGTTGAGACTAATACGTGCGGGCTGGTGTCTCTCAGTAGCAAGATCAGCCCTGTCTCAAGGACCGTTTCCATTAAACTGAGTTTCTGAAATGATTTCTTTGTGAAATGTGTGGCTTCCATTAACTCACCTTTGGTATGTCTCGTTGTTTTAGGATGGGAGTCCCAGCTTCTGGAGACGGGGTTCCTGGGGATCTTCCTGTGCCCTCTGTGGACGCTGTCAAGGCTGCCCCAGCATACCCCCACATCCCGGATTGTCCTGTGGGGCTTCCGGTGGCTGATCTTCAGGATCATGCTTGGAGCAGTAAGTGGAGCTCTTCTGCGTGGTGTTTGGGGAATAACGGTGGCTCTTCTAACCTGTGAGGCTTCTAGGAGAGGTGAGGCTGTTTCCTTCCTCCCCCGCCGCCCTCTGTCCTCCTGTCGGCCTGGCCTGGCCAGCTGCGCACTCTTCTGCCCCTTCAGGGGCCTGTGTTTGAATGCTGGGGACCGGCTGGCTTTTCCCGGGCATGCTCATGATCCCTGTTTCTGGGACAGAACCACACCTCTGAGTCTGTTTCAGGAGGAGACTCAGAGAGGAGCACTGGACGCCCTGCTTCCCCCACCAGCCCTCCTGAGCTTCCCCCACCAGCCCTCCTTTGCTTCCCGGAGTGTCCGAAATATTTCAGAGCTCGTTTTTAAATGACAGAGTCTCAGGCCATGGTGGGCGCGTTGGCAGACATATTCAAGGGTGAGGGAGGTATGAGACCCGCCGTCCTGACGCTCAGGGAAAGCGCGGCCTCCTCATGGTCTCTTGGCTGCGTCCTTCCTCCCGGGTGCTTTGCCTGCTTGGCTTTGACGTCTCTCAGGACGACCAGACTGTCCAGGTTCCCTGCTGAGCCCCGGGGTGGGGGTGGCGGGTTCCCTCCTGGGCCCTGGTGTGGGGGCGGCGGGCTGTGCGTGCTTCCTGCCCAGCCAGGGGCTGCTCATCTGCGTCTGCCCTGCAAACGGTGAATCACATGCCAACCCCCTGTTCAGCTTCAGTAATGTGACCTCTGAGTTCACAAAAACACGATGTGCACTTTAAAAGCAGGAGCGACGTGGTCCTTTTGACGTCTGCCACACTGACCAGAGCTACGCAGCTCTCACCTGCTCTTCCGCTTCACGTGGTTTGGTAGTAAGATTTTCATTTTGGGCTGGAATGATAAAATCTTCATGTTTTTGTGTTGGAAACCATGTCGTACAGATATGCTCTCTGAGCATCTGTTTGCTTAAGTGTTTCGTGGAGGATTCGCTGAAGACGTACGAAGAGTTGGGCACTGCCCCAAGGAACTTGTGCCTGCCCCACCCGACAGCGCGCTCACGCCAGGGCCACGGCCAGAGTGTGCCGCCGTCTCGGCCACTCCTTCAGTCCGGAACGTTCCTCTTCTCTCCCTGGCCTCGAGGCGTGGCTGCCGTGCCTGTGTTCAGCTTCAGGTCATGCCGCAGGCAGGGGCCCGAGTGCTGGGCGGCTCCTCCCACCCTGTCCCCCCGGGGCAGCTGCGGACACTTGGGACACCCAGTCCTAAGACAGCACTGGCCACGGACTCAGGAAGCGATGACTCCACGTGGTTTGGGGTATCATGTAGCATGAAGTGTGGCTCGGTGTAGCGTGTAGCATGGTTCAGTGTAGTGTGTAGCGTGGCTTGCTGTAGCGTGTAGCATGGTTCTGCATAGCGTGGCTTGGTATAGCGTGTAGCGTGGCTCTGTGTAGCGTGGCTCAGTATAGCGCATAGCGTGGTTCTGTGTGGCGTGGCTCGCTGTAGCGCATAGCGTGGTTCTGTGTGGCGTGGCTTGGTGTAGTGTTTAGTGTGCTTTGGTGCACTGTGAGGGGCTGTCTGGGCCCATTCCTCACCGTGTGTTCCCTGCATCGTAACGTCCATGTCTGGGCATAGCTCTTCTTTCCATCTCGTTCAGCTCGGGGCTCTGTCCCCCTGTGGCTCCCATCTTCCCCAGCGCCCTCCTTTTCCCTCCCCCTCACTCACATCCCTGCGTCTCACCTTGCGCCAGCCCTTAGCCAGTGCTGCAGAAACGTCAGCCATGCATGGAGTGAACTGGCCATTTCTTGAGGTGCTCCCTGGTGGTATGCGAGCACCTAATTCCCTTTATTCCTTTTCTGGGAGGGTTACATGGCCTCTCATGATGAGCACTTGCCGGGGTTGGGAGGGGTCACTGCAGGCTCAGCTGCACTAGCAGGAGACCCACAGAGAGGGACCTCAACACCAGGGCCCCTCTCACCCCCCAGGACAAGGTGTCCAGAGGGTTGTCCCAGGCAGGGAGCCTCCAGCTTTCCTCTCTGCCCTCTGTGGCATGCCAGCTTCAACCCAGGTGTTCCTGCCCCAGCCGCACGGGGGTGGTGGGCACCCGTCCGCAATGTCACTGCATACCTGTGGATGGCGGGCACCGGGGCATCCCTGACAGGTTGGTTTTCTGGGGCTGTGGGGAGTCTTGGGTGCTTACTCTAGGTCCTCACTGTTTTTACTGTGTGAACCCTGCGGGCTGGCTCCGCCTCCCAGGAGCCGCTCCCGCATGCTGCAGCCTGGTGACCTCTGGGCTGGTGAGCTCAGCCTCTGTCCACGAGGCCAGGTGTCTGGGGAGGGCACTGGAAGCAGCTGGAGGCAGCAGGGCCTGACCTGCCCCATCCCCTCGAGGGCACGAGCAGGCCCCCAGGGCTTGTCAAGGGCCAGGGCCTTCCCATCTCTGCCTCCTTGCCTGGTCGGGTGTGCTCGGGGCCATGGCACAGCGGGAGGGAAACATGGGTGGGTGGGGTCTTTGGAGAGCTTTCTGGACGTGGTGTCGGGCAGGGTCCTGGCTGAGGGGTGCGTGAGTGGCTGCAGACAGTTGGCCATGGCTTGTTGGAGGAGGGCATAGCTGCAACCCGGCATCCAGATCGCGCAGGAAAGTGGGATGCTGTCTCCGGGTTTACTTTTCCATTTAATTAGAAATACTAGAGATGTTTCCATGGCTCCTTTTAATGGAACATTGAAATTCTTCATTGTCTCCAGCCAGAATACAGATATTCTCACAGGCTGTGGGTCCTGATCTTTCCAGGGCTTAGTTTTAGGTTCCACCCTCTGCTGGCTTGAATATGCACAGATGTGGATGCAGCATTTCCAAGGACTCTGTGGACAGCAGCCGGGTGGGGGAAGCGCTGTCAGGCCGAAGCCCTGGGAGAGAAGCAGAGCTCCAGGGAGAGGAGCCGGCCCCGCAGAGGAGCCGCCAGGCGGTTGTATGCAAAGCTCCTGGTGCCAAGAGTTGAACAGCTCCCACAATGCCTAGTGGATGCAGGGACTCATCTGCTCATGGGAAGCACCTTTTATGGCATTTTGATTGATTGCTAGTGCCAGCTGGAGAAGAAATTATCAGGTGCACTAAAAGGTATAATTACTTGATAGACTCCTGTGTTGGGTGTGATTAATGTTCCTTTGGTGGAAAGCAGAGGGTGAGTTGATAAGAAAGTGACAGCAGCAGAGTGTCCACCTGCTGATGAACCACCCTGTGGACAGAGCCGGCTAGGAAGGCACGCACACCCCTTCCCCCGCTCGCGCACTTGGGTCACAACCAGCGCCGCACCGTCAGCTTGGCGGATTCACTCAGAAACCAGCACCTGTGGTTCTGTGGCCTGGAGGGTTTCAGATGCCCTAACCACTGGGTTCCTCAGAGCCATCTCAGGGGGAGCCCCGTGGCCCTCCCGATGAGGGTGCCAAGCAGAAGGGAAGGAGAAGCCACAGCCTCTGTGCCCGCCGGAGCTGGACGTCAGCTGCAGGCCTCAAGGCCACCACACAAAATCAGTTGTATTTCTTTTTTTTTTTTCTTTTTGAGATGGAGTCTCGCCTTGTCACCCAGGCTGGAGTGTAGTGGCACGATCTCGGCTCACTGCAAGCTCTGCCTCCTGGGTTCACGCCATTCTCCTGCCTCAGCCTCCCGAGTAGCTGGGACTACAGGAACCTGCCATCACGCCTGGCTGATTTTTTGTATTTTTAGTAGAGACTAGGTTTCACCGTGTTAGCCGGGATGGTCTCGACCTCCTGACCTTGTGATCCACCTGCCTCAGCCTCCCAAAGTGCTGGGATTACAGGCGTGAGCCACCACACCTGGCAAATCAGTTATATTTCTATATGCTGGGAGAAAATGTCAAAATGAAAATGTTAAGTATAGCATTTATAATAACATTCAGAACCATAAAATAGGAAATTTTAACAAAAGAAATGCAGCCTGTATGCCTCGAAAGATAGCACACATTGCTGAAAGTAAGGAACACTTCAGTAAATGGAGAGGTATACCATGTTCATGAATCAGTCTTCATATTGTTAAACTGTCCATCGTCACCAATTTGAGCTATAGATTCCATGACATCCCAAGCAATCCCAGAAGGATTGTTTTTTCCAGAAACAGATAAACTGACTCTTAGATGTATATGGAAATGCCAAGGACCTACATAGCCAAAACAATTTTGAAGAAGAATAAAGATGCAGGAGGAGTCACACTACTTGATTCCAGGATTTACTGAAAAATGATCGTAATGAAGACAGTGTGACACAGGTGTGTGGAGGGTTCCCTCGAGGGACAGAACTAACAGGAGAAATATATATATAAAGGGGTTTATTGAGTATTAACTCCACGATCACAAGTCCCCACGATAGGTTGCCCGCAAGCTGAGGAGCAAGGAGAGCCGGTCCCGAGTCTCAGAACGGAAGAACCTGGAGTCCCATGTTTGAGGGCAGGAGGCGTCCAGCACAGAAGAAAGATGCGGGCTGGGAGGGTAGGCCCGTCTCCCCTCTTCTCCTTTTTCTGCCTGCTTTATATTCTCTGGCGGCTGATGAGATGGTGCCCACCAGATTAAGCTTGGGTCCGCCTTCCCCAGCCCCCTGACCCAAACAGGAATCTCCTCTGGCAACACCCTCACAGACACACCCAGGATCAGTACTTTGCATCCTTCAACCCAATCAAGCTGACACTCAGTATTAACCATCACAAGGCGTGAGGACAGATAGCTGCATCCGCAAAATAGAGAACCAAGAAATAGTCCCACACCAAAGTCAGGATCAAATGATTCCTGGACAAGCCACCAAGTCAATTCAACTGAGAGAAAGAAGCCTTTGCACCAGTTGGTGCTGGAAGTTCTGGATATGCACCTGGATAAGTGAACCCCCCTCCGTCACCACACACAAACGTTAATTTGAGATGGATTGCAAACATAAAAGCTAAAACCATTAACACTTCTTGAAGGTAACATAGAATATTTTGTAATGTTATGATAGGCAAAAGTCTCTTAGGACACACAAAAAAATTAACCATAAAAGAAGAAAATGGCTGGGTGCAGTGGCTCACACCTTTAACACCAGCATGTTAGGAGGCTGAGGCAGGAGCGTCCCTTGAGCTCAGGAGTTCAAGCCCAGACTGGGCAACATAGTGAGACCCTGAAAGAAAAAGAAACAAACACATACATTGGACTTCCTCAAAATTAAAGTCTTCTGTTCTTCAAAAGACACCACCGAGAAAATGACAAGGCACAGATCAGGAGAAAATATTCACAATGCCATTATGCCTGACAAGGAACCTGTATCTGGAATACATAAAGAATTCATAAAGTTCAATAATAAAGATAATTTGATTTTTTAAAGAGGGAAAGGATTTTAGCAGGCACTTCACAAAAGGAAACATGCAAATGGCTCTCACGGCACTTGAAAAATCCCTCAGATGCACTGGCTATTAGGGAAATGCTGAGCGTATCTACATTGAGACAATTCCTCCCCCCAAGAACAGCTGAAATTAAACTGAGATACTTCCTCCTCACAAGAACGGCAGTGCAGAAGTCACCACCACACAGCAGAGACGGGCGTCCTGTGGGCAGTGCAGAGTTCACCACCACGCAGCAGAGACGGGCGTCCTGTGGGCAGTGCAGAGGTCACCACCACGCAGCAGAGACAGGCGTCCCCACGGGCAGTGCAGAGGTCACCACCATGCAGCAGAGACAGGCATCCTGTGGGCGGTGCAGAGGTCACCACCACGCAGCAGAGACAGGTGTCCTGTGGGCGGTGCAGAGGTCACCACCACGCAGCAGAGACAGGCGTCCTGTGGGCAGTGCAGAGGTCACCACCACGCAGCAGAGACAGGCGTCCTCACAGGCAGTGCAGAGGTCACCACCACGCAGCAGAGACAGGCGTCCCCACGGGCAGTGCAGAGGTCACCACCACACAGCAGAGACAGGCGTCCTGTGGGCGGTGCAGAGGTCACCACCACGCAGCAGAGACAGGCGTCCTGTGGGCGATGCAGAGGTCACCCCACGCAGCAGAGACAGGCGTCCTGTGGGCGATGCAGAGGTCACCACCACGCAGCAGAGACGGCCGTCCCCACAGGCAGTGCAGAGGTCACCACCACGCAGCAGAGACAGGCGTCCCCACGGGCAGTGCAGAGGTCACCACCACACAGCAGAGACAGGCGTCCTGTGGGCGGTGCAGAGGTCACCACCACGCAGCAGAGACAGGCGTCCTGTGGGCGATGCAGAGGTCACCCCACGCAGCAGAGACAGGCGTCCTGTGGGCGATGCAGAGGTCACCACCACACAGCAGAGACGGGCGTCCCCACAGGCAGTGCAGAGGTCACCACCACGCAGCAGAGACAGGCGTCCCCACGGGCAGTGCAAAGGTCACCACCACACAGCAGAGATAGGCGTCCTGTGGGCGATGCAGAGGTCACCACCACGCAGCAGAGACAGGCGTCCTGTGGGCGGTGCAGAGGTCACCACCACGCAGCAGAGACGGGCGTCCCCACAGGCAGTGCAGAGGTCACCACCACGCAGCAGAGACAGGCGTCCTGTGGGCGATGCAGAGGTCACCCCACGCAGCAGAGACAGGCGTCCTGTGGGCGATGCAGAGGTCACCACCACGCAGCAGAGACAGGCGTCCCCACAGGCAGTGCAGAGGTCACCACCACACATCAGAGACAGGCGTCCTGTGGGCGATGCAGAGGTCACCACGACGCAGCAGAGACAGGCGTCCTGTGGGCGATGCAGAGGTCACCACCACGCAGCAGAGACAGGCGTCCTGTGGGCGATGCAGAGGTCACCACCACGCAGCAGAGACAGGCGTCCCCACAGGCAGTGCAGAGGTCACCACCACACAGCAGAGACAGGCGTCCCCACAGGCAGTGCAGAGGTCACCACCACGCAGCAGAGACAGGCGTCCCCACGGGCAGTGCAAAGGTCACCACCACACAGCAGAGACAGGCGTCCTGTGGGCAGTGCAGAGGTCACCACCACACAGCAGAGACAGGCGTCCTGTGGGCAGTGCAGAGGTCACCACCACGCAGCAGAGACAGGCGTCCTGTGGGCGATGCAGAGGTCACCCCACGCAGCAGAGACAGGCGTCCTGTGGGCGATGCAGAGGTCACCACCACACAGCAGAGACGGGCGTCCCCACAGGCAGTGCAGAGGTCACCACCACGCAGCAGAGACAGGCGTCCCCACGGGCAGTGCAAAGGTCACCACCACACAGCAGAGATAGGCGTCCTGTGGGCGATGCAGAGGTCACCACCACGCAGCAGAGACAGGCGTCCTGTGGGCGATGCAGAGGTCACCACCACGCAGCAGAGACAGGCGTCCTGTGGGCGATGCAGAGGTCACCACCACGCAGCAGAGACGGGCGTCCCCACAGGCAGTGCAGAGGTCACCACCACACAGCAGAGACAGGCGTCCCCACGGGCAGTGCAGAGGTCACCACCACGCAGCAGAGACAGGCGTCCCCACGGGCAGTGCAGAGGTCACCACCACACAGCAGAGACAGGCGTCCTGTGGGCAGTGCAGAGGTCACCACCACGCAGCAGAGACAGGCGTCCTGTGGGCAGTGCAGAGGTCACCACCACGCAGCAGAGACGGGCGTCCCCACAGGCAGTGCAGAGGTCACCACCACACAGCAGAGACAGGAGTCCTGTGGGCAGTGCAGAGGTCACCACCACGCAGCAGAGACAGGCGTCCTGTGGGCAGTGCAGAGGTCACCACCACGCAGCAGAGACAGGCGTCCTGTGGGCAGTGCAGAGGTCACCACCACGCAGCAGAGACGGGCGTCCCCACAGGCAGTGCAGAGGTCACCACCACACAGCAGAGACAGGAGTCCTGTGGGCAGTGCAGAGGTCACCACCACGCAGCAGAGACGGGCGTCCCCACAGGCAGTGCAGAGGTCACCACCACACAGCAGAGACAGGCGTCCCCACAGGCAGTGCAGAGGTCACCACCACGCAGCAGAGACAGGCGTCCCCACGGGCAGTGCAGAGGTCACCACCACACAGCAGAGACAGGCATCCTGTGGGCAGTGCAGAGGTCACCACCACGCAGCAGAGACAGGCGTCCTGTGGGCAGTGCAGAGGTCACCACCACGCAGCAGAGACGGGCGTCCCCACAGGCAGTGCAGAGGTCACCACCACACAGCAGAGACAGGAGTCCTGTGGGCAGTGCAGAGGTCACCACCACGCAGCAGAGACAGGCGTCCTGTGGGCAGTGCAGAGGTCACCACCACGCAGCAGAGACGGGCGTCCCCACAGGCAGTGCAGAGGTCACCCCACACAGCAGAGACAGGCGTCCTGTGGGCGATGCAGAGGTCACCACCACGCAGCAGAGACGGGCGTCCCCACAGGCAGTGCAGAGGTCACCACACTGAGCCAGACTGTCCTCGGCCTTCCCTGGGTTGAGCACCGGATGAAAACCATGTGCTTTGAGCCCTGGAAAGACAATCAGCCCAGCCAGAGCCAGAGCCTGAAACAGGCAGCCCCCAGGGCGCAGCTGCAGGAAGCCGCATCCTCTCGTGGGCTCCAGCAAGGCGGGGGACGCTGTGTTCCCTCAGTGGCTTCTTGGTGCCCCTTGATGTCCAGGAGTGTGAGGTGAGGTGAGGGCTCTGAGCTGGGAAGCTGACAAGTCAGGGAGAATGCCAGGCCAGACGCATCGGCCTGCGGGGGCTGGAGCAGAGCCTGGCACTCACTGTACTTGCTCCGTCTCACTCCGGCTGCTGCGCTGGCCCAGGGCTGTCCACCCCAGGCGTGTGGCAGAGCAAGCCTGGCTCCCAGAGCTCCCCTCAGGCCCTGGAGCGGCAGGCAGTGGGCATCCTCAGCCCAACCCATGTCCGTGCCATGCACAGGATAGCTGAGCTTGCCGCTGCCACAGGGTGTCAGCGGGTTGGGGCAACAGACAGGGCCCCAGTGCTGGTGGCCAGGCTGGCTGTATGTGTGGGTTGGCTGCCACCTGACTGCACTGAAACAAGAACCACCCCCACCCCACCCCCCACTGCTCTCCACCCGGTTCGGGGCCGGCCCTGGCTGGGCTTCGTGGATCCTCAGGTTGTGCGGGTCATGGCTTCCTGGGGCTGGGCCAGAGCCATCATGGAGTCAGCACGGTTCCTTGCAGACACAGGCGGGGCAGGCGGCGCCTCTCCACCTTCCTTGCCTCAAGCTGCGGGGACAGCACCAAAAAGCCACGTGGACCCAGATGGCCTCGCCGGACTTCCTGACTCAGGGCTGTCTCCAGCCTACATCCCACCGGGGCTGCACGCACAGACGGCTTCTCCTGGAGCCCTGGAGCATTTCCCCCGTGTTTCGGCCAGGTTTTCTGCTTTAAATGAGTTTATTTCAGTCGTGTCAAAGTGAAGGTCTCTTTCACTCAGGACGTGATCAATGGCGTGGCCATCAAGTCACAGCGTTGAAGGCAACAGATGGCCTTTAATGACGCTATTTTAAAAAATAATTTCCCCTTTCTTTCCCCATCCTGGTTTTGTGAGGACAGAGCATCGGCATCTCAGGGCGGGGGTGGGTCTGCCTACTCTGTGGCCAGCACGCAGCAGATCCCTGTAGGTGGAGCCCCACAGCTCTGTGTCCCGGCACCTCTGTGCCACCTGCACAGGGGCAGAGGGTGGGTTTTCCGTGACGCCCCCTGGAGCCAAACCACCGTTGATCACTTCCTCCTGATGAACTGGGCTGTGTTGGGGTGCAGAGGTCTCGGTTGCGTATGTTCTGGGAATTGAGCCAGGGTCCTTGTTGCTGGGAATTCTCAGACCTGGACAATATCAGTAGAGGAGACCACTTGATTTTTAGTTTGACCCCTGGAGAATTGAAAAGCTGGAAATCTGTTTTCTGTACCTTCCCCCTCCCAACCCTCCCCCGACTCCCTACCTGGCTTCTGTCTGGAGAGGACGTCTGCATGGCTGTCCTGGGGTGGCTGCAGGTGTGCAGATGCTCACCGCCACTGTCTCCCCATTCCTGCTGGAGCCCACTTTGGTGTGAGTGTTTGCCTGGCAGAGGCATCGCAGGCCCACGGGAGGATAAAGAGAAGCCAGAGAACTCATAATTCCAAAAGCTGGCAAAGTTAAAACGTGATGTCTGGCCGGGTGCAGTGGCTCACACCTGTAATCCCAGCACTTTGGGAGGCTGAGATGGGCAGATCACCTGAGGTCAGGAGTTCGAGACCAGCCTGGCCAACATGGTGAAATCCCGTCTGTACTAAAACACACACACACACACACACACACACACACACACACACACACACACACACATAAAAATTAGCAGGTATGCTGGCGGGCGCCTGTAATTCCAGTTATTCAGGAGGCTGAGGCAGGAGAATTGCTTGAACCTGGGAGGCGGAGGTTGCAGTGAGCCAAGATCGTGCCATTGCACTCCAGCCTGGGCAACAGAGTGAGACTCCAGCTCAAAAAAATAAAAGAAAAGAAAAAAGAAAAGAAAATAATAAAATAAATAAAATAAGATGTCCAAACTCACACCTGTGCAGCTTACGGCTCTGCGAGGCTCACACCTGTGTGGCTCATGGCTCTGGAGGGCTCACACCTGGCTACAGCACCCAGAGGTAGGGCCTTCTGATGCTCCTTGTGTGCAAACTGTCTTGGTCCTCATTAACACAAGAAGAAAAAGCAACGGCTGAAATGTGGAATACGTAAGCCCACAGTGTGAACCATTTTGGGGTCAGAATCGAGCAAAGGCCAGGAAGCCATAGCCAGGCTGTGTGATTGCAGGCACCGTGGAAACTCCAGTAACTAAGATGGCACCATGAAGAGCTGCCTGGGATGTTACAGAAGCCTTAGGCCAGTCAGTGTGACAACTTAGATGAGATGGACAAAACCCTTGAAGAAGGGTGCGGGGGAGTGCCGGGTGCAGTGACTTCTTTACTCAAGGAAAGCCAGGATTTGGGACGCGTGTCGGAGCTGAGCCCCACATCTCTCTTTACACCCAGACCTGCTCACCTTTTGTGGGATTCAGGCCCGAGTGTGCGGCATCGTGCAGTGGAGCCTCCGACCCTCACGGGCACGGCACATCCGGCGTCCAGGGCGTGTGCCTCCCACGTGTGTGCTGCCACCCCAAGCCTCGTGGGGTCGGAAGGAAGGTGCCAGGGGCTCAACAGGTTTGCGCCTTCGTCATCTGCTCTTTTCCCACAGGCCCAGGACTGTCTGCAAAGCGCTTTACGCCGAGCATGCTTCACCCCCGAGCCTGCCAGAGGGTCCGCAGCCCATGGGAGGTGTGGGTCATGGGCGGCGCTGAAAGGCAGACGTGGAGCGGTGCTGCCGACATCAAGACCTGACTTTGAAGTCCACAGGCTGCTGCTTGGCATCAGAGCCACTGATGAAATCACATTAAACGTAATGGAATTGGTATCGGCATGCAGCCCTGTGAGGCCAGGATCAGGCAGATGTGCTGCCGTTTCCCTGACAGGCCCGCCCTGGTCCTGGGCAGCCACACTCCAGAACGAGAGTAATTATCCTAATTGCTTTATTGCATCAGTGTGGGGGCAGCTCGGGTAGCTCAGAGGAAAAGGGGCTTCTTTCAGGGCCCATCGGCTTCAGGGCGACATGCTCCACCCGGAAGGGGCAGACCTCTGACTCCGGCACGGAGGCGTCGTGGGAATTTTTAGAAAATGATATCTATGGCATCCTGATCTCTGGCCCCCAGCTGCAGCCCCCTGTGAGGCCGAGGCCCAGACCGGAGTCCCTGAAAGCGCTTTGTGCCTCCGACCTCCGGCGTTTTTGGCAGAGCTGGGGCAGGAGCCGGGGTGCTCCTCGCGGCTGAAGCGCATCAGCCTCCAGGGCGAGGGTGTCTCAGATCCCCGCACAGCCCGTCACACAGCCCCTGGGACAATCACACAGGACAGTGCTCTCCTGTGATCTTCAAAGGATCTCCTGGGTTGTGGGGGTGCAAAATAAAACTCTGCTACAAAGAGCATTAGTAATTCCTCTTCCCAACCGCACAGTTCAGCTCAAGCGATCTCCCGGTAACAGAACCAGCCCCTGTGCTTACCGTGAACACGCCTTTCTGGGTTCACGCCGAAGGTTTCTATTGAAGTGCACGTCGTTTGCCAAAAAATAAAAATAAAAATACAGTAAGTCCAAAATCTGCTCTGTCTGATTTCTAAGTTAAAACCGTGATCACAGCAAGAGGAATTTACATGGTATGGTGACTAGGGCAGCAACTTCTGGAAGGCAAACCAATCCCGTCAGAGAGATAGGCGGCTGAGAGTCTACAGCAGACCTGTGCTTCGGAGATGAACTGCCCTCCTCTTAATTCCCCTCGCCCGACTAAGCTGCCAAGGCCTGGTGATTCTTGGGGTCTTCATGGTGTCTGGTGACCTGACAGCATGTGCCCCAAATCCTGGCCCCTACACGGCCTGGCTGCCACCCCTTGGCTCTGCCCCCACCTGGGCTGCTCCAGGCCCCAGCAGCCAAGGCCTCAAGGACACCCAGAGCCGGGGGAAGGAGCAGTTCAGGTGTTTTCAGACAGACAAGCCTCTGAGAACAGGCCTTAGATCCCGGAAGCCCAGGCTCTCCCGGCTGGCATTGGTCAGAAAGTCAGTGCCCCTGCCCGCAGCGTGGGTCCCCTAGGCTCTGCGGCGGCCCGACTGTCAGCTTGGGACAGCCTTTTCCAGGTGCTTGGGGAGGAAACAGCTGCCCTCAAACTCATGGGAATTCACTTCCAGGCAGCAAGCGAGCCCAGGGCGTTTGTCCAGGTCCAGGTCCCTTGGTCTGCAAGTTAGAGCCCAGCCAGTGTCGATGAGCCAGTCAGCTGCGTGTCTGAGGGAAGAGCTTTGTCCTCAATGTGAAGCCACGGGGGACCTGGGTCCCCTTCATCAGGAGCCATGGAGACCCTGGCCCACCTCACTTTGATGCTCAGCCCACTGTTCTGAGGCATGAAGTGGCCCAGAGGCGAGGCCCCTCCTCCAGAGGACGCCCGCCACGCAGAAGGCGCCCACCACGCAGAGGATGCCTGCCATGTACACAGCTCCTGGTGCAGCTGTGCCACAAGGAAGTCTGCGTGAGCTGAAGCACTCGGGGGCGGAGCCCACCTCCCATGCCAGTTCTCTCTTGCATGAGGGCAAGAAAGTGCGGAAACCATCCCAGGAAGACAGGAAAGCCACGGAGCCAGGCGGGACCCCAGGCACCACCCCTGCTGCAGCTGGGCCACCCTCAGATATGGAGACTAGAGGGTCTTGATAGACCCCATAGTGCCTCTGCCCACGGAGCCCACCAGCGGTCCCTTCACCCTGAGACACGGTTTCCACCCACCCCCAGCTCTCAGAGCACTCGGGGAGAAGCAGTGGCTGTTGCAACAAGTCTGAGACCCCTGCAGCTGCTCACAGGGGCACTGGGCTGTGACCTGACTCCAGGACAAAGCTCTCCCCTTTGAGTCTCTCCTGCGGAGGCAGGACCTGTCGCGAGTAATTCCCTGTGTTTACAGGTGGGGAGGAAGGGCCACTGATACAGGCGAGGGGACCCTAACGCCAGAAGGATGGAGGAGGTTGTGGCTCGGAGGGAGGCCTGGCGGCGCCCCCTCCTCAAACACCACGTTAGCCGGTGCTTTCGGGGACTGTAGGGGCTGGGGGTCTGTCCTGAGCCACTGTGCAAGGGTACACAGGGGGCTGTCGCTGCAGGGTGGATGGCGGCCTCTGGGGGCCAAGTGAGAGAAGCGGGGTCTCCACAGAGTGTCTCCTTCTCCGCATACGACCGTCAAGACACTTCGAGTTTCCAGATGGCAGATTTGGGGAAGTGTGTCCCAGGACACACAGGCATCAGGAGAAGAGCTGCTGCAGCCACACGTTGCAAGGCGGGAACATCGTCGATGGGCCTGGAAAGTTCTGGCATTCCGAGCAGAGCGGGAGGGTGGCACGGGCAGTGTGGGTCCCCGGCTCCCTTTGGGTCTGGTGCGTTTATTGGCCTGTCTGTGCCATTTTTTTTTTTAGAATTAATTTTGGGCTGAAAAGCCTCAAAGAAGGCTTTGTTCCTTTGACACTTGCTCTGGGAGAAAAAAAAATCCGTGGAAAATCTGACATGTGCAATGTAGAGAGAAATCAATAGATGGGAGGAATATAATTATCCTCCACTCCTGAAAGAATTTTTCAGATTTTTAAGTGTCTCATATCAGCTTAGAATTTGAATGACATTTTAATTATTTTGTTTTTTTCTTCTTTTCCTGGTTTGAATCTCCATAGAGTTCCACTCTCGGATTCTGCAGGGAGCAGAGCTGGTGCTCATGCGGGGGGAGCAGTGGCGGTGGTTGTGCCCCTGCCCGGTGGAGCCGTGCATTTCATCAGAAGCAGCAGCTCCCCTGGGTGTGGGCAGCGCCTTGAGGAGTGGGGCCTTCTCCGCCCGGTCAGCTGGACACCCTCGGCTGTTTTCATGCCTGTTTGCAGAACAGGAGCCCAAGCGGGAAACAGTCTCCGGTGCTTTTGTGATCTGAGCAAACCCAGCCTCCAGAAGACCTGACTCTCAGTTTTTAAAACAGTTCACCCTTCAGGTCTTTAAACAGTAACACTCCCGGGTGTTCGGCGCCCTCCCTGTCGTTGGGGGCACAGGGCATGTGAGGGCAGGGACGTACAGCAAGACCCTAGAGACGGCGATGCCGGACCCAGACATGGCCCCGCCAGAGGCAGCCTTCACAGTGCGCGGGGTGGCTGAGCCTCACAACCCCTCCGAGGCGTGTGTGTGGACCGTGCAGCCTGCGTGTGGGTGGCTGAGCCTCACAACCCCTCCAAGGCGTGTCTGTGGACCGTGCAGCCTGCGTGTGGGTGGCTGAGCCTCACAACCCCTCCGAGGCGTGTGTGTGGACCGTGCAGCCTGCGTGTGGGTGGCTGAGCCTCACAACCCCTCCGAGGCGTGTGTGTGGACCGTGCAGCCTGCGTGTGGGTGGCTGAGCCTCACAACCCCTCCGAGGCGTGTCTGTGGACCGTGCAGCCTGCGTGTGGGTGGCTGAGCCTCACAACCCCTCCGAGGCGTGTCTGTGGACCGTGCAGCCTGCGTGTGGGTGGCTGAGCCTCACAACCCCTCCGAGGCGTGTCTGTGGACCGTGCAGCCTGCGTGTGGGTGGCTGAGCCTCACAACCCCTCCGAGGCGTGTGTGTGGACCGTGCAGCCTGCATGTGGGTGGTGTCCCGTCTGGCTCACGTGACGTGAGGAACAGGGTGCCTGTTGCTTGGTGTTCCTGTAGGGCCGGGCTGGGCTCTTGGTCCCACTCCCCTGCCGTTTCTCATTCGTGTCCCTCTCGGCATCGGTCACTTGAGCCACGTGCCGTCCTTCAGGGCGCGGTGCAGCCTCTCCTGGCTCTCCCACTCCCCCGCCAGTCTCGCGAGCCCCATGTTCCAAACACGTTGGAATTGGACACGCCCCTCCCCTGCCCAGGTCGTCCTGCACAGACAGCAGCAGAGCCTGCTGCCTTCTCGGTCACATGTAGCCAGAGAACCCGGCGGCTCCCGTCCTGCCTGGCCCCGGCTAGGGGCCCACGGCCGCCCCGAAGGCCCTCCCGTGTGTGGTTGGTTTTCTGTTGGCCTGGCTGGCCTGGGGTCCCTGGTCCATCACCAAACACTGGCCTCCGTGCTACTGGGAGGTATTAATGTTTCGCAGACGTGGCTACAGCCCGTGATGGGCTGACCTGGGGAGGAGGATTCTACTGGGAGCCCGAGGCTGACCCGACCAGGCAGGAGACCGAGGCTGGAGCTGGGGCTCCCTGGAGAGGAGGAAATTCCATCCCAACAGCAGCTCCGGCCCCTGCTCTGGAGGTCCTGATGGCCCCGGCAGGCCTCAGGCCGCACCCCCCGCCGTCTGGAGGCCAGTCTCCCGCAGTGGGACCGCGACTGGCGCCGTGGCAGATGGGACCCTGCGTTCCAGGGGCTCCTGGGCCTCCCCCCGCGGCCTCCTCAGCCCTGCTGTACCCCACGCTTCTGCCTGAGGGGGGCGCCCTCACCCTGTCTTCCTCCCTCGTGGCCATCCCCACCCCGCCCCGGGGCTCCCTGCCCAGGACAGCCCTGTCAGCTCTGTCCGGGCCGAGGCTGGCCTCCGCTGTGAACAGATCGTGTTCCCCGAATTCCATTTCGTGTGGAAACCCTGAGCCCAGTGTCATGGTACCAGGAGCCAGGCCCGACACCCCAGCACGCCCACGGAGGGGAGCACTCGCTGATGGGAGGCGGCCATTACGAAAGTGTCCCCAGAGAGACCCTCACCCTCTTCCCACCGTGTGGGCAACAGTGAGACAGCGCTACCTGCAGCCCAGTGCGGCTGCCCCAGAGCCCACCATGCTACACCCACCACAGCCATCGCCTCCGAACCTGCAGCATGGATTCCTGTCCTTTATGTGCCACTGCGTCTGCCACGACTGGTGGCCGTCCTTCCTCTCTGCGCCTTGTCGCACCTGCGCCTGCAGCATGCGGCCTCTATGGGGTGGAGCAGGGCCCGGCACCTCAAGGGCACTCAGTACTTATGTGCCAGGTAGAAGTCGGGTGGACAGGGGGATGGGTGGGCGGACGGCCAGGTGGACAGGGGATGAGTCGACGGACGGTCCAGTGGACAGGGGACAGGTGGGCGGATGGCCAGGTGGACGGGGGGACAGGTGGGCGGACGGTCCGGTGGACAGGGGGACGGGTGGGTGGACGATCCGGTGGACAGGGGATGGGTGGGCGCACTGCCAGGTGGACAGGGGGACAGGTGGGCGGACGGTCCAGTGGACAGGGGGACGGGTGGGCGGACAGTCCAGTGGACAGGGGGACGGGTGGGCGGACAGTCCAGTGGACAGGGGGACGGGTGGGCGGACGGTCCGGTGGACAGGGGACGGGTGGGCAGACGGTCCGGTGGACAGGGGCATGGGTGGGCGGACGGCCCGGTGGACAGGGGGACGGGTGGGCGGATGGTCTGGTGGACAGGGGACGAGTGGGCAGACGGCCCGGTGGACAGGGGGACGGGTGGGTGGACAGTGGGGTGGACAGGTGGATGGAGCCCAGGGGATTTGGCCGGGAGTGGTTGTGCAGCAGAAACCCCTGTCATGGAGGAGGCGGGACTCACTTCCACATCTGTGCAGTTTCACCTCCCATGCACCAGTGTGTGAGAGACGCTGGATGTGAATCTGTGTCTCAGCGGTGATTTTAGGGTTAGCGGGAAGAGGGGACAGTTTGTTTCTGACTTGTGAAGGAATCATCTGAAGCCGGGAGTGACCCAGGGAAAGCAGACGGGTGTGGGAGCCGACCCTTCCCCAGATGCTTCACTGTGGCCCTGGCACTGCAGAACCAACCCCCAGCCCCGCAGCCTCTCTGCCCAAGTCCCACCTTCCCCAGTGCTGGCGGCTCCCTCTGCAGGCCCCTGGAAGCCTGTCCCGTGCCCCAGGAGTCCTCACAGCAGGCGAGCTGCAGTGTGTGGGAGACACACGGGGCCTGCGCCTCGGCTCCCTTTGTGCCGCAGGGGGCGGGGCTGAGACGCGTGTGCACTGGGTGCTCCCTCCGACTTTGGGCTCATCCTGGAGGCACTGAGAAGCTTCCCTCTGACACTGTCCGTGGGGTCTGTGCAGGGCGTGGTGCATTTGTCCTCTTTAAAGACACGCAACTTCTGTAGCGTGATGATGCGTGGAGCTCTGAGAATGAGTGTTGGGGAAGGCGCAAAGGAAGCCACTGTTGCTCACGCCCGCGGTGTGCACTAAACTCCTGTCCTCAAAGCAGCCCTGAATCTGCCCTTCTCAAATTCTGCCTTCCTGAGTGTTTCATACGTAAGGTCCCCTCCCTCACAGCGCCTGCAGCCCAGATCCACGGCCTTCGTGGATGGTTCGTCTTCCTGGGAAGCTGTTTCTGTCGGGGCCGCCGCATCCCCAGCCCCTGTGACTGACTCTCCCTCTGCTCTCTTCCTTGCAGGGCCTGATCAAGATCCGGGGGGACCGGTGCTGGCGAGACCTCACCTGCATGGACTTCCACTATGAGGTGAGCGTGCCGTGCAGCGTGAGGGCAGGGCACCCGGTCTCACGCCGCCCCGTTCCCACTCTTGGCGGGGCTCAGTCCTGCACACCCTGGTGAGCTGTCGCATCACAGGGTCACCCCCATTGATTCAGGACGTCCTCTCCCTCCCTTCACGGGGTGGGTGGTCACACGGGGGCTTGCTGGGGCTGCGGGGACGGGGTCTGTGGCCCTCCATGGTCTCGAGTGCAGCTGGTTTGCTCTGGTTCCTGCACGGGCACCCTCCGCTGCTGTCCTTGGTCCTGCCCAGGCCTCCGGGCCGGCCCCTCCTTCCTGGAGTCCACAGCTCCCCACCGTCCCCTGACAGGTGCCTGTTGGGGGCTTCCTGGCTGCGTGCCCAGCCCCTGCCACACGGAACTGTGGCTCCATCGTTACCTGGACACGGGCAGGTGTGTCCCACAGGGCAGGTGTGAACCACAGCACAGTTCCACTGTGCTTGGCCCCCAGACCAAGGCTGAGTCCCTTCAGACGCCCCAGTTCCTGCCAACTGCTCACGTGTTCACATGGGGGCTGGGAGTGGTCTGGGGCCTGGAGCTCACGTGTTCACGTGGGGGCTGGGGGTGGTCTGGGGCCTGGAGCTTGGATAGTCATTTGTTCTCAGTCCATGTGGGAGCCTCCTGGTAGCACCATCCCCACCCTGGGCCCGTGTGGTCATGGCCACGGTGCACCTAGAGCATCTCAGGCCTGGACACCCCTTCCTGCATTTGGCCCGTCACTCGCACCTGCACGCGGAAGCCATCATCGTCTGCCTGCTGCCGACAGCCAGTGATGGCTGTCTCACTGCCTTTGCGTTTTCTGCCAGGGTTGCTCTGGCACTCACCGCCTCCAAGCGTGGAGCTGGCACCGTCCTCACGCGGTGCCTCTGCTGCGATTCCGGGTCTTGGTCCACGTGCCGGCCTGGCACAGGCGTTTGTGCCTGCATTTAGTGGCTGTGTCCTGACTTTATTCTTCAGGCTCTTGAGATGTCTCCATAGCCCATCAAGTGCCCCGCCTTGCTGAGGACCCGTGAGCTCCTCTCTTTGTCCGAGAGCAGGTTCAGCTGACGGTCTGTGAAATACCAGAAAGTAAACACTCTCAGCTCTTTGGCTGGATGGTCCCAACACAGCCGTGACGGGGAGCAGCCGCAGGGCACACGTGTGTGAGAGGCTTTCGCCAACAAAGCTGTGCACACCGCAGCCCACGCCAGCCACCCTGCCCTCAATAAGGTCCAGCGCCCTCAGCCCAGGTCAGGAAAGCTGAGGGGACCAGTGTCTCCAGATGCCCTCAGGACAGGTCAGAAAAGTGGGCAGGGGGGCCTGTGTCTCCCCCATCACCCTCAGGACGGGTCAGGAAAGTGGTGGGGGGGTCCCGTGTCTCCAGATGCTCTCAGGACAGGTCAGGAAAGCTGGGTGGACCCCTTGTCTCCAGGCCAGAAGCTCCATAGCGCATCTCACTGAGCCCCCTGGCCCAGCACCGGTGGCGACAGCAGTGGTGCAGTGGGCTCAGGTCCACGAAGGCTGCGTGCTGGTGAGGACCGTCCCGCACAGCTTTCCATTGGCAAGAGATGCTGAGGCGCCCACCATGTCCCCACAAACAAACACTCTGATGCCTTCTCTATGGAGTGGCTGCATTTCAAAGCCGGCATCAGGCGTCCTGGGCTGCATCCCTTCAGTGAATGTGGCTGCTCTGGGCCCAGGAGTGTCTCAGGATCCCCAGGACTCACCTGGCCAGGACCACCAGGGTGTGGTGTTTCTGGGGGACGGGTCATGCCACAGCTGCACTCCGGCGAGGACGCAGGTTGCAACTCTTGGGGAGGCGGGCCGGGGGGGCCCACAGCTGCCTGTCAGCACTGCCTTCCCCTGTGTCCACGTGGCCAGCTGGGATGCAGTGGGTCCCTCCCGCCCCCATGAGCACCCAGTTCTTCCTGTGCCTTAAAGGCCCAGGACTGCCCCTCACCAGAGCTCTCTGCTGTGCTGTTTGTGAGGAGTGCTCTGTGTCAGCCGTCAACACCAGTTCAGACATGGCCCGAGACGGTGGACAGGGTGGGCCCGGCCTGGAGCACACAGGCAGGGGCAGCCCGGGCCAGAGGGATGGCCCTGGATGTCTCGAGGCACCCTCGGTGTCACTGCCACCGGAGGGTTGGCCGCAGCAGTGTCAGGGCCTGCAGGCAGGGCCCAAACCCACTCTCCCTGGAGCTTGGAGCGTGGCTTTATCTGGGACCTCCTTGTGATTAGTTAAGATGAAGTCAGAGTGGACTGCTGAGCCCCAAATCCAACGACTGTGTCCTTAAAAGAGGCCCAGACACATGGGGGGGTCCTGTGCCCACATGGCTGAGCTTCTGGAAGGTGGAGCCTCCTGGGAGGTTGGATTGTGGCTGAGGCCACTCCCATCTCCAGACACTGAGGCTGGAGTGCAGGGTGTGTGAGGTCAGGGCCCTTATCATCCACATCCCAGGACAGGCTGAGCCTTGGCTCACAGAGAGCCATGAGCCTGATGTCCTGATGGTCACACGGGGTCCAGGGCCAAGCCAGGCAGCGTGAGGCTCTGGCAGCAGCTGCTGTCTCGGGGGGCCGGGCCGGCTCCTTCCAGCTGTGGAGGCTGTCCTTGGGGAATCGCATTTCAAAACCCACTGTGACTTGAAAAGGCATGAGGGAGCCCCGCTGAGTTGGGACGGGGCCCAGGAGCCCCTTTTCTTGCTTCCCGGGGGCCCCTTGGGGCTCCAGGAGCGAGTACCTGGAGTAGCGAGCGTTCAGAGCAGTGCGGCGCCGTGCCTGCAGCAGGTGGACCGCCGTGACACGGCTCTTTGCGGTTCACTGTGTCTCCTGGGGCAGGAATGGCCCATATACCGGCCTCAGGGGCCTGGACTCCACTCGACAGACGGAGCAGTGGCCATGCCCAGTCCAAGGCCAGAAGCACTGGGGGGTCCTAGGTACAGGGGGCAGTGTGTGGGGAGAGCGAGGACACCACATCTGGGGTGGGGTTTTAGGGACAGCTACATGGGGACCCCGGGAGAGGGATGCACAGGTGGGCAGCAGGGCCAGCCAGTGTCAGGCAGCAGCCATGAGGCAGAGGGGTCCTCAGCTGGGACAGGAGCTGCATCCCCCCTCTCACCTCAGACTTGTGTCTCGGACGAGGATGCTCCCTCCCGTGTGTCTTGATGACGAGGCACTGGTGAAGGTTTCAGGAAGTCAGGGTGTCAACTGCGAGCCCAGGGCCCTGCGTGAATCCTCTCTCCAAGGAGGACCTGATTCCGGAAGGTGGCAGGCCCCTGCCTGCAACCCCCGAGCCGTGCCCTCTGCCCCACAGCATTGTGGGCGGGGATCTCAGGCCCTTTTGCTGTCTTTCCGATTCTTGCTGGTCAGATAAGGAGTCAGAGGGGGGTGCCCCTTTCTTGGAAAGTTGCCCCTATGCTGTAGGGGACGCTGAGCCTCTTCAGGAGCCTGAAAACCTCCGGAAGTTTCAGCAGCACAGAGCAAGAGGCAGCCATGCACCCCGGGGATGCCTCCCTCGGGACTCCTCCCTCCGGGCTTGGGAGCTCTGAGTGTGCAGACTTCTCTCCCCAGAAGGAACTGCTCCACCATGGCCATCCACAGCCTCACACCCACGGCCATCCGCAGCCTCACACCCATGGCCATCCGCAGCCTCACACCCCACACTCACCGCTTTTTTCATCTGCTGGTAACGAAAGGCAGTTGCCGGCAAATTCAGTCGGTTAAGCCAGAAGCAGCAGGGAAGGCATCCCCAAGTTCCAAGAGAAGGGGCCAGCCCCCTGGAGGGTGAAAGGCGACCGGGTGGCTCTGCCTGAAACTCCTGACAACAAGCCTGTGGCTTTCCTCACGTCGTGTTCCCAGATCTCTGTGGACTCCACCAGGGTGCCCTGCAGCTAACTCAGTTCTGACGACCTCTACCCAGGGTGAGTGCAGACCCCGCAGGCCAAGGGCCCGCTCCCATGAGACACCGGGGATGCATGGACGGCCGCTTGCTCTCAGCCGGCAGAGGGACCAGAGCCATGTCCTCAGCACCGTTGTGAGGACCCCCAGGATCCCAGGGCCAGCGCAGCACAGGAGAGGGGGGATGCAGCTCCTGTCCCAGCTGAGGACGCCTCTGCCTCATGGCTGCTGCCTGACACTGGCTGGCCCTGCTGCCCACCTGTGCATCCCTCTCCCGGGGTCCCCATGTAGCTGTCCCTAAAACCCCACCCCAGATGTGGTGTCCTCGCTCTCCCCACACACTGCCCCCTGTACCTAGGACCCCCCCCAGTGCTTCTGGCCTTGGACTGGGCATGGCCACTGCTCCGTCTGTCGACCAGGGACGGGCGCCGTCCAGAATGCAGCAGGCTGTGGGGAGGGTTGCTGCGGTCCCCACATCGGAGCGGTTGCCTGACGACGCGGATGCAACAGCAGGTTGTGAATGTGGGGGTCACGCAGCTGCTTTTAGCAGCAGGGATGGCACTAGCTGCTGAAATGGAAAATCCGGGCCTGTCCTCTCTCTCCACTTGGGTTTTAGGAAGTCAGCTGTCATCAAGAAGGATGGAGTGAGGACTCCCACAGATGGTTTTGATGCAGAGAAAACTCACTGGATCTGGAGTACAGGGACCCTGAACGTTGCAAACAATTCTCCATTGCTTTTTAGGGGAGTTGAACATAACTCTGTTGCTAGAAAGCTGCGGGAAATCCAACACTCTGATTCAGTCCCACGGCGCTCCTTCCACACCCCTTTCGGAGCCACTTCCCAGACGCGGCACAGGGCAGCCCCTGCCAGGGCCTGGGCGGGCAGGGACCCACGGCCACTTCCCTTGCTGCCTGCAGGAGTACCCCACTGAGCTCCACCCCCTGCACCCCAAGGCTTGGGCCGAGGCCGGGCCTGTCTGTGAGCTTGGGCCGACGTCGTGGAGAACTACAATTCCGTCCGCCGAAGGATGCTGTCAGGGCTACAGACAGGCCCCGTGACGGGCACGGAGCCCCCCAGAGTCGACTCACCGCTGGGGCCCAGGCCACGCACCACAGACCCTCAGGGAGCTGCCTGACCAGGGCGGGGGTCCCCTGGATCTGCCTGGGGCCACCTACGCTCCTGGAGCAAGGGTGTCCCAGCCTGTGGCCGGCAGCCTGCAACTTGGGGGTGCGTCTCTGGGCTCCCACACCTGCAGGGGGAGTTTTAGGCCACTGCTTAAGTAGAGTGATCCGGAAGCACTGCCCCTGCCTGAGGTCACTGTCTGCACCCTGACTCCGGGCCCAGGCCACGGCCATGCCTTCCAGGGTACCTGCGACCACCCTGCTCACCCTGAGGTGCTCTCGGAGGCTAGAGGCCATTCATGCTAGGAGCGCGCACTCTGCGTGGGGCGGACCACACAGAGCAGCCCTCTCTGGGCTGGGCTCCCAGAGTTCTGCGGGGCCTCCAGGCGTGGGTGGGAGTGGCTGAGGGGGTGCAGAGCTGCTGTGGACGCCCCCCAGGGACATGGCCCTGCTGCCTAGAGCAGCCTTGCTGACAGAAGCCTCGGCTCACGCCCCCGTGCCCGCCGAGCTCCCCCACGGGTACCGAGACCGCGTGTGCCCCAACACTCCCAGCAGGAGCTGCAGGAATCCGTGTTGAAGTGCTCAGCCTGGCCCGGCCAGCTTCCACGCAGTGTATCTTGTGGCTGGTGCATCCCCGTGTCAGGCAGGCGCCCCTTTCCAGCCTGCCCCCGCAAGGCTCACACAGAGCACAGCGGCTGGGGCTGCTCCTGGCTGACTCCCAACAGGGAAGCTCAACACAACCTTCTATCCTCCTGGTGTCCCAGGACCCACCCAGCAAGGATTTGGGCCAGGAGATCCTGTAATGCCTTTAACTGCGACCAGGAGCCGTGGGCTGCCAGCCCGCTCAGACTGTGGGTCACCAAGCGCCCTCAGATATGGGGGCCCGCTAATGTGGAAATAATATATATCCAGGTTGGCGTCGCCCGTGAAGACTGTAAATGTCACCATTAGGGGAACCACGCCTGAATCCCATCCGGCGGCTGGGAGCCGAGGCTTCTCGCCTTGTCTCCTGGCTGTTTTATTGGTTTTTGTAAGAAGAGAATGTTTTCTCTGTGTGCTGGGGGCTGGGAAGGAAGGGCAGTGCCGGGCCTGGGGAATGCCGGGGGCCTAGGGTGGGAGGGGCCTGGGGAACGCCGGGGGCCTAGGGTGGGAGGGGCCTGGGGAACGCCGGGGGCCTAGGGTGGGAGGGGCCTGGGGAACGCCGGGGGCCTAGGGTGGGAGGGGCCTGGGGAACGCCGGGGGCCTAGGGTGGGAGGGGCCTGGGGAACGCCGGGGGCCTAGGGTGGGAGGGGCCTGGGGAACGCCGGGGGCCTAGGGTGGGAGGGGCCTGGGGAACGCCGGGGGCCTAGGGTGGGAGGGGCCTGGGGAACGCCGGGGGCCTAGGGTGGGAGGGGCCTGGGGAACGCCGGGGGCCTAGGGTGGGAGGGGCCTGGGGAATGTCGGGGGTCTCGGGTGGGAGGGGCTTGGCCTGGCAGGTGGCCCGCTGCAGGGTGGTTTTGGCCGGGCGCGGTTCAAAGCCCCAGGCCCGTGCCCTGGCATCACTCAGCAGAGCAGCCCACTGGGCGAGTGCAGGCCTGAGGAGACACCGACCTTCCGTGGGCCTGGATTTCCCGCTTGTCCTGGGGTCCTCTTGCCAGGGACAAGCCGTGGCTGGGGGAGACAGGGGTGGCGCCTCAAGGTCAGCAGTGCTCACGGCTGTTCTACCCACGCAGCCAAGGACAGCAGCGCCTGCATCTGAGCCCTGTTGTTATGCAGCCCTGTGCTGCCCATCCTCCATGCGCCCCTTACTGGCTTGTGTGATCCTGAGCAAGTTCTGTCTTTCCAGCTTTAAACTGATCACCCACTACCCTACGGCGGTTGTGAGAATCAAATGTCGTAACATGCACTGGAATGAAAGTTCCTTAAAGGCTCCAAAGAGACGGGGATTTTCCAGATATCTTTCTGTTACTGGTTTCTAATTTAATTCCTTTATTGTCAGAATATACTTGATATGCCTTGAGTCTTTTAAAATTTAGTCAGATTTGTTCTGTAGCCCAGAATATGGTTTGTCTTAGTGAAAGTTCCGTTTGAGCCAAAAATGAACAGACAGTGTTCTGTCAGGATTCATTAGATCAAATTGGCCAATAGTGTTTTTCAACTCTTCTGTACGTCCTCATTTTCTGCCTGTTTTATCAATTATTGAGATAAGGGAGATTGAGATCTCCAACTATAATTATGGATTTCTCTATGTCTGCTTACATTTCTATCCGTTTTTGCTTCATGTCTTTTGAAGCTCTATTATCAGGCACATACGTGTTTGAGAGTCTTCTGACCTCCTGATGAACATTGTGAAATGGCCTCCTGACTGCTGATCATATTCTCTGCTCTGAATTGTGCTTTGTCTGGTGTGACGGTGGCCAGTCCAGCCTTCTCGTCGCTCGTGTTTGTATGGTATGTTTTTCCGTCCTTTACCTTTCCGCCTGTGTGTGTCTTTGTGTTTGAAGCGGATCTCTTAGAGCTGGCGTATGCTTGGGTCTTATGTTTAAATCCAGTCTGACAAGTCCTGCCCTTTATCTGGGTGTCTGGGCCGTTTGCATCCAATGCAGTCTTTCCTGGGGAAGGTTTCAGCCTGTTGTCTTGCGATTTGTTTTCTGATCCTCCCATGTGTTCTCTGTTCCTTTTTGTTGCTGTTATTTTACACCTTCCTCTGGATTAATTGAATATTTTTGTGACTCCTTTTTATTTTCTTTCTTGGCTGTAACTTTTTTGTCTTATTTGTGTGGTGGTTTTAGGGTTTATAGTATATGCCTTTAATCCATCACAGCTCACCTTCAAGGTATACTATGCCTATCTCATAAATGCTGAAAGAATTTTACAACAATATTCTCCCAACAGTATTTTCCTCTCCTGGCCTTTTGCTATTATTGCCAAACAGTTTGATTAAACAGTCCAGTTATCTTTCAGAGACATTTCATTCAATTGGAAGAACAGCCTCATTGTGTATCCATATACTTACCATTTCCGGAGCTCTTTTTTCCATCTGTGATCATTCTCCCTCCACCTAACATCACCATTTCCAGAGCTCTTCACTCCTGCGTGGAGATCCAGGCTTCCATCCGTGATCATTCTCCCTCTACCTAATATCACCATTTCCAGAGCTCTTCACTCCTACGTGGAGATCCAGGCTTCCATCCGTGATCATTCTCCCTCCACCTAACATCACCATTTCCAGAGCTCTTCACTCCTGCGTGGAGACCGAGGTTTCCATCCGTGATCATTCTCCCTCCACCTAACATCACCATTTCCAGAGCTCTTCACTCCTGCGTGGAGATCTAGGCTTCCATCCGTGATCATTCTCCCTCCACCTAACATCACCACTTCCAGAGCTCTTCACTCCTGCGTGGAGATCCAGGTTTCCATCTGTGATCATTCTCCCTCCACCTAACAGACTTGACATTTCTTCTAGCATAGGTTTGCTGGTGACAAGTTCTTTCAGCTTGTCAATGTCTGACAAAGTCTTTATTTCACCTTCATTTTTGAAAGAGATTGTTGTTGGGTATAGAATTCTAGGTTGACAGGTTTAGTACTTTAAAGATTGTACTCTACTCTCGTCTCATTTGCATTATTTCCTGTGACAACTCCTTATGTACATACTCTGTAACATCTTTATTTGCATGTAAGATTTTTATCACGAGTTTTAAGCAATATTCGATTATGATGTGTAGTTTGTAGTACTATTCTAAGAGATCCGCTTCAAATACAAAGACACACAGGCTGAAAGGTAAAGGATGGAAAA
Source organism: Homo sapiens (assembly GCF_000001405.40). Lineage (NCBI taxonomy): Eukaryota > Metazoa > Chordata > Mammalia > Primates > Hominidae > Homo > Homo sapiens. Next base: position 884,207 of record NC_000016.10, on the reverse strand, counting down.
ACATACCAAAAACGTGAATGAGTGACAAGAAGGCTGGACTGGCCACCTTCACACCAGACAAAGCAGAATTCAGAGCAAAGAATATGATCAGGAGTAAAGAGGCCATTTCACAGTGTTTATCAGGAGGTCAGAAGACTCTCAAACACGTATGCGCCTGATAATAGAGCTTCAAAAGACATGAAGCAAAAATGGATAGAACTGTAAGCAGACATAGACAAATCCATAAAGTTGGAGATTTCAATAATAGATAAAGCAGGTAGATAGAAAATAAGGAAGGATGTAAAAGAGCTGAAAAACACTACTAACCAACATGATCTAATTAACATTTATAGGCAGTTTGTGACAATTTGATTATTTGTCAATCAAACTACAATCAAAGTGATCAATAGTGTCATATTGTCATGCAGTAAAATGTGACCATTTGGTTATCTGGTGTTGTTTTCCTCATATTTTTTGTGCTTGGAGTTCGCTGAGTTGCTTGAATCTATAGGTTTATCATTGTCATTACATTCGGAAAATATTTGGCCAATATTTCTTCAAATATTGTTTCTGTACCTCTCCAGGATGTGAGGAGGCTTACACGGGTACGAGTGCTGAGCCCTGTCTGGGGTGGAGGGTGTGTGAGTCAGTACTAAGTATCTGTTACCCAAAGACTCAGAAAGACTTTTACTTTGGTTTCTCTAAAATGGGGTTTTCCCAGTAACATCAGAGTTCAACACTGTTTGGCTTCTGGATTCAGGCTGTTTCAGAGATCTGCTATTGCCCAACACACCCCAAGCCTCAGTGGCTTAGAGCAGCAGCATCTTTCTCCTGGTCCTGTGACAGGTTCTGCTGGGCAGCTCCTCTTTCTCCTGGTCCTGTGATGGGCTTCGCTGGGCGGCTTCTCTTTCTCCTGGTCCTGTGATAGGCTCTGCCGGGCAGCTCTTCTGCTGAGCAGCTCCTATTTCTCCTGGTCCTGTGATAGGCTCTGCTGAGCAGCTCCTCTTTCTCCTGGTCCTGTGATGGGCTCTGCTGAGCAGCTCCTCTTTCTCCTGGTCCTGTGATGGGCTCTGCTGAGCAGCTCCTCTTTCTCCTGGTCCTGCAATGGGCTCCGCTGGGTGGCTCCTCTTTCTCCTGGTCCTGCAATGGGCTCCGCTGGGTGGCTCCTCTTTCTCCTGGTCCTGCGATGGGCTCCGCTGGGTGGCTTCTCTTTCTCCTGGTCCTGTGATAGGCTCTGCCGGGCAGCTCTTCTGCTGAGCAGCTCCTCTTTCTCCTGGTCCTGTGATGGGCTCTGCTGAGCAGCTCCTCTTTCTCCTGGTCCTGCGATGGGCTCCGCTGGGTGGCTCCTCTTTCTCCTGGTCCTGCGATGGGCTCCGCTGGGCGGCTTCTCTTTCTCCTGGTCCTGTGATAGGCTCTGCCGCCGGCTCCTCCTTCTCCTGGTCCTGCGATGGGCCCCGCTGGGCAGCTCCTCTTTCTCCTGGTCCTGCGATGGGCTCTGCTGCCGGCTCCTCTTTCTCCTGGTCCTGCGATGGGCCCTGCTTGCTGGCTTCTCTTTCTCCTGGTCCTGTGATGGCCTCTGCTGGGCAGCTCTTCTCCTGAGCAGTAGCAACTTTCTCCTGGTCCTGTTATGGGCTCCCCTGGGTGGCTCTTCTGCTGCACGTGGTGTCAGGTGGGGTCATTCACGAGCTGATAGCTAGGCCGGGAGGTCCAGGAAGGCTTCACTTGTACTGGAACCTAGTGCATCTCCCGGTGGCCTTGCCACATGGCCACCATTGGCTTCCTCACAGCTTGGTGGCCTCAGAGTAGAGGGACCTTTAATGGGGTTGGAGCTGCCTCTTCAAGGACTGAGCTTGAAAGTTCAGAACATCACTCACGCTGCATTCTCTTGGCCAAAGCTGAGTCCCAAGGTCGGCTGGGATTCCAGGGGAGGCGAGCCATGCTCAGGAGGGGCAGTGGCCACTACAGCTGAGCCTGATGCTCTTCTCTTTTTAACACAGCATTGGGTCATGTCAGCCCCATGTCTGTTACATTTGTCACCGTCTTTATCACTCAGTGTCATTTTTCTCCATCTGCAGTTGCCTTGGTGGGAAGTGGGGGTTCCACGTCCACAAAGGCATCGCACTGTGTCCCTGCTGTGGCCCTTTCCCAGGTGAGGTTCTGAGAGCCCGTGGCAATTACCACTTCGGGACACAAACATCCAAGGGCCGCTTCCCACGGGGACGCTTGTGATTGGCTTGTTCCTGGAACACATGGGACCTCCTTCTTCATCCCAAGACCCTCACCTGATAAGCATAAGCAGCCCCCGCTCCCCTCCCCGTCAGAGCTCAGCCGACACACGTCAGCAGCCCCAGCATGCAAGAGGGAAGGAGAGGTTAAAGTCCCCCACCCCAAAAGCCAGACCAAGAGCTGGGACTTCGGGTGTGGGCCTAGCCCTGGAGATGCTTGTTCCCAACACCTGGCCAAGCCTGCTGCCTCCTGCATGGGTCTCGCCGCAACCCCAAACACACAACAAGCAGCCTAAAAGGGAAGTGGCAGACCAGGCATTCCGGTTCTTCTCTGGCTTTTCCCTGTGGGCACTAGGGGGTGGGTCCCACATGGGGCACTCAAGCCCTAACAGACGACACTCATTCTCCCCCAAGATCTGCTGCCTTCTAAGTCCCTAAACAGGTGTCATCCCCTTCACTCTTTCCTCATGTTTTTCTTATTTAAAATTGTCTTTTTAGGAGAAGTTTGCAGGCTGTTTCCTGAGGTCTGGGCCAGCAGCACCGCCATGCCCTGACCCACCATTCCCCTGGCCGCGGGCTGAGTGTCCCAGCTGCACGGGAACTCCTGGCCTTGCCTGCAGCATGCGACACTGCCACACCCACCTCACGGCTCACAGCCAAGTTTCAGGTCATGATGTTTTCTCCTAGCCTCAGTGTAAACAAAAATAACTCTTTGCCCTCTAAGCAAATGAGCAGAGGCCTCAGGACCCTCCCCAGCCCACGGCTCTTGGGGTGCACTGGGGCCCTGTGCCCGGTCACCCCCTCGGGTGTGCACATGGCCGCCTCTCCTGCGCTTCCCACACCCCCACCCCGGAGCAAGCGCTGCCCAGCACAGCCCCTATGTGCGCTTTCTGCCACCTGGGGGCCCCGACTTCCACGTAGCCTCTCTGGACCCTGGGAGTCCCAGGACCTGGGTGCGGATTCTGAAGCGTCTGGGGGCCGCCTCCCTCCCTGCAGGGCGTGTTCATTGTTGTCCCTAGTGGGGTTTCTGCGGCTGTGCCAGGCCCAATGGCTCCCGCGGGCTGTGCTAGCAAGGCCTTCAGCCCTGAGCAGCATGCGGGCAGGCCCCTCCACAAAGGCAAGCAGAGCGTGCAGCATCGTCCATCTAGGGCACTCTTCCCACCACCACCCTGGGCTCACCGACTCACACAGCCCTGGCAGTGCCACTCTGGATCCCGTTGTTGGGGGCTTCCAGAAAACAGCGTGTGGGGGCCTGGGCCCCATTTGCCAGTGGGGTGTTCTCACTCCAGACAAGTCTGCACAACCACTCTGACTTGATTGATGGATCGACTGTCTGATACAAGGTCTTGTTCTGTTGCCTAGGCTGAGTGCCGTGGCACAGTCGTGGCTCACTGCAGCCTCTACCTCCTGGGTTCAGGCGATCCTCCTGACTCAGCCTCCTGGGTAGCTGGGGCTACAGGCACGCACCACCATGCCCAGCTAATTTTTTATTTTTATAGAAATGGGGTCTTGATAAGTTGTCCAGGCTGGCTTCAAACTCCTGGGCTCAAGTGATCTGCCTGCCTTGGCCTCCCAAAGTGCTGGGATCACAGGCATGAGCCACCGTGCCTGGCCTTGATAGTTTTGAATTATGGTGCAGGGCAAGTTCCCACCCTTCCTCCTGGCTGGGCTGCTGAGTGGGACCCTAGGTGTGGGGACTTCTCTGTGCCTTGGCCTGGGAGGCTTCCAGGTCCCCACAGCCAGGTCTTGCGCTTAGAGCCTTGAGCTGGGCTCGGGACCCGGGCCCCATTCCTGCTGGTCCCCAACCGGCACGTCCCCACCCACGTGTCCATCCCCAGGGAAAGGGCATCCTGAGCCTGAGGGGCCGCCTGTGGACCCCGGCTCTTGGGGGTTGCAGCTTGGCCGCCTGTGGGCAGCAGGCGGCGCGTTCTCCGACTGCCTGTTCTCCGACTGCCTGTGTTCTCAAGTTGGGCACGGGGTTTACAGGTGTCGTCTCTCCTTCAGCTGGGGTGTGTATTCTTTGCTTTTAGATGGTAAAGATTTTAAGACAAAAATGAACACTTTGCTTTTGCTTCAAAAGCTCCCTGAATGTCTCTTGGCCCCTCTTAGCGTGGCAGGTGGGCTCCACGTGTGCAGGGCCAGGCGGGCCGGGGGGATCCTGTGTGCAGTAGGAGCCGGGGTCAGGGGGCCAGGGACCCACAAGCCTCTCCCTAGCCCCGCCCCCCGAGATCGGCCAGGCACCTCACGGCCCCTCCTGTCCCTGCAGACCCAGCCGATGCCCAATCCTGTGGCGTACTACCTGCACCACTCACCCTGGTGGTTCCATCGCTTCGAGACGCTCAGCAACCACTTCATCGAGCTCCTGGTGCCCTTCTTCCTCTTCCTCGGCCGGCGGGCGTGCATCATCCACGGGGTGCTGCAGATCCTGTTCCAGGTGAGCCCGCGCCGCCCGCCCTGCCCCGTGTCCACAGAGACGCTGGCCCGTCGCCCTATTTCTGGCTGCCCCGCTCTCTGGGAGGACCCTGGGGCATTACAGGCCCCCTTTCTTGGGGACAGCCTGTCCTCCCCAGCCTTCGTTTGTGTCACGGGCCCCACTGCAGCCCTGTCCCGGGCTGCAGGCTGAGGGTCTCCTTCCCAGGCTTCCTCCAAGGACTGGCTCCTCCCAAGAGCGTTTCCTGCAGCTGCGAGAGGCCCGGCCATGTCCTGGGCTCGGCAGTGGGACGGGGTCAGCACGCCAAGGCCCTGTGTGGACACCCCCACATTCCTGGGATCCACTCCTAAGATTCTTCCATTCTAGAGGTTTCCTTTCAAGTGTTCATGTCAGTCCACGGGGAACCAGGGTCTGAGAGAGGCCAGGGTCATTTGCCTCCATGTGGGTGAGGGGCTGCCTCCCCCAGCCCCCGGAACCCCGGGTACCCCCTAACGCCCCGTCCTGCCCACAGTCACCGCCATCCCTGCCCCACAAGCCCCCTGCATTGAGGGCGCCTCGAAGGACAGAGCACCCCCACGCTGCCTCCAGGGGGGCTGGGCCAGTCCCGAGCCTTTGCTTTTCCCTGTAAACGCTACATTCCGACTGTCAATTCCCAAGGAAAATGTGGTGGGGATTTTAAAGGTGGTTCTCTCTCTCGATTGTTTCAATGGAGGTGTAACATACAGCCAGGAAAATGCACAGGTCCAGGTGGCGTTCCACGTGCTCTGGAAAACAGATGTACCTGGGTGTCCCACGCCCCTTCCCCTGCCCTGCCCGCCCCTGCCCCCGCCCTTCCCCTGCCCTGCCCACCCCTGCCAGAGCACCGCCGCCTAGAGGGGCAAAGCTCCGTCAGCAGGCACGGGTGCCACGCCACGTTGGTGCACGTGGGGGCGCCCATGGTTGTTGGCCGGGTCCTGTTTCACGGTGCGTGCCTGCGGTCGGTTCACCCGTCCCGTCTGTGCACGTGTGGTAGTTTCTGGTTTTCACCACAGCCTGCCGTGCAGAGGTGCAATCTCGTCATCCTGTGGATGTATTTTCAAGGGCGCTACTGTATCGTGAGCAGGCCTGTGATTCACCTTACTGGAAGCTGCACGTGTCCAGGGTGGCTGTGCTGTTCTTGACCCCTCCCCCCAGCAAGGACCCTCACTCTGGCCGCCGGGGCCCTGAGCAGCTCCTGACTCCCTCGGGCTTTTCCGCGTTAGCTGCTTGGAGGCTGGCACCGGTGCCCATCAGGTGATTTCCCTGTGGGCATCGATGTCGCCGTGAATCTAAGTGGGAAGAACGGACTTGCTCACAGATCGTCCCCCAGCCAGGACCGCACGTTTCTCTCTGCAGCTGCTCAGGGCTCCTGGAATAGCTTCAGTCGGTTCCATGTAGCCGGACCCCACGCGTGTTTGGGGGCTCCTGGAATAGCTTCAGTGGATTCCATGTGGCTGGACCCCACGCGCGTCTGGGGGCTCCTGGAATAGCTTCAGTCGGTTCCGTGTAGCCAGACCCCATGTGTGTTTGGGGGCTCCTGGAATAGCTTCAGTGGATTCTGTGTAGCCAGACCCCACGCGCGTTTGTAGGCTGCAGCTCTGAGGTGACTTCTTTTTGTTGATGTTGTAAATGGTGCCCTTTTAAGTCACACTTCCTCCTCTTGGTGGCTAAGTGTGGGACTCTGGTGACCTTGACCTTTCTCAGACAACCTCTGCACTGGTACTTCCCCGTCTGTCTGCGGGTCCCTCAGAGACGCGTCCTGTGGGTGATCTAGGGATTCTGCCGGTTCTACGTCCATCCCTTTCTCCCCTGCTGGGCGGGCTCGAGTGCTGTCCTGGGTCTGGGGTCCCACAGCAGGGAGGGCCCGCCACCCCGCGCACTGCCTCTCACGATGCCGGCTGTGGGTTGTTTTCGTGGCTGCTTTTATTCACTTCTCCTTTGTGGGTTTTTAGCCATGAATGGATGTTGAGTTGTGGCGTTTCTCCATCAGTCACGAGATGACTTGTTGTTTCGTCTGTAACGTGGCGAGTTACATTAATGCTGTGGATGCTGAAGCAAGTTCACATTCCCAGAACATCTGAGCCTCTTCCTCTGCGGGAGTCTGGAAAGCAGAGGTGACCGTCCCTCACACCTGGCAGTGCTCCTGCATGAGGCCACCTGCGCCGCCAGGGTCTCTGTGACTGATCACCCTTGCGGGCCGTAGGACACGCAGAGTTTCCATTCCTTCTTGACTTGAGGCAGTTTTTGTGGTGAACATTTCCCTGGGAATTTGTTCATCTGTTTTCAAATCTTTTGGCAAAAAAAGTCATAGTATTATCTTAGTTTTATAGCCTCTCAAGTAGCCGGGACTACAGGTGCCACCACGCCGAGCTATTTTTCATTTTTTGTAGAGCTGGGGGTCTCGCTATGTTGCCCAGTCTGGTTTTGAACTCCAGGGCTCGAGCACTCCTCCTGCCTGACCTCCTAAAGTGCCGTGACTGCAGGTGTGCGCCCGGCCTCAAGGCCTGTGTCCTCACCGACACGCATCTCCTGAGACAGCGGGGAGCAAGGTCATGCTTAGGGTCAGCGTGGCCGTCTTTCTCTTTTAAGTAACAGGCCCGTATATCTCAACTGACATATTTGGACGTATTTCCACATCTTTGTGTTTTTCTCTTTGTTCTTTGTATCTTTCTCTCTCGTTTTTTTCTGTTATTTTCCCTCCTCTAATGGATAAGGAAGATCCTCTGTTTCCTCAGTGGTTATCAATCAATCAGCCATGTTAACTTACTGAAGGTCTCAGTTTGGGCAGCATCTTTGCCACCATGACCCCCCGAGGTCCTCAGCCCGCCCAGCCCGCCTCTGTCCAAGGTCCTCAGCCCACCCAGCCTGCCTCTGTCCGCCCCAAGCCACTTGCGTCCTTTGCTCCAGTGTTTCAGCTCTGTTTCGTTTTATTAATTGACTTATTTTAGAACACTTTTAGATTTTCGGAAAAACTGTGCAGAGACTACAAAGGTTCCCTTATCCCCCCCTCCCAGTTTCCCTGCGCTCAGCGTCTTGCATCGGCCAGGACCTTGTATAGTTGATAGGCAGGACTGATAAACTGTTGCCAACTAAAGTCCCGGCTGACAGGAGAGCCATTCGCAGTGTTGCTCATTCTGTGAGCTCCGACAAACGGACGACGACACGTGTCCCCATCACAGCTTCATGCAGAGTCGCTTGTGGCCCTGGAAGTTCTCTGTGCCCCGCCGACCCTCCGTCTCCACGGTACTGCCTCTTCCGGACATCCTAGAGTGGGAAGCATTGTGCAGCCTTTGCGGACTGGCTTCCTGCCCTCCGCGGCCGCGCGTGGGCTCCTGCACCTCCTGCAGGCTCCACTGCTTGTTTCTCTTCGGTTCCGAGACGCCCGTGGTCCGCACGTGCCCCGGTTTGTTTCTCCACTCAGCCTCTGAAGGGCAACAGACGGAGCCCCGGGCACATGTGCTTCCCACAGGGCGCACAAGGAGGGTTGTGCTGAGCACAGGCGTGGGGCCAGGGCCGGCTGTGCCAGCCCCGGGTCCCACTGCCACCCAGGGAGGGGTGTCCAGCCTGAATGGAGGGGTGTGTTCCAGGATTCCTGACCTGGGTGGGGCCACACACACGGGTGACTCCTGAGCCGTCTTCAGCCATGCGGTCCTGGGGTCCCAGCTGCTGGAGGAGGGCCGGGCTGGAGACTCCCGGGAGTCACCCCGACCCCACACACCTCCTGCGTGGGCTGTGCTGCCCCAGGGTCCCGCCTGCCCCTGCCGGTGGAGAACACAGAGATGCCCACGCCAGGCTCGGGTCTGGTTCCGAGGCCGGTCCAAGGGCACCCCTGGACACACAGCCCAGGCAGGGGTGTTGGTCTGCTTGGCTCCGTGGCTGCCTGGCAGTGGGGAGTGCTCAGGATCCCACCTCCCGCTTCCATGGCCCGTGTACCCTGTAGCGTCCCTCCCTCAGGCTGTGCTGGCCAGTTCCACCACTGCCCCTCTCCCGATAAGCTGATGCTGCCTGGGAGAAGCTCTCATGAAAAGCAAGGTGCTGAGTTACTTAAGTAAATGGAGAAAGTGGGAGTCACTTGAGGGCTGAGCTACCGTGACATGGAATGGGGAGGTGACCCTTGAACCAGAGGCCTCAAAAACGTCCTTGTTTATTCAGAACGCAGGAACCTGGCCAGGGGGTTAGATGAGAATTGGACCAACGGGCCCTGGTGCAGGCAGACAGGGACCCTCCCAAGCATGACGGCCAGGCTGCGGGTTCCCTTAGTGCCGGTGCTGGCCCCGTTTTGGAGTCCGCTGCCTGGTGGGGTGAGTGGCGGTGGACAGTGGGGATGCTGAAAGGGGAGGGGACAGAGCTGGGCCTCACTGCACCTGGGACTGTGAGCACCACCCTCAAAGACCCGGCACAGGCAGCGCCTCCCTTCCAGGCCTCGGAGGTCAGGCTGCGTCATCCTCTCCAGCCCCACACTGTGTCCAGGACGAGGTGGAAGCACCAGGGTCGTGGCTGTGCTCTGCGGCGTGGCCTGGCGTCCCCCCTTGGAAGACAAGATGGTCGGCCGGCAGTCCCGGCTGCGATGTATCCTGCCCCCTCACAGGCAGTGTGGGGTCTTGAACTAGGGCTTTTGCCCCCACAGGCGTACAGGGCAGAGGGTGTCTGGGGGATGATATGGTGTGGGGCTGAGAGTGACCCGCGCCCTCTAACATTGTAGTGTCCTGGCTGGGGCTGCGTACTCCCCTGTGCCGCGCTGTGACAGCCGAGTGCCCTGAGACTTCTGAGCGCCGCCTGCCTGGAGCCTGTCCTGGTTCCGTGTGTTCCCATCTGAGCGCCGCCTCCCCGGATCCCGTCCTGGTTCCGTGTGTTCCCATCTGAGCACCGTCCCCCGGAGCCTGTCCTGGTTCCCGTGATCCTTCCGTTGGGGAGTTGCGGCATGAGCAGCCTCCCTCCTCCCACGCAGTTTACACAGCTGTTCCGGAGGGTTCCGCGGGGCCCTGGGGCCGCTGCCTGCCTGGAGAGGTGCACAAGAGCAGTGACCGCAGAGCCCGGCCGCCCAGCCAGCACCCCACGGGAGCCATCAGCCTCCACTAGGGCACTGGTGACAGGGAGACGCAGCCCCGGACTGCCAGGGCGGGAGGGGCAGGGGGTGAGCTCAGGTCTGGAACCTCTGAGGCGCCTGCCCACAGCGGGCTGTCCGGCCCCACCCCACCCCGCCCTGCCCAAAGGGCTCCTTGCCCTGTGGTGGCTGCACCCCACGCCCGCTCAAGACAGAGGCCCGGAGGCCCTGCCAGCCCCGCACACACAGGCCGGCTGTCCTGAGGCTCTGTCCCAGAGCTGGGCTCACCGGCCCTTAGCTGTGTTTCGGTTGTGATGAAACAACACAGATAACGCAAAGTAAGTTCATGCTTTTGAAGTGAACTCGGGGGCCTCCAGCACGTTCACAGCGTGATGCAACCGCCGCCTCCGCCTGGTTCCAGAACTTCCCATACCCCCCCCACACCCGGCAAAGGAGACCCTCACACCCGCCGCCGGGCCTCCACCAGCCACTGGGAGCTTCATCTCTGGATTCCCGACTCGGACGTTCCATGCAACTGGCATCCTACAATGTGCGGCCTCCGTCCAGCCTCCCTCCCTGAGCACCATGACCCTGGGTCTGTCCCTTTCGGGGCACGTGCTGAACTCCGATTCCTTTGCAAGGCTGCATGCGTTTCCGTGGGTCAGGCATAGGGCTCTGGGTCACTGCTGTCGTGGATGCTGATGGACTGGTGTTAGACCTCAGCAGATTCTCTACCTCCCACCATGTTCTTCTGCCCTCATCTCCTCTCTGTGACACTGAAGAGAGACCTGGGTTCACGCCCACCAGAGTGCCCACCTGGAACACAATGCATTTCCTCAGCAGAGGGTCCCCGCGAGCGCAGGGGTGTCCTCGGCGGAGGGTCCCCGCGAACAGGCATGTCCTCGGCGGAGGGTCCCTGTGAGCGCGGGCGTGTCCTCGGCAGAGGGTCCCCACAAGCCACCTGTTCTCCGTGGCAGCTGACAGGCAGGAGGCTGCATCCAAAGATGCCACTCTTCCTTCTTGGGGCCATGCGCCGTTGGCCTCGGAACACCTGCTGCTCCGTCTCTTGGGCCCAGGATTCCATCACCTCAAGCTCCTCTTCCTGTGCCGGCCTTGGGGACCCCCTCGGGCCTCGCCTCCGCTCCCAGCCACCGGCCGGGTCATCTGTGGGCCGCACAGCCTTGTGAGGACTCCGCCGGCGGGGGCGAGCACAGATGGGCAGTGAGAAGACTGATTTCCCTCTGAGGAGATGGCTCAGTGATGCTAGAAGAAAAACAAGGAAGGCGAGGTCCCCCAGGAGCGCTCAGGCCGTGCACTCTACGCGGAACTGCGTTTTCATAACAAAACAGCCGACCAGATGGAGGGCGAGAGATGCACCAGAGCAGCTGAACGGGGCGCAGCTGGGGATGCCTCTGCATGGAGCAGGGCCCCGAGCCCCGAAGCTTTCTTAGAAACAGGATCTGATGCCCAGATCTGTGCTCTCTGGAGCCCTAGTTCCCTGAGGCTAGAGTTCCCCACTGAGCCCACAGCAGGATGACCCAAGGGGGCTTTGGAAATACACTCAGGCAGGGCCCACCCTGACCCAGGCAGGCAGGTGCTCAGGGCTGGGTGTTCCTCAAAGCTCCTGATGGTTCTGGCATGGCCGAGCATCCGAACGGGCACTGGCTCAGGCTGTGCCCCAGGTCGCTTTGGTCCCATCTGCCAGTCAGGCTGACCACAGCGAAGGGCCAGAAAGACCCGAGCTTTTCCCACCAGGACATTCCAGTGTCACCTGTGGCATCTCCTCCAGAGCATCCCCAAGAGTGGGCCCAAAGGTCAGACCTCAGTGCCTAGCCCTGCACCCTCCCTGTCACGGGAGCTCAGGGGCTCCCAGCCACCCCACCCCAGACCAGCCCTGGTCACACTCAGGACGGAGGGCATGGGGGTCTGGACCAGCGGAGGGGAGCTGGTGGCAGAGGTGGCTAACCCCAGCCAGGGCGAGGCGGGGCTGTTTTTGGCACAGGGGTTTAGTAACCTTGTAGACAGTGGAGAATAAGAAATAACTGTTTTGGGGCTCAGAACCAGAAAAGCTATTTTTCCCAATTCACCCAGGGAGAGCCATGAGTGCACAGTTCATAAAACACCATCATCGCCCATAACACTGATGTGGCTGCCCTCACGAGTCCCTTCATTAGACGTCGATGTCCCTGCCCTCAACCTTCCTCCTGAGTTACGGGGATAAAGGCTGGGCTTTGATGCATCAAATCTGGCTGACGGAGCTGTCTGAGGAAGCCACACCCAGGTCCTGCCGGCCCAGGGTCCACCGGCTCAGCTGCAGACCATCACCCATGCAGGGCGACCGGCCACGCAAGCTGCCCCTGTCTCCCTGATGCCTCCACGGCAACGGCAGGGGTGAGGTCTGGCAGCACACCTGTGATATCACCCGACGGAGCTGCAGGGACAGCGGCTCCATCTCCAGTTTCGTCACCTAACGATCGCTGGCCTGCGGGGATGTCCAGAAGCGGGTCCCTCTGAGTCCCTCCTGCCGCAGGTTTACTCACTGCTGCTGCTGAGTCTTTCCTTGGAGCTCTCCCAGCCGTGCTGCTCAGCCAGCCCTGCATGCAGCCCCTCCCCTCTCCTGCTGTTCATCTCTGTGGCACAGGGTCCTGTGCCTGTGTCTCACTTCCTTGCATTTCGTATTTTGGAGTGGGGGCGTTACTGGTGGCCCCCCCACGGCCCCTGTTGTCTGTGTCACCCATCGGCTGAGGGGCGTCCCCAGTACCCACTCTCCAAGCACAGCCTCCTCTGTTTGGACTCACCAGCCTTCCCCGGGCATGACCCCGGCAGGTGCCCTCTGAAAGTGAGGAGTTCCAGGAGGGCACAGGGTCTGGTGGTCTGGTCCAGCCCCCGCCTTGCGGATCACTAAAGCAAGGGACAGAACCTGCACAGAAATGTGCAGTCATGGGAGGAATGTTCTGGAAGCACCTGCCGGAAGGCACCTCTGAGGCATCTGCTGTCCCCTCCATGAAGGCACAGCTGGGTTTCAGTTGTGATGCTGGGCCCGAGGGACAGCAAGGGCAGAGCTGGGTGCAGGTTCCCTCCCCCCTCCCTGCTCCAGGAAGAGAGGCGCCAGCTGCCCAGGGGCCCCACACGAGCCCCTGCACGAGACTCAGCTGCGGCGTCTCCACAGGCCGTCCTCATCGTCAGCGGGAACCTCAGCTTCCTGAACTGGCTGACTATGGTGCCCAGCCTGGCCTGCTTTGATGACGCCACCCTGGGATTCTTGTTCCCCTCTGGGCCAGGCAGCCTGAAGGACCGAGTTCTGCAGATGCAGAGGGACATCCGAGGGGCCCGGCCCGAGCCCAGATTCGGTAGGTGGCTCAGCTGGGGGCCCCTGCCCAAGGGCAGGAGAAAGTCGGGTGGTGCCAGCCCCACAGCCTGCCCGTGTGGGTTGGGGACGCCAGGGTAGGAGGAGAGTCAGCGCCGTCCGCAGTGTAGCGTGCCAGGAACAAGGTGTGTGAGTTCGGGTGCTGCTCCGTCCCCGGGACCCAGGACAGCTGACCCTTAGGGAGCAGCAGCTGGGGTCTCCCCAGGGACAGGCCACGGGGCAGCTGGGAGCCCCACCTGGAAGATGTCACTCCCCTGCCAGGCTCCGTGGTGCGGCGTGCAGCCAACGTCTCGCTGGGCGTCCTGCTGGCCTGGCTCAGCGTGCCCGTGGTCCTCAACTTGCTGAGCTCCAGGCAGGTCATGAACACCCACTTCAACTCTCTTCACATCGTCAACACTTACGGGGCCTTCGGAAGGTATGAGCCTGGGGTCCCCGTCCCCCGGAGCTGGGTATATGGGGAGACTCAGCCCTGACCAGCCACATTCAGGTGGGGTTACAGTGCAGGCCCCCATGACCCCAAGTGTCCCCTGCCCCACCCCAGCCTGACCCAGGCACAGGCCGTGCTGTCCCCACTACCGGGCCTGGACACGCAGGCCTCCTCGTCCTGGTCCCATGAGGCAAAGGGGCAGGGCCCGAGGTCACCAGGCAGGTGGGCTGCGGCCCTGGAATGCCTACTGGGGGCGTAAGGGAGAGGCCACCAGGCCCCAACCCCCTGCGTGGGAATGCCAGGTAGTGCCACCTGAACACAGGCACCCTCCCTGTCCTGGGGCCAGCCCCTTGGCCTCTGTCCCCCTCATGTCCACCCTGAGCTGCCGAGGGGCATGGGGCACATGGCGGCTGCAGCTGGGTCTTCACGGGCAGAGAAGGTGTTCTCGAATGAGACCCTGGGGCCACAGTTCCCAAAAGTTCTCCTCAGCCCCACCCAGCCTCTCAGTAGCCCCTGACCAGGAGGCAGGTGGAGGCTGTAGCCCTCCCCCTGGGCCAGGATGGACAGTCGGGGAACCCCCCCCACCCATGCACCCCACTCGGCCCAGCCGGTGTGTGACGTGGGCCTGGCCTGCCTCGGTCTCCCGGCAGCATCACCAAGGAGCGGGCGGAGGTGATCCTGCAGGGCACAGCCAGCTCCAACGCCAGCGCCCCCGATGCCATGTGGGAGGACTACGAGTTCAAGTGCAAGCCAGGTGACCCCAGCAGACGGCCCTGCCTCATCTCCCCGTACCACTACCGCCTGGACTGGCTGATGTGGTTCGCGGCCTTCCAGGTGGGGGACGGTCCCTGGCGGGCGCATGGACCTGCCTGTACCCCACCCTCTTCTGCCCATAGATGGCAGGTTTCTAGAACGCCCACTGAAGGGGCTGGTGGGGAGGGAGGCTGGGAGAGATGGGATCCTGCCTGAGCTGAGAACTGAGCCCACACGACATCCAGGCCCAGCCTTAGGAGGGGCCTCATGTGGGAGCCCAGCCCCACCGTCCCCCCGGGTCTGCCAGGTAGTGTCTCATGCCAGGAATCCCAGCCCGGGTGCCATAGCGAGACCCTGTATCTACGAACAATACAAAAGTTAGCCAGCAGCTGAGGGTGGCGCCTGTGGTTTCAGCTACGCAGGAGGAGGAAGGATCGATTGAGCCCAACCGCTGCAGCCTCAAATGATGGCAGCGTTGCCTTCCAGTCTGGGGGACGGAGCCAGACCCTGTCTCAGCGAACAGGAAAGAAGGAATCCCCAGGGCTGGGGGTAGCAGAGGCACCCATGGACAGAGCTGCTGTTTCTGTCCTCCCGGTCCCGTCTCAGCCACCAGAAAACTGAGCCTCAGGGAGGCAAGGCCCAGACAGAGGGTGCTGGGGTGGACAGGCTCCAAGGCACCCAGCCAGGGGAGCGAAGCCAGCGGCCGACATGGGAATGAGTGGTCAGGGCTACACGAAGCAGGCAGCCCCTTAAGGGGACCCCAGCCAAAGAGCTGGAGTGCGGCTGCCCAGGGAACCCACCTCCAGGAAAGCCTCAGGAGGGAGTGGAGGGCACAGCCGAGCGTCCGGAGGGGCTGTGCCTGGACAGCGAGTGGCACAGCCGTCTCCAGCCCGACCTCTCCTCCCAGACCTACGAGCACAACGACTGGATCATCCACCTGGCTGGCAAGCTCCTGGCCAGCGACGCCGAGGCCTTGTCCCTGCTGGCACACAACCCCTTCGCGGGCAGGCCCCCGCCCAGGTAGGATGCCCTCCCTGCCGCTGCTCAGGGGTCTCCCCCAAATCCAGGTGTCTGCTGGGATCCCACCACCTGTACCTGCACCCCCACCTGCTCACGGGAAGCGCCCCTTCCCTCCCGCAGAGGCAGGAGGTGGGGCCTGCTGGGAGCAAAAAGGGCCCCCCCCCCCCGCCCCACATCAGCCTTGGCATCAAGGCTGGTCCCACCCCTGCCTCATAGCCCACCTCAAACCAAACCAGCCGTGGTGAGAGGAGCCCAGGACAGCTGCTCTGGGCAGGGTGACCCCGGCTCACAGCTTTGTTGAGGTGTCCTCTAGGTGCCACCTCTGCTCCTGGCCTGGAGAGGCAAGAAGGACAGGCAGGGCCCTCACTCCAGGAGCCCCAGGGGTCCATGGTGAACTGGGCAGGGGACTGCAGTGAGAGCCCTGTGGGCCCTGCAGCCTCGCCCACTCCGGCCAGTGACGTGGTGACATTCCAAGGAGGGAGCCCCGCAGGGTCAGATTCTCAGGAGCCAGAGGTGGTAGCCATGGGGGAAGTCACCCTCCTCTCCATACCAGGGATGACTTTCCAGACTCCACGCAGGGGAGCTGGGGTGCACAGGGAGACACTAAGGACCCTGAGCATTGTGACCAGAGGACAAGGTTTTGGGGAGAGCTGGGGCCTTCAGAAGAGGAGCAGGAGGCAGGGATGGGGCCCCGCTGGGGTACGGGAGGGGATCTGAGGACAGTGTGGGGTGGGGCCCAGGGTGGGGCAGAGCATGGAGGATTGGAGACGTCCACGTGACCAGACCTGGGGCGGCCACTCTGACAAGCGTTTGTATCCCCTGCCCCACATGGTTGGGATTGAGCAGCCCCCTGGAGGTAGCAGGAACAGAGCAGAGTCTGGACTGCCCACCCCTCCCCTGCGCCATCAGCCGCCGATTCTGACGGAAAACACAGCTCTGGATTTTCCCTCCAAGAACACTCGGGAGCTGGGACAGCTGCACCCTCTGGAGTTGCTCACAGCTGCCTGGAGACCCCAGCCAAGGAGCCGGAGGGCGGGGATGGGAGGGGCGCCGAGGTCCACAGAGGCAGTGGAGCAGCTGGGCCCGAGTCTGGCAGCCCAGGCAGGTGCTCCCGGCCAAGCGATGCTTCCAGGGCTGCTTCCCCAGCACGGGTATCACAGGGAGCTGGGGCAGAGGGGCTATGGGGTCCCTCCTCATGGGCCCGGCCTCAGGCAGTCCAGGGGAGGCTCCATCCCAGAGCCCCCGGTGGGGTGGCCGCCCTCCTAGCTGGCGCCCTCAGGGCCACCTTCCTGTGAATTGGCATCAAGCTCCAGGTGACTTGCCTGCCACGTGGCCACCAGCAGCCCTGGGAGCCTGAGACCTTGGAGCCCGGACAGGCGGCCGTTCCCCTGGCTCACTGGGGACCAGGCCCCAGAGCTCGTCCTTCGAGGCTCAATACGGGTCTTCTCTGTTACTGCCCCGTCTCAGCAGCCTTCAGAGCCCCCCAGCCCCCACCCCAGATCGCAGCCTCCTCGGTGCCTGGGGACCCTGGAGCTGGCCCAGAGGAAGGTTTGCCATCGTCAGGTCGTGACGGAAGCCTCTTCTGGCCAAGCACACAGTCGGATCATCTGTTTCTCAGCCAGGAGGTGCTGGAAAAAGTAATCATGTCAGAGCAGCTTCAGGTCCATCCATGAGTCCCAAAGTCTACCTGAAAGGATGGATACTGTGAAAACCAAGTGTGAAAAGCAGTAACTATTTTATGTGAACCAGTAATGAGTTAACATTTAGGGAAAACATTATTGAACACTGCCACACGGCACATCTCTCCCGTCTCCATGATACACATGTTTGGCAGCTGGAGCAGGTGGTACCATGACAGGCTGTGGCTAACCGTGGGCCTGCATTGAGTTCATCATCGACTTTAAAACTGGAAGATGGAACAGACACTTACCCCTGTTCCTCCCACTAAGTGCAACCAAGATCCCTGGACGTTATACATAAAACAGGAAGACCGAAGGTGAGAGAAGAGAGCCACCAGCAGGGCCCTCGGGACGGAGCCACAGCCCCAAAATGGTGGTGATCGCCTAGGCTTGCTTTCGGCCTCATTTTCTAGACTTGGGGGTGAGGAAACTGGAAACCCAGTAATGCCAGCAGATGCAGACAAGAAACACCTCAACAAAAATCTGCTCTCTCTGACTAAAGGGCCAGAAAAGAGCAGCCTAGCAAGACAGGAAATTTACATAAAATAATCACCACTCCAGGCAACACCACAGAAAAAACCATGGCCCCACCCACACCAGCAAGGTATGGAGTAGGGAGCCTGGACTCTCCTCCAAACGGCTCACTGGGATGCTACCAGAGGAGGCCAAATAGGAAGCTGAGATTTTCATCCAAGTGGGCAGGAAGGATCCCCCGCTTCTGTGGTATCAGTGGAGACCACACGAGGAGCCTGGACTCCCCCAACCCCTGGCAGTACTGAAGGGCTCCTCCCCTCCAGAGTGGTATTACGTAATAGCTACCAGAAAGTCAGGACCTTCACCACCACCCAGCCAGCAATGACTAGGCCACCCCCGCCATAGTGTCATGGAGGCCTAGTGCAGAGCCACGACTCCCACCCTACCCAGAAACAACAAGGAATACTCCCAATGCGTCCACTGGAGTTCTACCCCAACCTGGCAGGAGCAAGGTAATACCCCTGTCTCTACCAGCATGAGGTCAGAAGAAGTCATCTAAAGCAGAAGGTTTAAATAAGATCCAAAATCTCCTAATACACAAAATGTTCAGTTTTCAGTGGAAAAATTACTTGTCACAGCAGGAAACAGGAAGACATTGGTGAAAAAGGACAGTCGACAGATGATAGCACCAAGATGAGGGAGGTATTAGAGTGACTTCACAGAGATGTGAATGCAGCCGTCGAAAACGCATGCAGTAATTATGAACACAACTGATAAAAAATACAGCCTCAGCAAAGAAATCGGTTTTTTAAAGAACCAAATGAAAAGTTTAGAAGTGAAAAATATAACTGACACAAAACACTCGACATCTGAATGGTGAGGACAGAGGAAAGAATCAATAAACTTAAACATAGAAAGTACCCAGTGGGAACAAGTGAGAGGACATAGACGGGGAAAAACAGCAAGAGCCCCAGGGATCTGTGGGACTGAGACTGTAACAGAAGATCCAGAATTCATGTCATCAGAGTCCTAGGAGGAAGACAGAGTGAGCTTTAGGGCTGAAAATGTACTTGGAGAAATAAGAACTGAAAACTTCCCAAATTTGGCAAAACGGACAAACCTACCGAGTCAATAAACTGAGCAAACCCTAAATAGGAAAAACCCAAAGAAATTCAAACCTAAACACATCAAAGTCAAATTTCTAAAAACCAGAGATAATAAAACATTGCCAGCCTGGCCAACATGGTGAAGTCTCGTCTCTACAAAAATAAAAAATGAGCGAGTATGGTGCCACACGCCTGTAATCCCAGCTACTCAGGAAGCTGAGCAGGAGAATTGCTTGAACCTGGGAGGCAGAGGTTGCAGTGAGCCGAGATCACACCGTTGCCCTCCAGCCTGGGCAACAGAGCGAGACTCAATCTCAAAAGAAAAAAGAAAAGACATGGGTAAATACAATAGACGTTCCTTCTCTTGAGTTCCAATCATGTTGGATGGTTAAGCAAAGGCTATAAAACTGTCTGAAGTAGTTCAAAGTTTATGTAGAGGAAGTAGTTAAGATAACTATAAATGGATGAGGGCAAATGGACATAGAGGTGAGGTTTCTATGCTTAACTTGAAGTGGTAAAATGACATCAGTAGACTGTAAGTTACGTGCCAAGAACAGCCAGTAAAAAACAACCTATACTAAGAGATACATTGGAACACACTATTGACAAATCAAAATGGAATTCTAAAACACTTACATAACCCATAGGAAAGCAGGTTGGGAAAAACAAAGAAATCAGAAACAGAACAGATGGGAAGAAGTAAAATGACCGACTGTATATTCAATGTAAATGGTCTAAATAAGCCAATTAAGAGATAAAGATTGGCCAGGTGCAGTGGCTCACTCCTGTAATGTCAGCACTTTGGGAGCTGAGGCAGGTGTATCACTTGAAGTCAGGAGTTCAAAATCAGCCTGGCCATCATGGCAAAACCCTCTTTACTAAAAATACAACAATTAGCCAGGCATGGTGGTGCATGCCTGTAATCCCAGCTACTCGGGAAGCTGAGGCTACAGTGACCCAAGACATGCCACTGCACTCCAGCCTGTGCGACACAAGACCCTATCTCAAAAAAAAAAAAAAAAGATAGTAACTTAAATATATGCATAATGAGCTTATGCCCTGATAAATGCAGCATAAGTTGAAAATGTAAGTCAAAAATGAGTTTAATACACCTACCAAACATCCGTCGTAGCTCAGCCTAGCCTACTACCTTAAACGTGCTCAGAACACTTACATTAGACTACACTGGGCAAAATCACCTAGCACAGGCCTGTTTTGTAATACAGTGTTGAATATGTCATTTACTGAATACTGTATGGAAGTGAAAACAGGATAGTTGTCTGGGCACTCACAGTGCGGTTCCTACCGAGTGCGTATCCCTCGCACCATTGTAAAGCTGAAAAACTGTCAGTGGAACTCTCATAAGTTAGGGACCCTCTGTATAGGCAGGTTGAAAGTAAAAGGATAGAAAAAAATATGTGACTATTAATGAAAATAAAGGATTCATTGTATTAACCTCAAAGTAGACCTCAGTGCAAAAATTATTGGAGACAAAGACGGACAATGAGAAAAGAATCAACCTGCCAAACAGATGTAGCAATCCTAAGTGTGTGCACTAAGCACAGATCTGCAAAACATGTGAAGAAAAAGAACTGAAAGGAGAGCTCGACAAATCAACAATTACGGCTGGATGTTTCAACACCCTTCTTTCAACAATAGGTAGAATAACTAGATGGAAATTCAGCAAGAACATAAAGGAGCACCATCATCGACAGGCAGGGCCTAATGATGTTTATAGAATATGCCACCCATTGCACTGAATGACATGTCACATTTTCTGGGATGTAGTTAAACTAGTGATGAGAGAGAAAGCACCAAATGCATACATTAGAAAAGAGACCTGAGATTTTAGAAAGAGGAAGGATCTCAAATCAATAATCTGACATCAGCTGGATGCCGTGGAAGCACCTGTAGTCCCAGCTACTCAGGAGGCTGAGGTGGGAGGACTGTGTGAACCCAGGACGTTAACGCCAGCCTCTTGGCATCAGGCAGCACAGGAAGACCCCATCGCTTAAAAAATAATAATAATCTAGCTCAAGATCACATGAATAACTAGGAAAAAATTTAAAGCAAGGAGCAGTAAGAAAATAGTAAAAAGCAGAAAATGAAACTGAAAACAAACAATAGAGAAACTTATTGAAACAAAGAGATGGTTCTTTTAAAAGACCAATAAAATCAGCAACCCTCTAGTAAGAATAACAAAAGGAGAAGATACGATTGCCAATATCAAAGATGAAAAAAGAGGTTGGGTGTGGTGGCTCATGCCTGAAATCACCGCACTTTGGGAGGCCAAGGCGGGTGGATCACCTGAACTCAGGAATTCAAGACCAGCATGGCCAACATGGTGAAACCCGGTCTCTACTAAAAATACAAAAACTTGGCTGGGCGTGGTGGCAGGTGCCTGTAGTCCCAGCTACTTGGGAGGCTGAAACACGAGAATTGCTCGAGCCGAGACTGCAGCACTGCACTCCAGCCTGGGCGACACCACAAGATTCTGTCTCGAAACGAAAAAGAGATATCACTACAGACCCTGCAATCTGAAAAGGATAATAAGCGACTACGACAAACATCTACATACATAAATTTTATAACTTGGATGAAATAGACCAATTCCTCAAAAAACACAAACTACCACAACTCACCTGGTATGAAATAATAATTTAAATAGCCCTATAACTAGAAATTGAATTTGTCATTTTAAACTCCAAAAAGAAATATCCAGGCTCAGATGGTTTCACTGGAGAATTCTAAGATTAATTTCCCAGAAAATAGAAGAGAAGGAAAAGCATCAATTTACGTTTTATTTATTTATTTATTTATTTTTTGAGACAGGTTCTCACTCTCTGTCACCCAGGCTGGAGTGCAATGGCACAAACATGGCTCACTGTAGCCTCGACCTCCTCAGCTCAAATTATCCTCCCGCCTCAGCCTCCCAGGTAGCTGGGACCACAGGCCCACACCACCACGCCTCACTAATTTTTTTAGTTTTTGTAGAGACAGGATCTTGCCATGGTGCCCTGGCTGGTCCCAAACTCCTGGGCTCAGGCAGTCCTCCCACCTCAGCCTCCCAAAGTGCTGGGATTACAAGCATGAGCCACTGTACCCAGCCTCAATTTATTTTATGAAGCTAGTGGTTCTCTGATACCAAAACCACACAAAGATAATACAAGAAAATAATATTACAAGCCAATATCCCTCAGTGATATAGACACAAAATTTTTTAACAAAATATTACTAAATAGACTGGGCACAATGGCTCACACTTGTAATCCCAACACTTTGGGAGGCCGAGGCGAGCAGATCACCTGAGGTCAGGAGTTCAAGACCAGCCTGGCCAACATGGTGAAACCCCATCTTTGCTAAAAATACAAAAATTAGCTGGGCATGGTGGTGGCTGCCTATAATCCCAACTACTCGGCAGGTGGAGGTTGCAGTAAGCAGAGATGGTGCCACTGCACTCCAGCCTCGGCAACAGAGTGAGACTCTGCCTCAAAAAAAAAAAAAAAATTACTAAATAGAATTTGCCAATATATAACAAAGAATTCTATGCCATGACCAAGTAGGGATTATTCCAGGGATGAAGGTTGGTTCCGTATTTGAGAATCAGTCGATGAGATCCACACGTTACCAGCTACCGAAGATAACTCACACGATCACATCTGTCAGTGTTGGGAAGGCCCGTGACAAGTTTAACATCTATTCATGATTTAAACTTGGAAAAACAGAGAAGGAGAGGAACTTCCTCCGCTGGATAAAGAGCATCTGTACAAGCCCTGCAGCCAGCATTCTCCTCGAGGGCAAGGAATCACCCTTCACCATTCAGATCCGGAACAAGAAAGGACGTCTGCTCTAACCATCGGATCCGGCATGGTGCTGGAAGCGCTGGGCACTGCAGTACGCAGGACAAGGAAAGAAAAGGCGTGTCGATCACAAAGGAAGAAACGAAACTGCCTGTTTACAGATGACGCCGTTGTCTTTGTAGGAAATCCCAAGGTATCCACCAAAAACACTCCTAGAATTATGAAGCGAGGCCGGGCGCAGCGGCTCACACCTGCAATCCCAGCACTGTGGGAGGCCAAGGCAGGCCAGTCACCTGAGGTCGGGAGTTCAAGACCAGCCTAACATAGAGAAACCCTGTCTCTACTAAAAAAAAATTCAAATTAGCCAGGTGTGGTGACGCATGCCTGTAATCCCAGCTACTCAGGAGGCTGAGGTAGGAGAATTGCTTGTACCGGGGAGGCAGAGGTTACAGTGAGCTGAGATTGCGTCACTGCACTCCAGCCTGGGCGACAGAGTGAAACTCCATCTCAAAAAAAAAAAAAAAAAAAAAGAAAGAAAATTAATAAGTGAGTTCAGCAAAGTCAGAAGACACAAGATCAACCTAAATGATTCAATAGTATTCCTGTACGCTAGCAATGAACACACAGACACCTAAATTAAATACGCAGAACCACTTAAAACCACTCCAAAAAGCGAAATACTTAGGTATAAACCTGACAAAACATGCACAGAACTTACATGCTGAAAAC
The DNA here is from genome assembly GCF_000001405.40 of Homo sapiens. NCBI lineage: Eukaryota > Metazoa > Chordata > Mammalia > Primates > Hominidae > Homo > Homo sapiens. The sequence continues at coordinate 861,155 of NC_000016.10, read as the reverse complement.
TCAGCAATGCTGCTGAAAGACGTCAGCACACACCTAGAGACACGGCCGCGTTCGTGGGTTGGAAGATACAACAACGTGGAGATGACAGGTCCTTCCAGATTGATGGACAGGTTTAATGCAATTCCTATTAAAAAAAAAACCCAGCAAGATGTGTTAATAGGTAAGGACAAGTCATCCCAAGTTTTCTATGGAAATGTAAAGGAGCAAAAATAGCTAAAACCATTTTGAAAGAGAACAAGGTGGAACGAATCAATCTACCCAGTTTCAAGACACAGAACTACAGTAGTCAACACAGTGTAGTATTGACAGAGGGACAGACATGCAATTCCATGGAACACAACAGAGAACCCACAAAGAGACCCAAACAAACATGCCCGGATGAGTTTTTTTTACAAAAGCGCAAAAGCAATTCCATGGACAAAAACAAAATCTTCGACCCACGTCTCACCCCACACAAAAATAACTCAAAACGGATCCTGGACTTCAACGTAAAGCATAAGACAATCAACTTTCAGGGCCAGGCATGGTGGCCCACATCTGTAATCCCAGCACTTTGGGAGGCCAAGGTGGGCAGATTGCTTGACCTCAGGAGTTTGAGACCAGCCTGAGCAACGTGGCAAAACCCCGTCTCTACTAAAAACACAAAAAATTAGCAGGGCCTGGTGGCACATGCCTGTAGTCCCAGCTACTCGGGAGGCTGAGGTGGGAGGATCACTTGAGCCTGGGAGGCAGAGGTTGCAGTGAGCCGAGATCACACCACCACACTCCAGCCTGGGCAACAGAGCGAGAGCCCATCTCAAAAAAAAAAAAACTTTCAGGAAAAAATAGAAGAAAATCTTTGGGATCTAGGGCCAGGCAGAGTCATTATACTTAAAGATGATCTGTGAAAGGAAAAATTAATTGAAATTCATTAAAATTAAAAGCATTTGCTCCATAAAAAGACCTGTTAAGAGAACAAAGATAATTTTTAAGCTACAGACAGAAAATATTTGCAAGTCACGTATCTGACAATAGTCTAAAATCTGGAATATGTAAAGAAGTTTCATAACTTAATACTAAAATAATCTTATTAGAAAATGAGCACAGAGACGTTTCACCAAAGAAGGTGCACAGATGACAGATAAGCTCAGGAGAAATGCCTGTCATTAGAGAAGCAAAAACCACCATAACACCACTGCACACCCATCCGGTACCATCACTGCACACCCATCCCGTGACACCACTCACACCGATCCCGTGACACCACTGCACACCCATCCCGAGACACCACTCACACCCATCCCGAGACACCACTGCACACCCATCCCGTGACACCACTCACACCCATCCCGAGACACCACTCACACCCATCTCGTGACATCACTGCACACCCATCCCGAGACACCACTCACACCCATCCCGAGACACCACTGCACACCCGTCCCGAGACACCACTGCACACCCGTCCCGAGACACCACTGCACACCCGTCCCGAGACACCACTGCACACCCGTCCCGAGACACCACGCACACCCGTCCCGAGACACCACTGCACACCCGTCCCGAGACACCACTGCACACCCGTCCCGAGACACCACTGCACACCCGTCCCGTGACATCACTGCACACCCGTCCCGAGACACCACTCACACCCGTCCCGTGACAACACTGCACACCCGTCCCGAGACACCACTCACACCCGTCCCGAGACACCACTCACACCCGTCCCGTGACACCACTCACACCCGTCCCGAGACACCACTGCACACCCCTCCCGAGACACCACTGCACACCCATCCCGAGACACCACTGCACACCCGTCCCGAGACACCACTGCACACCCGTCCCGTGACAACACTGCACACCCGTCCCGAGACACCACTCACACCCGTCCCGAGACACCACTCACACCCGTCCCGTGACACCACTGCACACCCGTCCCGTGACACCACTGCACACCCGTCCCGAGACACCACTCACACCCGTCCCGAGACACCACTCACACCCGTCCCGAGACACCACTGCACACCCGTCCCGTGACATCAGTGCACACCCGTCCCGAGACATCACTGCACACCCGTCCCGAGACACCACTCACACCCGTCCCGTGACACCACTCACACCCGTCCCGTGACATCACTCACACCCGTCCCGTGACACCACTGCACACGCGTCCCGTGACACCACTGCACACCCGTCCCGTGACACCACTGCACACCCGTCCCGTGACACCACTGCACACCCGTCCCGTGACACCACTGCACACCCGTCCCGAGACACCACTGCACACCCGTCCCGAGACACCACTCACACCCGTCCCGTGACACCACTCACACCCGTCCCGTGACACCACTCACACCCGTCCCGAGACACCACTCACACCCGTCCCGTGACACCACTGCACACCCGTCCCGTGACACCAGTCACACCCGTCCCGAGACACCACTCACACCCGTCCCGAGACACCACTCACACCCGTCCCGTGACACCACTCACACCCGTCCCGTGACACCACTCACACCCGTCCCGAGACACCACTGCACACCCGTCCCGAGACACCACTGCACACCCGTCCCGAGACACCACTCACACCCGTCCCGAGACACCACTCACACCCGTCCCGAGACACCACTGCACACCCGTCCCGAGACACCACTGCACACCCGTCCCGAGACACCACGCACACCCGTCCCGAGTCACCACTGCACACCCGTCCCGAGTCACCACTCACACCCGTCCCGTGACACCACTCACACCCGTCCCGTGACACCACTCACACCCGTCCCGAGACACCACTCACACCCGTCCCGAGACACCACTGCACACCCGTCCCGAGACACCACTCACACCCATCCCGAGACACCACTGCACACCCATCCCGAGACACCACTGCACACCCATCCCGAGACACCACTGCACACCCATCCCGTGACACCACTCACACCCATCCCGTGACACCACGCACACCCATCCCGAGACACCACTCACACCCATCCCGTGACACCACGCACACCCATCCCGAGACACCACTCACACCCATCCCGTGACACCACTCACACCCATCCCGAGACACCACTCACACCCATCCCGAGACACCACTCACACCCATCCCGAGACACCACTGCACACCCATCCCGAGACACCACTCACACCCATCCCGAGACACCACTCACACCCATCCCGAGACACCACGCACACCCATCCCGAGACACCACGCACACCCATCCCGAGACACCACGCACACCCATCCCGAGACACCACGCACACCCATCCCGAGACACCACTGCACACCCATCCCGTGACACCACGCACACCCATCCCGAGACACCACTCACACCCATCCCGAGACACCACTCACACCCATCCCGAGACACCACGCACACCCATCCCGAGACACCACGCACACCCGTCCCGAGACACCACTGCACACCCGTCCCGAGACACCACGCACACCCGTCCCGAGACACCACGCACACCCGTCCCGAGACACCACTCACACCCGTCCCGTGACACCACTCACACCCGTCCCGTGACACCACTCACACCCGTCCCGTGACATCACTCACACCCGTCCCGTGACACCACTCACACCCGTCCCGAGACACCACTCACACCCGTCCCGTGACACCACTCACACCCGTCCCGTGACACCACTCACACCCGTCCCGAGACACCACTCACACCCGTCCGGTGACACCACTCACACCCGTCCCGAGACACCACTCACACCCGTCCCGTGACACCACTGCACACCCATCAAAACGGCTGGAATAAAAGTAGCAACAACCCCACATGCTGGCAAAGATACCAAGAAATCGAGTCACTCGGCTGTTGCTGGGAGGGTAAAATGGCTCCTCAAAAAGGACACCCGAAGTTGCAGTGGACTCAGCAGCTGCTTCCATGGACGTTTAAGCCAGAGAGTTGAAACCCAGGTTCACGCAGAAACCCGTGCAGAGGTTTACGGCAGCCGTCACAGACAAAAACTGCAAAGAGCTCAGCTGTCCTTCCACAAGAGAGCGACCGCACAAACTAGGGTGCACTCACGCCGCAGACGCCGGTCAGCGACGAGGAGGAAGGAAGCCTCCATCACACGACCTGGCGGAACCTGAGAATTGGCGTGAGAATCGCCTGCCCCGCGGGTACGTGCCGCAGGGTTCCACTCATTCTTGAAATCATACGTTCTTGAAATCACACAAGGAGGCCGAAGGTCGGGGAGGGTGTGGAAGGACACGGGGGTCCGGGCGTGGATGGGACCCGTGTCTGTGGCCTCAGTGTCAGGCCCTGGCTGCAATCCCTACTATAGCTGTGCAAGATGCCCAGCTGTTGCCAGTAGGGTCTATTTCAAAAGGGCTGGGAGATCCCCTATTTTCAACACTCTCAAGCCCTCCGGGGCGGTGCCATGGCCTTCTCGGGTACTTTGTCTGCAGGAATGAAATGCAACCCTTCAGGCCGCTGGGGCCTGGGGCCCCTTCCCACCAACCTGCCAGTTGGCACAGAGGGTTCTGACCCTTTCCAAAACCCTTTCCAAACTGCAGTTCCAGCTCTTGATGTCAGAGACCAGGCCCTGGGCCCCCTAGGCCTTGACCCTGTCCTGGGAAGGAGCAGAAAGCAAGAGCAGGAATTTGGGAAAGATGGGCAATCCCACTGCAGGAGGCCTTCCCAGGATCCCCACCCTCCCGGCCTCACTAAATGCAGGGTTTGGGAGAGGGTGGGCCTGCCTGGGGACTGCATTGCCCTAGCAAGGCCCAGGAGAGTGTGCAGGGACCATGCTGCCCGCACAGCCCAGCGCCCTCACGGCCGCATTCCAGCCCGTCCCTTCAGTCTGCTGCTGAGCTGCTCAGAGGTCGACCTCGGGGTCCAGTGTGACTTCTCTGCCTGGCACCACCTGGCCTCAGTCCCCATGCTGGCCGCTGCCGTCCTTATAGCCAAGGAAAACCATGGCAGCCTCAGGCCCAAGGGGTCCAGGAAAGACCCCTGGGGCCCAGGGCAGTGGGCAGTGCCCTCCTGGAGTGGACGGGAGCCACCAACTGCCAGCATCACCCTCAGTCTTGGCTGCCCGGGAGGTTTTCCAAAGGCCCGACCCCACTCCTCTTGGAGCTGCTGATCCCTCTCTCCCATCAGGCGCCTCAGGGACCCTCCTCCACCCAGAGGGTCTCTGTCTTCCCGGTTTTCCTGGCGTAATTCAGACTTGGGGAGAGAAGAATCATCATCCATCACACACCCAGACCCAAAGAGACTCAAAGCCAGGAGGAGCCGGGTGGACCCAGAGGCCCTCACCCTGCCAGCCTAAGGGGCATGGCCCAAGGTCTCCACCCCCAGCCCCCAGAGCACAGCTGTGTGCAGGTCACCAGAAGCCCCAAATAATGACAGCAGCCCAGACAGTCGCTACCGGGCCCTGGTGCAGTGTGAAGCCTCTGGCACCTGCCTGGGCTCATTCCAGGGGCCATGAGAGGGTCCTGTTATGGCTGCACCATCACACCCACCGGGCAGCTGGGGCCCAGCTCTGCCATGGATCCCAGCCAGGCAGCAGCCGCCCTGTGGGCTGAGAAGCTTCCGCTCCTGCTGCACAACTGCGAAGGGGCCTGGAGGGCCGGGAGCTTGTGACGGTGACAATTCCTCCTGGCGCCTCCTCCTCCGGGGCAGCCGAGCAACCCTGGACATGAGGGGGCTTCGTCCCACCCCCAGGAGAAAATGCCCAGTCCTCCGAGAGTCCAGTGAGGGCTTGCCAGCCAGGGACCAAGACCCAGTATGGCCTAAACCAGGCCTGGTCACCAGGGGTCAGGCGGGACCTTATACAGGGCTCAGCAGAGAGACCTGCCCGCTACCCTGCTCCAGGGGAGATGGGGGTGGGGGCCTTCATCCCACTCGGGCATGACAGAGGAGAGCAGCCAGCCAGCATCTGCACGTCTCAGGCAGGGAAGGGCCTGAAGCCCTGGGAAGCAGAGGCTCCGCCCTCAGGAAACAGGTCCCGGCCTGGCTCCCTCACAGCCTCGGACTGCCCCGTGGACCGAAACCCCCAGGCACCTTGCGCCAGGACTGGCCTGATGGTGGAGACGCCACACCATGAGCAGTAGGTTCCTCTCCCCACCTTCCCAGGCGGGGGACACTTGGGGCTCAAACTGGGGCCTTGTGAACGGTCTCAGGCTTGCTCAGTGCCACCCGTGAAGCTCCTGGCCTTCCCCGGGCCGGTCCCTCTGCCAAGTGGGCCCTGCTGGGTCTCCCCTCCCGGAGCTGCCCCCCGTCCGCCCTTCCCCCTTGCTGCGCTGTTCACTGCTGAGGGTGCCGACTGGAACAGTTGCCCTGCCCGGGGTCTGCTGGGGGTCTACCTGTGCTCAGGGTGGGGGCTCCTCATGCAGCCCCTCTGTCCGTGGGGGACCCTGTGAGCAGCTGCAGCTCAGCAGCAGGCTGAGGAGCCGGGTCGGGGGCCGGGAGTCCCAGCAGGCCCTGGGCTGACATGTGCCCCCTTGCAGGTGGGTCCGAGGAGAGCACTACAGGTACAAGTTCAGCCGTCCTGGGGGCAGGCACGCCGCCGAGGGCAAGTGGTGGGTGCGGAAGAGGATCGGAGCCTACTTCCCTCCGCTCAGCCTGGAGGAGCTGAGGCCCTACTTCAGGGACCGTGGGTGGCCTCTGCCCGGGCCCCTCTAGACGTGCACCAGAAATAAAGGCGAAGACCCAGCCCCTCGGCGGCTCAGCAACGTTTGCCCTTCCCTGCGCCCAGCCCAAGCTGGGCATCGCCAAGAGAGACGTGGAGAGGAGAGCGGTGGGACCCAGCCCCCAGCACGGGGGTCCAGGGTGGGGTCTGTTGTCACATACTGTGGCGGCTCCCAGGCCCTGCCCACCTGGGGCCCCACATCCAGGCCAACCCTTGTCCCAGGCGCCAGGGGCTCTGATCTCCCATCCATCCCACCCTCCTCCCAGAGGCCCAGCCTGGGGCTGTGCCGCCCACAGGAGTTGAGACAATGGCCATCCTGACACCTTCCTCCACTACAGCCCTGACCATAGACCCAGCCAGGTAGCTCTTGGGGTCTCTAGCGTCCCAGGGCCTGGTTTCTGTTCCCTCTTCAATGGTGTGTTCCCAGCCAGGTCCTGACCCTCAGAGCCAAGTCCCTGTCACGTCTGGGGCAGCCAAACCCTCGCCCCACAGGGACCTGGACACGCCCGGCCAGGATGTGGGGTTGGATGGGCCATTTTCTGTCCTATCCCTCATCTCCACCCCCGCCACAGCCTACACGCATCCCACACATGCAGGCACACACAGCCTGTGCACACATGTGTTCTTGGCCCGGTTTCATCCCCCCATGACTGGTGTCTGTGAGGTGCAGATGGACACAGCGCACACCCAGACCCTCCACCAGGCTGTGACCTCGCTGCCTCTGAGGCCTTGACAAGGCCCCTCAATCGGAGGACAGCCGGCCGTGCACACTTTCATCATCGTCGGACAAACAGCGTCTACTGCACATTTTTCTTATTCCTATTCTTGAGCCATAGCTATGGCATATTCTTCTACTATTCCTATTATACCACTTACCAGCTTACTCGAAAACACACTGTTTAAATGAAGAAGTTCTTGTACCTCCCTCCCCTTGGCGGTGGCCGTGCCCCCAGCCCACACTCTGATGCTGGGGCAGCGGGTGACCGAGCGGGAGCTTGATGGAGAGGTGAATGGGTGGTGCTTTGCCTGGCGACCCTTCCAGTGTCTGCTGCGGCAATACTTGGAGTAAATGGGAATGAGCAGGGGTGCCAGCCCTGCCGGAAGGAGGCAAAGCTCTGGGGCAACGTCCCCCACCCAGGACGCTGTGAGGCTGGGTCCTGGGAGAAGTCAGAAGTGGGCCCCACCATAGGACAGAGGCCCTCCCCTCTCCCCCAGCCTGGGGGGGCGGTTCCCCCACCCACCCCTTCCCCCTGCCTCCATCCACGGCACCTGGAGCCATGATGCCCACGGCTGAGCCACTGTGGGGGGCCCCAGTGGGGACAACACGGTGGTTCAGGCCGAGGAGGGCGGCTGCGGTAGGCACAGTGTGGGTCTGTGTGGAGCCCCCCCTCGGCCTGCCCGGGGGGGACAGCCAGCCCAGGTGCCAACAGAGGGCCCGTGTTCCAGCTCCCGGGGAAACAGGGCGCCCTGTGTCTGTGGAGGGACAGACAGGGCCTCAGAGGGACGCACCAGGAGCCAGCAAGTCTGCCGGAGCGACCACGCGGAGCTGTCGGCCACAGGGGCCTGGGCGGCCCTTCCCGGGGGGCTGTCCCAGGGACTCTGCTGTTGGTGGGGCCCAGCCCTGTGGCACAGCTCAGGGGCGGACATCTCAGGCAGCGGCAGTTGTGGGAACCCGAGGGACCCATCGCCTGGGAAAGGCTGGTGCCACGGGGTGCCCCTGCCCAGCCTCTGCAAGGGGGAGACCTGAGGAGCCAACAGCCCTCCATGCCCCCTGCCCGGAACCCTCCCGTGCGGCTGTCCTCCCCGTAGTGGGTCCCGAATCCCACAGCCCCTCCTCCCGGGCTCCTTCACCCCGCTCCAGGCTCCTCTTGTCCCAGGGCAGCTGTGCACCACTGGTCTCCCGGGGACCCCGTAGTGGGGCTGCAGGTCCTGGTCAAGGGGGGCAGGGCAGGAGCCCACAGCAGTAGTGACTGGGCACCCCGTTCATGGGACCCACAGCCCAGAGACTCCGCAGCACTGTCCTGGGACCACGGGAAGGGCCTGCAAGAGCCCTGGAGCAGACACCCTCATCCTCCGTTGGGGATGGCAGCTGTGACTTCCCAGGGGACCTGGGGGTGGGGTCACAGGGCATGTGGGGTCAAGTCACACAGCATGAAGTGGACCAGGGCCGTCATTAAGCGAACAGTTTGTGGTGTGGAGTGCGCTCCCGAGGCCGTGCATCCACCTCCCCTCCATCCAGCCCATTTCCATCTTCCAGACAGAGCCTCTAGCCCCAGGGAATCCATCTCATGCCTCTGTGGGTCCCTGTTCGGGACCCTTCATATAAACGGAATCACGGGCCTCAGCCCTCCCATCGGGCATGTCAGCTTCTTCCCTCACGTCTGAACTCTCCACAGAGTCTGTGCGAGACGCCCAGCCCCCGGCTGCCTGTGTTCTGTGTGACGGAGGGTCCCACCTGCCGGTGTGGGGCAATGGGGCCAGTGGCCCCGACACGTGTCAGGCCGATGCCTGTGGTCAGGAAGTCCCCTGGGGGCGGAGGCCTGGGCATCTGAAGGGGTGCTCGGGGTGGGAGTCATGGTGTGATCTGCCCTCCCCATCTCGGCCAGCCTCGGGGGCCTGTCACTGTGGAAGGCAGGTCTGCTACCACCTCTGGGTACCCCACCAAGGTCACAAAAATAGGGGGGCCCCTGGACCCAGCTGGGGGCCTCGAGGGCCCACTCCATGGAGCCCTTGGCTCTGACCCGTGAGTGTCCAGCCCTGCTCAGGGAGACCCCCTCAGCTGGCAGGCAGAGGAGCCCTAATGGTGGGGGTCCAGTCTCTGGATCCAGGTTCCCAGAGACGTCCACTCACCTGGGGCGGACAGGTGACCTGAGGTCGGGTTGTGACAGCCTCGGCTGGAGTGGAGCCTGCACCCTCTGCAGACCCAGAGTCTGTCACACCTGACCCTTCCAAGGCTGGGTTCCCCTCACCTCATCTGTCTTTGGCAGATAGTCCCAAGGCCTCACCACACTGAGCCCATCTCCCCCAAACGTCTGGGGTCCCTGTGTGGTCAGGGCCGTGGGGCCTTTACACTAGCAACCAGTGCCAGCGCCCACACGGCAACCCCCTGGCTCTCCAGGGCCTGCTCTGCGCCCTGACACTAAGCTGCCCCAGTCCCGCACCAGGCCCTCAGTGTGGGTCTGCTGGGTCAACTGTGGGCCTGGGGGAAGGGAGAGGCACCCTGGAGTCCCCAGAGCAGCCTCCCTGGCTGGGTCAGGCCCTCAGCCATTCTCACTGCAGCTTGGAGGTCTCAGACTGCCCAGGTCCTCATCTGAGCAGGAAGGTTTGGGAGAATGGCAGCTTTGGAGCTTCAGATCAGCAACACACAAGAATACCACAGACGGCAGCAGCTGGCCCACAGTGGCAGAAAAGAAAGCTCCCTCGTCAAAACAGTATCACAGCAGCATGGAGACCTAGAGATAAACGGGGCACAGTAACCACCCGAGAAATCGTCCCACATGCGGCCAGGTACCGCCCAATGAGAACAACACGAGAAATCGTCCCACACACACGGCCAGGTACTGTCCGATGAGAACAACCCGAGAAATCATCCCACATGCGGCCAGGTACCGTCCGACAAGAACCCGAGAAATCGTCCTACACACGGCTAGGTACCTTCTGACGAGAACGGCCAGAGAAATCGTCCCACATGTGGCCAAGTACCATCCGACGAGAACAACCCAATAAATCGTCCCACACACGTGGCCAGGTACCTTCCAATGAGAACAACCTGAGAAATCGTCCCACGCATGCGGCCAGGTACCTCTGACGAGAACAGCCCGAGAAATCGTCCCACACGCAGCCACGTACCTTCCAATGACAACAACCCGAGAAATCATCCCACACACGGCCACATACCTTCCGACGAGAACTAGGTACCTTCCGACAAGAACAACCCGAGAAATCATTCCACACATGCAACCAGGTACCTTCTGACAACAACAACCACAGAAATCATCCCCCACGCGGCCAGGTACCGTCCAACGAGAACGACCAGGTACCTTCCGACAAGAACAACCAGGTACCTTCCGACGAAAATGACCCGAGAAATTGTCCCACATGCAGCCACGTACCTTCCAATGAGAACAACCCGAGAAATCATCCCACACACGGCCACATACCTTCCAACGAGAACAACCAGTACCTTCCGATGAGAACAACCAGGTACCTTCCGATGAGAACAACCCGAGAAATCATTCCACACATGCAACCAGGTACCTTCTGACAACAACGACCCAAGAAATCGTCCCACACGCAGCCAGGTACCTTCCAACGAGGACAACCAGGTGTCTTCCGACAAGAACAACCAGGCACCTTCCAACGAGAACAACCAGGTACCTTCCGATGAGAATGACCCAAGAAATTGTCCCACACGTGGCCTGGTACCTTCCGACAAAGGCTCTGAGACCATTCAATGGGAAGAGGACAGCCTTTTCAGCAAATGGTACTGGGAAAGCTTTATCTCCACATGCAAAATAATGAATGAAGCTGGCCCCTTACCTAACAGCATACACAAAAATTAACCCAAAAAACATAGGATGAAACACCTAAATGTAAGAGCTAAAACTGTAAGACTCAGAATAAAACCTGGGAAAATCTTAAGGACATTGGATTTGGCAGTGTTTTCTTGGATATGACAACAACAGCACCGGCAACAACACAGAAAATAAATTGGACTTCATCAAAATTTGACATTTCTGGCCGGGTACAGTGGCTCACACCTGTAATCCCAGCACTTTGGGAGGCCAAGGCAGGCGGATCACCTGAAGTCAGGAGTTTGAGACCAGCCTGGCCAACATAGTGAAACCCCGTCTGTGCCAAAAATACAAAAATTAGCCTGGCGTGGCAGGCACCTGTAGTCCCAGCTACTCGGGAGGCTGAGGCAGAAGAATCGCTTGAACCCGGGAGGCAGATGTTGCAGTGAGCTGAGACCGTACCACTGCACTCCAGCCTGGGCAATAGAGTAATATTCTGTCTTTAAAAAAAAAAACTGTGGCTATAAGTGAGACTGCAGAGCTGCCCCGGGCTGCTGTCTGTGGAAGCCCTGCCCTGCGGGAGCAGCCACAGCTGTAACCCCACCTCTGAAGTAAAGCTGTTTCCTTCCACCTCTGGCTCGACCTTGAATTCTTTCCTGGGCAAAGCCAAGAACCCTCTGGGACTAAGCTCCTCTTTCGGGCTCGTCTGCCATGCATCAGAATGATGTGGCCACGTGGAGACTGTCTGGGGGTTCCTCGAAATGTTCAGTGTAGACGGATGACCACATGACCCCGCAACTCCACGTCTGCACGTAGACCCGGGAGAGCTAGAAACGGCGACCACGTGACCCCGCAACTCCACGTCTGCACGGAGACCCGGGAGAGCTAGAAACGGGGACCACGTGACCCCGCAACTCCACGTCTGCACGTAGACCTGGGAGAGCTAGAAACGGGAACCACGTGACCCCGCAACTCCACATCTGCATGTAGACCCGGGAGAGCGGGAAACGGGGACCTGGGTGTGCTTGCACCGGAACGTTTGCAGCAGCCCAGAGGTGGGGACAGCCCAGATGAACAGACCAGGTGTGCTCACCCATGAGCATTACGCAGCCGCAAAGAGGAGCGAGGCCCCGACGCTCAGATGAGCCTTGAGAACCTGATGCCCAGTGAACCCGCCAGACACAGAGGGCACCGGTCCTGCGATGCCGTCTCTGGAATGTCCAGAACAGGGAAACCCACAGAGACGCTGGGCAGGGAGAAGGTGGACGGCTCTCGGGGCTGCTGGCAGGAACAGGGAGAGCGGGCATGACGGCTCACAGGTCCAGAAGGTTCTCTGGCGGGTGATGAAAATATCTGGAATTAGGCAGAGATGCTGGTTGTGCGTGTGGCCAATGTGTTACGTGCACCACACTGCTGACCTTTAAGTGGTTAATTTTATGTAAATGTCAACTTCACCTCAATGTTTTGAAATACAGCAAAGCAAAGCAGAGTGTCTTAAGCGTCCTGAGACCCTGGGCCTCCCTGCCTCAGGGCCCAGACCCTCACCCTGCCAGAAGGTCCAGTGGGGCTCAGGATGCCGGGCAGGGAACGCGCTTCACTCCTTCTCTGTGGCGTGCATGGGGCTGGAGCCGCTTAAGACCAAGGCTCAGTGCACCTGGATGCTGGTTAACCCGAAAGTGCCGTACGGAGCCACCAGTGGTCCCACAAGCTCTGATGATGGCCGCAGTCACGGACATGCAAACTTTGATTCACTGAGGACCACGCGAGCAAATGACAGGTGATGCCGGCAATTCTCAGCCCACTGCTGCCTGGATAGCTTGCCCCTTACGCCGCGAGCCAGGCTGCCCACCCAGCCCACACCCGGGCCCACCTGGCGCTTAGCAAATGGCCTTCCCACATCACGCTGGTGGCTTTCCGCACCACCCAGTGTTCACCTGGGCTCCCACACACCAGCAGGAGGCAGCAAGCAGGCACCTCCCTCCCATCTTGCTCCAAGCGCTGTGTGCGGGAGGGATGGAAACCTCCAGGCGCTGGGAAGAAGCACCCCAGGCACTAGGCAGGGGAAGGCTGGGGGGCCTCCGTGCCCACCCCCAGGTCTGAGCGCATTGGGGAACCCGGGGCACCGGGAGGGTTTGCGGACAGTGCCACCCTCCCTGCAGGGCTGCGGCCACCTTACTTTGCCTGGGCCGCCTGGCCAGGGGCCGCAGCTGACCCGCTGAGTCTGGGTTGGTGGCTCACCGTTCTAGGGTTTACACCTGACCCAGTGTGATCTATACCTGCCCAGGTCATACCACACTGTCCAAACTGTTACAGCTTTCAAACCAGCCCTGGACTGGCCGTCATAGCCGCCTTGATTGTCGTTGGCCCATTGCTGGAAGCAAGTTGGCGAAAGCTTCCGTCAGCTCTGACGGTTGGTGTGCAGACAGATGGCGGGCCGCAACATCCTTTCCTCCCCTCCCTGAGCCTCTTTTTCTCTTGGGTGGCAGGTGGGGCCATCTCCTCTGCCTCATCTTTTTCCTAACCTGGAAGTTGTTCCTTAAACACCTGCCCACGGTGGGCTACTGTGAAGCCCTTCACCCGCAGCCATGTGGACATGCTGGAGGAACATCAACAGACTCTCATCTGAACAACAAAAAAGAGGAAAGAACACTCAGCAAAGGAAAGAAGAGGCACTGAGCCAGGTCAGCACCCCGGGCCGCTGGGAGAAGGTACCTAGTCCAGATGATATGGGACACACAGGGGTTTACAGGAAACCGCGACACATTACAGACACGGGACACACACGGGTTTACAGGAAACCGGGACACATTACAGACACGGGACACACACAGCTTTACAGGAAACCAGGACCCATTACAGACACGGGACACACACGGGTTACAGGAAACCGGGACACATTACAGACACGGGACACACACGGGTTACAGGAAACCGGGACCCATTACAGACACGGGACACACACGGGTTACAGGAAACCGGGACACATTACAGACACGGGACACACACGGGTTACAGGAAACCGGGACCCATTACAGACACGGGACACACACGGGTTACAGGAAACCGGGACGCATTACAGACACGGGACACACACGGGTTACAGGAAACCGGGACGCATTACAGACACGGGACACACACGGGTTACAGGAAACCGCGACACATTACAGACACGGGACACACACGGGTTTACAGGAAACCGGGTCACATTACATACACGGGACACACACGGGTTACAGGAAACCGGGACCCATTACAGACACGGGACATACACGGGTTACAGGAAACCGGGACCCATTACAGACACGGGACACACACGGGTTTACAGGAAACCAGGACCCATTACAGACACGGGACACACACGGGTTACAGGAAACCGGGACGCATTACAGACACGGGACACACACGGGTTACAGGAAACCGGGACGCATTACAGACACGGGACATACGTGGGTTTACAGGAAACCGGGATCCATTACAGAACAACGTCAGTGAACCCCAAGCTGCAATGATCTAGCAAAAAGGTGAGAAAATACAAATAGCCAATATCAAGAAGAAAAGATATCACCACAAATCCACAGAGATGCTACAGGAATAATAAGGTAATATTATGAACAACTTTATTCTAATCAACTCAGCACCCTACATTAAATGAGAAACACTCCGTGAAAGGCACAGATTACTAAAACGAACGCTAGCCCAAACCCTAATCCTCTCCCTACAGCCGACGAAGAAAGAAAGCCCAAGAGTCCCATAATAATTGAAGAAACTGAATTTGGGCCGGGCGCAGTGGCTCACGCCTGTCATCCCAGCATTTTAGGAGGCCCAGGCAGGTGGATCACCTGAGGACAGGAGTTTGAGACCAGCCTGGCCAACATGGTGAAATCCCGTCTCTACCAAAAATACAAAAACTAGCCCCCATGATGGTGCACACCTGTAATCCCAGGTACTCGGGAGGCTGTGGCAGGAGAATCACTTGGACCCGGGAAGCAGAGGTTGCAGTGAGCGGAGATCGCACCATTGCACTCTAGCCTCGGTGACAGAGTGAGGCTCCATCTCAAAAAAAGAAAAAAGAAATTGAATTTGTAATTTAAAATTTTCCACAAAGAAAACTTGAGGCCAAGATGTGTTCACTGGCGAGTTCCATGCAATACTCGGTAGAGAAATAACACTGCCCTATCCAAGCTCTTCCAGAAAATGGAGGAGGAGAAGCCTCATACGCCCACCAGGACGGGAGGAGGCAGCCACTCTGGAGAAGTGTCAGTTCTGGAAACATGAAGCGTGAACTTCCTCAGGAAGCAGCCACTCCACTCCTAGGTATCTGCCCGAGAGACATGAAAGCACAAGGACGTGTAAGCAGCGTTTATAGCGGGTTGATTTACTGCAGCCAGGACCCGGGGTGGTGCCGGTGTCCGTCAGCAGGAGGACGGGTGAACCGGGTCATCTTGGAGCCATCGTCCTCAGAAACAGGCACATCCGGCTGTTGATACGCACAGCGTCGGACCCTCCAAGGCACCACGCTCAGCTAAAGAACACAGACGAAAGAGCTCACAGGGCGCAGCTCCACTCGCGGAACTGCAGGGAGGACCGCGGCCCAACTCCAGTGACAGACGCAGGCCCATGTTGCCGGGGCCGGAACGCAGGGAGATCTGGGAGAGGAATGTTCTGAATCTCAGCTGTGGTGCCGGGTGCCCTTGTCAGAAACCGTCGGTTACATTTAAATGGGTGCATTTTGTGTTTGGAAATCATGCCCGGCTCTCTGGATAAAGCCCTGATTTATGTGGTTTTGAATTTCTGTGATCTAAACACCGTGCCCGCCCCCATCTCCGATTCAAGCCCCCAACACGTCCTCACTCAGCACGGAGCTGGGCAGACGTGCACGACCGGCTCCCACCTGCTGGCACGAGCCCACCTCACCTTGGGGAGTTGATTTGTAAAATGAAATGAGCACAGAAACGTGTCAGCGCCAGGCTGGACCCAGCGAGCCGCCGATGCCAGCGAGATGCCAGGCTGGACTCAGCAAGCCGCCGATGCCAGCCAGACGCAGAGCAGAGAACGCTGGTCAAAGAGCAGCTAGGCGGTGTCTGCTCGGCCGAAGCCCAGTCCCGGAGAGGCAGGCTCTGTACCAGGACGTGGAGGCTCCGGGGTCATGAAACCCCCAGGGTGAGAGACAAAGGTAGTGAGTGGCCGTCCAGGGCAGAGGGGACGGAGGCAGCACGCGGACGGAGCCTCCGCACAGAGCGTCACGGCCACGACTGGAAAGCTCAGACACGTGTCACGAGCCCACAGCCCAGGTCAGAGGCGGCAGGATGGCGGGCGGCCCCATGCACAGAACTGCGGCCACGTGTGGAAGGCGACGGACACTGGCGGCACAGGGTCTACTGTGCTCTGGACCTGGTGGTGGCCACGCTGATGTTCACCCGTGGACATGTTGGAGCTCGCTGTCCACTGTGTGTGCTGCTTTGCGTGAGTTCCAATCCACGCGGAAACTATTATGATCAGAAAATCTCTCTAACTGTGGCGTGTGAGAGCCTCCAGTTCCGGGTGTTGTGCTGTTGTTTTGAGACGGAGTCTCACTCTGTCACCCAGGCTGGAGTGCAGTGGCGCCATCTGGGCTCACCACAGCCTCCGCCTCCCGGGTTCAAGTGATTCTCCTGTCACAGCCTCCAGAGTAGCTGGGAATACAGGCGCCCGCCACCACGCCCGGCTAATTTTTGTATTTTTAGTAGAGATGGGGTTTCACCATGTTGGCCAGGCTGGTCTCAAACTCATGATCTAGTAATCCACCTGCCTCGGCCTCCCAAAGTGGTAGGATTACAGGCGTGAGCCACTACGCCCGGCCTGGGCTGCACTTCTGAGTCCCTGAAGCTTCCACTGTGTTTATTATGAAGAGCTGAGCTGCGGTTTGTCCTCTAACATGTGTGCTAAGGAAGCGGGAGGAGACCCGGCTCCGGGCGGGGCCATTGTGGCTCCTGGCCTCTCTGCCTCTTCCATCCTATTTTGTTTCTGCTGATGGTCGACCCCGGGCAGCCTGAGCACAGCCACCCCGCCCCCCTGCATCCAGGTCACCGTGTCCCGAGCACAGCCGCCCCCCTGCATCCAGGTCACCGTGTCCACCCAGTGATGTGCTTCCCAGGCCGGACTTTTCTAAACTCAGCCTCTGAACCCACCACAGGCCGGACACACGGCGCCTTCCCCCAGCCCCACGGCTTCGAGAGCGCCCTGGCGAGTGCCTGTCCAGGAAACCTTGTTTTTTGTTTTTTTTTTTTGCGACGGAGTATCGCTCTGTCGCCCAGGCTGGAGTGCAGTGGCGCGATCTCGGCTCACTGCAAGCTCCACCTCCCAGGTTCACGCCATTCTCCTGCCTCAGCTTCCGGGGTAGCTGGGACTACAGGCGCCCGCCACCACACCCAGCTAATTTTTTGTACTTTTAGTAGAGACGGGGTTTCACCGTGTTAGCCAGGATGCTCTCAATCTCCTGACCTCATGATCCACCCACCTCGGCCTCCCAAAGTGCTGGGACTACAGGCGTGAGCCACCACGCCCGGCCCCAGGACACCTCGTTTTAAGGGCAGTGAAAGCCAGGAAAGCCACGGCCAGCAAGACCCAGCAAGACCCAGCAAGGCCCACGCCACCCTTGCTCCTGTCGAGGGGCCGGCGCCCGTTTGTCCTCAGGGAAGGTGGTCTTCGCCGCTGGCTCTGGTCAGGGCTGCATCTGGGCCACCAGGATGTTCAGTGCCAGCCCTGCAGCTGCGGGGCCTTCTGTGGTGGGCACGCATTTGCATCTCAATGACCCTGATTAATATTTAAGGAGCCAGCTGTCTGAGACACACGAAAAAAAGGGTGAAAAAAGCGCCTTGTTCCCTTAAAGGGCGGGCTCCAGGCTCTCCATCAGGTGGCCTCGTCTCCCCACACGATGTCCACACTCACAGTTCTTCTCCATGCAAAAGATACGCGGCATCATCAGCCAGATCAGGACCCGTGTCCCCTCCAGGGCCGGCCCCATTGTGTGCCGCACAGCTGCAGGCTGCAGCCCCAGCCCGTCTGCCTGCCCTGCCCTTTCACAGCCCTGTCTGGTGGAGGTGGATGGCACAGCCCACAGCTGTGCACAGGACACAGCTCAGGGGGTGCCCCAGCCAACGCACCCCCGGCCCAGGGGCATCCCCCACTCGGTCACTGTCACCCCAGCCAGGGGCCTCCCCAGCCACCCGCCCATCTGTCCACGGTGCCTTTGGGGCAGGCGTGGCCAGTCCTGCCCTTCCTGTTGTCTGACCCCTCACTGGGTGTCAGCTCCCCCGAGGAGGGTCTGAGGGTCGGCCTTGACCCCAGGACAATGGGCTGAATGCTGTCTCCCTAAATTCACGGCCACCCGGAATCTCAGAACGGGACCTATTTGGAACTAGGGTCTCTGCAGTTGTGATTAAGGGGAAGGCCTTGAGATCAGGTCATCCTGGATTGAGGATGGCCCAGACCCAGTGACGGCTTCGTAAAGCCAGGGACGATGATACACAGCAAGGGAACAAGGCTGCGTGAACACGGAGACAGAGTGATCCACCCACCCTGGGGCGTCCAGCCGCCGGGAACCAGAAGGGGCAGGAAGCATCGTCACCCGGAGCCTCCAGAGAACACATCTCCAAGACACCGAGACTCACTTCCGCAGAGCTGGGAGGGGACACCTCACCGTTGCCTGGAGACACAACACAGCCCTGGGTTGCTGCAGGCCCAGGAGACGGGGGCCCCAGCAGGAGTAGGAGGCGGCGCCTGCAGGCCCAGGAGCCCCACAGACCCGGGTCCAACCGAGAGGAGCACGTGGAGGCCCCTCCTCAGTCAACCGCCCCACCACCCCCTCAGCCTCCTGCGGCAGCGCTACCCGAGGCCCAGGGTCAGGTCCCGAAGCCCAGGTCAGAACCCACAGCCCAGAGTTCCCCAGCCCAGGGTGAGGTCCTGTGGCCCAGAGTCAAAACCGACGGCCCAGGTGAGAACCTGCAGTCCAGGGTCAGGCCCCAAAGCTGAAGGTTGGGCTGGGCCTCTGCAAGCCCCACACCCCGAGAGAAGCCAGTGGGCGCCCCCTTCACACACTCATGGGGACGCTGGGGAGGCCGAGACGCGGCGGACACCGAGAAAAGCACAGGCCCCTCCCGGGAGGAAGGCTCTGCCCGGGCTCGAGGCTGCGGCAGCAGGTCGGGGCACCCGAGGCCACCCACGCTCGTGAGGGCACCAGTCTCCCGAAATGCAATAGCAGGAGTGGTTCTTTTTTCCTTCACCTGCCTGAGGTGCTGAGTGGACAGGTCTCTGGTCCCATCCTGCCATCCCTGGTCCAAGTGAGTCTGAGAGTTCGAGGGATAACGGGGGCTGGTAGGTAGGGCCTGGGCAGCCCCATGCAGGAACCTGCGAGAAGATCCCCAAGCGACGGGAGCTGGCATCGTGGTTTGTGGCTATTTCCCAGGCACAGAAGCCCCATGTTCCCTGGGAGGGAAGAGGAGGGAGCGTGGCTAGGGGCACCAGGACACAGAGGCACCGGTGACACCCCTCTCAGGCCAGGGGGACACACAGAGCACCTGTGTGGAAACACGTGCACGCACCAGATGACAGCACACATAAGTACACAGCCGCGGGTGCGACACTTCCTGCTAACATCAGTGTTGTCAATTGTGTGAATGGAAAGGTATTTTGGAAATAGGAGTGAGGCGTGTGGAGCTGAGCCTCTGCCCGGCGGTTGCTCTTAACCCCGGAGGTGACCACACCCCAGCCACGTCCCTGAACCAGCCGCTGCACAGAGCGGCCCCTGCACGGAGCGGCCCCTGCACGGAGCGGCCTGGCTGAGCCTTTTCGTCTCCAGCCCCTGCTGCTGGGCCTGGCTTCTGCAAGAGCCACCAGGCCCAAGACCTCAAATGCCCACCTGAGAAAGGGGCTCAGGGCTTTTCTTTCCCAAGGGGAAACGTGAGCTTCCAGCAGCCACAGGATGCCTGGGGAGCAACTCTCTTTCTGAAGCTCAAAGCCTCTTTCGGAGGAAGGTCCGGCCTCTGGGGGGGGTGGGGTCACCTCATCCAGGGCAGGGGTGGGGACACCTCATCCAGGGCATCACTCTGACCATCCTCAGGCTGCCCTGCCCCCCGCGACCCTCCACGCCCAGTGTCCACCACCCCCTTAGGGGGACGCTGTCCACGGCAGCCCCCAGCCCCCTATGCGGAGCTGCAGCAGGGCCCCCCAGAAGCCCCCACAGTGGGAGGCCCGTGTATTCATGCCACAAACAACTACGGAGCCCCTGCCTTCCGGGGGCCATGGAGCCAGGTGCTGGGGACCAGGCTCCTGGCTGGCAGGACGCGTTCGAGGCCTCTGTTGTCCTGAGGGCTCTGGGGTAGCGGCAAAGCCTGGGGGCCTCCAGGTGGTGGCAGCCGATTGGACCCATCCACACATCCTTGAGTCCTCACCCTTCTCCTATCCCAGGGCTGGCAGTGGCCACCTCACAGGGGCTCCACACCTCCTCGGGGTGGACCCTCCCCAGCCCAGCCCAGCCCAGTGATCTCAGCCAGAAGCAGAGCTGCAGCAAGGAGGGGGCCACACAGCCCCCAGGGCTCCTCAGCCCGACCACACCAGGACGCCACGTCCCTGGGCTTGAGGCATCTGCCTTTCGGGGCCGGGCCTCTGGCTCTCCTGGGAGCAGGATGTCAATGAGACTCATCTTCCCTGGGGGCAGGTTGGCAGGGGGAGGGGGAAACAACGAGAGGGCAAGGAGACCGCGCCCCACCTGGGGACACGGGAGAGGCCAGGCTGCCCCTCCACAGGGAGCAGGGGTGCAGGCAGGTGAGGGTTAAACCCACAGCTCGGGGTTGCCTCCCCACGCCCTTCCCTGGGGCCCTGGAGGGACAGCTGGCCCATCACTGTCACCTGTCAGGGCTCAGGCAGCACAGCTGTGTAGACAGTGTGAGCCCAGGCCTCTGATCCAGGCTGCTCAGAACAAAGTGCCCACACATGGACCCAGCCTCCCACTCTGCAGGGCAGCACAGCTGGCAGCGTTTCCTGGACGTCCCCCTGACCTGAGTGCCCAGGGTCTCCCAGGCATCCCCTCAACCCCGGGTGCCCAGTTCACAGTGGGGACTGTGCTGAGTCCATCGCCCTGCAGGCAGCGCCGAAAACCAGCTGGTCCACATGCCCTGGCCACGTCCACTCAGCACAGGGCAGTGCGTGACCAGCACCCTCAGCCCTCTCTCGGTACCGCAATGGGGACCCCACCGCCAAGTTGCAGCCCCGGCCACTCGGTGGCAGTAAGGGAATGACCTGATGGTGACGGTGAACATGCCCTGCTTCGTCCTCAGGCCCACAGGGTGGGAACCAGACACCAAGCACCTTGTGAATAACTTGCCGGCTCTGCTGACCTCCCCATCCCACGACCCCCGAGCTGAGAAGAGCAAAGCCCCCGTGGGCTGGAGAGCTGCCTTCTCCCCCCTCTACAGGGTCTGTGGGTCCACACTGGGGGCAGGGGGTACCCCTTCTCTGGTCGGGCCGTGCACACCCATAACTGGGCAGGGCCAGAGTGGGGCCGGAGCCACCCACAGACCCAGGCAGCAGAGGGGCTGGCCCGGAGGCCTAGAGACCGTAATAGTAGGAGAATGCGGAACCCCAAAAAGAGACACCCACGTCCTCGCCCCAGAACCTGTGGACGTGACAGTATTTGGAAAAGGGTCTCTACAGACATCAGTAGGTTGAGGGCTTTGAGACGAGATCGTCCTGGAGTACGGTGGGCCCTAAATCCAGTGGGAGGGGTCCTTCTAAGAGACAGGCGAGGAGAAAACACAGACAGAGGACGTGGTCAAGTGAAGTCAGAGGCAGAGACGAGCAACGTGGCCACAAGCCGAGGAACACCTGAAGCCCCTGGGAGCTGGAAAGGGCAGGAGGACCCTCCCCTGGAGTCTCCAGTGGGAACACAGCCCTGCCGAAGCCTTGATCTCAGACTTCTGGCCTCCAGGACAGTGGGGGTGGGTTTCTGTTGCTTTAAGCCCCCGAGTTTGCTACAGCAGCCCAGTCCCCGAACCTTCCTGACGGCCGCGCCCAGTCCCCGTGCCCTCCTGACAGCCGCGCGGCCACACTGGGACGGATCCATCTTCCCAGGCCTCGTCTGGCTCTTCCCATCAGCCTCGGGGCCCAGCTGCCCCTCAGACGCTCAGTCAAGACTCATCTTTGGTCTCAGGGCTGCTCAAAACACAAAGTCAAAAGCACAAACAACTCCCCTCTAGGAATGTAAATTTTATAACTTAGAAGAAATGGACCAATTCCTTAAAAACCACAACAAAAACTCACCCAAAATGTAACTGATAACGAACAGCCCTTCAGCTATTAAAGAAATTAAATCTGTAAAGATATGAAAAGGAAGCATCCGGCTGGACGCGGTGGCTCATGCCTGTAATCCCAGCACTGTGGGAGGCCAAGGCAGGTGGATTACCTGAGGTTGGGAGTTCAAGACCAGCCTGACCAACATGGAGAACCCCATCTCTACTAAAAATACAAAAATTAGCCGGGCATGGTGGCGTATGCCTGTAATTCCAGCTACTCGGGAGGCTGAGGCAGGAGAATCACTTGAACCTGGGAGGTGGAGGTTGTGGTGAGCCCAGATCATGCCATTGCACTCCAGCCTAGGCAACAAGAGCGAAACTCTGTCTCAAAAAAAAAAAAAAAGAAAAGAAAAATAAATAAAAGTAAACGTCCAAGCAAAGATGGTTTGACTGAATCCACCAAACCTTAATAAAAGAAATAACACCAATTCTACACAACCTCTTCCAAAAAACAGAAGAGGAGGAAACACTTCCCAGTGTGTTTCATCAGGCCAGCATTACCGTAATACTAAAACCAGAAAAAGACAGTACAAGAAAAGAAAACCAGAGGGGTGCAGTGGCTCACGTCTATAATCCCAGCACTTTGGGAGGCCGAGGCAGGCGGATCATGAGGTCAGGAGATTGACACCATCCTAGCTAACACAGTGAAACCCCGTCTCTACTAAAAATACAAAAAATTAGCTAGGCGTGGTGGTGGACACCTGTAGTCCCAGCTACCTGAGAGGCTGAGTCAGGAGAGTCACTCAAACCGGGAGGCGGAGGTTGCAGTGAACCGAGATCACACCACTGCACTCCAACCTGGGTGACAGAGCGAGACTCCATCTCAAAAAAAAAAAAAAAGAAAAGAAAAGAAAAGAAAAGAAAAAACCACAGGCCGGACACAGTGGTTCACACCTGTAATCCCAGCACTTTGGGAGGCCAAGGTGGGTAGATCACTTGAGGCCAGGAGTTCGAGACCAGCCTGGCCAACATGGCAAAACCTTGTCTCTGCTAAAAACAAAAAATGAGCCAGGTGTGGTGGTGTGCACCTGTAATCCCAGCTACTCGGGAGGCTGAGGCACAAGAATCATTTGAACCCAGGAGGCAGAGGTTGCAGTGAGCCAAGATCACACCACTACACTCCCAGCATGAGTGACAGAGTGAAACTGTCTCAAAAAAAAAAAAAAAAAAAAAAAAAAAAAGAGTCCAAGCACAGTGGCTCACACCTGTAATCCCAGCACTTTGGGAGGCTGAGGCAGGTGGATCATGAGGTCAGGAGATCGAGACCACCCTGGCTAACATGGTGAAACCCCGTCTCTACTAAAAATAGAAAAAATTAGCCAGGCATGTTGGCAGACGCCTATATTCCCAGCTACCCGGGAGGCTGAGGCAGGAGAATTGCTTGAACCCAGGAGATGGACATTGCAGTGAGCTGAGATCTCACCACTGCACTCTGGCCTGGGCGACAGAGCAAGACTCTTGTCTCAAAAAAAAAAAGAAAGAAAGAAAACAAAGCCAAACCGCAGACCAATATACCTCATGAATATAGACAGAAAACAAAACCTCAGCAAGATATTAGCAAATTGGTAATATCAGAAATATGTAAAAAGAATTAGACACCATGCTCAACTGGACTGTGGATTATATTCCATGATGAGGAATGCAAGGTTGGTTCAATCTGAAAACCAATCAGCCAGGCACGGTGGCTCACATCTGTAATCCCAGCACTTTGGGAGGCCAAGGCAGGTGGATCACTTGAGGTGAGGAGTTTGTGACCAGCCTGGCCAACATGGTGAAACCCCATCTCTACTAAAAATACAAAAAATGAGCCGGTCATGGTGGCAAGCACCTGTAATCCCAGCTACTCAGGAGGCTGAGGCAGGAGAATCACTTGAACACAGGAGGTGGAGGCTGCAGTAAGCGAAGATCATGCCACTGTACTCCAGCCTGGGCAACGATTGTGAAACTCCATCAAAAAAAGAAAAAACAAAAACAAAAAGCAAATCAACCAATTAAAACACTAAGAAAAACCATATGATTGTATCTCTGATAGATACAGGAAAAAACATTAGACAAAATTCAACACTATTCATAATAGAAACTCAGCAAATTAAGAAGAGAAGGAAACTTCTTCAGCCTAATAAAAGGCATCTACAGAATCCATAGCCCTCATACTATTTAATGGGGAAAAACCGAAAGCTTCACTGTAAGATCAAGCACAGGACAAGGACAGCCACTCCCACTGTTTCTATTCCATATCACACTAGACTTGCTAGCCAGAGTAATAAGGCAAGAAAAAAGAAAGCAACATGGATGCCGCCAAAGGCACTGACGGAGTGAAAGTTTACACCAAGTTTCAGAATTGGAGAAACTAACCTATCCTGAAACACACATGAGGACAACGGTTCCCTCTGTGGGGGGGGTTACCTGGGGAGAGGCATGAGGAATGTTCAGGGTGTTGTTCTGTCTTGACCAAGGAGTGTTCTGTCTTGACCGAGCTGTGGGTTACTGGTGTCACATTTGTTAAAACTCATCCAGTTATAACCTAAAATATGTGCATTTTATGTTAGCGGTTGAGGACTCACCACTGCAAACCCTGCAGGCTCCATTTGGGGAGGCCCCCCTACATGTGGCTACTGTGCCCATAGCTGCCCAAGCAAAGGCCCCACGAGGACCTGGGCCTGTTGGTGCAGAGCCCTGTGAAGCGGAGGCTGCACCCCCAATAGGGCAATACCCAGCACCACCCCCATTACAGACCTTCCAGACCACCCTAGCATGTTCTCACACATGCTCAAAGAGAAAAGGCATCTCTCATCTTCGAGTGTTCCCTGTTCACCCTCTTTCCTTAATTTGCCTTACATGGTCACCCCTGAAAAGCCCCTTCTGAGCTATCCTTCCCTCCAGGTCCCAGAGATGCACAGCTAGGCACCCACAGGCCGCAGGCAGCTCCCGCCCAGATGATCCTCGGTGCTCCAGCACAGGGCCTCAGGCTGAGGTGTGGGGAGAAGTGTCCAGCCATGCAGCTGTGTGGCTGGTAACTCACCCCACTATTCCCAGGGGCTCAGAAGGGGACAGACGGTCTCAAGAGACAGGTCGGCCATCGCTGCACAGTGGGGGAGGCCACAGCTCTGTGTCCCAGACAAACGCCCAGCACGAAGGTCACACAGCCACCTCACTTGGGCGGGGGGTCGGGGGGGGGGGTCATGCCCAGAAGCAGCCCCTGTGTCTGGCCCAGCCCCTGGCCTGGCCTGGGGTCTGCAGAGCAGGCAGATGCCCTCCCCCTCCCCTTCAGGCCCATCACTTTGTGGGGTCCTCTGAAGCTGGGCCTGAGGGGGCTGCAGCCCCCAGACTGGTTTCCCCCAGTCCAGGCCCTCCTGGAGGCTCATGGCTTGGCACAGGCAGAAACCAGGGAGTTTGTGTGGGGAGGGCAGGGCAGGGCGGGCCACACATGGAAGGGCATCCTCTCTTCCACTCCCCACCTCCCTCCACAACACGAGTCATGCCCATTCCCCAGGCCAGTCTGGTCCCACAGGCCCAGGGTCACAGTCCACATGGAGTCTGGACAGCCATTTAATTTGGTGAGGGACGTGAGGATGGGATTTTGCCCCTACTAAAGACAAGTCTGTAATAATACGGCCACAAAAGTTCTAGAAGAAACCATTTTGCTACCCATGGTGACTCAGGCAAGGACCACCAAGGGGGCGAACTGTTTGGTGACAGGTAATAGGAATCGGAGACCACAGGGCAAGAGGAGCCCAGCCTGGGCCCATCACAGGGACAAGTGCAGCTGTGGTGTCGGTGGAACAATGCAGAGACGCAGACACAGCACCCAACAGAGGAGCCGGCTGAGGGTGCTGGGTGGAGACTGTGGGCTGAACTCCCAGCCCACGGGAAACTCAAGGAGTGAGGAATGAGGCAGACGGCACAGACGAGCTGGCTGAGGGTGCTGGGTGGAGACTGGGCTGAACCCCCTCAACCCCAGCCCACAGGAAACTCAAGGAGTGAGGAATGAGGCAGACGGCACAGGAAAGCATCAGGCGTATCAAAATGCCAAACTTCTGCCAAGACAACCAGGCTGGTACACAGGCCCCGCGAGCCACTATCCCTCAGTGGGAAATTTGAATTCTCCAACTTTGTTCCTTTTCAAGATGATTTTGGCTCTCTGCCATCTCTTGCAATTTGATATGAACGTTACAGTCACCTTGTCCATTTCTGCACACACAAAAATCAGCTGGGATTCTGATACGGATTGTGTTGAATCTGTAGATCAATTTGGGAAGTATTCTCATCTTAGCTATATTAAGATTTCCTATCCATGAACATGGATGTCTTTGCATTTATTTAGACCTTTCTTTCTTTCCAGTGTAGTTCCAGTGTACAAGTCTTGCACTTCTCTTGTTAAATTAATTTTTTTTTTGAGACAAAGTTTCACTCTTGTTGCCCAGGCTGGAGTGCAATGGCATGACCTCAGCTCACTGCAACCTCCACCTTGCAGGTTCAAGCGATTCTCTTGCCTCAGCCTCCCGAGTAGGTGGGATTACAGACCTGCGCCACCACACCCAGCTAATTTTTGTATTTTTAGTAAGACGGGGTTTTGCCATGTTGGCCAGGCTGGCCTCCAACTCCTGACCTCAAGTGATCCACCCACCTCAGACTCCCAAAGTGCTAGGATTACAGGCGTGAGCCACCACGGCCAGCACAGATTCGTGTTTGAATGCATGCACCTGTTCACTAATTCACTGGATTTGTTCTCTAATGGGAGTGTCCCCACGTCGGGAGACGCTGAAGTATTTACAGTCACAGTGTCTGCTGCTTTCTTCAAAACGGTGGGCAGAAAACACAAAGGCATGTGCGTAACGTGTAAAACACATATGGGCAAGTTGCCGAAATGGCTGACCCTGGGCCTGGGTGTGTGGATGTTCTCCGGGCTATTCAGCCTTTGCTTGAAAACCTTCAAGTCACACAGCTGCCAGGAGGTCATCACGTTGGCGTGACCCCTCCCCTAGACCCGGCCAAGGCTCTGGCTGAGATGACCTGGACGGTGCCCTCGGCTCAGGCACAGCTTGGGGAGGCTGCTTCTCCGGGAGAGGCGCCGGGGCTGCTGTCCCCAACCCAGCCTCCCCATGTGGCTGCCCTGGGCTGTCCGCTCGACGGCCCCCTTGCTGGGGCAGAACCTTCTCTACCATGGAGCAGGTGCCTTTGTCCATGGGCTCCCGGGCATGAGCCCCCTGCTCTCCCCCATCCAAGACGCAGACCCCAACCCAAGCCACTGTTCCAGGAATAAAGAGGCAGCCACTGCAGACTACAGGGATTTGTGAGCGAGATTGGTGGGATGGGTGATGGTGAGTGGAACACCCCTTCTCCCTACTTCCAGCCTCCTGCCTCGCACCCCCTCCCCTCGCCCCTCCTGGCCATGCTGCCCCACTCAGCCTCACGCAGCCTGGCCACATTGTCCCAACGCTGTCCTTTCAGAGTAGGGAGTAATGTTCAGCCCGACCCCGGTTCCCCGTGCCCTGAGTCCCCCACAGTTCCTCACAGTCCCCGTTAACAAGCACACTTGCAGGGGGCGGCCGTACACACGCAGAGCCCTTGCTGCCATGACAGGGCCAGCCCAAGAGGCGGGGGCTGCAGCCACTGCTCTCATGAGGGTGGCAGGAGATGCCAGCCCGGAGCCAAAGTGTCCGGAGCGGCTCACAAAAGGTAGCTCACAGGGGCGCCGCCCCGACACCGTGATCCACCCAGCTGAGCTCCCTTGTGATGGCCGTAAATTTTTATGAGCGCTAAAACAGCTGGGGCCTCACCTCGCCAGGGAACAGACTCAGAGCAAATGCTGGAGGTGACTGTCCTCCTGTTCTCGGAGCTGCCATGAAAAGCCTCTGCCACAGGGTGGATGGGGCGGAGCGGGGCGGGGCGGGGTGGCGGATGGGCTGAGGATCCACAGGGTGGACGGGGCGGGGCGGGTGCTACTGCTCTGACCTCCTGGACAGAGACGGCGAGGACAGGGCACCGGCTGGGGGCAGAGGCTGCTGTGACAGCCGTCCTGTCTCTGTCCTGCAGCCAGCCCTCCTGGCTCCGTCAGATCAGCTCCTTTCAAAGCCCAAACATCCCACAGCTAAACCTGGAGGGGGGCGCAGTGGCTCACACCTGTTGTCCCAGCACTTTGGGAGGCTAGGCCAGGAGGATCACTTGAGCACAGCGAGCCACGATCTTACCTGTACTTCAGCCTGGACAGCAGAGTGAGACCCAGCTCTAAAAAAAAGAGAGAGGCCGGGCACTGTGGCTCACGCCTTCACCCTACACCCTGACCACCCCACCCCCTCCCCACCCTCATGCTCCTCCCCTGCCTCATACCCCCTCCCCCCTCACACTCCACCCCCCCACGCCCCTCCCCCCAAGCCCCTCCCCGTCTTGCTCCTCCCCTGCGTCATACCACTGGTGGCATGGGGCAGGGTGGGTGTCTCACCAGGGAAGGAGCTGAGGCCACAGGGCCCTGAGCAGGGCCGGGGCAGAGTCCACAGGCCCCACCCATTGGCAGGTTCATCCATTTGTTTCTGTGTTGATTTTGCTTTTTTTTCCTAAAAATTTAACAAACGTCCCCCGCCCCGGCCCTGCCCTGGCCTTAGAGATGGGTCTCAGAATCCCGGGCCCCAGCCGGGAGGAGAGGCCCTGGTCCTTGCTTCTGCTGAGGGCACGCACCCTGCTCTCAGGGCGGTGTGGCCTCAGGAAAGGGGCTGAGGGGCTGCCCTGGCCTTTTCTGTGAGTGCCACGCTGGCCAACTGCCAGGAAAGTAAACGTCTCCCAGAGGGAAAAAACTCACAGGGCGGAGGGTGCCGGGGTGGCACAAGGGGTTCTGGACCAAGGGGCTGGAGGCAGCTCTTGTCCAAGGAGAACCCCCCTCCCAGGCACCCGCTGGTCAGAGCTGGGGCCCCCACACCTGTTCCCAGCGGGCCCCGTCCCCACGTGCCCGGCAGCCTCTGTGACGTTCAACACAGCCACGGGGTGCTCCAGGTGCCTCGCTGGGCCAGAAGTCGAAGGACAGAGGGCTCGGCAGGGCTTTCCTGACCCGTGATGATGGTGGGCAGAGCCCTCCCTTGAAACCAGCCCAGCAACGCAGGCCAACTTTACCCACCTGGTGGGACTAAACCCCTCTAAGGAGAGGGGGCCCTTCGGGGACACAGGCTGGGGTTTTGGGGAGTGAGGCTCTGTGAGCCCTGCCCCAGGACCACCACACAGCAGGCCCACAGGCCCAGGCAGGGACTGCAGACACAGGGCCATGCGGGGCCGGGAGCGCCTCCTCCTGGGATCCCTGCAGCCCCTGCCCTACACTCCCAGGCTCAGGGGCCTCCTCCTGGCCCCGCCGTCCCAGGCTCAGGGCCTTCCTCCCGGATATTTCTTCTGGAGCCTGACCCATGGGCTTTCCTGCATCTTCTTTAAAGATAAAATCGAAAACAAATCTTTAAAGGCCATCTCCAAAAACCACAGAGGCCGGAACAAAGTAAAAATAAAGCTTCCTCTCAGGAGCTTCCTGCTTATCTAAAAACGCCTGTGTCAGCAGCACCTTCTAGCCCAGAGGGGTCCCTGGGGCCCCAGCCTCTGGCAGGGGCCGGACCCAAGGCCACGTGACCCACGGCAGAAGGTGCCGGGCCCTGGCGTGCGGTGCCACGGGACGGGGACAGTGACCAGCCCTGCGGCTCAACGTCAGTGTCCGCGTGTGTGGAGTCTCCTGCTCAAGGGAAAAATGCCCTTCAGTCCTACGAGGAGGCAGCAAGGTGGCTAAACAGTGCCTCCGACCACTCAAATATCAAAAAGCTGCCTTGCCTGGAAACAGGGTCCTTGCCGACGTCATTGAGATGCGGTCATACCGGATCAAGACGGACCCTAAATCCAAAGTCAGAAGACACGGCCATGACGACCAAGGCAGAGGCTGGAGTTATGAGGCCACAGCTAAGGCAAAGCTGAGCGCCAGGGGCTGGAAGAGGCAGGAAGGCTGTCCCGTCCCCCTGGGGACCCTCCGTGGCGCAGGCCCGGCAGTCCCCGATCTCAGGCTCCTGCAGCCTCGTTCCACAAGCCGGGCTGGGCTCCGGCGCATCCAGGAGCAGGTTCCCCTCCTCCCTGTGGTCAAGGCTCCAAGCCTGCCTCCTTCGCTCCTTCCCTTCCCAGAGTCTCACCTACCTCGGAAAAGAGGAGGTGGCCTGAGACCGGCTCTGCCGACAAGACCGGCCTGGGTGTTTTGAAAGCAGATATCCGTGAACGTTTTTAATCCGTAGGTGGACGGTACCAAACCCCAGTATGGACCGTGCGTGGGCACTGAGCATTTCATGACAGAAGGAGACGCCGGCCGGGAAACGCAGTGAACCAAACGCCATCCCGCCCGAGGCCACAACGCCCACAGCACCACCCACAACACCTCCCACAACACCACTCCTGGGTACACGTCCAGGCACCACAAAAACCTCTGTCCAACAAGAGCCGGTGCATGGACAACCACAGCATCTCACGCACTGCGCCCAGCAGCCCAGCAGCCCAGCAGCCCAGCAGCCCAGCGTCCACTCACAGACGAGCCACGAACCACATGCAGGCCAGCAGCCCAGCAGCCTGGCATCCACTCACAGATGAGCCACAAACCACACACAGGCTGGCCACACACAGAGCGCCACTCAGCCACAAGAAGGAAGGAGGCCCCAGCACACACCACACCGGGATGAAACCTGAGGCAGGACCTCGAGCGACGGAGGCTCAGAGGGACACAGTGTCTGATCCCATTTCTACGAAACATCCAGAACAGGCCAAGCCAGAGAGTCGTGGAGGCTCTCAGGCTTGGGAAAGGGTGGTGAGCCAGTGCTGATGGAGACAGGGTTTCCTTTTGGGGTGATGAGGACATTCAGGACTAGAGAGAGGTGAGGGCCGCCTGACACTGCAATGTGCTGAACGCCGCCCAAGCGTGCACTTTAAAATCAGTTAACACCGGCCGGGGGTGGTGGCTCACACCTGTCATCCCAGTGCTGTGGGAGGCCGAAGGAGATGGATCACCTGAGGTCAGGAGTTCGAGACCAACCTGGCCAACATGGCAAAACCCCATCTCTACTAAAAATACAAAAAAAGTTAGCCGGGCGTGGTGGCGGGCACCTGTAATCCCAGCCACTCGGGAGGCTGAGGCAGGAGAATTGCGTGAACCCAGGAGGTGGAGGTTGCAGTGAGCTGAGATCGGACCACCGCACTCCAGCCTGGGCGACAGAGGGAGACTCTGCCTCAAAATAATAAATAAAATAAAATAAACTTGGCCCCATGGAAACTGTTTTTCTTTCCTAATGATGGGGGGAGGGAGAAGGCTTTTCCATTCCCCAACCTCCCACATCACCCCACACAGAAGCCAGAGGCCCGGGGCCCCTCGAATCTCTCTGAGAGCACCTCGTAGAGACTCCGGGGAGGCCCGGCCTCCTCACACAGCAGCAGGAGGCACCTCTGATCAGCAGCAATGCAAACAGCACTGCCCACTCCACAGCCCACCTGCCCACTTCTTCCCAGCCAACAGGATCCAGGCCTTCCCAGGTGCGTGCCCGGGT
Source organism: Homo sapiens (assembly GCF_000001405.40). NCBI lineage: Eukaryota > Metazoa > Chordata > Mammalia > Primates > Hominidae > Homo > Homo sapiens. The sequence goes on along the minus strand of NC_000016.10, from coordinate 829,141 downwards.
GTGTGCCCGGGTGTGGGGCAGCCCCATCTCAGGTCAGTGTCGGAGTGAGAATGGGCAAAGGACGTGCCGGGCTGGTAGTGGTGAAGGGACACAAGACACAGGAAGGACGTCTGTCCCTGGCCGCCGTGGGTGGGATGTGGGCCCCAGTGGGCGGGATGTGGGCCCCAGTGGGCGGGATGTGGGCCCCAGTGGGCGGGATGTCGGTCCCAGTGGGCGGGATGTGGGCCCCAGTGGGCAGTGGCGGTGCTGGTATAGACAGGGCCGCGCCTCTTCACCCCGTCCTCACCCCAGCGGCCCCGGAGCAGCAGGCGGACTCAGAGCTCCTGGGAAGGGGCTGTCGGCTGATGCAGGAGGAAGACAGAACTGCCACCCGTGGCTGGGTAGGAACGGAGGGACAGGACCCCACCCGCCATCAGGGGCCTGCTCATAACACAGTCCCACGGACCCCACCCAGAGAGCAGAGGACCTTCCCAGAGGGCATGGGGCTGCCACAGTGATGGCCCCCAGACTCCCAGGTCAGGGGCCTTCCCATTGTCGGCCGCCCAGAGGCTCCCGGTCCACTCCCCCCATTCCCCACTCTAGCTCACAGAGCCCGAGGATAGAGAGAGTCCTGAGTGCCCCTCAGGCCTCGGTCTTCCCACCCAAAGCGGCTCCCGTGCTCCACGTCAAACCTCCCCTCCCGAGGTGCCCCTGCCCACACGCCACCCTGCACCAGTGGGGTCAGAGCCTCCAGGAGACGAGGCCTCGGCCCAGCGTCCCTCCCTGCCTCCTGCCTCCAACCTCAGGCCTGAAACACAAACCCTGGGTCCATTTCATCGCACAAGTCTCAGTGTTTGAATCCAGCTTTACAACAACCCTGTTGTAGGCAGGTGTCTGCTTTTGAACAAACTGTTGGTTCAGGTCCCCAGTGCCCTGGGCGCGTAAATCTCAGCACATTTAATGCACCTGGCTTCCAGCCTCTGGCAGGATTTCGGGATGCGTGAGTGACTCGTCTGACCTGGGTCCAGGCACGGAGGCCCCAGCCATACCCTGGAGGCCGAGAGTTCATTTCCCCTGGCTAGGACTGGGCCAGACCCCTGCCTGGCTGCCCGCGCCCCAGGCCTGAGCTGGGCTGTTCCCCGGGCCTGGGACAGACACCCTTCCAGGTCCTGTCTGCTGCAAGGTTCCTGGAGCACATTCTCCCAGGACACAGTGGGGCAAAGAGAGAAACAGCAGGGTCCCCCCAGGACGCACGTCCGGGCTCCAGTCGTCACGTGTGTGGCATGAGGGGAGGGGTGTGTTCCTGTGCCTGGCAGCGAGTGTCTGTGTATGCGCGTGTATTGTGTGTGTGTTGTGTCTGCACACATGTTGTGCGTGCATTGCGTGCCGTTGCAGCCATGACATAAGGTGACACGTGCAGCTTCCACAGCTACCCTGAGACCTCCAGCACAACCCGGCAGCAGAGGCCGGCCCGTTTCCCGAGGCCTTCATCACAACCCAGGCAGCAGAGGCCGGCCCGTTTTCCGTGGCCCGTTTTCCGTCCTGTGTCTCGGTTTCCTTGTTTGTGCAACAGGGACCCTCCCAGAATCCCTGGGGTGACTCCGGGGAGCGTAGTGACAAGCAGGTCCGTGAAATCCCTGGGCACAGTGACTGGCACCTCCCGAGTGCAGCCCAAGGGCAGGGGTTCCACCAGAACCAGCTCTGCAACCACTGGGAGACCAACCTGCACGGAAGACCACAGCCTGCAAGGGGCCGCCCAAGAATCAGGCGGCGAAACCCATGAGACAGACTCGGGGAGCGGAGCAGAGGTGCTTCAGAAAACAGACGCGAAGCCAGGTCTGAGGCCTGGAAGCGACGGGGTCAGGCAGGTGGGGAGAGCACCAGGTCTGAGGCCTGGAAGCGACCTCAGGAAGTCACCCGGAAGGCAGGTGGGGAGAAGTCTTCACACCTGGCCTGAGAGCCACATCCTCAGTGTTTATGAGCAGAGGTGGAGCCAGGGCCAGGTCTCCCAAAACCACCTCACACACGTGCACAGGTACACGTGCTACCACGCACAGACACACGTGGACACGCACAGACACACAGAGACACGTGTGCGCACCCTCCGCTCCCCGAAGGCACAGCCGCTCCTCAGAGAACCTCCCTCCTCGGCCTGGTGAGTCTTGAAACGGCTTTTACATTTTTTAGTTTAAAACTCACATTTCAGGCCGGGCGCGGTGGCTCACGCCTGTAATCCCAGCACTTTGGGAGGCCGAGGCGGGCGGATCACGAGGTCAGGAGATCGAGACCATCCTGGCTAACACGGTGAAACCCCGTCTCTACTAAAAATACAAAAAATTAGCCGGGCGTGGTAGCGGGCGCCTGTAGTCCCAGCTACTCGGGAGGCTGAGGCAGGAGAATGGCGTGAACCCGGGAGGCGGAGCTTGCAGTGAGCCGAGATCGCGCCACTGCACTCCAGCCTGGGCGACAGAGCGAGACTCCGTCTCAAAAAAAAAAAAAAAAAAACAAAACAAAAAAAAAAAAAACTCACATTTCCCCGACCCTCTTATTCTTTTTGTGAGACGGAGTCTCGCTCTGTCGCCCAGGCTGGAGTGTAGTGGTTGATTTTGGCTCCCTACAACCTCTGCTTCCCGGGTTAAGCAATTCTCCTGCCTCAGCCTCCCAAGCAGCTGGGACTACAGGTGCCACCACCACGCCCGGCTAATTTTGTGTGTGTGTGTGTGTGTGTGTGTGTGTGTGTGTGTGTGTTTACTAGAGATGGGGTTTCCCCACGTTGGCCAGGGTGGCCTCAAACTCCTGACCTCAGGTGATCTACCTGCCTCAGCCTCCCAAAGTGCTGGGATTACAGGCGTGAGCCACTGCTCCCGGGCCGACATCTGTTTTTAAAATTCACCATCCACAGGCACAGTGGCGACCACAGCACACGCAGCCCACGGAAATCCGGCCGGGTTAAAAAGCAGCAGTTTTGTGGCAAACGCTGAGTTGTATTTCGGTGGCCGAAGGAGCACGTTAGCACATCAAAGAGAAAGAGAACTTGGGAGGGAGAAGGAGAGGCGGATGAGGAATCAGATTAATTTACTTTGTGCAGCAAAATATCTTACCAGCTTTGAGCTGTAAAATTCTGACACGCTTTCCTGAAGGGGACAAAGAGACCACAAGCAACCCTCTCGCTCTCAAACCCACAGCGCTCGACACCGAAAGCCATCCCGGACTTTAAAAAGTGGAATGACGGCGAAATCACACAGAAAATAAAAGCAGAGGCTCAAAGGAAGCGGCTGTACGTAATCGCTTTTAGCAAATAAACATTCTCAAATCCCGGTTTGATGGGAACCGAGGGAGAAAAGTACAGGTTTTAGGAAAGAACGGAGGGGTGGGGGCTGGGAAGTAAAAGAGGCATCTAATTTTATCTGGCTCCTGTCCAACAACAAAATCTAATCCATCATTTTCTCTGGGTGAAGGCTCTTAATGAAAATTTAGAGAGTGTGACTGAAATTTAGAATTCCCCAGGGATCCTGCAAGGAAGATGTCTAGCAGCCGTGCAAACCTCCCTCCAGCCCAGGCTGCCAGAGGGCACGGCCGCGTGGAGGCAGCGGGTTCTCATCTGGCTCTCGGCCCACCGTGCCCCTCGCCGCACGGGGAACCTGTCCCTGAACCGAGGCCGCGTGCTTGAGCTTGGCAGTCCGCCCTCCCCCTGGGCTGGGCGGGCCCGGAGTCTGGCTCTGGGATCCACGGCCGTTTGTGGCTCACAGCACGAAGCCACATGGGAAGGGGTGGGGGCCACGCGTCCTCCTCTCAGCCTCTCAAAGCAACACATTTGCCCCGATGCCGTCGGCCATCACCCTCCCGCTCGGAGAGGGACAAGGAGGAAGGAATCCCGCTCTCCTCTGCTTCCCGGAAGCTCTCACGGTGAAGAACAAAAGTCAGCCCACATTCTGGGGTGCACAGAACGGGGTCTGTGGGGGAGGGAGGAAGGGCAGAGGCGGCCGGCTGAGCACCCGCCGGTTGGTAAGAGGCAGGGCTTTGTGACGCGAATGGAATCGGCACCAATGCCCCATCGTGGCTTCTCACTGTCCAGAGAAGACCCCGGGGGACTCCGCCCTCCAGGGCACCCCAGGGCAACGTGGGATGTTTTTGCCCATCTCGAATCACAGATGCTGCTGGCATCAGGTGAGTGGAGGCTGAGGAGGCTGCAAACATCCTCAGAGCAGGGGCAGCCCCCCCGCAGGGATGCATCCTGGCCAGGCCAGCAGTGGTGCCATGGATGGGACGAGGGTGCCGTGGACGGGACGTTGGTGCCGTGAACGAGATGGTGGTGCCGCGGATGGGACGGCGGTGCCATGGACGAGACAGTGGCGTGCCCACCAGGGCTCTCAGCAGGCCCACGCTCAGCCAGCATCGTAATGACTTGTGTTACGGGCTCACAGCTCCCGACGCCTTGCCGGGATGTGGAGCCCCACCCCGCCCCCGTCCCCAGGACCAGGTTGGACGCTCAGGTGCGTCCCTGCCACAGCATCCCTTTCCCGACACAGCACGAAGACACCAGGGGTGGCATCCACTCTCCCTGAGTTTCATGGCTTCGGCAGGGGCTGGTGTCCCCAAACCACATTTGTCCACAGACTCGGGGGACCCAGGCCTCCCTACACGCTGCCGGGCCTGGGGAGGGGACAGCTGCCAACGTGGGACTGGGGGCGGCAGGTGGGGGCTGGTCAAGGCGGAGGACCAGAGTCCCCCTAGTGTGACGAGCTCCCCCCGCTGCTGGCCGTCGTGGGCCTAGTGTGACGGTGTGATGAGCTCCACCCGCTGCTGGCCGTCGTGGGCCTAGTGTGACGAGCTCCCCCCGCTGCTGGCCGTCGTGGGCCTGCTGTGGACAGGCGTCAGGTCGGGTCCTCTGCCTGTCTGTTAATTGGGCTCTTTGCCTTTCTGTGATTTCCTCTCGTCTTTCTTGAGCCCCTGTGTATACAAGGCTCTGATGTGCCTCCCAGCCCCAGAGTCCCGTGGTATCCCCTCATGTCCCCGGCACTCGGCTGTGAGGCTCACAGGAGGCAATGGGGGCCTTCAGCCCTGGCCCAGCCCCTGGAGAATGACAGGACGTTTGCAGGCGGTGGAGGCCTTTGGTTAATGCTCCCTGAAGCAGACCCGGGACTGGGGGGGTCTCAGGGTTTTAATATCCTCTGGAGGTTCCATTTTTAAGGACCTTCTTGGATCAGACGACATTGTCATCCAGGATATTTCACTTTCTCCTGGGAAGATACAGACCCCAAATAGCCTCAAGGGATCTAAGGGATAGCCCAGAGGCCAGGCTGACCATGAGCCAGCATAACATACAAGAGTGGCCACGGCTTCCAAACTATCCCAGTGCGAGCCCAGCAATCCCAAATCTGGAACGCAAACCCACCGCAATCCCAAATCCGGAACGCAAACCCACCGCAATCCCAAATCCTGGCCAAAGCCACCCTGGAAAGGATTTTCAGAACCAAAATTTGCCCTCATACCAAGAGAAGAGGGTTACTGCCCAAGCCAGGCAATGCAGAGTGACACCAGACCTCACCGTGAAACCCAGCATCGGGACAGACATCGAATCAAAACACGCGTTTCCACCGCGTTACCGCGACACCGCCAGCTTCACTCTCCGCACGGTGGCTCGAGACTTCCTTCAGCCTTCTGCCCGTGATACACAGGGAATTCGGATTGTTTTCCACGGAAGTGGGGCCCGTATGATTCTCGGCAGACACTCTCGCTCACACACAGGCCGCACCAGCACACGCTGTATTCTAAACCTCCTACAGCCTTGAGAATCCTTCCCTTGAAAAGCAGCACGATTTAAAAGGAGCTCCCAAGGCCGGGCGCAGCGGCTCACGCCTCTGATCCCAGCACTGTGGGAGGCCGAAGCGGGCAGATCACGAGGTCAGGAGTTTGAGACCAGCCTGACCAACACGGAGAAACCCTGTCTATACTAAAAATACAAAATTAGCCAGGTGTGGTGGTGGGCACATGTAATTCCAGCTACTTGGGAGGCTGAGGTAGGAGAAATGCTTGAACTCAAGAGGCGGAGGTTGCAGTGAGCTGAGATCACGTGACTGCACTACAGCCTGGGAGACAGTCTCCATCTCAAAAAAAAAAAACTCCCTAAAATTCAGAACCATCACTTTTCTGTGTCTACATGAAAGTGTGGGTACAACCCCTCACACTCACAAGCTAAAATCCGAGTTTCTGATGAGAAACATCCGGAGTCCTTCCCCCACCTCCGCAGCAGCCAAGCCTGGTAAAAAGGGTGGGGGGCTACGGTGGCCACGCGTGGGGCTGCCCCTGGCCATTCCCAATGTCTGGGCCTCACTGAAGCCTCGGTTCGTGGGTCAGACATGCTCCGTGTGGGTCTGGATGCCAAAGCCCCCAGACTCACATCGCAGCTGAACCCCCCGAGCTCACTGCTCCTCTGCAGAGGGCCCGAGCGTCCTCCAGGGGGTCTTGCCAGAGTGCAGTCACCAAGTCAGGGAAGGGTGTCCCCACCCTGTGGGACCTGCCACTGGATGAGAAGGAGCCGTGACACCGTGGCTGCAGCCCTCAGGACGGCAGGAGCCAGGCTGGTCCCACCTGCACCTGGGGGAGGCCCAGAGGCTCCAGGTGAGTTCACATCCTGTGGCCGCCAAGGAGCAGGGGCTCCAAACCACACCAGTTCATTCCCTCATGGCTCTGGAGACTCCAGAAACCCTCAGTGCTCCCGGGCTTGTAGACACATGGCTCTGATCTCCGCCTCCGTCCACATGGCCAACCCGTGTCTCATTCCTCCTCTCACCAGGACGCTGGTCACGGGACCAAGGCCACCTGGCTCCAGTCTGACCTCATCTTAATGTAATTCCTCCTGCAATGACCGTATTTGCAAATAAGGCCATATTTGAGGCTCCCTAGATGAGAATTTTGGGGGCACACTGTTCCAGGAAAGCATGCTGTGTACCTGGGGTGCCAGGTTCAAGGAGAGCCTGGAAGAACAGGCAGAGCTTGTCCCCACCCTGGGTCCCAGTGCTGCCGGGGACCCTCCTGCAGGTCCAGCCCTCCCCAAGCTCCTGGAACACCTGGGGAAGCTGAGACAGCGGCCAGCAAGTGAAGAAAGAAGGGTCAGGCCTAGCGATGAGAGGCGGCTGTCAAGAGAGGCCACTTCCGGGCAGCCGTGTGGGGAGCTGAGCTCCTCAGGGCTGGAGGGGGCGGGTAGGAGGGTCAAGAAGGGAGGAAAGGCGGAGTCAACCCCGGAGTTAAAAGCTCACAATGAAAAGGTATTTCAATGAAAACCTGACATTGGAAGACAACCCTTCCCACCCTCCCCAGCTCCTGGCTGGTCGGCAGGTAGCACCCAGCTGGCGGGGACAGGCCGCTCCTGCTCTGGTGACAGCTGTGGGTGCAGTGGGGGACACGTGGTGGATCCATACCTCCCCACCAAAGATTCTACATGAGACATTTTGAAACCAATTTAAAACATACACAAGAAAGGCCAGGTGCGGTCGCTCATCCCTGTAATCCCAGCACTTTGGGAGGCCGAGGTGGGCGGATCACCTGAGATCGGGAGTTCAAGACCAGCCTGACCAACATGGAGAAACCCCATCTCTGGTAAAAAAAAAAAAAAAAATACAATTAGCTGCGCGTGGTGGCGCATGCCTGTAATCCCAGCTACTCGGGAGGCTGAGGCAGGAGAATCGCTTGAACCCGGGAGGCAGAGGTTGCAGTGAGCCGAGATCGCGCCATTGCGCTCCAGCCTGGGCGACAAGAACGAAACTCTGTCTCAAAAAAAAAAAAAGAAAGAAAGAAAAGAATACACATGAAAAAACTGAAACATCTTTTTCACGTTTTCCAATATCCACAGCCCCCCAATGCTGCCAGGGGTCACCGCCCCATAGGTGTGCACCTGGCCCTCCCCTGCCTCCCAGGGCCTCTTCTCTCAGCCACCTGCACAAGGTGATAACGCTTTGTTCTCATGAAAAGCCACTGTGTCTGCCTGGGCATCACACGCAATCCTCACCTCCCGGGTTTGCTGGCAAGTTCGACGAGCGTGTCACACGTAAGGTGAGGCAGCCAGTGGGGTTGTGGTGGTGAAGGAGGCTGTTGGGAACAAAAGACCATTCTTCTGTCCTCTTAAATTCTGCGACTGGGGCCTGCAAATTAAACTGACAAAAGACGGATCCATAGGATGAAAAACTTGATTGACAAGCACGCGGCAGCGAACAAAAGAAGTGGGTGGTTCAGCAACGTGGAAACCACTGCCTTGTATCCTCACTAGGTCAGGGAAGGGGGCAGCAGAAAAGGCTTCTGAGGGGAAGAACAAATAGGTTTCTTCAAAAAAGACAAAAGGGCTTTTAGAAGGACAATGGAAAAAGTTTGTCTGGGCGCCTCACGCCTGTAATCCCAACACTTTGAGAGGCTGAGGAGGGCAGTTCACCTAAGGTTGGAGTTTGAGACCAGCCTAGCGACCAACACGGCAAAACCCCATCTCTACTAAAAATACAAAAATTTGCTGGGCAGCTGGGCGCGGTGGCTCATGCCTGTCACCCCAGCACTTTGGGAGGCCAAGGCAGGCAGATCACGAGGTCAGGAGTTCAAGACCAGCCGGACCAACATCGTGAAACCCCCTCTCTACTAAAAATACAAAAATTAGCCAGGCATGGTGGCACACGTGCCTGTAATCCCAGCTACTCGGGGGGCTAAGGCAGGAGAATTGCTTGAACCCAGGAGGCGGAGGTTGCAGTGAGCTGAGATCACGCCACTGCACTCCAGCCCGGTGACAGAGTGAGACTCCATCTCAAAAAAAAAAAAAATTAGCCAGGCATGGTGGTGCGCACCTGTAATCCCAGCTACTCGGGGGGCTGAGGCAGGAGAATCACTTGACCCAGGAGGCGGAGGTTTCAGTGAGCTGAGATCGCGCCTCTGCACTCTAGCCTGGGCAACAGAGCGAGACTCTGTCTAAAAAAGGAAGGAAGGAAGGAAGGAAGGAAGTTAGTTTATGATAATACAGGCATAAGCGGTGTTTCTGTCTTGGTCCCCCCAAGCAGAGATTTGGGGCATGTTTTATTCCAATTCTCCCCTCTGGGAACGGAATCACCGTGAAGAAGGAATTTGTAGCAGCCTCAGGTCCCAGGAGTTGCTGGTTTTAGTCAGAAGAGAAGCTCTGAGAAGCCGTTTTTCTGCCTCTGTTGATCTCAGTTGCCTGCAGCTCACAATACTCCTGATGCCAATGTGGCGTGGTTTCGGGTCATGAATCTCGCTCCCCTTCGAGGCCCTCAACCACAACACACCGGGCCCGTTGCTCCGTGCTGCGACCCCGTCCTATGGACGCAGATCCGCTTTTCCTCTAAGATCAGGCCCCAGCAGATCTTCTAGGAGCCCCTCAGTCTCCCAAGTGAGGATGTTTCCAAAACCCAATGAGGCAGGAACCAGGAGGGGAATGTAGGCTCCACGGTGTGGAGTGAGGGGAGGAGCTGAAATGGGTCCTCACTCTGGGAAGCCACCAACAGAGCCCAGAGGGCCTCCCCAGGCCAGGCCAGCAGCCCCCAGCTCAGGCTGTGCTAAATAAACGCAGGCCACAAGGACATGCTCAGAGGGAAACCACTCCGCTGATCGTTTCCTGAGGGCCCCGCAGTGCCGACAACACACACACGTCAGATAAGCATCGCGCCTACCGTCACTCCACCCCTTCTCCACCCCCCACTCCAGCATCTCCTGGGTTCACTCTTTCAGTGAAACAGAGCTTGTGCTCTGAGCATCTGATAAATTGTCGTAATGTCTTACACCTGACACCTGGAATAATGAATAAATTCCTTCCCCAAAAATAGGCACAAGTGTTCTTAACTCCCTGAAAGAGACTTGGGCTTAGAAAGCACAGGACCCAGAGGTTCAACATGCACTGGGGCCACCAGGGAGGACCCAACGGTGAGCCCTTCCATGACTTAACAGGAATCCTCTAAGTTGAGCTTTGTTGCTTGAGTTCACACTCAACTTGCTCTTTTTTAAGTGGGACCCACTAGTACATCCCTTTCTCAACGCCTATTTTCTGATTTAATGGAAATGACTCTAGGGAGGTGAAAAGGAATATTATTACTTCACAGTCCACGTGTATTCCATAGTAAAAGTCAGGTGGTTCTGCAACATGGAGGTCTGGCATCCTCAGGCTGTGTCCTGACAGCAAACTGGACGTGGTACAGCCAAGATGGTGAGGGCCATCATCATCACCACCATCACTACAGTCTTTACTACCATCATCACCATCACTATAGTCTTCACCATCATCATCACCATCACTACAGTCTTCACCATCATCACCATCACTAGTCTTCACCATCATCACCATCACTAGTCTTCACCATCATCACTACAGTCTTCACCATCATCACCATCACTACAGTCTTCACCATCATCATCACCATCACTACAGTTCACCGTCATCATCACCATCACTACAGTCTTCACCACCATTGTCACCATCATCTTTGGCTGACACTTACATGGCACTGACCACTTGCCCTCTCCATGTATCCATTTATCTAATCCTCACACCTGTTAGGTAGGAACCATTAGCCCCAATTCACAACTGATGAAACCAGAGCACAGAGAGGTTAAAACCACGTAGGCAGAAGGTAACACCACCAGAGTGTGAACCCAGGCAGTCTGGTTCCAGAATTAGTCCTGTCCCTGAGCCCCCCAACTCTAGGTGAGCCAGCATTCAGACACAGCAGGCTCGTGGGTGCCCAGTCAGCAAGGACTGCCTTGCTTTCCTTCCTCCTGCCTCCTTCTGCTTTGGCCTGTGTCCTGCACAGAGAAGGCTCCCCCAGGCACCGTGGGGGCGGAAGGACGGGGCAAGTGGGCGTTAAGATGGGAAAGTCTCAGTCCGGGGGCAGTGGCTCACACCTATAATCCTAGCACTTTGGGAGGCCAAGGAGGGCATGAGCTCAGGAGTTTGAGACTAGCCTGGGCAGCATGGTGAAACCCCATCTCCACTTAAAATACAAAATTAGCCGGGTGTGGGGCAGGCGCCTGTAGTCCCAGCCACTCAGGAGGCTGAGGCAGGAGAATCACTTGAACTCGGGAGGCAGAGGTTGCAGTGAGCCGAGATCACGCCACTGCACTCCAGCCTGGGATAAAAAAGCGAAACAGTCTCAAAAAAAAAAAAAAAAAAAAAAAACGGGGAGGTCTGGCTCATGTCACTCACCCGCAGCTGGAGCACCCCCGAGGAGCCCCACTCAACAGTGGCTTCTCTGAAGATGAGCCACAGAAGTTCAGTTCCTGGGGAGCAGGGCTGGTTCTTTCCTGCTTTTAATGCTATAGGAAACCTCGGCTGCTGGGGAGGCTGCGGGCGAGGGGCCGCAGACAGGCCGAGGGTCTGCAGGAAGCCGCGAGTCGACAGGAGAGAGGGGATGAGAGGCGCGCTGAGCAAAGGCGGCGAGAAACGCTGCCGTCACCTCCTGCCCGGGCCCCGTGGGGCCGCCCGGCCGCCGCCACGCAGACGTGGTGTGTAAAACCGTGGGTCAGCCCGCGTCTGCTGGTCGCCGGGGAGCAGAGGCTCGTTAAGACCGTCTGTTAAAAGCCAGCGGCTTCCATCGTCACTCAGCTAAAAACGTGTCAGTGGAGAGCGGAGCCAAACGTGCTTTTTCTAGGGGAGGAAACAGGCTTTTCACACACCGGCTGTCGCCAGGACCAGGTAGGTGTGAGGGCCTGGCGGGCGATGGTGGGTGGCAAGGGGATGGCCGGCAGTGGCGCCAAAGCGTTGCGTCTTGCCAGAGCCTCCCTCCTCGCCTCCCGGTCAGATCCTCACCCTCCCTCGCCACCGCGCGCCTGCAGCCGCACTCGCCCCTCCCAGCCTTGGCCGGAGCGTCCTCCAAGGTGCGGTGCGAGGCAGCAGACAGAGTCCCCATGCCAGCCACCCTCCCCTTCTCGCTCCGTCTTGCCAGGCGACTCCGAGTCTTCAGCGGCAGAACGTGGTCCTCCCTTCGGGGTCCCTGAGCTGCAATGCAGCCGCTTGAGGCTGGGGACGGCTCCAAGGAGCCCCCAGTCACCAAGAAGCAGCCTCCAGAAAGGCCGCTGCGGGTTCCGGGGAAAGGCGGCCTGAACGTGCATTCCCGTGAGACTGCCTGGAGGGGCGAGCTCTGCTGCGGGGCAGGGGGTGCCTGATGTGGGCTGAGGCCTGTGCAGAGAAGCCAAGAGGACACCTGGACCCTCCGCCGAGTCCAGCCACCAGAGACCCAGAGCCCCCCACGAAAGCAGAGCCTCGGGCCGGGCCCTGTGGCTCACGCCTGTAATCCCAGCACTATGGGAGCCCGAGGCGGGAGGATCACGAGGTCAGGAGACTGAGACCATCCTGGCTGACACGGTGAAACCTCATCTCTAATAAATATACAAAAAATTAGCCGGGCGTGGTGGTGGGCGCCTGTAGTCCCAGCTACTCGGGAGGCTGAGGCAGGAGAATGGCGTGAACCTGGGAGGCGGAGCTTGCAGTGAGAGGAGATCGCACCACTGCACTCCAGCCTGGGTGACAGAGCGAGACTCCGTCTCAAAAAAAAAAAAAAAAAAAAAAGAAAGCACAGCCTCTGCTCCCTGCTGAGGAGGCCCCAGGCCAGGGGAGGGGGGCTGCCCCACGTGTTCCCGCTGGGTAGACCCCTGCCCCCACCCACAACAAATGGGGCACAGCAGGTGTGGAGGGGGCAGCCTTCTGCACCCCTCCTGGTGCTCAGCTCTCTCCCGGGACCCCTGCACCTCCCAAGGGCACCAGGCCTCCCCTGGCCCCGTGCCTTGTTGGCTTCCAGGCCTGACCCTACGTGACCTCTTCTCTGGGGTTCCCCTCACCTCCTCCCAGTGCCAGGGGAGGGACACGGGTGCCTACAGGGAAGGTGACAGGTCCCTTCTAGCCTCGAGAAAAGTATGGTAAGCCCCGGTTGAGGGACCTTCTAGGAAATCCCGACCTTCCTCCTCAAAACCGCCCAGACCACCAAAACCAAGGGAAGTCCAAGAAATGGCCACAGCCCAGGGGGGTTCACAGCCCAGGGGTGCTCAGGCAGCCAGACGGGAACTGTCCCAGGATGGGGAAAGGCCCCTCGGTGAAGGCCGAGGACTCCGGTAAACTGCGTCGATCCTGGTTCACGCCAGTGTGGGGTGTCACCTCCACGGGACCCTGCGGGGAGGGCACAGATGGGGGCTCGGCTCTGTCTCCTCAGTGTTTCAGAAAACCCACAGCTGCCCAAAAGAAAACCTGTTATTTGTTTAAAGTACTAAGATTCCTGTCATCCCAGCACTTTGCGAGGCCAAGGCAGGAGGATCGCTTGAGACCAGAAGTTTAAGACCACCCTAGGCAACATACTGAGCCCTCGTCTCTATCAAAAAAAAAAAAAAAAAACATTAAAAAATTAGCCAGGCACGGTGGTACCCACCTGTGGTCTCAGGAGACTGGGGCAGGAGGATCACTAGAGCCCAGGAGAGGTCAAGGCTGCAGTGAGCTAGGATGGCGCCAGTGCACTCTGGCCTGGGTGACTAAGGGAGGCCCTGTCTCAAAAAAATACATTTTTTGGCTGGGTGTGGTGACTCACACCTGTAATCCCAGCACTTCCAGAGGCTGAGGCAGATGGATTACTTGAGGTCAGGAGTTCAATACCAGTCTGGCCAACATGGTGAAACCCCATCTCTACTAAAAATACAAAAATTAGGCGAGCGTGCTGGCAGGCGCCTGTAATCCCAGCTACTCGGGAGGCTGAGGCAGAAGAATTGCTTGAACCCAGGAGGCAGAGGTTGCAGTGAGCCGAGATCACACCACTGCACTCCAGCCTGGGTGACAGAGCAAGACTTTGTCTCAAAAAAAACTTTTTAAGGTAGCACGATTCACCCATAATGACATCAGCCCAGCATTTCCACCAACCTCAAAAGAGAAGAGACGGGCCTGGCTGAGCCCCAGCAGCCCACGTGCCACACTCCGAGTTTCTGCACAGCCTGGCTGTACTCGCGGGCCCCCATCTCGGCCCCACTTCTCCTCAGCTGCTTCTGGGGTTTCTGTGAGTAATTCCCCAACAATTCGGACCTCAGTGACTCTGGACTGAGGAGTCTCACCTCCCAGAGTGACTGTGGTTATAAATAGGATTTTCTCAAGCTGGTTTCTACTCTGAAAACTGTAATAACATATGTCTGATCCTCGTCTTCAACAAAAAGATTTAAAAGCAGCAAAGCATGGCCAGGCATGGTGGCTCACGCCTGTAATCCCAGCACTCTGGGAGGCCAAGGCAGGTGGATCACTTGAGATCAGGAATTCAAGACCAGCCTGGCCAACATGGTGAAACCCCATCTCTACTACAGATACAAAAAATTAGCCCGGCGTGGTGCCGGACGCCTGTAATCCCAGCTACTCGGGAGGCTGAGGCAGGAGAATCGCTTGAACCCGGGAGGCGAAGGTTGCAGTGAGCCGAGATTGTGCCACACTGTACTCCAGCCTGGGCAACAGAGCAAGACTCCATCTCTGAATGAATGAAGCAAAGCAACGTTGGTAAAGACCCCACAACAGGCATCTGGCGGCTGTGTCCAGACCATGCTTCTCAAAGGGGACCCAGAAAGCTTCCAGGGTCCCCGAGGTCAAACCTGTTTTCCTGACACTTCTAAGAACGGTTTCCTTCCCATTCTTATTATTTTTTTTTTGAGACTGTGTCTCGCTCTGTTGCCCAGGCTGGAGTGCGATGGCATATGGCATAGTCTCGGCTCCATGCAACCTCCACCTCCAGGGCTCAAGTGATTCTGGTGCCTCAGCCTCCGGAGTAGCTCGGATTACAGGCGTCCGCCACCACGCCTGGCTACATTTTTGCATTTTAGTAGACATGGGGTTTCACCATGTTGCCCAGGGTGGTCTCAAACTCCCGCCCTGAGGTGATCAGCCCACCTCGGCCTCCCCAGGTGCTGGGATTACAGGCCTGAGCCGCTGCGCCCGGCCTCCTTCCCACTCTCCTGAAAGTGTGGGGCGGAATGTTCCGGAGGCCACCGGCTTGCAAGCAGACGCAGACATGAGAATCCAGCACAAAGTCACGCCTTCTTTTTCTTCCCACTACATTTTTTTTTTATGGGGAAACAGTTGCTTTTCCTTAAAATGCTATGTTCACGTGCAATGGATTTATTGCTATTTTTACGTGAAAAGGTGAACATTTTTAAATGCTCTGTTTCTGGTAGAGTGAATGTCCACAGCGGCCGCCCACGTAAACAAAAGCCCGAATGGTTTTAGGATTGTGAAGGGTCCTGGGAGCCGGGCTGGGCCAGCGTTGGGTGAGGATCCTTCCGGAACCCGGGGTCACGGGGACGATCACACGGACCTGTGGCTCCACCCGGTGGTGACGGCGAGGACGGCGGGAGACCCCAGCGGGCAGGAGCGCGGCCCGAACCGCGCGGCCCCGGGGATCCGCCCAGGGCAGGCAGGCAGGGGTGCCCCGGGCGCTGGGGGTTCGGGGCTGGCCGTCCTCCGCGGCGGGGCGGTCCTGCGGGTCGCAGGGTCCTGGGCGGCCTCCCCGGGCTCCACCAGCCAGATGCCTGCGGCAACACCAGCGGAGATCACAGACGTCTCCAGATGCCGGCCAGCGTCCCCCGGGGGCAGAAGCGCCCAACCCCGTGAGAGCTGCCCAGTCCACAACACAGACAGGACGGTGCCGAGGGAGGCGTCAGCACGGAGCAAAACATTCGCACATGATGGCCGAGAGCTCCGGGCACTTGCTCCACCTCCACTCCGTCCCACAGGGGCTCCAAGCCGGCCGCTCCCCACCATGGGAGTCGGGGTGGACCCAGGGATGGGGAGGCCGTGTCGGTCCGGCGTCCTTGCCGGTCCCGCAGCAATAGCAGAGGGGATGTCTGTGCGGTCGCCGCCCACGGCAGCATCTGCAGGGTCAGCGGCGCAGGAGGGGTTCAGGCCTGGGCGCTCCCTGGGGGTCTCGGCCTCTCCTTGCCTCCTGCGGGCCTCACAGACCCCGGGGACTCCCACACAGTCCTTGAGGCCCCCCACCCACGGCTGCACCAAGGGGCAGTGCCTGAGCCCTCAGCCCCGTATGAGATATATATGATATGTACACACACACACGTATATAAAGTTACAGGTGTGAAAAGGTTCATGGTGGCATTTTTTGGTAGACTGGTTTTTAGTAGGATGAGAAATGACATGGTTTTATTCTATGTCTTATGAAGCCAAATGTTTACGCACAGAAAAGCAAACAAATCAACCTTGAGGAGCCCGCACCTGATCAAGTGAGGGACTGTTCCTCCCTGTCGGGGGTAACCTCCCTGGTTCTGTCAGGGCTCACTCCTTCACTCCAGAGCGGGGACTCAACTGTCATTCAACTCATCGGTGAGGTTTTATTTCTACAATTATGTTACTGTTTTTTTTTTTTTTTTTTGAGATAGAGTCCCGCTCTGTCGCCCAGGCCGGAGTGCAGTGGCGCGATCTCAGCTCACTGCAACCTCCGCCTCCTGGATTCAAGCGATTCTCCTGCCTCAGCCTCCCGAGTAGCTGGGATTACAGGCGTGCACCACCACGCCCAGCTGATTTTGTACTTTTAGTAGAGACAGGGTTTCTCCATGTTGGTCAGGCTGGTCTCAAACTCCCAACCTCAGGTGATCTGCCCGCCTCAGCTTCCCCAAGTGCTGGGACTATAGGCGTGAGCCACTGTGCCCGGCCACAATTATGTTTTTTCATGTGAAGGTGGCTCCTTGTTCTTTTTGCATGTTTCCCTGTTCTTGCTTCTTTGTTGTTCTTCCCTCATTTATCTCCTTGGGAACTGTAAACACAGCTCTTTCAAGACCCCCTTCACGTTATTCCTTGGCTGCAACCCCCGACGTGCTGCTCTGTGGGCTGACCGCTTGTGTGCAGCCTGCATGTCCTCCGATGCTGGAATATATTTGGTTGTTCTTTCCTGCACCTGCCCTCGTGGAGTGGGGGTCGGGGGTCCCAGGCAGAGGATTTTGAGGATTGTCTCTGACCAACCTTACGACGTGCTCCAGCCCTGAACTGGGTCTTCACAAGAGCGTCTCAAGTCTGAGATGTTCACCCCCCACACCTGCGAGCAGCAAGACCGTGGCCTCTTCTCAGACTAGCAGCCTGCCCGCCTGCTCCTGAGGTGCGGGGGTGCCCCCACCCCCAGCCCTGCCAGCTCACTCCATTCTCCTTGTCCTGCTCTTGTGGGTACAGTGGCTGTCTGAGGTCCTCCACCTCCCCGTCTGGGGAGTGGGACTCAGCCCACACCATTGCAGGCATCTCTAGGGGTAACTGAAGACCATGGTGAGAATTCTCACCACAGAGCTTGAGCCCCCACCAGCCACTGAGTCTCGCCAGCGCCAGCCTCAGCCTCTCGCATGGGACTGGGCAGGTATCAGACCCCAGCATTCTGAGGCTACGTCCCACCCTCGGTCATGGGAGTACTTTGCACTTTCTATTTTCACATTTAAGCCTTAGATACAATTTCTAGGCAACAGAAAAAATCCCATCCAGAACCACGTAACCTCCAATTTTTTTTTAACTTTTTAATTTTTTTTTTTTTTTGAGACTGGGTTAAGAGACTGGCTAATTTTTGTATTTTCGGTAGAGACAGAGTTTCGTCATGTTGCCTAGGCTGGTCTCAAACTCCTGGACTCAAGCAATCCACCCGCCTCAGCCTCCCAGAGTGCTGGGATTACAGGTGTGAGCCACAGCGCCTGGCCAAAGCCCTGATTTCAATTAATAGTTTCCATTTAAGTTCACCTATGACTAAGCGCTTTGCATACCCCAGTATTCATGTTTTTTGGTTTGTTTAGAGACAAGGCCTCGCTCTGTGTCCCAGGCTGGAATCAGCTCACTGCAGCCTCAAACTCCTGGGCTCAGGAGATCCTCCTGCCTCAGCCTCCTGAGTAGCCCGGACGACAGGTGTGAGCCACCACGCCAATTTTTTTTTTTTTTTTTTTTGAGAGATAGTGTTTTGCTATGTTGCCCAGGCAGGCCTTGAACTCCTGAGCTCAAGCAATCCTCCCTTCTCAGCCTCCCAAAGTGCTGGGATTACAGGCGTGAGCCACCGCCCCCAGCCTCTATTATTTTTCATGATGCCCACCTTACCCCTGGCGGGCACTGTGCAAACACTTTACACAGCGCTGCAGTCAACCCTCCCAAAAGCCCTGGGCAGCACTGTCCTCCCCGTCCTCTAACGAGCAGACCTCAGAGAGGCTGGGCCACTCACCCATGCCAGCCACCTAATAAGTGGCAGAGCCAGCCAGGAGCCCAAGCCAAACACAGCCGTGTGGACAGCCGTCCCTCCATGCCACACCTCCTCCCTGCTGAGGGAGAGGCCAGCCGGTCCCCGTCCACATCAAGTGTCCGGAGAACCAGGTCTGCCTCCCCACAGGGCAGTGCTCTAGCCACTGGCTGCTCAGTGTGGGAGCCTCCTTTTGGGCAGAGCAGCCCGGGGCAGCCCAGAGCCCACTGGACGTCCCGGGGAAGCTCCAAAGGCAAACCCTCCATAGATCCGAGCCTGCTCCAGAACCCAGAGGTTCCGGGCCAAGGGCGCACACGGAGTTTGGGTTTGTGCTACTTCCCTGGGACATCCTGATGTGGCCTGTTTGGGAGAAGCCGCCAGGAACACCCTATCCTGTTGGCTCCATGTCCCAAGTCACCCAGACCTGTCCCACACCCTCCCCGCTGCACCGTCTCTACTGAGGTCTCTGCAAGATCCATCTGGGACATCATGAAAGGCTCTGCTAACCCTCAAAGCCCAGGTACCATGGGGTCCAGATTTGGGCGGCATTTTTATAGAAAATTGCATCAGAAAGACCTCACTGCATCTCCCAGCCCTCCTCAGGGAACCAGAGGGGACCCGTTCCTCACCCACAGCAACCTCTGCAGCCTCTCCTCAAATCCCCCAGCCTCTACCACAGCCTCCCTCTCCCCTCCCTTCCTTCTGTTAAATGAAATCTATAGGAAGCCATTGGTGGCCAGGTGCGGTGGCTCACGCCTGTAATCCCAGCATTTTGGGAGGCCGAGGCGGGAGGATCACTTGAGGTCAGGAGTTCGAGACCAGCCTGGCCAACATGGCAAACCCTCATCTCTACTGAAAATACAAAAATCAGCAAGGCGTTGTGGCACGTGCTTGTAATCTCAGACACTTGGGAGGCTCAGGCAGGAGAATCGCTTGAACCCGGAGAGGCGGAGTTTGCAGTGACCCGAGATCACGCCGCTGCACTCCAGCCTGGGCGACAGAGCGAGACTTCATCTCAACAACAAAAAAAAAAAAAGTTCCATGTCACCAAACTGAAGCTAAGTTGTTTATCTGAACTTCTGAGAAACCAGGAGAGTAATAACAGCCAAATCCCCAAACAGGCTGATCCTTGCCGGTACAATAAGGAGTTCTCTTCTGCTTTCACCCTTACAAGAAAAGCAGCTTCGAAGTGAGCGATCCGTGTTTTCTGTTTCCGCTTTCCTCAGCCCTTCCGTCTAGAAAACCAGCCTCCTCTGTTCAGCCCCCCGGGGCACTCCCTGCTCTCTGTAGAGCCAAGCGGTTGCCCGAATCTAGCATCACGAATGGAGCCCACGAGGATCTTTAAACTAAATTTGTAACTCTGTCTTGTGACAATTCTCTGGATCAGCTTATGCAGGGAGGGAAAGAGGGCAAATCAGACACTGTCCTAGTGGACGAGGAGGGAGATGTCCGACCTGCCGTGGGTCATCTCAAGCACCTACTTGGCTGGGTGAAGGGATCCCTAGAGACCTCATAAGGCGCTGCTTCTGGGTGTGTCTGCGAGGGGGTTTCCAGAGGAGCCTGCCTGGGGGTCGGGGGACCAAGGGGAAGACCCTCCATGGGGGCGGATACCATCAATCGCCTGGGGGCCCAGATAGAACAAAAAGGGGCTGGGCACGATGGTCCACGCCTGTAATCCCAGCACTTTGGGAGGCTGAGGCAGGCGGATCACTTGAGGTCAGGAGTTCGCGACTAGCCTGGCCATGGTGATACCCCATCTCTCCTAAAAAATACAAAACAAATTGCCAGGCATGGTGGCATGCACCTGTAGTCCCAGCTACTCTGCAGACTGAGGCAGGAGACTCGCTTGAACCTGGGAGGTGAACGCTGCAGTGAGCTGAGGTCGTGCCACTGCACTGCATTCTGTCTCTAGCCTAGGAGACAGAGCGAGACTCTGTCAAAAAAAAAAAAAAAAAGAGGGAAAAGAAGTTCTGCTCTTGTTCCTGGCGCTGGGACTCTCTCTTCCTCCTCCTGCCCTTGGACAGGGCCCCCAGCCTTGGGACTCCAGGACTTAACACCAGCGGCTCCTTGGATTCTCAGCTTTCAGCCCTGGCCTGAGTCACACCTTTAGCTCCCCTGGTTCTTCCGTTTCCTGACTTGGACCGAGCCAGGCTGCCAGCATCCCAGGTCTCCGGCTTGCAGATGGCATCCCTCCCGGGACTTCTCGGCCTCCCTAACCGCATGGGCCAATTCCCCTGACAAACCCACTATCATCCGTCTATTAATCCGTCTCTCCAATATATTGGTCGGCCTCTGGAGAATGCCTACTGATGCGACACCTGTTTCTGTACACTGGCTTCTGCCTCAGATCTCACAGGCGTGCCAGGGAAGAAGCATTCCAGATCCCATTTAGGAAACTGTGGAGGACGGTGTGAAAGTAAAAGCTCAGGACCCCAATTCAGGCTGCCAAAAGGACAGAACGAAGCCGAAGACGGAGCCGGTCAAGTTACTGCCTCTCCCTGTGTTGTTGGGCAGGTAACTACAGACGCGAGGTCAGATCTCACTCTCCATTGCCCTCATCTTGCGGACGCATCATCGGCGACCCCAGCCCCCCACCCCCCGCCCCTCCTTTTCTCTTCCCACCGTGGGCTCAGAAACAGGACCGGAGCCTTCCTTACCCCGCAGCCCGCTTTCCCCCTTTAAATACGGAGGCCTCAAAACCATCTCTGGAGAAAGGCATCGACCTGTCCCCCCAGGCGCGACCTCGACCTTGCCGAGCCACGCTCCGAAGCCCACCGAGGCCTGTCCCGGCTACTTCTTGGTTTACAACTGAAATGGACCAAAAAGACAGCGGGCATCCTTCTGGATCATCTGATTCTGCAGGGGTCTGCGACTTTCGCCGTCTTCGAGATATTTTACGGTCCTGGAGTTGCAGAAAACGTCGAGCAACGCGAGCGACTCTCGACCAGCGTCGCGTCCGTCAAATGCAATCGATCATCGCCAGTGGAGAGTGACCGGATATGAGAGCCCTGCCCGACTCCAACATGGCCGCCCAGCCCACGACCGAGGCCTGGGCAGCCGCTGCCAGGAGCCAAGATGGCTGCGACGAGCGCTGACGTCACGCGGGCGGCCACCGTGCGCGGCTGACCCTTTCCTGCCGGGACCCGGAAATTATCTCCCAAGGCGGAAGTAAACGGCGCGCGACGGTCGGTTGAAAAGTTGGCCGGGGCGGGCGAAGGCTGCGAGCGGGGCCGTCCGGGTGGTCTGGGCGACTGCCCCGAGGGCCCGCCACGCCCTGGGGCCAGCCCTGACCGTCTTACCTCAGTTTCCCCACCTGTAAGAGGGATCCGCTGGCGGGTCCCTTTGCCATCCCCCTTCTCTAAATGCAGGGACAGAAGACGGCCGCTGGCGGGACGGCCACAGGGGCCCAGGCCCGGCGCCTGCACGCGGGGCTCGCGCCCGGGTGTTTGGCCATATCGGGAGGCGGCAGGAGGCGGCGGCGAGGGGCCCTGGCGAGGGCACAGGCGGGTCAGGGAGCAGCGCTGGCTGAGGCCCGGCGGCCAGAGGGAGCGGGAGGGAAGGTGCGGGGCCTGGGCTGCTGCCTCCTGGGCACGTCTAGCTTTCGAGGGTCACACCGCGGGGAGAGGTGACATTTTGAAAAGGTAATGGGGGCCACGATCCCTCCAGAGGCTATAGGGAGGACCCTTCCTGCCTCTTTGAGCTCCTGGGGGCTCTGGGAGCTCCAGGCGTCCTTAAGAGGCTTGTGGCCGCGTGGCTCCAAACTTGTTTTTGTTTTGTTTTGTTTTGTTTTGTTTTTTGAGACGGAGTCTCGCTCTGTCACCCAAGCTGGAGTGTAGCGGCGCGATCACGGCTCACTGCAAGCTCCGCCTCCCGGGTTCTCGCCATTCTCCTGCCTCAGCCTCCCGAGTACCTGGGACTAGAGGCGCCCGCCACCACACCTGGCTAATTTTTTTGTATATTTTTTTTAGTAGAGACAGGGTTTCACCGTGTTGGCCAGGATGGTCTCAACCTCCTGACCTCGTGATCCGCCTGCCTCCGCCTCCCAAAGTGCTGAGATTGCAGGCGTGAGCCACCGCCCCCGGCCCAAACATTTTTTTTTTTTTTTTTTTTTTTTTTTTGAGATGGAGTCTCCCTCTGTTGCCCAGGCTGGAGTGCAATGGCATGATCTCGGCTCACTGCAACCTCCACCTCCTGGGTTCAAGTGATTCTCCTGCCTCAGCCTCCCGAGTAACTGGGACTACAGGCGCGCAGGCCACCACCCCTGGCTAATTTTTGTATTTTTAGTAGAGACAGGTTTCCACCATGTTGGCCAGGTGGTCTGCCCACTTTGGCCTCCCAAAGTGCTGGGATTACATATGTGAGCCACCATGCCCGGCCTCAACTTTTTTTGAGACAGAGTCTCACTCTGTTGCCCAGGCTGGAGTGCAGTGACATTATCTCAGCTCACTGCAGCTTCCACCTCCCAGGCTCAAGCAATCCTCCCACCTCAGCCTCTCCAATAGCTGGGACCACAGGTGCGCACCACCACACCCAGCTAATTTTTGTATTTTTTTGTAGAGACAGGGTCTCACTTTGTTGTCCAGGCTGGTCTCCAACTCCTGAGCTCAAGGGATCCTCCCGCCTTGGCCTCCATAAGTGCTGGGATTACAGGTGTAAGCCGCTACTTCCTGTCGTCTACTCTCTGTATTTTGCAAATAAAACGTTTGCAGGTCATGTCAAACATCAAGTGATTGATCTGTGGGGACGCAGGCGCCTTCCTCAGAGCCCCTCCCTCCCCTGCTTCTGCCCCAGCCAGCCTTGTGCATCTGCAGATACCGAGGCTGCTCAGGGGCGCTCTGCTGTCCACTGAGTGCGAGGAGTCTCAGGCGCTGCAGGGACCCGGGTGCTGCCACACGGGTGGACAGCCCATGGTGGCCGGTTGGAGGCCTCTAGCACAGACCCTGCACACCTGGAGGCTTCTGCTGGCAAAGCCCTGGGACCTAAGACCAGATGCCCAGGGCTATGGCCCACTTGGGATGACACACAGGGTCCCCAGATGTGTGCATCTACCCCAGTGACCCCCTTTTTGGGATGCTTGTGTCTGTTCTGGGGCTGCTCTGGGCCCCAGGGGTTGGGGGTGGGCGGTGTCCCCTTGTGAGAAGGGGCCCGCATGGCAGGAGTTCCCTGTGGGCGCAGGCCAGGCCCTGGAACGGTCTGTACCTCGCACACTGCATTTGCGAGCGGCTGCGCTGTTCCTGAGCTGGTTGGGAGCTCAGAAATGCAGGCGGGTGTCTTCCTGCCCCATGGGGTGGTAGAGATAGCCAGGAAGTGAGTGCCGGCCGCCCAGGGCCCCAGGCTTATTTCCCGAGACGGAGCTTGGCCACCTGTGGTCTGGTCTCCACGTAGCAGGATGCACGTTCGAGGCCTGTGACCCATGGGGTGGTAAGTGGGGTGTGCAGCTGCCCCACCCGTGTTGGGGTGACCTGGCTGTCCCCAGCAGCCACCTCTGCACGGGGGCTTCTGGTCAGTTCGGGCCATCCTAGCATCTGGCTAGGCTCTGCCAAACCCATTTGCCAATCAGATTTGGAAGACTGGACATTCTGTGGTTTCCCTAGCCCCGGAAGCAGCAGCAGGGCCATCCCCTGCACTGGGGGTCCCAGGATCCCTGATGGGCTGTGGCGTGACCCATCCAGGGTCTTAGAGGCCAACCTGGATTCACAGCATGTCCTGTGGTTAGAGGTACAGGCGGGTCCTTGGGCCCTGATGCACTTACAGTGGTGGCCACCCAGCCCGGGATGTTTGAATGAAGCCGTGGGGACAGCCAGAGGCCAGAACACACCGTCTTAACTTCTAGGTGTCCTTAGGCAAAATCACGGGACCTTTGTCATCCCTTTTTTTTTTTGAGACAAGGTCTCCCTGTTGTGAGCTGTGGCATGATCACAGTTCACTGCAGCCTCCACCTTCCAGGCTCAAGGGATCCTCTAGCCTCAGCTTCCCAAAGTGCTGGAATGACAGGTGTGAGCCACTGCACCCAGCCTAGTCATCCCAAAGCAAGTGTCCGTCTGTGTGGGCAGGGACTCTCCCAAAGCCAGAAGCCCTGTCAGGCTGCTGCACGGCTCTGGCCACCACCCTGCGGATCACGGGCTCCTAGGAAAGCCGCCCCAGGGACCACGACACACCGGAGGGTGGCCTGGGGCAGAAGGCGCGACTCACTCTCCCTTCCCTTCCCCCACAGACCTTGGAAAGGTCTCGCCTCAAGGCCTCCCACCACCCTCGGCTGAGCAAATGTGTCTCTCTTTTGGAAAATCTGCGACTTCTGAGCTGGTACTCTTGGAAGAGCGTAATTTGGTGGAGCCGGCAGTGGGGGCCTCTGAACCCAGCAGGCTGTTATTTTGCCCGTCGGTTCCCCTTAAACACACTCAAGTTCCGAATGGGGGCAGCACCCCATCCCCGGGAGCCCAGCTGGCATTGCTCCTGGTGACACACTGACCTCCAGTCCTCAGGCCAGGAGCTAGGGCGTCCGAGCCTGTGGGGATCCACCGCCCAGCCTGCTTCTGTCCTTCCAGGACCTCCTGCCTCAGGCCATGCTTCTGGTTAGCAAAGACATACCTAGCTTTTCAGGAGACGGGCGTCTCTTAAGTAGGAAACCTCCGGCGACTGTAACCACGCACTGACCTGCAGCTGTTCAGAGTAAACCGAGCTAAGGCAGGCACGCTACCCCGAGGCTGCAGCGCGAGCGTGGCTACGGCCAAGCCCCCAGCAGGCCCCTGACTACACAATGGAGGTCAGGTGTGGATGACAGCCACGCACCCGGGACTCCCTTGAAGTTGTTTTTTTTTTTTATTATACTTTAAGTTTTAGGGTACATGTGCACAACGTGCAGCTTTGTTACATATGTATACATGTGCCATGTTGGTGTGCTGCACCCATTTACTCGTCTTTTAACATCAGGTATATCCCCTAATGCTATCCCTCCCCCCTCCCCCCACCCCATCCCTTGAAGTTTTCCGTTGTGTTTTCTGTGCTTGGGTTTAAGAGCTTCAATTGTTTTTGAAAATCACTTTGAAACTTTCACAGATGACAGAAAAGTCGTTGCCGTGAGCTCCAGTTAACTAGGCGGAGTGAGTTTCTTTGGTGAGGAGCTGCCTTCGTTATTTCCCCAGGCCCCACGCTTGCAGTTTTGTTTGCAGGGACTGAGGGAAGTCAGCGTGTCCTCCACACACATTCACCCACCACCCCCGGGCTGCTTGGGTCCTGCAGGCCACAGGGTCCCCCTAGGACAGCCAGAGCCCTCTGCAGAGCCTAGGGCACAGGCGGGTGGAGGATGGGACTGGTCCTTGGTCCCCAGCTCAGCACTTTATCCCTCTGTTCCCCGGAGAGTTGACTGGTGTCGGGGGCTGTCTCCCCCACCCATTCGGAGTTGAGGCCGCAGCGAGAGGCCAGTCCCGGGAGACCCTGCTGCAGCTTCCCGCTAGGAAGGGATCAGAGCCCCCTATGCCAGTGTGGTACCAAGCCCTAAAGTCAGCGTGAAGGGCCTCCGGCCTCCTGTGCTTCCCCCACGGTCTTGGTTGGCTGTAAATGGGAGGTCTCGATGCTCCTGCCCCAAGCCAGGCCCAGCGGCACAGCCCCACGCCTGGTGGGTCAAGAGCCCCTCGGGCCAGGGACAGCTATTTCTAGGGCAGCGGAAAGAGCCCTGCGTGTTCTCAGCCAGCGGCCCAATTAGTGGCCTAATTTCAGAAAGGAGCCCCTGGCCTCGGGAGGCTGTGGTCACTCCGTTGGGGGACTGGCTGCCATTCCTCCCAATGAGAATCGCTGAAGCCGGGTCCAGCTGTAGGGCCGGGGGAGGCAGATTCCAGACCCGAGGCTGACTCCAGCTCAAGGCGTCAGCGCCCGGATGTGTTTGGGGGTTTCCGAGTGCAGCCTTGGTAGGAAGGTCGAAGTCAGTCTTCAAGACCCCCGTCTTACTGAGGATGGGACCTCACAGCCCCTCACACGGGAGCAGAGGTTACTGCACCCACCCAGGTCAGCACAGGACCTGCTTCTGATTCTGGGGGTCCACACGACACCGAGGCTGACTGGTGCCCCCCCAGCGACCAGAAACGCCACAGAAGTGGGGTGAGAGACGGGACCCACATCACATGCCTGGGACATGGGCCTGCAGCAGACCCAAAACCCTCAGCTTGCCCTGGCCCTGCCCCCACTTCCCTCAACCTCCTCCTGCCCTTGGCCTTGGGGGTCACCCAGACCCTGCTCAGGTAGGCAGGCCGGGTCCACCATGCAGGTACACACAGCCACTTCTCTGCTGAGATGCTGAGGACTGGCAGGACCTGCCCGGACCACAGGGCAGTGCTCACTCCAGGACGTGACCCCACGGCCCGTCTCACCTGTCCTGGTGGCCCACACCACACTCCAACCTGTGTCCTGATTCACTGGGGGCACTGGCCGTGTTGGACAGAGCTCAGGCACCCTCAGGGACCTTACTGGGTCCAGTGAATTGACCAAAAGCCAGAACCTGGAGCCTTGGCGACCCCATTAGGAGACCTCCTAGGTCCTTCCAGATGAGCAGATGCAAAGGCCGCTTGGGGTCCTGAGAGTGGCCACAGAACCCCCAGCTCTCACAACTCAGCTGCGGACCTCAGGGTGTTCCCCCGCCTGGCCCTGGCTCCAAGCCACCTGCTGTCCCAGGGAACGTGGGGGACATGCCCTGGGGTCCCCCCCGCCTTGCCTGCATCCTGGGGTGGCACACACCCCTCCCCTAACAGCCATTCCACTCTCTGGCGCCCAAAGTGGTGCCCCCAGCCACAGGGAGAGCCCTCAGCAGCCCAGAAACTAAGGTGCATCCGAAGTCACAGCACCAGGGGGCACAGGCAGGGCAGGGCGGGCACTGGGATCAGGGAGACGTCTAGCCCCCACCATGCCAAGAGGGGCAACCATCTGCCCTGAGGAGGAGGCCTCGTGCCCTGGGCTTTAAGCTGCCCCACCCCACCCCCAAATCCATAATAAAAATAATCCCTTCCCTAATGTGCCCCAGTTCCAGAGGCGCCTCTGATCCAGCCGACACACATCAGGGCGGGAGGTGCAGGTGGCCCCGATTCACGGAGTCACACTGGCAGGGAGTCCTGCTGAGTGACTTCAGGGACCTGAGCGCCTGAGAGGGACAGGGCCCACCTCTCCCCGACAACCCCTGCAGAGGTCTGGGCCACCCCAGGCAGGCCGGGCGGTTCCCTGTGACACTGGGGAAGGCAGAGTGACCTGCTCACAGGCCCCTGGCCCTGCCAGCACCCACCGAGGGCCTGGCCCACGCTTCCCCGGGGGTGGCCCAGCTTCTGCAGGGACTGTTTGGGGAGCTTGGCCCTGTGCCCCCAGAGGCTGCTGTTGCTGCCTGGGCGCCCCCACCTAGGATGCAGCCTGGTATGTACGTCACCTGCTGGTACATAGGGCACAGCTCCCACAGGAGCCCAAGGGGTACACCCAAGGGCAGGGTGGGAGGAGACACGGGGAAACGTGTCAGAGGAAAAGGGGCCAGTCTCAGCTCTGCAGGCTGACAGGTGCGGAGCCCCAAAGGGAAGCCCTCTCCCCAGAGCCTTGAGGTCACACAACCCGAGCCCAAGTGCTGCAGCTGGGGGCACCTCTCCCGAGGCAGCGTGCCCCAGAGCACCCACAGTGGACCGGTGTTGGGGACGCCTCAGGCCGCCACTCTCAGCTCAGATCAGACTGAAAAGCACGGCACTCTCCTGCCCTCGGGAGCTGCCCCGTGCCGGCCACTGGTCTGGGAACAGGGGATCGGGCTGGAGCAGGGAGCTCCACAGAGCCCCGGGGCCCCTAGCAGTAAGAGGCTCACATCCCAGGGTGAGCCACATGGCCCACACAGGATGCCTCTGTCAGGGGGGCACAGCTGAGTGTCACCTGAACCCTGCAGGCTGCAGAGGCTTCAGAGGGCAAAGGGTCCCAGCCCCATCCCCACTCCTCCCGGCTGGCCCAGGACACTGGAGGGGGAACCCACCCCCTCAAGTGGAAGGAGACCTCTCCACCAGGGCCCAAGCTGGCCCCTCAGGGAAAATGGACCAGCCCCACACTGGCCCCTGGCTGCATGTCCATCCGCTGGGTGAGCCCAGGGGAGGGGGCAGCACAGGCTATCTCTGGGGTCAGCCCAGCCCTGAGGAGGGTGTGGGGGCGGCGCCAGGGCCCAGGTGGCGGGAGGGGCGGGGCACAGCCAGGGCTCTGCCTGGCGGACTCCCGGAACATCACTTGGCCCTCGCTCTCACTCGCGGTCGCCTGGCCGTTGTCATTGTCCCTCCGCTGTCACCTTTTCAAGGTAGGTCCGATGAACAGGCGCCCGGGGCTAGGGAGGGCCCGGAGGCCCCTCGACTCTCAGCTGGCCCAGGTCAGTCCCCTGGGCTCACCCTAACTCCCGGGGCGAGGGCAGCTGCCCCGCAGGCAGCAAAACCCAACCCGAGCCGGTGCTGCAGGCAGGGAGGCGGCTCTCGCGGTGCGGGGGAGCTGTGTCCATCTGAGCGCCGTGCGCCGCCTGCAGTGCCCACCGAGTCCCGTGGCTGGGGGCGTCCACGGGGTGCACGGGGTGGGTGGCCAGGCTTGGCGGCAGCTGCGCGAAGGTAGGGCTGGGCAGCAAGGACTGGGCTGTGGGCGGGGCGCCAACACCCCGGGCCTGGGAGGACCCGCACGCAGCTAGTCCTGCGCCCACGGGGCTGAGTGTAGGGTCTCCGAGAAAAGGCCTGCACCGGGGATGGGGGCGGGTAGGGGTGCTGGAACTCCAGAGTCTCCGGGAGGGAATCCTCTGCATGACCCTGATCACTCCCCCAGAAACCTGCCCCCGCTCGCTCCCCGGCCTCCCACCCCACTACGGGCAGACCCTCTGCTGGCTGCTGGGAGTCTGCCCAATTCACCACCGGGACCCCACCAGCCTCAGGCCCTGGGCCCCTCCCTAGGTGGCCGGTGCAGCTGCACGACCAAAGGATGGGGAGACTGTTGGGCCAGGAGCCCCCTTCACAGCCAGAGGCAGGCTCCCCGAAACTTGACGCCAACCCCCACCCACCCTCCCAAGGTTCAGCCCTGTCTCCCAACCTTGGGGACGGGGGCCAGAGTTGGGACGGAGTGAGGGACTCCCTGGGCCCCTGGAGTGGGTAGGGGGAGAGGCAGGGGGCAACCCACCCCCACTTGCCTCGAACTTGTGGCAGTTCTGAGGGGTGTCAACCTGTGGCTTTCCCAGGCTGGCCACAAGCAGAAAGCACGCAGGTAACGTGTGTGGTTCCCAGACACACTGGGGACCCAGGGGCCACCCACAGCCCATATCCCAGACTCGGGTAGTATAGCCTGAGCCCCCAAGATCCTGAGCACACACCCCACCTGCCAGAGAAGCAAACTGCAGCAGAACATTCCTGTCCAGGAGTCCTGGCTCTGGACTGGGCTCTGCCATGCAAAGCAAAGGGGCACACAGCGGGGCGGGGCAGGGGCCACCTCCTGAGGACCTCGCCCCACACCTCACACCGTGGTCTGGGTCAGCCTGCGTGGGCCTCAGTGGGAGGGTAGGAGCTGGGGGCCTGCCGTGCTGAGCACCCTTTCTCCTGCCTGCAAGGGATCTTCGTAAGGTGTGGGGGCCTATGGGGGAGTAGCTGAGGATGTAAAGTTTCTTGCAGTTAATTAGTCCCAGTGCAGGAGGCGGGAGCTGGGGCCTTGTGGGAACTCGCTCTGTGCCCTGCACCCTAGCAACGCCTAGGGGACTGGCCCAGGCAGTGGTGTGGACTCTCCCCGCTTCATCCTGCGGGGTTCAGCTCAGGCCTGCGGGGAGCAGCGGGGGTGGGGACTACAGGCTGGTGGCCTCGGCCCTGTGGCTTCCTCCTGTGCCCTCCAGCCCCAGGCTGGCTGCTTCAGAAGCCCCTGACCCCATGGAGGAGTGGGACGTGCCACAGATGAAGAAAGAGGTGGAGAGCCTCAAGTACCAGCTGGCCTTCCAGCGGGAGATGGCGTCCAAGACCATCCCCGAGTGAGTGCCCCACCTGCCTGATTTGCCTCTCATTTGTCTGCCCTGCGCTGGCTGCTCATTTCCATAGCCACGACCACCGCCGCCGACAGGCAGGTGCAGCAGGAGGCCCTCGGGGGTCAGGTGCCACCACTCACCTGCCACCCGCCCACCCGCAGGCTGCTGAAGTGGATCGAGGACGGGATCCCCAAGGACCCCTTCCTGAACCCCGACCTGATGAAGAACAACCCATGGGTGGAAAAGGGCAAATGCACCATCCTGTGAGCCCCGCACCCGGCCCCTCTCACACCATCCTGTGAGACCACGCCCGGCCCCACTCCCACCATCTTGTAAGACTGTGCCCAGCCCCACTCACTCCATCCTGTGAGTCCCACTCCCAGCCCCACTCCCACCATCCTGTGAGCCCATGCCCGGCCCCACTCACACCAACCTGTGAGCCCCACTCCCGGCCCCACTCACTCCATCTTGTAAGACTATGCCCAGCCCCATTCACTCCATCCTGTGAGTCCCACTCCCAGCCCCACTCCCACCATCCTGTGAGCCCCACTTCCAGCCCCACTCCCACCATCCTGTGAGCCCCACTCCCAGCCCCACTCCCACCATCCTGTGAGCCCCACTCCCGGCCCCACTCACTCCATCCTGTGAGCCCCACTCCCAGCCCCACTCACACCAACCTGTGAGCCCCACTCCCGGCCCCACTCACAACATCTTGTAAGACTGTGCCCGGCCCCATTCACTCCATCCTGTGAGACCACGCCCGGCCCCACTCACTCTATCCTGTGAGACCACGCCTGGCCCCACTCCCACCATCCTGTGAGCCCCACTCCTGGCCCCACTCACACCATCCTATGAGCCCACGCCCGGCCCCACTCCCACCATCCTGTGAACCCCACTCCACTCGCACGTGATTACAGTCTGTAAAGGTGTGACTTTATAAAGACATCTCCAGCTTCCTGTCTCTGCACTCTGCGGGAAGCAATGCGAGGGCATGTCCGCGGCTCAGAGAACTAGAGCAAGTCCCTGATGTACAGGCTGCGCCGCACGGCGTTGGAGACACCCTCGTTGAAGCGGAACCAGACCTCGCTCCTGCCCACCGCTGTGCCCATGCGCCGCTCCACTGAGTCCTGCTCCGGGGCCGTGTCCCCTGCGGGGCCACAGGGTTGCTCCTCAGCTGTAAGGCCCCCCCACAACCCCCAGGCCCCCCACAACCCCACAACACCCCCACACACACCTGCACTCGGGACTGCTGTGCTCCTGACGACCACACGTCCAAAGAAGTCCTTCTCAGGCTGATGGGAGGAAGGACTAGTCAGTCGTATAGGACAGATGCCCCATCCAGCCCCTACCCAAGACAGGAGGACCGAGAGCCTTCCCAGGGAGGAGGGACCAGAACACCTCTGAGACACCTTTCGGAACCTGGCCCAGGCCAGCTGCCCCTCACCCCTCACTGCCATCTGCTCCCCACCAGGTGCCAATCAAGAAGAGCCAATACAGCCACTCTTCTGCCCAGATGGGAAACTGAGGCCTGGGTAGAACCCTGGTCATGCTGAGGGTAAGGAGCTGGTCCTTCAGAGCCCCCCTTAGGGCACTGAGCCAGCCCCACCCTCAGCCAGACTCCTCCTGTGGCTCAGCCCCACCCCCAAAGGTACCCTGGCCCCACCCCATGGGTGCCTTGGCCCCACCCCTAAAGATACCCTGGCCCCGCCTCATGACTGCCCTAGCCACAGCCCTGAAGGTACCCTGGCCCTGCCTCATGAGGGGCCCTAGCCACACCCACAAAGGTACCCTGGCCCCACCCCATGGGTGCCTTGGCCCCGCCTCATGACTGCCCTAGCCACACCCCCAAAGGTATGTACCCTGGTCCCACCCCCACAGCTGCCCATTCCACACCTGTTCCTCCCGGGCCGCTCGCCTCATGATGTGCTCCAGCCGCTGCTCATGGTTGCGTGGGGCAGGTCGGTGCACCCCTTTCTCCCCAATGCCCCCCAGCAGACCCTCGAGCCCTGGGGGGCTCCCATCCACCTGTAGGGAGCAGGCATTGTGAGATCTGGCCACACAGGGATACAGTGGGGATGGTGCACGCCCAGACTGCAACCTGCTCCAGAGCCTGGGTGGGCTCACCTGGGGGCTGTTCTCTACCCGGGCAGAAGCCTCCGCCCGCCGCATCTTCTCCACCTCGATCTCGCGGGCGATGAGCTGCTTCGTCTGGTAGGTGAGGGGCTTGCGGGCAGGCAGCTCAGGGAAGCGGCAGAGTTCCTCCACGTTCCTGCTCAGCACAGGGGGACACCAGGGCAGGTCAGCGGGGCCAGGCTCAGGGCCAGAGAGCCGCCGGGCACTCCAACCGCAAACCCCAAAAGCCACAAGGCCAGAGCAGGAATGTGGGGCTGAGTCCTGGTGCCACCGCACCCCAACCCTGCGGCAGCCAGGTTTAACTGCCCCGAGCCTCAGTTTCCCCAACTGCAAGTGTACGTGGGATGATGATGAAACCTGCCGATGGCTGCCACGGAGAGTGACTCAGCGTCCTGCAAGTTGGTGCCGTCGCTGGGGCAGCAGGACCCCGGGGCCACTGCCCCATGCCTCACCCCCACCACCCCCATGGCCATCCCACAGCGGGAAACGGAGTGTTGGAAAGTGCAGTCACTCTCGGGGCCCCCGGCTCCAGTTCCATGTGGGGGTGCTAAGGCTGGGAGCAGCTCTGCAGCAAAACTCAGGTCCCAGAGCCAATCTCAAGTAGCTGGAAGTGACCCCCCTTCACGGTTACATCTGAGCAAAAGATAAGCTGGGGCCCGCCACCCCCAGACGCCATGACCGTGCTTTCAGACTCCTGGCCCCATGCGGGCCCTGAACATGGAGCACAGCCGGGGAGCATGACCCTGGAGCACACCCCAGGCACTGGGGGACTCACGGCTCCAGCCTGTAGATGTACTGGCCATCGGGCGTGCGCTCCTGGCGGTAGGTCAGGCTGTAAGCGAGCATCGTGCCCACCAGGCTGGCCAGCTGTTGCTTTTCACGGGTGCTGTACAGCTGTGTGCTCACCTAGGGGATGGGAGGCAGCAGACAGGGAGCTGAGCAGGCTGTACAAATGTGTGCTCACCTAGGACAGGAGGGCAGCAGGCGGGGAATCCCCCACCCCGGGGACGGCACTCACGGGGCGGAGCTTGGGTGCAAGAATGTCCAGGAGCAGGCAGAGGGCATCGAGGAGCAGGGCCTGGGGCGTGGCCCGGCTGCGCGTGGCTGGCGCGATGCCGGACACCAGCGTCTGGATCAGGTTCCTCATCTGGCTCATCCGGTTCTGGGCCTGGGGCAGGGGGTGAGCCAAGGCCTGGTCACCTGGGCCTCCCGGGCGAGGGGGGAATGGTGGGTGGGGCCAGGGCAGCCACACGGGCAGCACAGGGGGGCGGGCACGGGGCCGGGGGCAGCCACACGGGCAGTGTGTTTGGGGGGGCGGGCACGGGGCCGGGGGCAGCCACACGGGCAGTGTGTTTGGGGGGGCGGGCACGGGGCCGGGGGCAGCCACACGGGCAGTGTGTTTGGGGGGGCGGGCACGGGGCCGGGGGCAGCCACACGGGCAGCACAGGGGGGCGGGCACGGGGCCGGGGGCAGGCGTGGTGCAGGGACGAGCACACCTCCTGCTGGCTGCTGGGGAAGGTGATCCTGGGTGTGTGGCTGGAAGCAAACAGCACATGGAAGGCCACGGGCAGGAAGGGTGGGTAGCGCAGCAGCTGGAAGCTCTGGCTGTGATGAGCAGCCCCCGCCAGCAGGTCATCGAAGGCCAGCCAGTCGAGGGCCACACACACAGCACCCAGGCTGGAGTCTCGCAGCCGCAGACGCAGGAAGTTGTCAAACAAGCCCTGCAGGCGGCCGGCAACCCCTGAGCTCCTGCCCACCCCAGGGAAGGTGCACCACCACGGACCCTCCACCTCCCGCCACAGACCCTCCACTCCTGCCTGCCGCCTGCCCCACGAGGCTTCGCAGACCCTCCACAAGGGTCCCCACGACGCTGGGCGTCTGAGGCAGCAGCACACACCAGCAAGGGGTCACTGGGCCCAAGGGGTCGGGGGAGGGTCCACCCTGAGCATCCTCGCTACAGCTTGACAGAGACTGACTTGACAGAGACTGACACGAGGGGGTGACCCACCAGGAGGCCTCCAGGAACCAAAGGGATCCAGCCTCACTCAGCCCCTCCTTAGACTGCCTGAGGAAGTTCCGCCCACCAGAGTCCAGGCCGTGGCGTCCCCACCCCTGTTCCGTGGGGGAGTCTATCCCCGCCGCTGCTCCACGCTGCCCCTCCACATCGCGGCTTTTGGGATTTGGGGATTGGTTGTGGATCCCCAGCTGCTAATCCAAAGCCGCTTAGAGTCAGCAGACAGCTTAGGCGGGGACTCCCGCGGGCAGGGCGGCAGGAAGCCCTCACCGCACTGCTCTCCACCCCATGTGCATCTTAAGTCCAGAATCCAGCCCCTCGCAGCCCCAGGCCAGGCTGTCCGGCAGGGGCTCCACCCCAACCCGCTGAGAGTCCCAAGCAGCCACCAGAGCGACCTCCCCCGTCAGACGGCCGCCCCTACCTCCTTGCCTGCCGGCCCGTGCCCTGCAGCCCCTCCCACCCTCCTGGCTCCTGCTCCCCACCTCAGAGACTTCCTGGCACCCCATTTCCCGAACCTGCCTCTCTCAGCACCCCCAAAGCGCCTCCCCGTCCATACGGGAGGACCGGCAGGGGCAGGGGCACAGCCCAGGTCCTAGCCAGGCGGCCCCAGGCAGGCATTTTGGTGGAAGACAGGTACCTGGACCACCTTCTCGTGCTCGCCCGCAGAGGCAGCGGCATGCAGGACACGGTAGAATCGCTGTGAGGCGGAGGTGAGGGAGCCCGCGTCCCCGTCACCCAGCAGGAGTGTGTCAGCAGGCAGGGCGGGGTCCTGGCCCACACGGCGCCTGCAGGTGGGGTGCTGAAGCTAGATGGACCCGTGTTAAAAGCACAGGCAGCCCCACCCGTCTCCCCGGGACACTCAGAGGCCCCATCAGAGCTGCCACCCACTTCATTCTTCTCAGCAGGGCCCTTGCTGCCTCGCTCAGGTGGAGACAGCCAAAGACACGCCCGGACCTCAACCCCCTGAAACATTCCCTTAAGCCGAGGAGCCCCACTCTGAGAGGAGCCCTGCCCTGACCCTCTGGGGTTAGGGGACCCCAGGGAAAGTCCCCCTCCGGGTCCAGGCCAGGAGCAGCACATCCCACAGGCCCAGGCCAGCGTCTCCCATATCCTGCAGCACGACCAGGCCAGCATCCCCTGGGGTCCCATGGCACGTCAGGACAGAGACATGCTGGCTGCTCCTGCCCACGGGAGGCCAAGCAGTGTGGGCAGGCAGGGGCTCAGAGACCACAGCCCAGGCCAAATGTGGCAAAAATGAGGGTGCAACTGGGACAGCAGCTGAGTCAAGGGGCGCCCTGGAGAGGGACGCCCTGGAGGCCCCACCACACTGGGGGTGTCCTTCCCACAGGGGGCCCTGGAGGCTTCTCTAGCTGACCCCCCAAGGCTGTAGGGGCGAGAACAAGCCAGGAAAAGGCTGAGGAGGGCCCTGGAGGCTGGACCAGGCAACCGCGGGCTCAGGACACTGAGTCCCCGCCTCGAAGGTAGTGCTGGCCTGCACACAGGGCTAGCGTCCTGAGGTCCGGGCACCGTGAGCATCTGGGCCGAGGCTGTGGCCACCGCCTACCTCTGGGCTCGAGGCAGCTGGAAGACCTCCTGCCACACCGAGAAGAGCCCTCTGCGCTGGTCCTTGAGGCCCACGCGTGTGGCCTGCACGTCCCGCACGCTCAGCTCCCGCTGGCCCCGGCTGTACAGGAACTAGACATAGGGCGGGGGCATGAGAAGCGGCCAACTCCTGACCCCACCCCACCCCACCCGGTGCCTGCCGGCCGCCCACCTGCAGGGTGTTGATGCAGGCCCGGATGTCATTGTCAGTTTTCTCACAGAGGGCGGCCAGCACCCCTGGGTCGGCCCTCATGCCCTGCCGCAGGGAGACCTGGTGGAGAAGGGCTGCTGGAGGGCCCGATGGTATGCCCCATCCTTTCAGGGGTTACCAGGGTTCCATGGGGAGGGGCAGGGAAACAGGGGCCAGAACGAGGCCACGCCCCCAACCCCGCCATCAGCCACACGGCTCCTGGGGCTCCACCGACCTCCTGGAGCCGCTGCACCAGCCTCGAGGGCAGAGTCGGCGGGAAGTGGAGCAGGAAGGCCTGCTGCTTCAGCTGCCGCAGGGACGGTGCGAACCTGAGGAGAGGCGGCAGGGCCAGGGACCCCAGGGTTGGCACCACAGCCCAGGACACAGGGACGGGCCGGAACCCTCCCTCCAGGCACCAGAGCCTCTCCTGACTGTGGCGCCCGCCCATGCACTCACTGGTCATTGCAAATGCAGATAATGGGCCTCATGAGGAGCCCCCCCTCTGCCCGGCGCCGTCGGCCGCCTCCCGAAGGCACAGCCGGGCCCTGTGGCCCCACCTCCTGTGGCCCCTTGCGGTTCAGGATGCTCAGGAGGACGTTGATGGCGGCCTTGGGGGAGGTCAGAGGACACGGTGAGTCCAGGCCCTGCTGCCCGCCTGCCTGCCCGCCCACCCACCTACCCAGGCATCAAGGAGCCCACCACGGGGGCCCCGTCGATCTCATCGATGACCAGGCAGTTGGGCTTCCCGCCAGCACCCAGCACCGACTCCATCTGGGTGGCCGCCTCGATGCGTGTGCGGAAGACCTCCGGGCTACGGTCGTCACTGCAATGGGGAGGTCAGGGGTCGTCAGGGCAGTGGGCGTCCCTGGCAGGGCAGCCTCCCAAGGCCGGGGCTGCCGCATTTGCGTGGAGACCGTCACATGACGCGGCTGCTGCCGATCCCGTGAACCCCGAGGAAGGACACGTTTTCCCGGCCCACACACCCAGGCCCCCACCACCCTCAAGACGGGAACATCCACACCCGGTTTCAGGTCCGCCACCAGAACTCAAACACGTCAGGACAGAAGGCGAGCCAGAGACGGACCTCACATCACTCACCTGGCGTTCATCTCCACCACAGAGTACCCCGCGTGACGCGCAATCACGTGTGCCAGGGTGGTCTTCCCCAGCCCCGGGGGCCCACAGAGCAGTGCCACCTGCAGCCCAGGTAGATGAAGGCGTAGTGTGCACCGCACCTACAGGACGCTCCCGGCCTAGCAGCCAGGGACTGCCACATGTGTCCCACAGGCTGGGCGCTCCCTCCACCCCACTCCAGCCATCAAATAAGAACAAAATTGAGCACTTTCACACACCAAGATGGCAACGGAAAAAAAAACCTACACAAAGCAAAGTTCGTGCAGACAAAACACAGCTGATACCAGTGTGACTGGCCCCCAGAAACCACCCACCGTCCACCCAGATCATCCTGGCCAGCCGCAGAGCCCTTCAGGGACAACGACTTCCCCCGAGTTGTTACTGCAACGCTCCAGTTCTAACTCACGCTAATGGCGCTTCACGCCAAGACCCACACGTCACCACACCCACGGCTCCTGGAGAAAGTCAACAGGCTGCAAGGGTGCCGGCGCCGAGTGCAAAGCCTCAGGCTTGTTCCCGGCGGCACAGCCAGCGGGGCTCACCTTCTGCTTCGGTCGCTGGCTCGGGTCCAGCCCAGCCTCCAGCATCTCCTCCAGCACCTGTTCGTGGCTCTTCCACTTGCCTGGGGCTGTGGCCTCCTTGCTGACCCGGGCCGGCTCAACACTGGGCCTGGGCTTCCGGGAAGGCCTCTCGTGGCCAAACACCACCAGGTCCCACAACTTCAGCCACTTGAGCAGGCAGCGGTTGGTGAACTGCGGGAAGGACGGGAAGGGAAGCACAGCCTGAGGGCACCGCCTCCAGGCACGGACAGTCCACCTGCCACCATGAGCCCCATGCCCCATGGGATGCCAAGCCACAGGATGAATGGCCACCCCCGTCTTCCTGCCAGCGAGTGACCGCAAGGCTCACACCAGGGGCTCCACCCCCACGGCTCTGGCCACAACCCATCTGGGAGGCCCCTGCCCTCCCCAGGGGCACTCCAGTGTCAGCTGCTGTGAAGGTAGGAAAGGGAACAGAGACTTGGATCAGGTGACACCCTGGACCCCTAGCCTGCCTCACAGGTCACAGGGGACCAGTAGCACACAGCCCTGTGCTCAGTTCACCACCTACAACTCAAAAGGGCAAACCAGAGCCCACTCCGTCTCCGAGGCCCAGTGGATTGGCTGTGCAAAAATCACTGGGCCCAGGTTCTTCCATCTTGGGAACAGAGGAAGCCAGCCACACTTGAGTGAGAACAAGACCTCACGTCATCACTGAGCAGCTCCGTGTAGTGGCGGGGTGCAAACTCATCCACCCAGAGGCAGTGACTGGAGGCGTCTTGACCGTCAGTCGGCTCCTCCTCAGGGGCCCCCAAGGGCTGGGCTGCCTCCTCCTCCCCCGACCTGAGACTGGAGAGGACCACGTCCTGAGCCACAAACAACTCGCAGGGACCATGCCAACCCACACGCTAGGAGCTAGGAGTTGGTGCAAGAGCCAACAAGGGTCCCCAGGGCGGAAGGGCCAACCAAGTCACCTGTGCAGGGTGTCTGAAAGCTTCTGGGCCTCCTGAAGCAGCCGCTCCCGCCGCTGTGCAAACAACAGGCTGGAATCAGGAGGGCTCAGGCGGCCCCGCCACCGCCCCCCAGCAAACCCGCAGCCCCTACCTCGCCGTCGACCTGCTTCTTCAGGGAGGCTAAGGACACACCCAGCAGGTCCAGCTGGCCACCGCCTCGCCATGGGACGTGGAGGAGAGAGCCCTGTGGGGAAGGGAGGACAATTGCCTCTGGGCCCCTCCTAGGTCACAGGATTCACGTCAGCCCCCATCAGTGCTCAGGGACCCGGGTGGGACAACCCCAGTAAGCTGGCCAGTGAGGGGTGGGAGACTGGACAGGGGTGCCAAAGGAATGAAGCCATCCAGATGGGTCAGCTGCAAAGGGAAATTGGGGGCAGCTTTAGGAGAAAGGAGGAAAGGGCAAAAGCAGGAGGGGAAGCAAGGAGGCCCTCTCCACCCGAGGCCATACAAACAGGCTGGACAGCAACCTGCTGTGGGGAGGCTGTGTCCTCTAAGTCTACGCCCCATGACGCAGCCTCCCCCTCTGCACCCCTGGGGCTCTGCACAGGACCCGCTTTAAGCAAATGGCAGGGGTGAGGGGCTCCAAGGACCCTTTCCTGAGCAGCACTGGCCCACCCACCGTGCAGGAAGGCCACAGCCACGCACCTGCACCCCCGGGGCCATGGGGTCAGCACGCAGCACCAGATAAGCCCGGACGCCCTCCGTGGATGTCACGTGGACGTAGTCCTCCAAGATGGGGGGCCGCCTCAGGACGGGATTGCGGGCAGCTGGTGAGGCCCGTGTGAGACCCACGTCGGCAGCAGCTTCTGAGACTCTGGAGAGAGACCGGGGCTCAGTGGCAGAAACTCAAGCGTGGGGTCACCCTTGGATATGGGTGTCCGAGACTGCTCTCAGCCATGGAACCCTCCCCACCCCCCAGGCCTCATCCAGGGCACGGGATGGGCTCCATCTGAGTCCCACTGGACAGATGGGATGGGACGCCCATGTCCAAGCCACACACCCGTGGCCCCAAAGCTCTGCGAGGTCCTCAGGGCTCGGCGGCGGGGTGATGTCCGTCGGCGAGGAGTCGGGAGGGGGCGGCTCCTCCATCTCCTCCGATCTGAAGTTCAGCCTCTTGACCACCTGCAGCCTAGGCCGTTTGATCCTGGGGGCTGGGGGAGACACATGCAGGGAACCAGAGGCCTCCTCAGCCTCGCGCCCACTCCGGAGGCCCTGGGGCAATGCCGCCAACCTACCGTGGGGCAGGGACCCGGCCGGCTGCAGGTCGGCGTCCACCTGCCTCTTCCTGGCGCCGCCCTGGCTGCTGCCCACAGATGCGGCTGGGGCGGGACTGGAGGCCGCGTCCCCTCTGGCAAGGGCCTCCTCGAACGTCCGCGGGGGTCGGCCCGCGGTGAACAGGGGGACCCCGGAGGGCGACGGAGTCGACGCCCCTGCTGGGAGAGGAGATTGTCAGCGGCCGCCCCGAGACAGCAGATCCCGCCAGCGGCGACGTGGAGGCCCCTTCGGCCCCCGGCACGCCCTCCCCGAGGTCGCCACTGTCCCGGCTTTCGCAGCTCCTCCCCAACGGCCGGGGGCCGCGCCCCACCTTCCAGCTCTGCCAGCACCTCCAGCTCGGCCGCGAACTGGTTGTGGAAATCATCCTCGACGCCGCACAGCTCCTGCTCGTAGTCCTCCATACCGTCCGCGAGCCCGAGCTCCCGCTCCGAACCTCCCGCGCCGCCGCCGCCGTCGCGCACTGCCCGCCCCGAGCGTGCCGGGCGCCGCCAATCAGCAGCCGGCGTGCCCGGCGGCGCGCGCCATTGGTTGGCGTGGCGGAGGCGGGGCTGCGCGAGGGGTGGGCGGGGCGAGTTCCTGCTCCGCAGCCCCCGCGTCCTGTCCTGGGGAGCTCGCCATTGGCCGCCGCAGCCGCCCTTCCGCGGCGGGGGCGGGCCGGGGGCGGGCCGGGGGGGGGGGCGGGGCTGCGCGCGCAGCGGTGCAGGGCGGAAGCGCTGCCAGGCGTCCGGAGCGGAGCTTCCAGGGTCTCTGGGTCGCCAGCGCGCGGGCGCGCGGCTGGAGCCGGCGCCGGGCACGGCATCGGGGGCCTGGACTGCACGGCCCGGCAGCAGGTTGGTCTTGGCGTGGGCGTGGGCGCGGGAGGGGCTCGGAGCCAGGGTCGGCCTGCCCACCGGGCCTGTGCGGGGCGCGGGTCTGCGCGGACTGCGGGGAGCGAGGAGGCCCCAGCCCTAACCCGCGCTGCGGGCAGACCTGGCTGCCGGGCCTGGTAGTGCTGCAGCCCCTCCCCGCCCCCACCGTCGGGCAGAGGCATTCACGTGCATCCCCTGGAGGGGAGGGTCTGTGGGGAGGATCTGTGGGGCAGGTTTGGAACGGGCTCTTTCTCCAGGCTTAGGTCAGGCAGGGCCCTTCAGGTCAGCCCGGAGCAGGCTGACTCCTTGACTCCCCAGCTGACGCCCTGGGGACTGATCTCGGGGACTGAGGATGCAGGTGCACAGTAGGGCTGCGGACCCGGCTCGGTGGCTTCGCACCGGAGCCCGGGTGGGGCGGTGCGGGTACCTCTGTATGCTGGGCTGGGGGCGCACCACGTGCTCACAGCACACGCACCCACGCGTGGCTCGGCAGGCCGGCCATGGAGCCAGGCAGCGTGGAGAACCTGTCCATCGTGTACCGGAGCCGCGACTTCCTGGTGGTCAACAAGCACTGGGACGTTCGCATTGACAGCAAGGCGTGGCGGGAGACTCTGACCCTGCAGAAGCAGCTGCGGTACCGCTTTCCCGAGCTGGCCGACCCTGACACCTGCTACGGGTTCAGGTAGGGGGGGCGGCCGGAGCCCCACGGTGGCGTCTGTGGAGGAAAGTGGCTCAGACTCTGGACTCTGTCCCACTCCAGGTTCTGCCACCAGCTGGATTTCTCCACCAGCGGGGCGCTGTGCGTGGCCCTAAACAAGGCAGCCGCCGGCAGCGCGTACAGGTGCTTCAAGGAGCGGCGCGTGACCAAGGCTTACCTGGCATTGGTAAGACCTGGTCAGTCCTGGGGTGGGGCGTGGGGACTCAGGATTCCCACCCCACTTGGGCAGCCCTGGCTCAGAGCCTCCCACCACGCTCTACGTGGTTGCTTGGTGTTAGGTGGGCTCCCCGGCAGCACTGGGCTGCCCCGTGAACTGCGTGCGATTCTCCCTCTCCTGCAGCTGCGGGGGCACATCCAGGAGAGCCGGGTAACCATCAGCCATGCCATTGGCAGGAACAGCACGGAGGGCCGGGCCCACACCATGTGCATCGAGGGCTCGCAGGGTGTGGCAGGCAGGGACCCACCGGGCGGGCATCGTGGGTTGGGGTGGGCCTGGGCAGGCAGGGACCCACCGGGCGGGCATCGTGCGTTGGGGTGGGCCTGGGCCCCGGGTCAGTCCCACTAACCTCACACCTGCCTTCTGCGCCCCAGGTTGTGAGAACCCAAAGCCAAGCCTCACAGATCTCGTGGTTCTGGAACACGGGCTGTACGCAGGCGATCCTGTCTCCAAAGTGCTGCTGAAGCCGCTCACGGGTGTGTCTGGGGTGGGCGGTGTCCTGGTGGTGACAGAAGGGAAACTGAGGCACAGGGCCACGAAGCTTATGTTGGGCCACCCTGAGCATCAGGGCAGAGCTGGCAACAAGCACTCCTGCGTTCTTAACTCCACGCCCTGCAGCCTCTCAGCTTCTCACCTGACACAGGGTCCCTGCTGGCTCCTGACTGATTCCTTGGGGGTCTGGCTGGCCTAGATTCTCCAGGACCGAGCACCACCCTGGCCCTGTCCTCACCAGTGGTGACCTGAACACAATCTTCTGTCCTAAATACTGTCATCCTCACTCATGGCAGGGGACAGGGAGAGTTCCACCCCAAGAGGCTGCTTCAAGACTGCAGCGGGGTCATGACGGGAGGTGGGTCCTGGTCAGGGAGATAGGTGTGGATCGGCCCCGCTCCCAGCTTGATCCGGCACCGCCCTCATCCCGCAGGCCGGACACACCAGCTGCGCGTGCACTGCAGTGCCCTGGGCCACCCCGTGGTGGGCGACCTGACCTACGGAGAAGTCTCGGGCCGGGAGGACCGGCCGTTCAGAATGATGCTGCACGCTTTCTACCTGCGCATCCCCACGGACACCGAGTGTGTGGAGGTCTGCACGCCTGACCCCTTCCTGCCCTCCCTGGATGCCTGCTGGAGCCCCCACACACTG
The DNA here is from genome assembly GCF_000001405.40 of Homo sapiens. Taxonomy (NCBI): domain Eukaryota; kingdom Metazoa; phylum Chordata; class Mammalia; order Primates; family Hominidae; genus Homo; species Homo sapiens. Next base: position 786,159 of record NC_000016.10, on the reverse strand, counting down.
CTGCAGTCGCTGGACCAGCTCGTGCAGGCCTTACGGGCCACCCCCGACCCTGACCCCGAGGATAGGGGCCCCAGGCCAGGCAGCCCCTCCGCACTCCTGCCTGGGCCCGGCCGGCCTCCTCCACCCCCAACCAAGCCCCCTGAGACTGAGGCACAGCGGGGCCCCTGCCTGCAGTGGCTGTCGGAGTGGACGCTGGAACCGGACAGCTGAGAGCCGTGGGGCTGGGGCAGGGGGTGTCAGCTGCACAGCGGGACTCTAGGGAGATGGGCGAGCGAGCGTCTGCTCACTGGCTCTGGGGCCTCGAGGTGCCAGGCAGCATCAGGCCCACTGGGTTGCCCCGGCCAGGCCTGCGAGGAAGGGCTGAGGTGGGGCCGGCAGGGGGCGCCAGGCAGCCGTGATCACAGGTGACGACCGCACCGCGGCCGTGGGACTGATGCGGGATCCCGAGGGCCTTCCTGCCCACATGCCCCGGGAGAAACCGAGGCCCCTCCCTCCTCCTGGAACAGCTTCCGGCTCTCAAGCGTCACCCCAGGGGCGTCAGTTTTACGGACTCAAGGTCACCTCAGGAAGAGGCAGGGCCAGGTTTTGGGATAGGCTTTGCCTCCAGGATGGGCTGCTCCTGGGCCTGGTGAGCTACTGCCCCCAACCTACCCTCTAGAGGGGCTGGGAAGGGCCGTTCTGGGCTCACCTGGCCTGGGAGACCCATCTGGTCCCTGCGTCCTCTGCCCCTCACTGCTCTGTGCAGATCCTGTCGCCCTCAGCTGCCTCCTCCCGAGACCTAATGGTCCCTGCTGGGCTCGAGTCTGCAGGCCCGGCTGCGTGTGCCTTGGCCTCACTGTACCAGTGGTTCCCTCTCTGCCCGGATTCTGAGCTCAGTGTGGTGTTTGGTGCACAGGGGTTGGTCAGGGGCCATGGCCAAGGCCCTGCCACGCACGCCCATCCCTCAGATCCACTGTGAGCACCAACCTGCTGCAGTCTCTTGGGCCCCTGCTGGCAGCTCTGCCACGTCACCGCCTGCCTGGCTCCCACACAGCCATGCATTGTCACTCTGCCTCCGGGACCCCAGCTTGGGAGCTGTGGGTCTGCCAGGTCCCACCTCCTCTGTCCCCCATGCCACAACCTGGGCTCCTGGCTACAGCAGGGCTCCAGGGACTCCAAATAAATGTTCAGTGACTGGCTCCAAGGATGACCGTGAACGTGTCCGAAGTGGGGCTTCCAAGGGACAGGTCTGGCCACCCAGACCTTTCCTAGCTCTCTTCCCTGCCCTGAGGCCCCAGCAGGACCCAGGACAGACGCAGTGGTCCAGGCTCCTATCGGCCTCTCCTGCAGACAGCAAGCACCGTGCAGCTTTGGCCTGGGCACAGACCCTGGGCCGGCCCCGGACAACCCCCAGCCCCCACAACCAGAGCCATGGGAATACCCAGCTGGTCCAGCCAGGGATCTTCGTAGAGCCCAAGTCTCAGAGCTCTGTGGAAGGGGCATCTCATGGGCCAGCACTTGGTCTCAGGTCCGCCTGGCCCCTGCCTGCCACTGTCCAGCTCCGGGGCCAGCCCTGAAACCCTGGTTACGACCCCAGCGGTGACAGCAGCAGGGCCTGGACCAGAGGCAGCTGCCACCGTGCCCTCAGCCGAGATGCGGGTTCCAGACCCGGAGTCCCCACCGGGGCCCAGACCGGAGGCAGCTGCCACCGTGTCCTCAGCCGAGACGCGGGTTCCAGACCCGGAGTCCCCACCGGGGCCCGACTGGAGGCAGCTGCCACCGTGCCCTCAGCCGAGACGTGGGTTCCAGCCCCAGAGTCCCTGAGGTGAGGCCACAGGCCCTGGACTCACTGCTGCTGCTCCCATGACTCAGTTTCCTCATCTGTAAAGGAAGGGGCTGGTGCAGATCCGAAGGGACCGCATAACCCTCAAGTAGCACCAGTCGGCCACCCCAACAGAGTGCGGCAGCAAAGCCCTCCCGGCCAGCACGCCCATCACTCTCGAGGCTCCTCCCTGGCCAGCCCCGGGACGTGTCCACCCTCGGGCACCTGGCCCCGGCCTCCCCTCCCCCAGGGCTGGCTTATCTCCAGGCCTCCTCCTGGTCCTTGTCTGAATCAGCCCAAGTCAGGGCCAGGCACGCCTCCCCTCTCTGGCTGGGACAGTCTCCCCACCCTGCCCCACGGGGCCCCACCCCTCTAGACTGGGGGCTGCCGACCTCACTGCCCCAACAGCAGCTGTTGGAGCCGCTGTGTCCAGCTGGGCTGGCCCAGCTGACAGCCGGCCAAGGGGCCTTCAAGGCCTGACCTGAGCCGGACCCTCATCAACAAGCCAGGCCTGAGCGCCGTCCCTCATGGTGCCCGTGCCTCGTTGTCAGCCTAGAGCTCTCAAAGGGGCACCTGGGTTCCTGTGGGCTTGTGCAGGCCTGGGGAGCAGTCACCTACCAGTTCCCCTGCCGTCAGCCTCCAGAAGACCCAGATCGGGGGTCAAGTCTCAGCTTGGCCATGGAGCTGGCTTGTTGGGCACCCATAGCATAGCTGTGGTGCAGGGGGTGGTGGTTCCACAGCTGAACCTGAGCTGCAGGTCCTGCCAAGCAGGGGCTGAGTCTCTCCCAAGATGAGAGCTGGGGTAGGTGGGCCAGGCCAGGGCTCAGCCTGGGTCACCCAGCACCCTGTCCCAGTGAGGGGAGAAGCCTGGCAGGTGGGCTGGGAAGTCCCTCCTGTGTCTTCTCCTGCCCTGGCCTGCCTGGTGGAGCCCGACAGTGCATACTTGGGTGCTCTTGCCTGCCCACCTCTGAGCTGCGGCACCCACGGAATGGCCGCAGCCGTCACCATTCCTGGCCCCCGCATTGGGTACTCGTCTGCCTGATGTCCCCGCAGAGGCACACATGGTGGATCTGTGTCCGTGCTCCCGGGCACACAGACCAGGAGGCCCGAGAGGCACCTGTGCACACGCAGGCACCAGCAAACACGGCAGACTCAGGTGCAGGCGCACGACATGACCCCTGGGGCACAGACGCTGCAGAGCAGGGCCCCAGTGGGTGGGGAGGGGTGTGAGCTGGGCAGCTGCCAGCCGTGAGCTCAGCCTTTGCTCTAGGGGAAGGGAGTAGGTGCCCATTGTGCCTGAGGTCCCCAGGGGCTGACGCGGTGCATCGCCTGGCACAGCCCGGGCCTCCCCCACAGGACTGCCTGGCGGGCGTCACCGTGGGAGTGGGACTGGGCGGGGCGAGGCAGTCTCATGCCGCCTGCCAGGCCAGGCATGGAGGTGAGCGGGGACCCCGGCATCCCCGCCCTGCACCGCCTCTGCACCCGGGCGCTCAGTGGTAGCGGCTGACGCACTTGGCGGGCTGGGATTGCGTCTGGATCACCTGGTCCACAACTCCCTGCCAGGAGCAGCCACCCCACAGCCTGGGCAGCACCTCCCTCCACCACACCCAGGGTTTCTGCTCAGGTGAGAAACGCTGGCGGGAGCCACCACCAGCCCACCCGCAGGGCCGGTCCCGGACCTGTGGCTGGGCCTGAACCTCTGCATTTGCCTCTGCATGGGGCAGCCTCCCTGTCTCCCTCCTGGGCCACAGTCAGGAGGCCCAGAGGTGCCCAAAAGCCATCAGGCTGGCTCCAGGAGGAGGCAGTGACCCACAGCAGTACCGGACTCCTCTAGGGTCCCTGGCCTTGCAGCTTCCATTTCCAGCATGGTTGAGGCTACCCCAGCTGCCACTGGGGGCTGGATGTCAGCGAAAGAGCCCAACAGCTGGGGCTCAAAGAGGGAAAGGGAGCTGCCAGGGCTGCCGGGTGTGGGGATGAAGCCAGGGCTGCACGAGGCTGCCTGGGGGACTCGCTGTTTGTTGGAAATCTGTTCATTGGAGACCCAGCAGCCCATGGGTCCCCTAGGCCCCGACCTGCAATAAGAAAGGCCCCAGGGTTTCACCCGGCTCCCGCTCCCTGCTCCTGCCTTTTACTGTTTATGGGATCCTTTCCCCTCGAAGGTGGGAGAGGCGCAGCTCTGGCCCCGCTGCCCTGGGTGAACCTAGACTGCACCCTCCCTCTCCACACCCCAGGGGGTGGGAGGCAGTGCGGGGCCAACCTGTGTGTCTCACCTGTGTCTCGCCTCTGTCACGCCTCTCCAGCTAGTCCTGGACCCACTGCCCTTGGCCCCAGCACCTTCCTGCCCTGGGACGTCTCAGCCAGGATGACCAGTGCACGCCGCCGCACAGACGTGGGCCCCAGAGTGGGTGAGACGAGACCTCCATGCAGAAAGGGGGCCTCCAGAGTGCCAGGCCCTCATGGCAAAGCCATCCCGTAGACATGGGAGTGCCCAGGGCCCTGGCCACCCCATTCTCCTGAGCGAGGGTCTGTCCCAAGCCAAGGAAGGAGAAGGTGGGCCCTGCCCAGCAGCAGCAGGACGGGGGTCGGGCTGCCAGGGCACTGTGAGCCCAGCCCTCCCCAGCAGGCATGGGGGTCCTGGGAGGGTGAGGCAGGGCAGGCAAGTTTGGCTAGAGGGGGCCACTCCTGGCCCAGGCAGCTGGACATGGCTTCTGGGGAAACGGTGTGGGGGTGAGTGGAGACAGCGTTCTCTCGGGCAGTCCGGCCACAGGCAGGGCTGGGCTCTGAGGCCAGGGTTGCCCAATGCCTCACCCTCCCTGAGAGGGGTGGGCCGGGCCCCAGCAGCCCAGGAGGCCGTGGTCAGATTTCTGTGTGGGCTGTGGCAACCCCTGCTTGACGCCTGCCGGAGAAGAGACTTCACCACGTGGTCTCCCCAGGGCCAGCAAGATAAGGGGGCTCCCCTGCACCCAAACCCCCTTCCTGGGCTGGGTTTCCAAAGCAGGAACATGGGCTGGGCTCCCAGTTCCTGCTGGGAGGCCCTGCCGTGACCCCCACTGCAGAGCTGAGCAGCCGGGGCCCTTGAAGGTGGCTTCTGCCCCCACAGCTCTGCTGCCTTAGGGGTCTCAGGGCTCCACTGTGAGAACACAGAGCCATGGGGCGTCTGGAGGGAGGTAGAAGGAGCTCACACACATGCACCTGCCATCTCACACATGTGCAACACAGGTGGACATGCGCACACGCTGCCAGAGTCATGCACACAACTGTCACCTACCCGTGCACACTGTCACCTACCCATGCACACAGCTTTCACCTACCCGTGCACACAGCTTTCACCTACCCGTGCACACAGCTGTCACCTCCCCGTGCACACAGCTGTCACCTACCTCTGCACACCGTCACCTCCCCATGCACACAGCTGTCACCTCCCCGTGCACATAACTGTCACCTACCCGTGCACACAGCTGTCACCTCCCTGTGCACACAACTGTCACCTCCCTGTGCACACAGCTTTCACCTACCCGTGCACACAGCTTTCACCTACCCGTGCACACAGCTGTCACCTACCCGTGCACACCGTCACCTACCCGTGCACACCGTCACCTACCCGTGCACACAGCTGTCACCTACCCGTGCACACAGCTGTCACCTACCCATGCACACTGTAACCTACCCGTGCACACCATCACCTACACGTGCACACAGCTGTCACCTACCTGTGCACACTGTCACCTACACGTGCACACTGTCACCTACACATGCGTGCCTGCACGCATCCACAGTCTCATGCCTGTGCTGTATACCCGTGCACACTGTCACCTACCCGTGCACACTGTCACCTACATGTGCACACTGTCACCTACACATGCGTGCCCGCACGCATCCACAGCCTCATGCCTGTGCTGTATACCTGTGCATACTGTCACCTACCCGTGCACACTGTCACTTACACGTGCACACTGTCACCTACATGTGCGTGCCTGCATGCACCCACAGCATCACGCCTGTGCATGCTCCACCAGACACGTCCTGCGCTTGGGCCCAGGCTGTGCACAGGTGGCCAGTGCTGTGGGGCTCCAGAAGTTCCTCCATGTCCTCTGGCCTCAAGCAGACCCCCATGGTGGGGGTCACAGGTCCACCCTGGGACCCGGATGCCCCGGCCCCTGCTCCCGCCGGGACCCTCACAGCCCACCTTATTCCAGGTGCCCTGCAGAGCTCAGGCCTCACCCTCCTGCTGTCCCTTGCTGCCCACTGCTCTGGGCCCCAGGCCAAGGTTCTTTCCCCAGGAGGGCTGGATGCCAGCGGGGCCAACCTGTGGGCCAGGTGAGTGCAGCCCTCCTGCAGTAGGGGTCTGCTTCTTGGTCAGGCCAGGGGAGGGGTCAGACGAGGGGATGGGGAGGGGTCTGGGGCTGGCCGCCAGCAGTCTGCACGCTGAGGCTGTCATCTCTTGCTCCACCTTGGGGGGCCCTGAGATGACTCAGCGTCCAGTGTCCAGCTTTGGATCTACATAGCCGGGTGTGGGTCCTTCAGCCACTGCCGAGGCCTCAACCGTCAGGCCCTGCCGCCTCTGCCCACCCCAGAGGACACTCTGGTTCCCCGCACTGCCTGGAACCTCATGCTGGGCTCGGCCCTCCTCCCCATCCTTCAGAGTTAGTGACAGTGACAGGCTGGTCAGTTGACTAACCAGGGCGTCTGTGAGGCAGGGCTGGGGTCCTGAGTGGCACAAGGCCCGCTCTGTGTTGGACTGGATTAGACTCACACCACAAGGAAGGCTGGGGAGACGGCTTCCCCGGGGCTGCCCAGCAGGTGCCAAAGCCCTGGGTGGGGGTGTCTCCTCCTCAGGTGCCTCAGCAGCCAGCGGGGATGTTCAGGGAGCCACCTGAGCTCCCGGCCGGCTGGGACCCAGCCTCAGGAGGAAGTGCTGTCCCAGGGTCTAGGCAGGGGCCACACATAAGGCTCTGTGTGCAGCCCAGAGCCTGGCCCCACAGGGTGTTCTGGAGAGAATGAATGAAAGACAGAATGAATGAATGAGTGAGTGAGTGAATGAGTGAATGAGTGACCGAATGAATGAGTGAATGAATGAGTGAAAAATGAGTGAACGAGTGAGTGAAAATGAGTGAATGAGTGAGTGGGTAAATGAATGAATAAGTGAAAATGAGTGAGTGAATGAATGAGTAAAATGAGTAAAGAGTGAGTGAATGAGTGAAAATGAGTGAATGAGTGAAAATGAGTAAAAATGAGTGAATGAGTGAATGAATGAGTGAATGAGTGAGTGAAAATGAGTGAATGAGTAAAAATGAGTGTGTGAATGAATGAGTGAATGAGTGAGTGAATGAGTGAGTGAGTGAATGAGTGAGTGAGTGAATGAATGAGTGAATGAATGAATGAGTCAATGAGTGAATGAGTGAGTGAGTGAAGCAGGACCTTGCCTGTGTCCGGGGCACCACCTCCCACTCTCCCTCCTTCAGTGCTGGGGAGCGGTGGAGTCAGACCTTGGTCCTGCAGGCTGCGTGCGGCCCATGCCCTTCTGCTAGGCAGCCCCCCTCAGCTGCTTCCACCCCTCCTGGACCCTCCCTGCCCCTGTCTCCTCCTCTCTGCCCAGTGCCAACTGCTCCCTGCTGCAAGGCTTCTGGTGCCAGCCGGCCAGCCAGCTGCCCCGGGACCAGCTCTCAGCCCTAATCCAGAGGCTGGCCTTGCTGCAGGTCCCCCTCCAGGCCTGGCAGGTGAGCGGGAAGGAGTGTGAGTGGGTGGGCGGGTGACCGAGGCCAGGCTCTGAGGGATGGGCCCGGATAGGGAAGGGCACATGGGCTCAGGTGTGAGAGGCGAAGGACGGCTAAGCGAGAGCTGGGGCACAACCCAGTGTGACCACGGTCGGGACAGGGTGTGTGGCCCCCTAGAGCAGGAGGGCTGTGTGGAAGCCAACCCACCAACTTCAGAGCCACCTGGAGTGTGTCTCTGCGGCCCCCCAGGACGGGAGGTCCACCAGGAGGCAGGGTGACTTTCGGGTGCAGCCCAGGCTTATCTAATTCCAGGACGTTGTAGCCAATTTGCCTGCAGATGCTCCCCACTGTGTCCCCAGTGAGGACGAGGGTTCACCCTCCCCTCCCCACCCACCTCCGCGGGGAATGGTGCCCAACTTGGGGTGCATACTCGGGGCCCCCAGAGCGGATTTTACAGCCCACAGGCTTCTCCCTGCACGGGCTGCAGGATCCTGGCCTGTGCGGGGCCGTCCAGGAAAAGGGAAAGGCAGAAAGACCTCCACCCCTTCACGGGAAAACCACACAGTGACATAGTTTAGAGTTATCTGAGCGGTATGAGTGATCCCGGCCCGAGGAAACAGACTCAAGAGGTGTGAGCGCCCTGAGGCCGGCGGGTTGCAGGCTGGTTTTCTAGGCATCCAGGAAGCAGGAGTTACAGGCAAAGAGGCAGGGAACACGGGGTAGGCAGATATCAGCCCGTTCTCCCTGAAAAGGCAGGATATCTCAAATTGGGGGCTTATAAGTCATAGGTGGATTCAGAGACTCTTTCGTTTGTAACCGGTTAAAGGAATAAAGCCCTGTGTAAAACATGGACTCAGCAATAGGGAATGCTTTCAACTCAGACAAGGAGGCCACAGGAGGGACAGAGGGACAGCCAGCAGGCACCACCTCCCCTCTGCCTGGCACGGCCGTAGGTCTCATTTATAATTTGGTATCTTATTGCCACAGTCTTTTTTTCTCTTTTATTTATTTATTTATTTATTTTTTTTTTTCTTTGAGACAAAGTCTCGCTCTGTCGCCCAGGCTGGAGTTCAGTGCTGCGATCTCGGCTTACTGCAAACTCTGCCTCCCAGGTTCATGCCATTCTCCTGCCTCAGCTTCCTGAGTAGCTGGAACTACAGGCGCCCGCCACCACGCTCGGCTAATTTTTTCTATTTTTAGTAGAGACAAGGTTTCACGACGTTAGCCAGGATGGTCTCGATCTTCTGACCTCGTGATTCGCCCACCTCGGCCTCCCAAAGTGCTGGGATTACAGGCTTGAGCCACCATGCCCAGCCTATTTATTTATTTTTGAGACAGAGTCTCACTCTGTCACCCAGGCTGGAGTGCAGTGGCACGATCTCGGCTCACTGCAACCTCTGCCTCCCGGATTCAAACAATTCTCCTGCCTCAGCCTCCTCCCAGATAGCTGGGATTGCAGGCGCGTGATACCACGCCCAGCTAATTTTTGAATTTTTAATACAGACGAGGTTTCACCATGTTGCCCAGGCTGGTCTCAAACTCCTGGCCTCAAGTGACCCGCCCGTCTCGGCCTCACAAAGTACTGGGATTACAGCCATGAGCCACCGCACCTGGCCTTTCTCTTCTTTAAAACATATAAAATTTTATTATGGTACTTATTTTTTGAGATAAGATCGCACTCTATTGTCCAGACTGGAGAGCAGTGGCACCATCTCAGCTCATTGCAACCTCAACTCCCAGATTCAAGCCATCCTCCCACCTCAGCCTCCCCAGTAGCTGGGACAGTTGTTTTTGTTTTTGTTTTTTGAGATGGAGTCTCTCTCTGTCACCCAGGCTGGAGTGCAGTGGCACGATCTCAGCTCACTGCAACCTCTGTCTTCCGGGTTCAAGTGGTTCTCCTGCCTCAGCTTTCCAAGTAGCTGAGACTACAGGCGGCCGCCACCACGCCCAGCTAATATTTTTGTATTTTTACTAGAGACGAGGTTTCACCATATTGGGCAGGCTGGTCTCAGACTGGCCTCAGGTGATCCGCCCGCCTCGGCCTCCCAAACTGCTGGGATTACAGGCATGAGCCACGGCGTCCGGCCTAACTTTGTGATTCTTTTTAGAAACAGGGGTCTCACTATGTTGGCCAGGCTGGTCTCGAACTCCTGAGCTCCAGTGATCAGCCCTCCTCAGCCTCCCAAAGTGCTGGGATTACAGGCATGGGCCACCACACCTGGCCTGCTTTTGGCCTTTCTTTTGATAATCAAACAGGCTGAACATTCTGTTCCAGCTCACAGGCGTTCTGGGTGTTTGTGGGTAAGAGTTTTTCTTCCCCTCCCTCTCAGCCAGGAGGACCTTGCGCTGCAGGAGGCTGGCAGCCCCTGCTCCATTCCCCGGGGCTCCTTTCAGGCTGCAGGAGGGTCCCCGAGCCCCCACCCTGGGTGGGCTCCTCCTCAGGGATGAGACCCTGGTGAGGGCCGCACAAAACTCTGGGGCTGTCCTTGTCTGCCTCGGAGCCCCTCGCCTTATGCACCGTACGTCCCAAGGGCTTGCTTGACATAAAATCAGGCAAAGGGCCCTCTGAGCAAAGGGCTAAAAACCCTTGAAATGACCCCAAAGGCCAGGCTAGACAAGCCTAGGCAGGGGGCGCTGAGGCTGGGCAGCGTGCTGCATAGGCTGAGAGGGGCAAGCAGAGCCTCAGGGAGCATGGGGTGGGGGGTGGAGGCCGGGCCTGGCAGAGCCCCGATGCCAGGAGGAGGCTGTCAGGTGGAGCCGAGGGGCACCACCCAGAGTCCACTTGGGAAGCTGCCAAGGGGCTGTGCTGGAGGAGACCCCCAACCCCAGCGTCGTGGGGCCTCCTTGGTGGAGACAGGCAATCGTCTACACCCGCCCAGCATCCGGACGTGTGCTTTAACACCCCGTCAGTGAGGAGGCGGCTTTGGGGCTGGGGGCGGCCGTTTGGAGGCCTGTTCTGCTGTGCGGGGTTCCCCTCCAGGCAGAGGGGCAGGCACGGGTGGCCGTGGGGATGACCCGACATGTGGGAAACGGGGCCGAGAAGTGGGTGGGGACTGGGGCCTGAGGCCTCCGCAGAGGGGAAGGGCGCCCACGGGCTGCCACGGCGAGTCCAGAGTCACGAGGGAGCGCCGTTCTGCCCAGCTCAGCTGCTTGGCCAACCTGGCGTCACGGTGCGGCCTCCAGGACGACTTCACGCTCCACCCACCCAACCTGCTGCTCTTCTACAAGTGAGTGCCCCTCCCTGCCCGGCCACCCGGCCACAGGAGTCCTGGGGGCCCTCAAAGCCCCAGGGGCATCTCAGGGCTGCTGGGAGGTCCGGCCCCACCCCCAGTCGGCCTGACAGCCTCACACTCACCTGTAGCCTGAGCCAGGTGCGGGAAGCCGACTGCCGGGCCTTCATCCGCCGTGCCGCCCAGGGGGACGTGGAGCTGCTGAGCCATCTACCCGACCAGAGGGTCGCCCTGTGGCGTGCGGCTGTGGCCTGCCTGGTGGGCGCTGGGTGGGGTGGGCCGGAGCGTGTGGGGGGTGGCTGTGGCCTGTCTGGTGGGCGCCTGGGCAGGATGGGCCCGGTGCATTGGAGGCAGCCTCCCGCTGGGCGCCGACCTGCTGGCCCTGCAGGGGGTGGCCCGCCTGCGACTCAGCGCCTCCGACCAGCAACTGCTCGGGGCCCTGGTGTGTGACATGGACGCGTCCAGCATCGGTGCCGCAGACCCCCACATGCTGGAGAACCTGCGGCGCTGCCCCCGGCTGACCGCTGCCCAGCGCATTGCCCTTAACTCACTGCTGGCCGGTGGGAAGACCTCGCTCGGGTGGGTGGGGTCACAGGGCTGGGCAAGGAGGCGGGGACGAGACGGGAGGCAGCCCGGGGTCGGCCCAAGAGGTCACCGATGTCCGCAGCCCACTGACATCTGACCTCTGGCCTCAGCCTCACTGGGTCCTGCGGCCGAGGGGGCAGAGGGTTGGGGTGCTGTCCCGCTGGCTGTGGTGGGGGCATCCCTCTCGTGGGTGCCAGTCGGGGGCTGGGTGGTCAAGCACCTACTGGGTGCTCCTCCGGCCTGCTGGGTGTCCACAGAGGGGCAGGGGCTCCCAGGGCGGGGGGCCTGCCCTGGACCCAACACTGCGCCCCATTCTGTGCACAAGGCCCCCTGGCTCCTGGACACTGGAGGGGCTACAGGCCCTGGGGCCCCTGGCCACATACATCAGCCCTCACCTGTGGGCGCAGGTGCAGGAGGTAGGAGGGGGCCCCGGGGTGGGCACAAGCGGGCCGTGGCACGGGGACCTGGGCCACCAACCTCAGCCCACACCTGCCCCGCCAGGCCGTGGGCCTGGGCTTCTTCCGCAGCGTGGTGGCTTCGTGCCAGGTGGGAAGGCTCGGCCAGCGCGAGGCCAGGTGCTTCGTCACCAGCTTCCTGGAGTCCAAGACCAAACCAGTGTCCTCCAGGCCCAGGCTCAGCACAGGTCAGGATGGCCACTGAGGCCTGCGACCCTGCACCTCACCGGTCCAGCTTTTCCCTCGGGCCTGGCTGACTTCAGAGAAGTAGTTTGGACAAGTTCTTGGTTAGAACTCAGGGAAAGCCAAGGTCTGACCAAGGTCAGAAGTGGAGGGGAAGGGGTCAAAGAGGGGGCCTGGGCCGGGCACGGTGGCTCACACCTGTAATCCCAGCACTTTGGGAGGCCAAGGCAGGCACATCACTTGAGGTCCATAGTTCGAGACCAGCCTGGCCAACATGGGGAAACCCCATCTCTACTGAAAACACAAAAATTAGCCGGGCGTGGTGCCTCATGCCTGTAATGCCAGCTACTCGGGAGGCTGAGGAGTGAGAATCGCTTGAACCTGGGAGGTGGAGGTTGCAATGAGCCAAGATTGTGCCACTGCATTCCAGCCTGGGCGACAGAGCGAGACTCTGCCTTAAAAAAAAAAAAAAAAAAAAAGGGGGCTGGGCACAGTGGCTCAGGCCTGTAATCCCAGCACTTTGGGAGGCCGAGGCGGGATGATTCATTTAAGGTCAGGAGTTCAAGACCAGCCTGGCCGACACGGTGAAACCCCGTCTCTACTAGAAATACAAAAATTAGCTGGCATGGTGGCGCATACCTGTAATCCCAGCTACTCGGGAGGCTGAGGCAGGAGAATCACTTGAACCCGGGAGGCAGAGGTTGCAGTGAGCTGAGATCAATGCCACTGCTCTCCAGCCTTTGGCACCCTGCTGCTAGGCAACAGAGCAAGACTCTCTCACAAAAAAAAAAAAAAAAAAAAAAAAGGCGCCCAGAGCCAGCAGTGGTGGTTGGCCCAGGCCCCGGTTACCAGCCTGGACCCCACACACCCCCCAGGGGGACCCTGTGTCTGAGGCAACATCACGGCCGCCACGCTGCGGGACGACCTCTTCCTGGTGCACTACGACTGTGCAGAGCTTGAGTCCTGCCTGGATGGCTGCATCCTCAGAACCAACCTGGACACCCTGTTGCAGCACCTGCTGCCCACTGAGTGCCAGCATGTGGTCAAGGCCAAGCTCGCACAGGTGCACGGCTGGGCTGTGGGGACAGGGAGGCCGGTGGGCGCGGCACCTCTGCTGACCCTGCCTAGCCCTGCCCACCTGCTCAGATCTACCCACAAGGCCTCCCGGAGGATCAGCTGCGGCTCATCACCTCGCTGGTCTACCTCTACTCCCGCACCGAGATCGGCCAGTGGAGCATCACCTCCCAGGACACGGTCATGGCTCTGCTGGCCTCCGACGTGGCCCTGGAGAACCAGACAGAGGTGAGGGCACCTGGGTGGGCGGGCAGGTGGGTGGCCCCAGGCCCCAGCCTGCCCCACTGACCCGGGCTCTGCCCCCAGGCTGTGCTGCAGAAGTTTCTGGAGCACAATGGCACAGTCTCCGGTGCCCTGCTGCTGGCCATCGGGGGCACCCGCCTGTGCTGGATGAGTCCTCACCAGATCCAGACCATCCATCCCCAGGAGCTCCGGTGAGCCAAACCCAACCCCAACCCCCCACTGCCTCGGAGGCAGCTCCCGCCTCAGCCAAGGAGGACCGCGAGGGGAAACTGAGGCCAGGGAGTGCAGCTCAGCCAGGCCATCAGGGGTGCATTAGTCCCAGGGCTGCCCTGGCTGGACTCTAGCTTTGAGCAAAGTACACAAACTGGGTGACTTTATTCATTTTTTGAGACGGAGTCTCGCTCTGTCACCCAGGCTGGAGTGCAGTGGCATGATCTCGGCTCACTGCAAGCTCCGCCTCCCGGGTTCACGCCATTCTCCTGCCTCAGCCTCCCGAGTAGCTGGGGCTACAGGCGCCCGCCACCACGCCCGGCTAATTTTTTGTATTTTTAGTAGAGACGGGGTTTCACCGTGTTAGCCAGGATGGTCTCAATCTCCTGACCTTGTGATCCGCCCGCCTCGGCCTCCCAAAGTGCTGGGATTACAGGCGTGAGCCACCGCGCCTGGCCTATTTATTTATTTTTTGAGGCAGTCTCACTATGTCACCCAGGCTGGAGTGCAGTGGCGCGATCTCAGCTCACTGCCACCTCTGCCCCCTGGGCTTAAGCAATCCTCCCACCTCAGCCTCCCGAGTAACTGGGATTATAGGCACCCACCACCATGTCTGGCTAATTTTTGTATTTTTAGTAAAGATGAGTTTTCACCATGTTGGCCAGGCTGGTCTGGAACTCCTGACCTCAAGCGATTCACCCTCCTCGGTCTCCCAAAGCACTGGGATAACAGGTGTGAGCCACTGCACCTGGCCAAATTGGGTAATTTTAAAGATAAATATATTCTCTCAGTTCTGGAGGCCAGAGGTCTGAAATCAGGGTGCTGGCAGTCCCCGCCCCCTCTGAACCCTGCAGGGAGGACCCTTCCTGCCTCCTCCAGCTTCTGGCATTGCTGACAAGGTTTGGCGCCCCTGGGCTTATGGATACATCAACCCCAGCTCTGCCTCCATCCTCACGCTGCGCTCTCCCCCGTCTGTGTCCACATTTCGTATTCTTTTTTTTTAAGAGACAGGGTCTCACTATGTTGCCCAGGCTGGTCTCAAACTCCTGGATTCAGAGCAATCCTCTTGCCTCAGCCTCCCAAAGTGCTGGGATTTACAGGCGTGAGCCTCCACGCCCAGCCTCAGATTTCCCTTTTTTGTTTGTTTGCTTATTTTTGAGATGGAGTCTCACTCTGCCACCTAGGCTGGAGTTAAGTGGCGTGATCTCGGCTCACTGCAACCTCTCTCTTGTCTCCTGGATTCAAGCAATTCTCCTGCCTCAGCGTCCCAAGTAGCTGGGACTACAGGCGCCCACCACGCCCAGCTAATTTCTGTATTTTTAGTAGAGACGGGGCTTCACCATGTTGGCCAGGCTGGTCTCGATCTCCTGACCTCGTGATCCACCTGCCCAGGCCTCCCAGAGTGCTGGGATGACAGGTGAGAGCACCGCACCCAGCCCTCAGCTTTCCCTGTTCTTAGAAGGCCTCCAGTCATTGGTTTAGGGCCCACCTGATCCAGTCTGACCTCATCTTACCCATCTGCAATGACCCTGTTTCCCAACAAGGTCACATTCTGAGGTTCTGGGTGGATGTGAATTTGGGGGACCCTGTTCCCCCAGGACAGAGGGTGAGAGGAAAGCTGTGGCTTGGGAAGGGAGGGCCATGCCCAGCGTTGGAAGGGTGGGGGGCTGGCGACCAACTCCTCAGCCTCCCGCCTCCCACAGGCTGGCCGGGGCCCTGGACCTCTCCTCCTGCCCCCAGAGCCGGAAGGACGTGCTCTACACCAAGGCCCATGAGACCTTCGGCAGCAGCGGGACCCTAGCTGCCTACTACCGCCTCATGCGCCCCTACCTCGGTGAGCCCTGTCCATGGGTGGGCACCCCTCCCCCAGAAGCCCCACCCCCCTCACCCCGTCCCCCCAGGCAGCTTCCCTGGTGGAGCCCAGCCCCCCTCACCCCATCCCCCCAGGCGGCTCCCATGGTGGAGCCCAGCCCCCCTCACCCCGTCCCCCCAGGCGGCTCCCCTGGTGGAGCCCAGCCCCCCTCACCCGTCCCCCCAGGCGGCGCCCCGGTGGAGGAGCTGCGGCACCTGGCCCACGCCAACATCTCCATGGACATCGACACCTTCACCAGCCTGAACCCCCTCGAGCTGCAGGTGGGGCTGGGCTACCCCGTGGGGGTGGGGGTGGGGGTGGGGGTGGGGGTGCAGGGCTGTCCCAGGCAGGGGAGCCCCTAGGTCACAGGTCACAGCCAGCATACCCCCACTTCCCTCCTCCAGGCCGTTTCTGGGCCTCACTCCCGCCATCTGCCCCATCCTGGGTCTGGCCCTACCCTGTGGGTCTTCCCCTGGCCCAGAAGTTGGCCCCACGGCCCCTCTGCCCCACCCCTCTCCGCAGAGCCTGGATGTTGGCAACGTGACTGCGCTGCTGGGCCACAACGTGGGAGACCTTCAGAAGGCCCGCAGCCACCCCACCGTCAGGGCCTGGCTGCGCAGCCTCAACAGCTCCACCCTGGGCCAGCTCGGCCTGGACGCCAGCCCCACCAGCCCCACTGGCCCAGCCCACGGCACCAGGGGGCCCCCCAGCACCACCCACCAAGTGCTCCATCTGGTCCACACCTCGGGCCTGCCCACGAACGATGCCCAGGCCTCCACCTCAGGTATGGCCCCCGCACCCCTCCGGCTTGGCCCCCTCTGCCCAGGGCCCTCTCAGACCCGTCCCCGCCTCGTGGCCACTCCCACAGGCCTGTCCACCAGCTTTGTCCATTGCCTCCTGGGATGAGGCTGGCCAACCCTGCTTCACCCTTCATTGACCACTGAGTTAGAGATACAGCTGCCTCTCCTAAAACCCACTGACCAGCAGAAAGTGGGAGCAGGGGAAACTTTGAGACCTTTGTTGGGTCCCAGGAGAGCAGCCGCAGGTGGGTGTCCTCGCTGGCTGTCCCCACCCTCCCCAGCCAGAGGGAGGGACTGCCCAGGCCTGTCTGGCTCTAGGGGGTGGATATGGGGGTAGCGTCTGGTGGGACTGATGGTGGCCTCCCTGTTCCATCTACAGGCAGCCTGTGGGCCCCCCTGGGGTACCTGCCCCTGGCGATGGCCCTGCCTTGCAGCCTCCTGTGCCTGCTGCACTGGGGGACTTGCATCCTGGTTTCTGTGGACAGCGTTGCCTCAGGGTGGCTGGGTTCACAGGGGTCAGGTGCAGGAAAAACAGAGGTGTTAGATTCAGCTGGACGCCCACTTGGGCTGACGGGCCAGCTCTAGGCCAGGCCAACCTACCCAAGCCCCACCTCCTAGACCGTCCCACCCATCCCCGCCTCCAGGCCCTGGGAGCTGGACTGAGGACCAGGCCCTAAGAAGGTGCCTCCCGCACAACCACAGGCCCAGGCGGGCCACGGAAGACGCTGCCCGGGCCCTGCGGAGGGCTGGGGCTGGGGCTGGGGCTGGGGCTGGGGCCGGGGCCGGGGCCGGGGCCGGGGTTGGGGTTGGGGTTGGGGCTGGGGCCGGGGCCGGGGCCGGGGCCGGGGCCACAGACTTCACTGCTGGACATGAATAAAGTCCACGGTCGTGGTCCTGCCTGTGTCTGTGCTCAGGGCCTGAGCAGGGGGGCCCGGGAATGTCCTAGCCGGGGCCAAGCCTGTGGGGACAGGGGCACAGGACTCCCACCACCGGCTCCTGGGGCCACCCTGAGTGCTGGCCTGGCCCTCAGCACAGTGGCAGCAGGGTCAGGAAGACCTCCAAGGGCCCCCACCTGGCCTGGGGGCGCAAGACCAGAGGGAGAGGGGCCACGCTGGTGGGGTCACAGAAAGTCCTCGGAGGCCACAAGACGTGTCTGCAGGGGGCATGTTCCCGTTTACTGAGCGCGAGTTCTCTTGGGGTGGAACGGGGACCACCCGTGCCTGCTCCTGGCCAGGCGGGGATCCCCAGCAGGGCTGGGGCCAGCAAGGGAGTGGGGCCCTCAGGCCAGGGTGGAGGCTAGGAGCAGTGCCAGGACGGTGAGAACAGGTCCAGGTCCTAGGAGGCAGGGCGTCCCCGAGAGGGCCTCTACAGAGAGAGGGGTGACTCAGAGCGCCCACCTCCACGCCCCCAGCTCTGCCCCCAGCCCTGGCCTGGCCGCCCCGCCCACCTTGCATGCTGAGGTCTAGGACCAGGTAGCCGTTGGGGATGCCGCCCTGTAGCCCCAGCCCCAGCGTGTCCAGGTCGTCCTGCCGCTGCCGTAGGATCCAGTCCCGCACCGGGCGGTGCCGCTCCTCCGCCTTCAGGCCCTCCACGTGGGGTCCCAGAAGTTTCTGCACCTCAGCCACAGTCAACGGCTGCCAGAGACCCCGGGCAGCCATCAAGGAGGGTCTCCTTCCCTCAGCGCCGCCAGAGGGCTGCCAGGCTCTCCTGTGTCCAAACTGCCCCACCCACAGATGCCCACCGCAGCCTCTCCAGACTTCGGAGGTCTCCGGCCAGCTGACCTCAGCTCAATGGCTGCCCTTCCCTAGGCCCCACCACACGGGAAGATGCTGCCCTTCCTAAGGCCTCGCCCCACTGCAGACCCGCCTTACACGCCCTCCCACCCCCCGTTGGCCCCTCCTCCATGCGCCCCTCCACCAGGGCTTCTCCACTTGCCCCCCCCTCCATGTGCCCCTCCTCCACGCGCCCCCTCCACGCGCCCCCCTCCACACCCCCCCATGCGCCCCTCCTCCTCCACGCGCCCCCCTCCACGCCCCCCCACACGGCCCCCTCCACGCGCCCCTCCTCCACGCGACCCCTCCACGTGCCCCCTCCACGCGCCCCCCTCCACACCCCCCCATGCGCCCCTCCTCCTCCACGCGCCCCTCCTCCACGCACCCCCCTCCACGCCCCCCCATGCGCCCCCCCCACGCGCCCCCCTCCACGCGCCCCTCCTCCACGCCCCCCACGCTCCCCCCTCCACGCGCCCCTCCTCCACGCGCCCCCCTCCACACCCCCCCATGCGCCCCTCCTCCTCCACGCCCCCCCACACTCCCCCCTCCACGCGCCCCTCCTCCACGCCCCCCACGCTCCCCCCTCCACGCGCCCCTCCTCCACGCGCCCCTCCTCCACGCCCCCCACGCTCCCCCCTCCACGCGCCCCTCCTCCACGCGCCCCTCCTCCACGCACCCCCCCACACGCCCCCCCTCCACGCGCCCCTCCTCCCACTCGCCCCTCCTCCACGGGCCCCTCCTCCACACGCCCCTCCTCCCGCTCGCCATACCAGCACCGCATCCGTCCGCAGCTTCATGAACGTGGCCAAGTCCATGCTCACATTCTGCTGACTGAGCGCCTTCAAATCCTCCGTGGGGGCCCCACCTGCCCGCCGGGAGAGGGGCCCGAGCTGAGGCCTCACCTCACACCCCCAGGCCCTTGACCACAGGCTGCAGGAAGCCCACTTGCCTTACAGGGCTTCCCTTTTTCCTTAGGGATTCCAGGGCCTGGGTTTGCCTAGCCGCCTGACCCCCAGGCGTGGGAGACCCTGGAGGTGGCTGGCGCCCCGAGCTGGGGTCAGAACCCACAGCCCCTAAGGCCATACACACCCCGGGGGGCAGAGGGCGGGTGACCACCCAGTTACCCTGGCAGCAGACGGCCCGGCGAGGCAAAGGCCTGGCACCCCCGAGTGGAGTCTGTGCTTCCCCCGTTGTGTTGCCCACCCTGGCCAGGGACTCCCTGGCTCACCCAGGAAGGACTGGATCTTCACGAAGTATTCGGACCCGTTCATGTTCTGGAAAGCAAGGCGGGCCTTGGGATAGAGGACGTCCAGCTGCCTTGGGTCACACGTGTCCAGGTCCTGGGGCCTGACCGCCCTGGGGACACGGTGGGTGGACAGTGAGCGCCAGCACACGGACCCACCTTGCCGGGCAGAGTTCTGGGGACTCACCAGATGCTGCTGGGGGGCACGGAGCTCAGCTCCTCGGGGCTGAGGGAGCACAGGTACCCAGGGTAGAAGGCGGTCAGGGTGTCTAGGGTGTCTTTGTCTAGCTGGCCCCTTCCCTTCACAAAGCGGTCGATCAGGGTGGCCACCTGTGGGAGGGGCCGCCGAGGAGCCTTGTGGCAAGGAGAGATGTATCCCTCCACCACCAGCATAACCTCAGGCCGTGCCCCTGACCCCAGGCCCGCCCAACCTCAGGCTTTGTCCCCCACTCTGCCCCTCAGCCCTTCCCAATCTCATGCCACATGACCCCCGAGCCGGACGGTCACCTGAGGACTCATTTCGTGCCCTTTGTTGACTTCAAGCAAAGCCTTCAGGGTCTCCAGGGACGTCACATTCCACTTGCGAATGTCCTCAGGGCTCATCTTGAGGAAGAGGTAGCCCAGGTGCTGGATCACAGACTCGGGGTAACCTTGTGGGTAGAGCTGCAGGCCAAGAGACCAGGAGGGCCCATGTCACTCCCAGAGGGGCTGGGGATGGCTTGGACACAGCAGGCCGGTGGGAACTTGAGTCATGAACTACCTCATCCAGTTTATGCTTTAGGACGTCCAGCTGCTCGTAGGTGAAGGGGATGGCGTTCACGCGGTCCATCTGGGTGGCCAGCAGGGCCGCATCCACGCAGGCTTCCAGCTCCCACTTCTTGTAGAAGATGAGGCTCTCGTCTATCTCGCGGGCCTTCTTGCCTGAAGGACAGGCTGTCTCTGCAGGGCACAGGGGTCAGGGGTCAGGGCCGGAGTTCGTTTGACCCCTTCTTCCTCCCACACCTCCTGTGAGATGAGACCTCGGGCCATTTGTGACCCTCCCTGTGCCTCAGTTTACCCACTGGCAAACAGGGATTCTGTCCACTCTCTGTGATTATAATGGGATGTGCTGCAGAGCCAGGGAGGGGCAGGTGAGACCCTAAAGTGATGCCCACCCCCAGGGGTGCTGCCCAGCCTGGTGCCAGACTGCGCAGGGCACGGCACTCACTCTCCACTTCCCGCCGGAACCGCGGCCGGAGGATGGTCCGTTCAGGCTGCCGCCAGGATGGGTCCCGAGAGGAGCGTTGCCGCCACGCGGCCACGATGCCCTGAGGACGAGCAGGACCTGGGCTGAGCCTCGGGTGGCCGGGCATCCCCACGGGCTGGGGATTGGGGTCTCACCTGCGGGATGCTGCGGATGATGGGCTGGCCCAGCACGGGCAGCAGGCCCCGCAGAGCGTCCATCGTGGAGACAGACCATGTCGACGGGGGGCTGTGCAGACACGGGACACAGCTCAGGGACCCCCCACGTGCAGCCCCAGAGAGGGAAGAGGCCAGGCCGTACCCCCTGGCTGTGGAGGGGACGCTGGGGGCATTGGCAGGGGTGGTGGCGGGGGTGACTGACCCTGGGCCTTGAGGCATGGCCGCAAGTGTCCTCACGCTGCTGATACCACGCCGCCAGGTGAGCCTTCGAGGTTCCAGACACCTTCACTTACCCGTAGGGGGGTCCCCCGCCCTGCAGAGCCGCCCTGGCTGCCTCCTGCTGGTCCTGGTCCAGGGGTCCCGGGCAGCTCACCAGCCGGGGTAGCAGCACTTCGGCCGACTCGGCCACAAAGCGCCCAGGCAGGTCGCAAGCCAGGCCTCCCAGAGCCCGCACATCAGCCTCGCTCAGCAGAGACCCCCGCACACCCTGCAGAGAGGCTGGCCTCAGCGCTTTTGGAACTGCCGAGCCCTCTCCGCCCCGCGCTGGCCCCAGCCCCTACCCAGCAGGCCAGAGCCGCAGGCAGCAGCCGCTGTCGCTCGGGAGCCCCCCTCGGGAGCAGGTCCACATTGGCCTTCGTGATGCGGGAGAAGAAACGGGTGCAGGCCTGGGGCCCCGAGAACGCATCTGGGCTGTGAAGAGAGGGTGCTGGGGACAGGCCGCACTGATCACACCCGTCCCCACCCTGAGAGGCAGCCCGGCCGGCCTCCACATCTCTGCTGTGGCCTGGGATCCGAGGCAAGGGGCAGGGGGTTGGGGGCTGAGGGCTGGCGGCAAAAGCCGGGGGGGTGGGTTCAGGGGGCAGGGCCTACTTGAGGAATAGCAGCAGGTCCAATGGGAGGGCGTCCAGGTCCTCGGGGGGCTCAGAGAGCCGGTGAGCCAGACAGCGCAGCTGCAGGGGCAGGGAGTCCAGCACAGAGCGTTTCGAGCCGCCACTCACATGGTGGGCCAGGGTCGCCTGGCCAGTCTGCCCACCACAACACACCCCTGCCCTGGCCACGAGAATCTGTGGAAGTGGATCTCTGGCCGCCTGCAGCGCTGCCCTGGGGGATGGGGGCTCCCGTGCCTGGCTCCGCTCCCCTTCCCCAGATCTCACCCACTCCCCCGAAAAAGATTCACCCTTGGGGCAGAGCCTGGAGGGCTGCCCACGGCGCTCCAGGAGGGGGCCCAGCACACAGCGTCATATCAGACTTGCTCCTGGGGAGCCAGCCCCTGACGTGGACAGGCACCCCAGTGGTCAGCTTGGGTGGCCAGAGGAACTCTGGGAAGAACTGGCCGGGGAGAGATGGCAGCAGGGACAGAGGGGACCGTGGTGGCAAGGTGGGCACTGCAGAGCTGCCTGTGAATTCCTCAGCCCCAGCTGTGCCCACCTGCCTCAGCCCAACTGAGACTGACCTGCTCTGTTGAGAGCTTGACATTCTTCTGTGCCAAGGCCACAGCCAGCTCCCGGACACGCTCCGTGCTCAGGCCGGACACCTCCGCACACGGGAAGCCAAGGAGTTGGCGAGGGGAGAGGCTGCAGGAAGGGTCGGGCTGGGCACCCACGATCGCCCCTCCCCTGCAATGTCCACCCAGTGCTCCCCAAGCCCCACAGCCCCACCTCTCCCCAAAGGACCCTGGTGCTCCCTGCAGACCTCCCCCCAAGACCAGGTGACGCCCTCAAGGGCCGGGAGTTGCCATCACCTGAGGGGTGTCAGTCCCTCCCGCAGTCCTGAGCCCAGTCAGATCTGAGGTGGAGCAGAGGAGGAAGGGGGAGGGGATGCTGGGGGATGGGGTGCCCTGCCCACCCTCAGTCCCGAGGGCCCCTCGAGCCTCACCCTTGAGGACTGTGAGGACCCCAGACCCACCTGGAAATGTTAGGTGGGTTGGCCAGGACTCCGTCCAGGGGCGCAGCCTCCTGGGGACACAGGGCCTGCTGAACATGGCTCAGACCAGCTCTCTGGAGCAGGAGTTCCCAGGTCCCGCTACCCCTGGGCCAGGTACTCCCCGAGTTCAGCTACTTCCCAGGCCTGGCTGTGTCTCAGACCCATGGGCTTGGCTGCTTCTCATCCATCTACTTCCCAGACCCAGCTGCAATTTCAGCTCTGCCGCTCCCTGGACCTGGCTGCTCCCAGGCCAGTCACATGCAGGTCCAGGTGCCCCTTTGCAAGCAAGGACCGTGGAAACTGGCAAGCACCGTGGATACGTGACAGAGAGAACACAGCATGGCACCCCCACCTGGGACCTGAAGACCCTCCCCTGTTTCCCCAGAGGGGACCTTACCTGCCCTGTCTCTCCAGCCAGGGTCCTCGAGGGCTGCACCCATCCTAAAGGGGCAGAGGGGACAGCTTGGGGGAGGGGGCGGGCCTCTGGGCTGTGCCCTGACCCAGGGGAGGAAGGAGGCAGAGCCTGGCCGCCCCCACAGCCAGCCCTGTGCACACCCCAAAGAGAAGCCAGTGGCTCAGGCCCATGTACCCCGTGACATCACAGTCCCCCAGGCACAGGGGTCGGGACTCCACCAGGGAGCCCGGCCTTCCACATCTTTCCCTGAGACCCGGCTGCTTGGCCGGTCAGACCACCCATCCCACAGACATCCCCACTGTGTCCTGAGCCCCATCACTCCCTGGCTGGATCTCCAGCTCCAGTCACCTCTGGGGGCAGAGACTGCTGCTGAGACGTGGCCACCACAGGCACTCCAGGGAGAAGGCAGGGGCAGGCAAAGCCTTGCTGGGGGCCTGGCCCCCAAGGCCCCTGGGCCGTCCCCACCTCACCAGCAGCCCCATCAAGTACGCACCGAGGCTGAAGAGCAGGAACAGGAGGCTGCCGAGGGCGGGGGTCCCACAGGACCCCAACAGGGGTCGAGCCGTTGGCAAGGCCATGGTCTGTGTCTGTGGAGGGCAGTGACTCAGGATGGGACCCCCTGCTCCCACCCCACGCCTCTGTCCTGGGCCAGCCTGGGGCCACATGGGCCCAGGAGGGGCTCCCAGAGCAAACTTCTGTGGTACCTGCAGCTTGTGTCCGCACCCTGGCCCTGCCCTCCAGCCACTGAGCCCTCTGTCCCCTGGACTGGCTCCTCCTGTCCAGGGGAGGGGCTGGGTCTGAGATCCCGGTCCCCAGCCCAGACAGCCCAGGAGTCAGTTGGCGCCCACCCCTCTCCCAGAAGGGCAGGGCAGTGTGAGCAGAGCTTAGATCAAGCAACCGGGGCCGCCGCCCACTTGGGCTGGCCTGAGTCTCCCCACTCTCGCACAGGAGGACGAGCAGCCCCGTCGCCTGGATGTGGCTCCCTTCCCTCTCCCCTGCCCTCAGCTGCAGGTGCCTGGGCTTTGTGAACACCCCAGGCTCTGCCAGGCAGACAACACCCTTGAGGCAGGAGGGGCACTGCGGGCACAGAGGCCACCGCCCCTTCCCACCCAGCAGCGTCTTTTTGGGCCACTTGGCCTCTCTGAGCCCATTTTCAGGTGCAGTCCAGGTGGGGCGGGGCTGGGCCAGTGAGCAGCCTGGGGAGCCCCTTGTACTCTCTAGGGTGGGGCCTGTGGGCCACTGTGGGGTGGGGAAGTGGGTGGGGAGACCCTCCCTGAACAAGAATTGTCCTCCTGGGGTAGGGGTGGGGCTCGCAGAAGAGGGAACTGGCTTCTACACTCACCCCTTTCAGGGAGGCCACCATGGCGGAGTAGAATAGAGCTGCCTCCTGAAAACCTTGGCCCAGGCCCGGTGGGTCCACCCACAGCTCAGAAATGGGGGTCACACGCTCATGCTCAGCAGCCCCATCCACAGGCAGAGCCTGCCTGGTCGGCCCGGCCACTGGGGAATGTCGCGGGGAGGCACACAGCCTCCGGGTGACAGACTCTACTCCCCCAGGCCCCAGAGGAAGTGGGGAGGCCCCTGAGGCTCTGAACACCTTGAGAAGGTGGAAGAAAACAGACCCCCCCCACAGCCAGAAAATGGGCAGTGAGTGGGACCCCCAGCCCTTGGGGTGCGTGAAGCCAGGAGGGAAACGTGGCCATCGGATCACAGGGGACCTGGGCACTCCCCACCCCAGCTCCATGTGACCCAAGGACCTCAGCACCTGGGATGGGGGCTCCCCGAGAGCCCGGCCCTTCCTGCTCTGAGGGGCCTCTGCAGGCCATGGGGGGCCCTGGAATCTGCATCCTTTACACCTGCAGGAGAGCTGGGCTGGGGCCGTGGAGGCACCTGCACTGCCTTAGGACTGCCGCTTCCAAACAAATGGGTCTGCGTGTGCCCTGCGGGGTGAAATCTGCGTCCAGCTGAAGCCTGACCATCGCTCTGGTGCTGGAAGCCCGGCCTGGGGCGGCCCCAGTTCTCCAGATGGAAGGTGCAGATTCCATCCACACCACAACAGGAAGAGCTCAAAGGTTGTTACTTACAGATCCCAGGGAGGGAGGCACCGTGGGTCCACCGGTAGCTCTCTGTCCGCGCGTCACAGCAGACGGGAGTGGCCGGCCAGGCAGAAAGAGGAGTGCGTGGCGCTGGCAGCGCCCATGAGGAACAGGACAGCCCCTTTCAGATCGCGGGCCAATGCCCACACGTGGGCCTCTAAAGGGCGATGTGAAAGGGGAAGCCCAGCCCCCAGGCCTCTGAGGCCTTCTGCGCAGTTGGGTAGGGAGCTTTACCCCTAACGCCCGGGCAGCCCCCAGCCCTCCAGGTCCCGAGTGGCCCCTCCCAGGTCTCAGTGGGCCCTGCCCAGGGTAACTCTGATGTGCAGGGTGATTGGCCACACCTGAGCCTCCTCTGCCTCGGTTTCCTCAATTGGGAAGTGGGGGTGGAGAGCCTGGCAGCCTCCCGGGCCGTCAAAGGGAACAAATGACGGCTTTGCCCGGGGCAGCAGGGAGTGGTGGCGCCTCACGCCCCAGGAATGTGTGGGTGGAGACCCCGCACAGGAGCCTTGGACAGGCAGCGGGCCAGGCCTGGGGGAGGAGGGATGCCCAGGAAGGCAAAGCTGCCCTCGGTGGGCGAGGGTGGGAGCCCGGGCCCAGGTTTCACGGCTGCCCTGGGTGGGTGTGGGGCATGTGTAGGAGCCCGGGCCCAGGTTTCATGGCTTCCCTGGGTGGGTGTGGGGCGTGGGTGGGAGCCTGGGCCCAGGTTTCACGGGATCCCACTCTGATTCTCAGGTGCTGAAACCCAGGGAGCACTGGCCCCCCCAGTCGCAGGTCAGCAGGCTCTGGATGGTGGCCACGCAGCCCAGACAGGACTCCCGGGAGCACAAGCCTGACCCCCAGTGCAGTGTGGGCCTCGCAAGGCTGTGAGCCGTCCGTCTCAGGGCTGTGGGAGCACACAGGTCAGGGAGGCAGGACGGGGCCCAGCTCCAGGCACACGCACACCCCTTTCTCGCAGGGTCGACTGGAACAGAGCTGCCCCCGGGCGCTCTCTGGCCTGGCGAAGTGGGAGCTGTCTTCCCTACGCATCTGGGCTGGCTGCCTGCTGCTGATGGAAGAGCTGCTCCTCCTGACCTGGGGCCACAGAAGCCCCCTCCCTGCCCCTGAAACCCCTCCCAGCATGTCGTGAGCTCTTATCCCCAGTACGGAATCTGCCTCCGCTATGAACACCTGCAAAGGTTTGTGTGCTGAACGGAGGTGTGCGCGGCGGTCATCTCTGGTCTCTCCACAGAGTGGGTTTTCTATCGTGACTCGCGGTGGAATCGGACCTTCACGCACACAGAATTCAGCAAGGCTGCCAGGTGTAAGCGTCAACTTACAAATGTCAAGAAGGGATTAAGGGCCTTTTAAAAACTCCCTTCCGCAGAGAACAACTGAAAAATTCCAGACACTCTTGTAGCAAACCAGTTACCCAAGGGCTCTGGGGAGGGGACAGAAGGCAGCCGGCTTGGGCGGGAACTCACAGGTAAAGGGAGAGGCCAGCTCCGAGTGGCGTTCCCTTTGTGTCCACACAGCTTTGCTCTGAAGGAGCCGCAGGTTGGCTGCGGGGCTGTGAAGTGGCCCAGGCTGCCACGGACACCCACAACTTTCCCGGCCAAAGGCCAAAGGAAACCAAGGAAGGAGCCCAGAATACTCAGGGCCCAGAGCTCGAGGAGAGGCCTGAGCCGGAGGAGCCAAGGAGGCGCCCACGTGCCCAGCTGAGCCCTGAACTGAAGGAGCCGAGGAGGGTCCAGGAAGAGCTCGGAGGGCCCCGTAGACACGGCTGAGCCCTGAACAGGAGCCTCAGAGGGGCCCATGTGCCCGGCTAAGCTCTGAACCAGCCGACTGCAAGCTGCGGACAATGATGAAAACGCGCTGTGGCCAGCCTGGGCTCACCCTTCAGCCAGCACCGTGGGAGGCCGATGCGGGAGGGTCCGTTGAGGCCAGAAGTTCAAGACCAGCCTGGGCAACGTAGTGACACCTCATCTCTATAAAGAATCTTTAAATGAGGCCCTGTGTGGTGGCGCACGCCTGTCATCCCAGCACTTTGGTAGGCCGAGGTGGGCGGATCACCTGAGGTCAGGAGTTCGAGACCAGCCTGGCCAACATGGAGGAACCCCGTTTCTACTAAAAATATGAAAATTAACTGGGCGTGGTGGCACATGCCTGTAATCCTAGTTACTCAGGAGGCTGAGGCAGAAGAATCACTTGAACCCAGGAGGTAGGGGTTGCAGTGAGTCGAGATCACGCCACTGCACTCCAGCCTGGGCAACAGAGCAAGACCCTGTCTCAAAAAAAAAAAAAAAAAAAAAAAAAATGCCGGGCGCAGTGACTCACGCCTGTAATCCCAGCACTTTTGGAGGCCGAGGCAGGCAGATCATGAGGTCAGGAGATCGAGACCATCTTGGCTAACACGGTGAAACCCCGTCTCTACTAAAAATACAAAAAATTAGCCGGGCGTGGTGGCGGGCGCCTGTAGTCCCAGCTACTCGGGAGGCTGAGGCAGGAGAATGGCGTGAACCCGGGAGGCAGAGCTTACAGTGAGCCGAGATGGCACCACTGCACTCCAGCCTGGGCAACAGAGCGAGACTCCATCTCAAAAAAAAAAAAAAAAAAAAAAAAGCCCAGGCGTGGTGGCTCACGCCTGTAATCCCAGCACTTTGGGAGGCCGAGGTGGATCATGAGGTCAAGAGATCAAGACCATCCTGGCCAACATGATGAAACCCCGTCTCTACTGAAAAAAAAAAGAAAGAAAGAAAGAAGAAAAATAAGAATATCTGTGTGATTTTTTTTTTTTCTGAGACGGAGTCTTGCTCTGTCGCCCAGGCTGGAGTGCAGTGGCGCGATCTCCGCTCACTGCAACCTCCGCCTCCCAGGTTCATGCCATTCTCCTGCCTCGGCCTCCTGAGTAGCTGGAACTACAAGCGCCCGCCACCATGCCTGGCTTTTTTTTTTAAGTAGAGATGGAGTTTCACCGTGTTAGCTGGGATGGTCTCGATCTCCTGACCTCGTGATCCGCCCACCTCGGCCTCCCAAAGTGCTGGGATTACAGGCATGAGCCACCATGCCCGGCCATATCTATGTGTCTATGTGATTGAAAGAACGTAGATTCCTACCTCATATTATATGCAAAATTTACTCAAAGCCAACCATAGGCCTGAGTATAAAGGCTGAAACTATAAAACCATTAGAAGGAAATTCAAGAGGAAGTGTTTGTGGGCTTGGAACAGGCAAAGACCTGTTAGATGGAAGAAAGAAGGCAGAAACCATGACTGACACTGCTGCTCTTTGAATGATGCCGTGAAGAAAATAAAGAGCCAAGCCACAGAATAAGAGAAATATTTGCATGACATATACCCAGAATTGACAAGGAACATTTGCAGTTCAATGATAAGACAGACAATCCCGTAAAACCCAGGCCATATGTGCTGCAACGCGGCTGAGCCTGGAAACACGGACACGTCGTACGAGTCCCTTTAGATGAAACGTCCAGAGTGGGTCAATTTAGAGAGACAGGAAGTAGATGAGTGGTTTCGTAAGACCCGCGGGAGGGAGACCAGTCAGGAGGACTGACTTCTAAGGGGTATGGAGTTTCTTTCCTTTTCTTTTTTGAGATGAGTCTCCCTCTGTCGCTCAGGATGGAGTGCAGTGGCTCGATCTCGGCTCACTGCAAGCTCCGCCTCCCAGGTTCAAGCGATTCTTCTGCCTCAGCCACCGGAGTAGCTGGGATTACAGGCGCCCGCCACCACGCCCGGCTAATTTTTGTATTTTTAGTAGAGACGGGGTTTCACCATGTTGGCCAGGCTGGTCTCAAACTCCTGACCTCAAGTGATCAGCCCGCCTTGGCCTCCCAAAGTGCTGGGATTACAGGCGTGTGCCACCACGCCCAGCTAATTTTTGTATTTTTAGTAGAGACGGGGTTTCACCATGTTGATCAGACTGGTCTTGAACTCCTGACCTCAGGCGATCCGCCCACCTTGACCTCCCAATGCTAGGATTTCAGGCTGCAGCCACCACACTGGGCCCGAACGGTACTTCCAATGGGTAAATGGGTGAGCTGTATAGTGTGGATTATCTCTCAGTAAAGCTGTTATTTAAAAATGGGCAAAAGATTTAAACAGACACTGCACACACACACAAAAAGATACAAAAGCCAGGTGTGATGGTGCATGCCTGTAGTCCCAGCACTTTAGGCTGAGGTGGGAGGATCACTTGACCCAGGAGTTTGAGGCTGCAGCGAGCTATGACCACGCCACTGCACGCCAACCTGGGTGACATAATGGGACCCCATCTCTGCAAAAAATTTAAAAACTAGCCAGGCATGGTGACGCAGGCCTGAAGTCCCATCTACTTGGGAGGAGGAGGTGGGAGGATAGCTTGAGGCCAGTTTGAGGCTGCAGTGAGCTATAACCACACCCTGGGTGAAAACCCTGTCTCAAAAAATACACAACACACGATCAATCTGAATGTGAAAAGAGGCTCATCGTCATCACCGCTCACTAAATGCAAATGAAATCCACAAGGAGATACCACTCACTACACACCCACTAGACATTACTCATTAAGGAAATGCAAATTCCATCCGCAGTGAGAAATCCACAGTGCAACACTGCGCATTACACACCCACTAAAATGACTAAATTAAGGACCAACAATGACAAGTGTTGGCAAGGAAGTGGAGCAACTGGAACTCTCAGAGGCTGCTGGTGGGAGTGCAAATGGATACAGGCAGTTTTGTTTGGCACTTTATTAAGAAGTTAAACTTATACCCAACCATGCCACTTAGCTATTCCACTCCTAAGGAATGTCCCGAGAGAAATGAAAACGTGTTCACACAAAGACTTATGCATGAATATCTACAGCAGCTCCATTCACAATAGCCAAAAATGGTTTAAAAAAAAAAAATATATATATATATACACACACACTTCCATCAATAGATGAACAAAGTATGGCATATTAACACTATGGTGTACTGCCCAATGATAAAAAGGGCAATACCATCTCATATACGAAAAAAATAAATGAATTTCAAAATCATTATGCTCAATGAAAGAGGCAGACTCAGAGTACATAAGGTATGATTCCTCTTACATAAAAATTTAAAAGGCAAGCTAATCTATTCTGACAAGAAGCAGATCAGTGGTTGCCTGTGCTGGGCAACTTCATCAGAATGAAGGATTCCTACTCAACAAGAGCAGGAGAGAGGAGCAGACTGCAGAGACTCTAGGAAGTCTCTGGAAGGTGAGGAAAATGCTCTGTGTCTTGACTGTGGTGATGGATTCGTGGGTGTGTATAACTTCCAGGACTGTTTGAATTATATGCTTTATTTTCTTCTTTGGAGGCAGCGTCTTGCTCTGTCGCCCAGGCTGGAGTGCAATGGCACAATCACGGCTCACTGTAGCTTCAACCTCCAGGGCTCAGGTGATCCTCCCACCTCCACCTAAGTAGCTGGGACTGCAGGTGCGTGCCACTGTACCCGGCTAATTTTTGTAGAGATGGGGTCTCGCTATGTTGCCCAGGCTGGTCTTGAACTCCTGGGCTCAAACGATACACCCATCTTGGCCTCGCAAAGTGCTGGGATTATAGATGTGAGCCAGCGCATCCAGCCTGAAATTGTATACTGTAAATGGATGCATTTATTGTACATAAGTTTAACACAATAAAACTGATATAAAAATTAATAGCAGCTAGGCCCGGTGGCTCATGCCTGTAATCCCAGCACTTTGGGAGGCTGAGGCGGGCAGATCACCTGAGGTCAGGAGTTTGAGACCAGCCTGACCAACATGGCAAAACCCTGTCTCTACTAAAAATACAAAAATTAGGCTAGGCACAGTAGTTCATGCCTGTCATCCCAGCACTTCGGAAGGCTGAGGCGGGCGGATCACTTGAGGTCAGGAGTTTGAGACCAGCCCGGCCAACATGATAAAATCCCATCTCTACTAATAATACAAAAATTAGCCAGGTATGGTGGCGTGCACCTATAATCCCAGCTACTCAGGACGCTGAGTCAGGAGAATCGCTTGAACCCGGGAAGCGGAGGTTGCAGTGAGCCAAGATGGTGCCACTGCCCTCCAGCCTGGGTGACAGAGCGAGACTCCATCTCAAAAAATAAAAATTAGTAGCTTAACAAGCTGTGATGAGGATGTGGAGGGACAGGAACCCCCGTGTGCTGCCGGTGAGCACGTTAGAGGGTGTGGCCTCCGTGGAGAACAGCTTGGTGGTTCTGCGGGACAGGAACCCCCGTGTGCTGCCGGTGAGCAGGTTAGAGGGTGTGGCCTCCGTGGAGAACAGCTTGGTGGTTCTGCAAAAAGTTAAACATAGAATGACCACATGACCCAGCAATTCCCGCAAAACAAAAGAATAAAAAACGGGAACTTGAACAGATCCTCACACACCCATGTTCCCAGCAGCATTATTCATAACGGCCAAGGCAGAAACAACCCCTGTCCATCAACTGATAGACAGATAAACACAATGTGGTCCATCCATACAATTATTCATGGAAAAAAACAGACTATGGAAAAAAAATTTTTTTTGAGACGGGGTCTTGCTCTGTCACCCAGGCTGGAGGGCAATGGCACCATCTCAGCTCACTGCCTCCTCAGCCTTCCAGGCTCAAGCGATTCTCCTGCCTCAGCCTCCTGAGTAGCTGGGATTACAGGCGCCCACCACCACGCCCGGCTAATTTTGTATTTTTACTAGAGACAGGGTTTCACCATATTGGTCAGGCTGGTCTTGAACTCCTGACCTCAGGTGATCCGCCCGCCTCGGCCTCCCAAAGCGCTGGGATACAGGCGTGAGCCACTGCGCCCCGCCTCTGTGAAATATTTCAAAGAGGTTTCTTCTGAGCCAATATGAGTAACTGCAGCCCAGGGAAAACAAGCCCAGGAAGCCTCAAGTGTATGATTCTGAAGCTGTCAGGTTAGAAATTTGGTTTTGTACATGCCAGGGAGGCAGCAGTTATAGGCAGACATAAAATACATAAGTCAGTGTACATCAGTTCAGCCCTAAAAGATGAGCAATCTTTTTTTTTTTTTTTTTTTGAGATGGAGTTTTGCTCTGTTGCCCAGGCTGGAGTGCAATGGCACAGTCTTGGCTCACTGCAACCTCTGCCTC
The DNA here is from genome assembly GCF_000001405.40 of Homo sapiens. Classification (NCBI taxonomy): domain Eukaryota; kingdom Metazoa; phylum Chordata; class Mammalia; order Primates; family Hominidae; genus Homo; species Homo sapiens. Next base: position 754,067 of record NC_000016.10, on the reverse strand, counting down.
CTGGGTTCAAGCAATTCTTCTGCCTCAGCCTCCCGAGTAGCTGGGATTACAGGCACCTGCCACCACGCCCGGCTAATTTTTGTATTTTTAGTAGAGACGGGGTTTCACCATGTTGGCCAGGCTGGTCTCGAACTCCTGACCTCAGGTGATCTGCCCACCTTGGCCTCCCAAAGTGCTGAGAGGACAGGCGTGAGCCACCGTGCCCGGCTAAAGGTGGGATATCTCAAAGTGGGGTGGGGAGTGTGTTCCAGGTGTATTCAGATTCTCTTTAACTTGTAATTGGTTAAAGGAGTCAGGCTCTAAAACTCGGAACCACCAAAAAGGAAGGTGTAAGGTCACGTAAGGACGCTGTGTCAGAGTCCGCCCCCTCCACTGGGTCACAGTGACCCATGTAGCAGGAGGGCGAGAAGCAGGCGTGACCTAACCTCTGCCCGGCAGGGCCTTAGGCCTCCTTTATAATTTGGTATCTTATTGCCAGAGTCTCTTTGTCAGTCTTGCGATCTGTACTTTAACATGAATGCCGGGTGGTCGTTAAGCCTCAACTCCAGAAGGGAGGGGTACAAGGAGGCTGCCCGACTCCCTTCCCATCATGCTTGGGAACTCTGTTTTAAGGTTTTCTTTGGGGTCCCCTTGGCCAAATGGGGGTCCTTTCAGTTGGTGTGGGACTTAGGATTTTATTTTTAGTTATTCAATGAAATATCATTCAGCCCTAAAAGGGAGTAACATTCTGACACGTGCTACAATGTGGATGAACCCCGAGAACACTTTGCCGGCCGGACGGGCGCGGCAGCTCACATCCGATGGGCGCGGCAGCTCACATCTGTAATTCCAGCACTTTGGGAGGCCCAGGAGAGTGGATCACTTGAGGTCAGGAGTTCGAGACCAGCCTGGCCAATGTGGTGAAACCCCATCTCTACTAAAAATACAAAAATTAACCAGACACAGTGGCTCATGCCTGTAGTCCCAGCTACTCAGGAGGCTGAGGCAGGAGAATCGCTTGAACCCAGGAGGTGAAGGTTGCAGTGAGTTGAGATCACGCCATTGCACTCCAGCCTGGGCAACAGAGCGAGATTTTCTAAAAAAAAAAAAAAAAAAAATTGCGGGGGTGAGGGGTGCAAACGTATGAGCCTGTTTATTTGAAACATTCAGAACAGGTGAAGACACAGACGGAAAGAAAACAGCAGCGACCGGGAGCCAGAGCAGTGGAGAATTATTGTTTAATGGGGACAGTGTCTGTGTGAGGTGAGAAATTTCTAGAAATGGGTAGCGGTGATGGTTATACAGCATTCTGAATGTACATAATGCCACTGAATTACGCACTTAAAAGCGACGAAAGCCGGGCGTGGTGGCTCAGGCCTGTAATCCCAGCACTCTGGAAGGCCGAGTCAGGTGGATCACTTGTGGTCAGGAGTTTGAGACCAGCCTGGCCAACATGGCGAAACCCCGTCTCTGTCAAAAATACAAAAATTAGCTGGAAACCGCTTGAACCCAGGAGGTGGAGGTTGCAGTGAGCCGAGATCATGCCACTTCACTCCAGCCTGGGTGACAGAGGGAGACTCCATCTCGGGGGAAAAAAAAAAAAGAAAAAGTGGAGATGGGGAGGAAACCAAAAAAGGGAACGGAGCAAGATCCCCGAGGCCCTGGGACCAAACTACACTGCAAAGCATTGGTAAATCTGACTTCATCTGAAAGAAGGGGATTTCTACTGAATGAACCAACTGGCAGCTGAGAGGCAGATGTCAAACAAACACACAGAAGACATTTCCCAGCACCTGAAAGAGTCCACGGCACAGCGAGCAGCAGGGACGTCCAAAACCAGAGAAACAGCCAACGTGGGGGAAAAGCAGGGGCCGAGGGAGAGGGAGAAAAGCAGGGGCCGAGGGAGAAGCCACCAGCTCAGGGGAGCGACTGGGTGACTGGTTCACCAGGAGGGGTTTGAGGTCTGACCTTTGTACATCCATTGAAATTCAAATTAGAACAAGGAGCTTTGCGTGAGCAGAAGGAAGGGCTGCGGTGAGAGGGACGCTGGAACCTGGAGGGAACAGGCCTGGAGAGAAGAGGCTGCCCTGGTTCCCACCGCCCCTGCGCGATCTCGCAGCCCGTGGGTGGCTTTCCTTCTGGTCTCCTCTGCGCCTCGTTTGGCTACGCTCACAGGCGCCTCGCTTCCGTGCTCACCTTACCCCTCCCTACACCCACCCCACTCCACGCTGCTCCATGCCAGGGACGCTGCTCCGTGCCAGGGACACCGCTCCGTGCCAGGGACGCCAGGGAAGGTGGCTGCCAGGGTGCCTTCACCCCCACCCACCCCAGGCTATTGTTGGCCTTTTCACACTTTGAATGAATAAAATAACTTTGGTGTTGTTTGTTCTACATATTTAAAAAAAAAATACCTCTTCTCTTTGGTTTTCACATGGCCAAATCGTCAGGGTACTGGCCGTCGCGTTTAAGAAGTTGAGTAAATAGAGATGTCCGGCTTTGCTAGCTCAGCCTCTGGTGTGGACGCATTGAACGTTAATCCGATAATCCACAGAGGATCCCTCAGCAGGACCCACTCGCAGAGAGCAGTAGCCATGCTCTGAGCTCAGAGGCTGGCTTCTGCTCCCATCGCTCTAAATTCCATCCCCCATGAGGTCAAAACAGAAAAGAGGACCGAGCCCCTAGCCTGGAGCAGACGCATCACTGGGTCTCCGCCCCGGTCACCTCTTCCAGGAAGTCTTCCCTGGTTGGCCCAGGCTTCCCGACTCTGGGAGGTCAGCGCCTCTCGCTCGGCCACTGTTTCCTCCACCCGCCAGGCCAGAGCAGGATGTCCTGTGCAGTCAGGGCTGTGGGAGGTGGCCTTCTATCCCCGTTTTACAGAGGAGAGAAATGAGGTGCCGAGAGTTCAAATGAGGGGCCAGGTCCCTCACGGGAACCAGGTCTTCAACACAGGAGCATGGGCACAGCTCAGGGGCCAGGCACTATGGAGTGGTCCCGGCTTGGCTGATGGTGGAGTGGGCGGTTCCGGAAGCTGAGATTCCAATTCTGCAAAACAGACATCGGTGCATGGAGCAGTACTTGGTCCGGGGGCTGTGATGCTGGCACACAGCCGGCCCAGACAGGGGCACCACGATGGTTATGATGGAGGAAGCTCTGCCTTTTCCAGGCCTCCACCCTCATAAAACACGACCAGAGTGACTCCATCTCATAGTCCCTAGCTTGGCACTCACAAGGCAAGTATAAAGTTCATGCTTAGGGGCTGAAAACAGCTATGTCCCAAGCTGACCACCAACTATGACTGCAAAATAGTTATGCAAATAGCTGCAAAATAGTTATGGCCATACAGGACATTTCCCAGCAGGCCTGAGAATGTCCAGACCTCCGGAGAGTGCAGCCCACTTCACTGAGAAAGCGCCAGTGAGCAGGCTGAGGCTGAAGGTGATTGGTCACCGGGAACACCAGCAGCCCCAACCTTCGGTGAGCACAGCTGCACATTCAGGTCTACGTGTAGAGATTCCTTGTAGTTTCTTATAAGCAGAAACACTAACAAAGGACAGCGAGTTCTTCCTGCTCTCTGAGCACGTCCGCTTTGTAATAGAATCATTCGTTGTTTTTTTTTTTGAGACGGAGTCTCGCTCTGTCGCCCAGGCTGGAGTGCAGTGGCGCGATCTTGGCTCACTACAAGCTCTGCCTCCCGGGTTCACACCATTCTCCTGCCTCAGCCTCCCGAGTAGCTGGGACCACAGGCCCCGGTCACCATGCCCAGCTAATTTTTTATATTTTTAGTAGAGACGGGGTTTCACTGTGTTAGCCAGGATGGTCTTGATCTCCTGACCTCATGATCTGCCTGCCTCGGCCTCCCAAAGTGCTGGGATTACAGGCATGAGCCACCGTGCTCGGCCTCTTCTTTTGTTTTTTTGAGGCGGAGTTTCACTCTAGTGGCCCAGGCTGGGGTGCAATGGCACAATCTCCGCTCACTGCAACCTCCACCTCCCAGGTTCCCACGATTCTCCTGCCTCAACCTCCCAAGTAGCTGGGATTACAGGTGCCTGCCACCACGCCCAGCCCAGAGTCATTTCTAATAAACTTGTCTCACGGGGCATGGTGGCTCATGCCTGTAATCCCAGCACTTTGTGAGGCCAAGGCGAGCGGATCACGAGGTCAGGAGTTACAGACCAGCCTGGCCATCATGGCGAAAGCCTGTCTCTACTAAAAATACAAAAATTAACCGGGCTTGGTGGCAGACGCCTGTAATACAAGCTACTCGGGAGGCTGAGGCAGGAGAATCGCTTGAACCCGGGAGGCAGAGGTTGCAGTGAGCAAAGATCCTGACATTGCACTCCAGCTTGGGCAACAAGAACAAAACTCTGTCTCAAAAGAAAAAGAAAAGTTTCGACAATGGCTGGGTGCAGTGGCTCACGCCTGTAATCCCAACACTTTGGAAGGCCGAGGCAGGTGGATCACGAGGTCAGAAGATCGAGACCATCCTGGCCAACATAGTGAAACCCTGTCTCTATTAAAAATACAAAAATTAGCTGGGCATGGTGGCACATGCCTGTAATCTCAGCTACTCGGGAGGCTGAGGCAGGAGAATCGCTTCAACCCAGGAGGCAGAGGTTGCAGTGAGCTGAGATCGCACCACTGCACTCCAGCCTGGGCGACAGAGCAAGACTCCATCTCAAGAAAAAAAAAAAATTTCAACCGAAGCAGTGCCACATGGAAAATGAATGTGAACATATTCTCTGGGGTTAGCTATGTCCTAAAAGAAAGAAAAGCGGTTATTCATCTCAATGCAAGATTTCAAAATAAAGCTGAAGGTTGTGAAAGTTGGCCAGCTCTTACAGGCCATCTCCATGCAACTGCCCACAGTCCATTCCTAGAATTCCTGTAACATGATTTTTTTTTTTTTTTTTAAAATAGAGATGGAATCTCACCATGTTGCCCAGGCTGGTCTCAAACTCCTGGGCTCAAGAGATCCCGCCCGCCTGGGCCTCTGAAAGTGTTGGGATTACAGGCCTGAGCCACTGTACCCGGCCAGTACGCTTTTTCACATGTTAAATTTTCTTTTTAGCTTTTTCTTTTCTTTTTCCTATAGTTTTTTTCCACTACTTTATTTTTATGTTTTGAGATGGAGTCCCGCTCTGTTGCCTAGGCTGGAGTGCAGTGGCGCAATCTCGGCTCACTGCAACCTCCGCCTCCCGGGTTCAAGCGATTCTCCTGCCTCGGCCTCCCGAGTAGCTGGGATTACAGGCGTGCACCATCACGCCCGGCTAATTTTTTTGTATTTTAGTCAAGACAGGGTTTCGCCATGTTGCCAGGCTGGTCTCGAACACTTGACCTCAGGTGATCCTCCCACCTTGGCCTCCCAAAGTGCTGGGACTACAGGCCTGAGACACCACGCCCGGCCCTGTTCGACTATTTTAAATTGTCGGCGTTTCCACAGCTCACTGCGCACCTGTGACGGAGGCGTGGGTCACACAGGCCTCCTCATTAGCTGCTAATTGCAGCATGTCACGGCCTCCACCTGTTGACAAGACGTGGCTGCCCCCAGGGTGGATGTGGGTGTTGATTATGCTGCTAACGACCCCACGCCCATCCCGACAGCAATTCCGTTCCACAAATAAAACGTCTGCTCGGCCAACGGAGAGCCCGAGTCCTGCTTGACAGAGGGCGGGGGTGCGTGTGGGGTGGGGCATGGGCCACACGCGGGGAGGCAGTCTGGGTCCAACCACAGGTGGAAATGGCCGCCAGCACCCCACACTTTCCTACAAAAAGGCACTTTCTCTCCAAGTTTTATGAATAACAGGCTGCACGGGGCCACCCACCGGCGAGCCCGGGGCCCGGCAGCCTTTCCCATGTTCCCTCTGCCACCCGGGAGGCAGGGCCTCGGGAGCCCTCGAGCACATCAGCCCGAGCGGCGGGAAGTTTCTGCAGACTGGAGGGTGTGCCCCCCACGTCCACCCAGCTTCCCACAGGAGCCAGCATCTCCATACTTATTTTGTACTGTTATTTGAGATGGGGTCTTGCTCTGTTGCCCAGGCCGGAGTGCAGTGGTGCAATAACGGCTCACTACAGCCTCGACCTCCCGGGTCCAGGCAATTCTCCTACCTCAGCCTCCTGAGTAGCTAGGACCACAGGCATGCATCACTGCACCGACTCATTATTTTGTAGGAACGAGGTCTCAATATGTTGCCCAGGCTGCTCTCAAACTCCTGGGCTCAAGCGATCCTCCCACCTTAGTCTCCCGAAGTGTTGCCATTACCAGTGTGAGCCGCCACCTCGGGCCTCATCTCCACATTCCTGTTGGGTACCACGCCGCCCCAAGGCCATGCTGGCCTACCCTGCACTCTGTTGCCTGGCTCTGGCCCTCTGGGAAGCTCATCCTGGTGTCCTGCACATCAGTGGCCACACAGGTGGGGGAGTTGGAGGATTCACCTTCCCCACTTATGTGAGTTCATTCCCACACTGCTATAAAGACACTGCCTGAGACTGGGTAATTTATAAACAAAGAGGTCTGGCCGGACGCAGTGGCTCACACCTGTAATCCCAGCACTTTGGGAGGCCGAGGCGGGCGGATCACCTGATGTCAGAAGTTCAAGACTAGCCTGGCCAACATGGTGAAACCTTGTCTCAACTAAACATACAAAAATTAGCCGGGTGTGGTGGTGGGCACCTGTAGTCCCAGCTACTCGGAGGTTGAGGCAGGAGAATCGCTTGAACTCAGGAGGCAGAGGTTGCAGTGAGCTGAGATTGCGCCACTGCACTCCAGCCTGGGCAACAAGAGTGAGACTCTGCCTCAAAAATAAAAAATATAAAAATAAAAGAAAGAGGTTTAATTAACTCCCAGTTCCACAGGGCTGGGGAGGCCTCAGGAAACTTACGATCATGGCGGAAGGTGAAGGACGCAGGCACGTCTCACGTGGCAGGAGGCGAGAGAGTGGAGGGGGAGCTGCCACTTATAAACCAGCAGCCCCCGTGAGAACTCACCATCACGAGAACAGCATGTGGAAACCCTCCTCCATGATCCAATCACCTCCCTCCCTCGACACAGGGATTACAGTTCGAGATGAGATTTGTGTGAGGACACAGAACCAAACCATATCACCCCACCCCCCCACCAGGCAGCCCCTGGGCCCCCAAACCTAAACCCAGGTTCTATGGCGAGAACCAACAATAGCACTGCTCTCGGAGGGTGGCCCTGCGGGGTGGGGTGGGGCGGAACCACCGTGGACCCCAGTTGCTGCTCCCTAGCCCTGTGTGTGATGGGGGCATCTGGCCTGGTGTGTCCTTCGGGCCTTGGAAACCACACGGGCTGAGTCTGAGTGCACGTCCTGCAGCCCGGCCAGACAGACCCGCAATGAACCCACCTCCTCTCCTGCTGCCCAGCCAGGCAGACCCGCAGTGAACCCACCTCCCCTCCTGCTGCCCAGCCAGACAGACCCGCAGTGACCCCACCTCTCCCCTCCTGCTGCCCAGCCAGACAGACCTGCAGTGAACCCACCTCCTCTCCTGCTGCCCAGCCAGACAGACCTGCAGTGAACCCACCTCCTCTCCTGCAGCCCGCCCAGACAGACCCGCAGTGACCCCACCTCCTCTCCTGCAGCCCGCCCAGACAGACCTGCAGTGAACCCACCTCCTCTCCTGCTGCCCAGCCAGACAGACCTGCAGTGACCCCACCTCTCCCCTCCTGCAGCCCTGCAGACCCGCAGTGACCCCACCTCTCCCCTCCTGCTGCCCAGCCAGACAGACCTGCAGTGAACCCACCTCCTCTCCTGCTGCCCAGCCAGGCAGACCCGCAGTGAACCCACCTCCTCTCCTGCTGCCCAGCCAGGCAGACCCGCAGTGAACCCACCTCTCCCCTCCTGCAGCCCTGCAGACCCGCAGTGACCCCACCTCTCCCCTCCTGCCACCCAGCCAGACAGACCCGCAGTGACCCCACCTCTCCTTTCCCAGTTCCTGGAAGCAGAGGCCTTGATGGAACACAGGAAAGCTCAGTAAACGTTTTGAAATCAGACGTTCAGGAAAAATTAGTTAATTTTGGAAAACTCAGCTCTCCTCCCCAGGAACTCCTGACCTGAGGGGGGTTTATTCCCCCTTTACGGGGTTGTGGCACCTGCCGGCCCCCGTGGGCTCCGCAGCACCACCTGCCGGCCCTCAGCCAACCTGGGCTGCATCCCGTCCACCGGACTCACAGGCCCCACCTCCACCCCGCCCGCCCCTTGCGGGCCAGCCCAGCCCCCACACAGCCTCCCTGAGCCACATACCCGGTTAGGAGGTGGAAAGCATCTCTTTGTCGAGGGTCCCACAAGAACCTGAAATGAGGGCTGTGGTGGCTGAAGGGCAGCCTCCCAAAAGATACAACCAGGCCAGGCCCAGTGGCTCACGCTGTAATCCCAGCACTGGGGGGCCGAGGTGGAAGGATCACTTGAGCCCAGGAGTTCGAGACCAGCCTGGCCAACATGGTGAAACCCTGTCTTTTTTTTTTTTTGAGACAGAGTCTCACTCTGTTGCCCAGGCTGCAGTGCAGTGGTGCGATCTCAGCTCATTGCAAGCTCCACCTCCCAGGTTCACGCCATTCTCCTGCCTCAGCCTCCTGAGTAGCTGGGACTACAGGCACCCGCCACCACGCCCAGCTAATTTTTTCTATTTTCAGTAGAGACGGGGTTTCACCGCGTTAGCCAGGATGGTCTCGATCTCCTGACCTTGTGATCCGCCGGCCTCGGCCTCCCAAAGTGCTGGGATTACAGGTGTGAGCCAACGCGCCCAGCCCCGTCTTTAATAAAAATATAAAAATTAGCTAGGCCTGGTGATGGACTCCTGTAGTACCAGCTGCTCAGGAGGCTGAGGCAGGAGAATCGCTTGAATCCTGCAGGCAGAGGCTGCAGTGAGCCAAGATCCTGCCACTGTACTCCAGTCTGGGCAACAAGAGCGAAACTCCGTCTCAAAAAAAAATAATAATAAAGGCCGGGTGCAGTGGCTCACGCCTGTAATCCCCGCACTTTGGAAGGCTGAGGTGGGCAAATCATGAGGTCAGGAGATCAAGACCATCCTGGCTAACATGGTGAAACCCCATTTCTACTGAAAATACAAAAATTAGCCAGGCGTGGTGGCAGGAGCCTGTAATCCCAACTACTTGGGAGGCTGAGGCAGAATTGCTTGAACCCGGAAGGCAGAGGTTGCAGTGAGCCAAGCTTGTGCCACTGCATTCCAGCCTGGGTGACAGAGTGAGACTCTGTCTCAAAAAATAATAATAATACTCATGCCTATAATCCCAGCACTTTGGGAGGCCGAGGCCGGCAGATCACGAGGTCAGAAGATTGTGCCCATCTTGGCTAACACATGGTGAAACCCCGTCTCTAGTAAAAATACAAAAAAATTAGCCACGTGTGGTGGTGGGCGCCTGTAGTACCAGCTACTCGGGAAGCTGAGAGAGGAGAATGGCGTGAACCCAGGAGGTGGGGCTTGCAGTGAGCTGAGATGGTGCCACTGCACTCCAGCCTGGGCAACAGAGTGAGACTCCATCTCAAAAGAATAATAATAATAATAATAACAGTAAAAATAGCCAGGCATGGTGGCGCACACCTGTAGTCCCAGCTACTTGGGAGGCTGAGGCCGGAGGATCTCTTGAGCCCGGGAGGCTGAGGCTATAGTGAGCTGTGATCACACCACTGCACTCCAGCCTGGGAAGAGAGCAAGACACTGTATCAAGAAAAAAAAAATGTGCTGGAGCGACACAGTCACAGACCAAGGACAACTGGAGCCCCTGGAAGCTGGAGAAAGCAGGAAGGGTCCTCCCTGCAGCCTCCAGAGGGAGCACGGTGAATGACACCATGACCTCAGATGTGTGGCCTCCACAGCTAGTAGGGGACGCATCTCTGTTGCTTTCACCCCGGCGTGTTGTCATTTGTTACGGGAGCCTCAGGAGACAGGCACAGGATGATCCCTTCCGAGGGTGAAGCTCTGACACCAACCCAGGAGAGGGGACCAGGTGGCTCTACCAGTATCATGACCCCGGACCAGCAAGAGGATGCTAGCATGCAACCTCCCACCCAACCACCGGGGGCGGCTGTAGGCAAAGGGGGGTCCTGTGGGTGCCCGCAGAGCAGACGCCTCCACCAGGCATCCCTTCCAGCCCAGGGAAAGGGGGTGCCCATACACAGTCACAGCATCACAGCAACCTGGGGTCCGGCCGGCCTCGCCCTATGTCCCCAGCCGGCCCTCGTGTCCCCCCGTGCCCTCCCTGGGTTCCCTGGCCCTGGCTCAGGGACTAGCACGTGGGAAGTGCATGGTAAATACTCGCTAATGACGATGATTAAACAATCTGCAAAACAGAAAGCAGGGACCCCAGAGGCACGAGGTTGGCACTAGAGCTCAGGGGCTCCAGGGAAATGTCTGTGAGTTAATGAAGAACCCCGCCCCAGCTCCACCCGGAGCAGCAAGAGGAAGCTCACCTAAAGACCCTTCCCTTATCCCAACAGCCCTCCTCACTCTCACATTTTCTGTAAACCCACTCCACTGCATTTCAGTGGCACTAAGTTTCTTTCGTATTTTTTTTCTTTTTTTTTTTTTTTGAGACGGGGTCTCGCCCTGTCGCCCAGGCTGGAGTGCAGTGGTGCCGTCTCGGCTCACTGCAAGCTCCGCCTCCCGGGTTCACACCATTCTCCTGCCTCAGCCTCCCCAGTAGCTGGGACTACAGGCGCCCGCCACTACACCCGGATAATTTTTTTTTTTTTATATTTTTAGTAGAGACAGGGTTTCACTGTGTTAGCCAGGATGGTCTTGATCTCCTGACCTCATGATCTGCCGGCCTCGGCCTCCCGAAGTGCTGGGATTACAGGCGTGAGCCATCGCACCCGGCCTCGTGTTTTGTTTTTCTTTCTTCTTTTAGATGGAGTCTCGCTCAGTCGCCCAGGCTGGAGTACAATGGTGCGATCTCAGCTCACTGCAACCTCTGCCTCCTGGGTTCAAGTGATTCTCCTGTCTCAAACTCCCGAGTAGCTAGGACTACAGGCACGTGCCACCACGCCTGATAAGTTTTTTTTTTTTGAGACAGTGTCTTAGTCTGTTGCTCAGGCTAGAGTGCAATGGTGCTATCTCAGCTCACCACAACCTCCACCTCCCAGGCTCAAGCGATTCTCCTGCCTCACCCTCCTTAGTACCTGGGATTCCAGGCACAAACCACCATGCTGGGCTAATTTTTATATTTTTAGTAGAGATGGGGTTTCACCATGTTGGCCAGGGTGGTCTTGAACTCCTGACCTCAAATGATCCACCTGCCTCAGCCCCACAATGTGCTGGGATTACAGGCGTGAGCCACCGCGCCCAGCCTAATTTTTGTATTTTTAGTAGACGGGGTTTCACCATGTTGGCTGGGCTGGTCACAAACTCCTGACCTCGGGTGATCCACCCACCTGGGCCTCCCAAAGCGCTGGTGAGCCACCGCACCCGACCCCCTGTTCTATTTTTAATAGAAGATATTTCAGCCCCTAATCTCCAAGCTCGGCCAGGTATTGCCAGGTGGCGGGATGGCTGGGACCTGGAAGCTCACCTGGCCCAGGTGCTGGGGAAAGCTCCTCCGTGCAGCAGCAGAAGAAAGTCCTGTCTGGCCGAGAGGAGCAGCTGCAGGTGATGGAGAAGGCCACACAGGCTGGTGGCCCAAACCCCACAGGCAGGTGCAGGAGTGCCCAGGCCGCATCCAGGTGGGGACATGTGGTCAGAATCAGGGCCTAGAACCCTGGGGAGGGTGCGGCGCAGGCTGGGACCTAGGATGTTGCCACTGTGAGATCTCCATGGGCTGAGCCTGCTTGGGCCGGAAAGATGCCAGCCTCGATCCAGGAGTTTCCTGAAAAGTCCCCATAAAACTGGCCATTAGACATGTAACTGGCCATATGATGCCAGATATACATGTAACTGGCCAGGCGCGGTGGCTCATGCCCGTAATCCCAGCGCTTTGGGAGGCTGAGGTGGGTGGATCACTAGGTAAGGAGTTCAAGACCAGCCTGGCCAACATGGTGAAACCCAGTCTCTAATTAAAACTACAAACATTAGCCGGATGCAATGGCAGGTGACTGTAATCCCAGCTACTCGGGAAGCTGAGGCAGGAGAATTGCTTGAACCCAGGCGGCAGAGGTTGCAGTGAGCCGAGATCGCGCCACTGCACTCCAGCCTGGGCAACAGAGTGAGACTCTGTCTCAAAAAAGAAAAAAAAAAAAGTGAGTCGGGGTCGGGCGCGGTGGCTCACGCCTGTAATCCCAGCACTTTGGGAAGCTGAGGCGGGCAGATCACGAGGTCAGGAGTTCGAGACCATCCTGGCTAACACGGTGAAACCCCGTCTCTACTAAAAATACAAAAAATTAGCCGGGCGTGGTGGTGGGCGCCTGTAGTCCCAGCTACTCGGGAGGCTGAGGCAGGAGAATCGCTTGAACCCAGGAGGTAGAGCTTGCAGTGAGCCGAGATCGCGCCATTGCACTCCAGCCTGGACGACAGAGCGAGACTCTGTCTCAAAAAAAGAAAAAAACGAAAAGCGAGTCGGCCCACAGGGTCCTGTTTCAGGGTCTCCCAGGGGCATGGACTTTTCCAGACTGGTCTCCAAGATAACAGAAAAAGGGGCTGGAGGCCCTGGGAGCGGCTCCCCAGGAAGGGGAGACCTCGTGCCTATCCATGCTTTCTTCCCTGCCTGAATTCCCCAACACGAGCTGAGCGCCTCCTGTGTGCCAGGCGCGTTCCGGGTTCTTGGGTTGCATCCGGGAGCACCTGGTCCGCAGGTACGCAGAGGATGAGGAAATGGACGGAGCCAGATCCCCTCCGCTTCCTTGTGAAGGCGGAGAGACTCCGGGGCCGGAGCTGCGGCGCTGGCCCGACCAACCCCTGCGCCCCCTGCACCCCAACCCGGGGCCTGGGGCGCGCGGGAGGTGGACGAAGCGGTAGGTCCCGGGTTCCCGCGAGGTGGGCGGGGAGCCGCAGCGCCGGGGCTCGTCAGCAGAGGGCGCCGGCCCCGGGACGAGGTGCGCATGCGTCCTGGGGGCGCTTTCCGGCAGCGTGGCGGAACCAGCCACTTCGTTTCGCGCCGTTTAGCGACACCTGCGCGCGGCGGCAGTGCGGCCGTCATGGCGTCGCCCTTCAGCGGGGCGCTGCAGCTGACGGACCTGGATGACTTCATCGGGCCGTCTCAGGTGGGCCGGCCTGGGCGGGCGGGGTCGAGGCTGCGCTCGGTGCCCTGTCGCGCGGAGGGAAATTGCTCTGCGCCCCACTTCCTCCCCTGAGGAATGAGATCCGAATCCCGGGAGCCCGGTCTGGGCCGTCAGGGACTCTATCGACCCGGGCGCGGGGCCTCAGACACTGAGGCCCGCTTCTTACCAACAAGGAAACTGAGGCCAGGGAGGGCGGCGCCCCCCAACCCGCTCCTGTGCCCCATGGTGTCCGGGCGGGCTGCGTGGGAGGGTCCCGTGGTCGCGGGCTCGCGCCGGCCTGCCCAACCCAGAGGAGGCAGCAGAGGCGGCTCCCACACATCCCTAACCCTAACCCGACCCCTGGGTCGCAGCTGGAGGGCGGCGGGGCCCGGGCCGGGGCCTCTTCCCCTTCCCCTGCGCAGGACGCCTTGTCAGGCCTCAGGACCCCCAAGCCACAGCCTTTGCATCTGCATAAACGGGTGCGGTGGGGACCCCACCTCATTTGAGGGCAGTAGGGGCGGCCCGCTAGACGCCCCGCAGTGGCTCCTCAGTAGAGCTGTCCTTAACGTCGCCCTGGTGGGCCGGACAGCTACCCTTGAACCCGGGAGGCTGCAGGCGCCCTTTTCTGGGTGCACCTGCCTGTCCATGTCCAACAGCCCCGCGGGGCCAGAGCTGAGCAGGGCGAGAGGCGGGCTGCTGGGAGCGCTTCCGGCAGGGATGAGCTGGGAGGCGGCTTTCTGGGCTGCCAGGGTTCTCAAGGAGAAGAGAGAGAAATCCACTTGTTTCCCGGGCACTGAGCAGGAGGTGGTCTCCAAACAGATCCAAGCACACGTCCTCTCGATGGGCAGTGCAACTCTGGTCTCTGTGGTGGTCACGCCCCCTGTTCACGTGAAGGGTGAAGGTCAGTGTTGGTGGTGTCTCCGCAGGTGGGTAGTTTGCAGGCGCTGTTAGCACTGGCCTTCCTGCACACTGGGAACTTCAGTGCCGCAGGATGTTGGGAACCCGATCCCTGGGTGAGAGCAGTGGGGCAGGAAGAAGACGGTGGGACCAGCCTCAGTCCCTGAGTGCATGGCTCCTGGCAGAGCCTTCAGGCTGTGCGGCTGGGCAGCCATCCTTGAGGCCTGGCCTCCCAGGGAACCTCCGCCCACTCACAGGGGCTGATTTGGGGTCTCTTCCTGCTCTAGGAGTGCATCAAGCCTGTCAAAGTGGAAAAAAGGGCGGGAAGTGGCGTGGCCAAGATTCGCATTGAAGATGACGGGAGCTACTTCCAAATTAACCAAGTAAGGCACAGGAGGCTGCTCCACCATCTCTCCTGCCCGGCTGATCCGAAACACTTTTCTCTGCTTCCTCCCGTCACAGAGCGGTGACCCCGAGACACTCCAGGTCTCACCAGTCTTTTCCCACTGGTCGAATTCACCTGCCATCTGGGAGGCTGGGGGTCAGGGTGCCTGGGGCAGGTGAATGAGCAGCACCCAGGCCAAACAGCTTGATCTGCTCAGCAGAGGGGCTATTTGCAGAGATGGTGGATCCTGTCTGCGTCTGCCTGTTCCCCCTAGTTCTAACCATGTAAGATTTTCTAATTCAGACCCCTCGTTCTTTTGTTTGTTTGTTTGTTTGTTTGTTTGATACAGAGTCTCCCTCGATGGCCCAGGCTGGAGTGCAGTGGCATGATCTCGGCTCACTGCAAGCTCTGCCTCCCAGGTTCACACCATTCTCCTGCCTCAGCCTCCCGAGTAGCTGGGACTACAGGCGGCCACCACCACGCCCAGCTAATGTTTTTTGTATTTTTAGTAGAGACGGGGTTTCACCGTGTTAGCCAGGATGGTCTCAATCTCCTGACCTCGTGATCCACCCGCCTTGGCCTCCCAAAGTGCTGGGATTACAGGCGTGAGCCACCGCGCCCAGCCCAGACCCCTCATTCTTAAAGAATAGTACTTCCTCTCTAAGTGATAAGATCCTGATGAAACTGTTAAAATTCAGGCTGGGCGCGGTGGCTCACGCTTGTAATCCCAGCACTTTGGGAGGCCAGGGTAGGGGGGGCGGATCACCTGAGGTCAGGAGTTCGAGACCAGCCTGGCCAACCCCCATCTGTACTAAAAATACAAAAATTAGTTGGGTGTCGTGGCGCATGCCTGTAATCCCAGCTACTCAAGAGGGTGAGGCAGGAGAATCACTTGAACCTGGGAGATAGGGACTGCAGTGAACCAAGATTGCTCCACTGCACTCCAGCCTGAGAGACAGAGACTCCATCTCAAAAAAATAAAGAAACTGGGCCTGGCGCGGTGGCTCAGGCCTGTAATCCCAGCACTTTGGGAGGCCGAGGCGGGTGGATCACGAGGTCAGGAGATCGAGACCATCCTGGCTAACACGGTGAAACCCCGTCTCTACTAAAAATACAAAAAAAAAAATTAGCTGGGCGTGGTGGCCGGCGCCTGTAGTCCCAGCTACCGGGAAGCTGAGGCAGGAGAATGGCGTGAGCCTGGGAGGCGGAGTTTGCAGTGAGCCGAGATCGCACCACTGCACTCTAGCCTGGGTGACAGAGCGAGACTCCATCTCAAAAAAAAAAAAAAAAAGAAACTATTAAAATTCACCTGTCTGCCATTTGGACTCTAAAAAACGTCTGCCTGATCTCATGAACCACTGCACCAAGAGACGATTTCCAGCCCAGCACTGGGGGCCCAGCCCACAAACGAAGGGAACCCCTGGAAGGTGCTGGGGTGCTGGTAGGCGTGGCTGTCGGTGCAGTGGCAGTTGGTTTGGAGGAGCCTGTCAGCCTCTGCCCAGCACCCTGTGGCAGGCAAGGCTTTGTGCCTTGGGGCAGAACCAACGTAGGAATACAAGGCGAGCTCAGATTGTGATACACAGGCCTAGCAGAGAGCTGGGCTGCGAGGGGTTCCCACACAGTTCCCACCCAGTCGCCTTACTCCTCTGGCTGTATTCCGGGCCACTGCAGCACCCCTGGCCCTGCTCAAACCATTCCTGCCTTTGCAGGAGAAGTTGGGGGAGCTCGAGCTGGGTGCGTTTTGCATGTAAGAAAAGTTGCTGAGGCATGTCCCGGAGGCCCCCGACTGGAACACCTTGTTCCTGCATCTGTTTGGCGAGTCTGACGGTTGTTTCTGCCCCGCCCACCGGAGGCCAGGCTCCCAGGCTTCCTCCCTCTGCTCTCCTCTTCCTGTGCCTTCGTCCTTTCCTCCTTTGTCCTCAGCTTTCCCGCCTCCTCCTTTCAGAGCCCACCTTCGGCATTTTCCTGCCCTACAGCCCTGTGAGTGTGCACCGGGGCCAGCACCCCGTCCAGGGCCCCATGGGTGAGTGGGGTGGCTGCTGCTTTGCTGAGATACCAGTGGCAAGCCTTAGTCCTGTGATTCGGATGCACTAACCAAGTGGTACCAAGAAGCAGACTTGACGGCATTATGAAACTGTAGAGCGTGCGTGTGCATTTTTGTAATACATACCTAATTTTTAAAAATTCAGCGGCACACAAGCCCAGCCAGCAGCCATGTTGGTTGTCGGTTATGAGCTGGACTCCACTATCCTCTGTCTCCATGTCCTCGTGCAGAGGGGGCCCCTGTGCACCGGGTTCTTCTCCCTTGTAGGACGGCGGGACCCGGAGGCTGGAGAAGGCCAAGGTCTCGCTAAACGACTGCCTGGCGTGCAGCGGCTGCATCACCTCCGCAGAGACCGTGCTTATCACCCAGCAGAGCCACGAGGAGCTGAAGAAGGTTCTAGATGCTAACAAGGTAAGCAGTGGTCGGCCTGGTGACTCTGCTTTAACCTGAAATCCATCCCAGCAGCCGACAACGCGTTTTGCCAAGGGCAGCTCGTGTGGTGCCGACGTCCGTCGTGCGGGTGGCGCCTGCCTTTTTGAGGCTTGGAATCTTGGTGATTTGTCAGTGGGCTCCAGTGGTGAACGTGTCAGGCCCCAAACTTCAGGTTCTAAATATACATCAAAATGACACCCCTACTGGGCGCGGGGGCTCACGCCTGTCATACCAGCACTTTGGGAGGCTGAGCCGGGTGGATCACCTGAGGTCAGGAGTTCGAGACCACCGTGGCCAACATGGTGAAACCCCGTCTCTACTAAAAATACAAGAATTAGCCAGGTGTGGTGGCACATGCCTGTAATCCAAGCTACTAGAGAGGCTGAGGCAGGAGAATCGCTTGAACCCAGGAGACAGAGGTTGCAGTGAGCCGAGATTGCGCCATTACACACCAGCCTGGTGATAGAGTGAGACTCCATCAAAAAAAAACGATACCCTTGGCCAGGCACGGTGGTTCACGCCTGTAATCCCATCTACCCAGGAGGCTGAACCTGGGAGGCGGAGGTTGCATGCAGTGAGCTCCGATCGCACCACTGCACTCCAGCCTGGGCAACAGAGTGAGACTCTGTGTTAAAAAAAAAAAAAAGACTCTTGATGGAGCTGGCCTGCCCTCTCCACAGCTGACAGCATCTCACCGTGCGGCTCTGGCCACCAGGAATCAGCATAAGGCCAGCAGAGTAAGCAGCGTCTTCCCCTTGCTTTGCAGATGGCGGCACCCAGTCAGCAGAGGCTGGTTGTAGTTTCGGTCTCACCACAGTCTAGAGCATCGCTGGCTGCACGGTTTCAGCTGAATCCTACAGATACTGCCAGGAAATTAACCTCATTCTTTAAAAAAATAGGTAGGCTTTGAACCTGGGGTAACACTGCCGCTCCAAATCAAGGGGGCGTCTGAGTAAGCCCAGGCCCCTCGCGCCTCTGAGTCACTGACACGCTACCCAGCCCTGAACTTCAGCGCTACAGAAACTTTATTCCCTCTGTGACCTCAGCCTGAAGTTTTGATTTGACATTTGAGAGCAGGGCCTTCTCACAGAACACGTCTGCATTCTGACTGTGCACTTTCTCTAAGCTGGGGCTGACCAACTCCTTGTACTTTTTAGCTGATAATATTAAGGCACTCTCTCCGGGGCTCTGTTGGGTTCAGCCAAGGTCAGCTTCTGCTGACTTTGGTTATGTGCCTGGAGCTGGGCTTGGGGAGGATCTGGGTGTCTTGAGAGCCCCCAGCTAACTAGGCTCCAGTGCCTGGTGTCTCACTGGGAATGAAGGGGCTGGACCTCATGGTTACTGTGTGCCTTTCACAGGTAACCACCATGTCCAGTCCCTTCATTCCCAGTGAGGCAGGCCTGTGCGCCTTGTAACCAGCAGACTGCCTGTCATCCAGCTGTGTCCCAGGTCCCTCACACTGGAAACCTGGTGACACTGGCAGGTGCCCCATGGCTCCTGTCTGACCCATATCCAGTTGGTGCCTGAGCAGTGCTCTGGCACTGGGAGCCTGACCTGGTGTCCCAGGGAAAACCTGGCCTGGGGCAGCCCATGGTTCTCCAGATGGAAGGTGTGGATTTCGTCCCCACCAGAATAGGAAGCAAGTTCAAAGATTTTTACTTAGAGATGATGATGACGGGCAAGTGGGGCACAGCGAGTCCTCCGACCACGGGTTACGCGAGGGAGGAATGACAAGTCAGGCAGAGAGAGAGGGACCCACACGCGGGTGCCTCTGCTGGGTCCAGGGCACGATCAGGCAGGTTTACTGAGCAGTTCTAATGGCTGGGCTTGGAGCTGGCTGGCGTGTTCCAGGAGTCCTGCTGTGTGTGAGGGGTGGCCACTATGGTAGGTCTGCACAGTCAGGGTCCGAGGGGCCAGTCCAGCAGGCTGCGTCCAGCTGTGCCCTAGGGAGGGTCACCGGGAGCAGCGCACGTGGCAATTCCCTGGACCAGCCACGCTGAAGAGCTGGGAGGGTGGAGGACTGAGCTGCTGGGTGGCTGCCTCTGGGGTGGGAAACCAAGGCCTGGGTTCACAGGGGATGCCGAGGCAACGTGGCTTTAGGAGGTCCCCACAGTGGGGCTGGGGCTTTGGCGCAACGTGGCTTTAGGAGGTCCCCACGGTGGGGCCGGGGCTTTGGCACGGCAAGCAGGTGCGACACACGTGCCCTGGCAGCACCATGGTGGTCCACACGCCGGCGTGTGCTCGTGTGGGCGTCCCGCATGGGGTTAACCAGGCACCCACCTTCACCTTCCAGGGGTGCACTTCGTCTTCGACACCGCCTTCTCAAGGCACTTCAGCCTCCTGGAGAGCCAGCGAGAGTTTGTGCGGCGATTCCGAGGACAGGCCGACTGCAGACAGGCGCTGCCCCTGCTGGCCTCTGCCTGCCCAGGTGTGCTCATGGTGCGGGTGGTGGGAGAGTCAAGTTCAAGTGCAGTTGAAACGTGAGGTGATATGGACACAAATGACAAGGCGGGGGCATGGGGGGTGGAGACGCAAGCAGGTTTTGCGGGACGGGTTGGAAATGTTGGCACAAATGGCCTTTTCTGGAGAAGAGGCTGCCCTCCCGTGGGAGCCACGCGCAGTCACCTCAGGTCCCTAGGCGGTGTCGCCTGCACGCCGAGCTCCGCGTGGTGGTGGGGAGAACAGGAATGAGCACTCTTTAATGTCATCATGATCTCCTGTATGAGCGGGCCCGCCCCCAGAATGTCGTGCTGCTGCCTGTGGGTGCGGGGGCCGCCGTGCGCCCCCGCCAGCCCCGTGTGCCCCCTGTCACCTCAGGCTGGATCTGCTATGCCGAGAAGACTCACGGCAGCTTCATCCTCCCCCACATCAGCACCGCCCGGTCCCCGCAGCAGGTCATGGGCTCCCTGGTCAAGGACTTCTTCGCCCAGCAGCAGGTAACGGCGTTGGGCCAGCCCCAGACTCAGGCTGGGGAGCGGCCAGAAGTGACTTTGCTGGCCTCTTGCCATGAGGCTGCAGGAAACAGAGTCCTCGCTGTGCTGTGCGGCCTTCCCCAGCACACCTCCACCCTTGTTCCCTCCTGGTTCAGGCCCTTCCTCTTCTGCAGCAGAGGGCTTCGTTCTGATCCAGAGGTGCTCACTGCTCACCCAGAGGCAGCCAGGCCTGAGGCTGAGGGAGCAGGAGGCCCTGGGCAGTCCGGGCCTGGAGCCCACCCCTCCGGCCACCAGGTCCACGAGGATGCCCAGCACGACCCCCACCTGAGGCCCAGCGGGATAGAAGCCTGAAGACACTCAGCCAGCAGGGGGCGGGAGAGGGCGAGGGCGGCCCCGGTGGTGCCTGGGCCTCGAGCGCCCATGTCCCCTGCGGCACCTCTTGCCTGACTGCACGCGGATTTTCACCCGGGGCTGGAGCTGGTTGGTTCCCCCGTGACATCCGTTTCCCCGGCTGCTGTGCAGTGAGACGGCCCGAGCCGTGGGAAGGCCACTTCTCCTCCGCTGGACTTGGCTGTTAGGGAGCGCAGGCACACTGGGAATGGGTCAGTGTCATTTTCTGTCACAGCCAGGGCCCGTCCTGTCCAGGGACACATCCGCAGAGCCGGCAGGAGGCTTGCTGGGAAATGGAGTGAGGCTCACTGTCCCTCGGGGTCCGGCCTGGCTGCAGGATGGCTGAGTTCCAGGTCCCGTCTCAGCCACCTTACTGCTGGGATTGGGGAGACAAGTGTTTGTTTCTCCTTGTAGCACTTGACCCCTGACAAGATCTACCACGTCACAGTGATGCCCTGCTATGACAAAAAGCTGGAAGCCTCCAGACCCGACTTTTTCAACCAGGAGCACCAGACACGGGATGTGGACTGTGTCCTCACAACAGGTGCGGTCACGCCGTGCGGCCCTGAGCCCTCAAGCCTCCTGGTCTGATTCCTGAGCCCTGGGCACAGGTGGCGACTGCCCAGGATCCTGCCTGTGGGGGCCCTGGCTGGAGTGTGGGGGCTCGCATGCGTGCACGTACCTTCGTCTCTCCCCTTGGAGCCAGGTGGGCCCATTTGCAGCTGGCCTGTCTTGGGGACCTGCAGCCAGGTGGCGCTCAGTAATACCTCCTTGTTGGCTCTGAAATGAGTCTTTGGAGGTGGGCAGAGATTCTCGAATGCAGCCTCTTCAGCTCCCATGAGTCACCCCATTCCTGAGTCGAGCAGCCCCACAGTCTCCCAAATGTGAGGCAGAAAAGCAAACTGTGGCCGGGCATGGTGGCTCACGCCTGTAATCCCAGCACTTTGGGAGGCAGAGGTGGGTGGATCACGAGGTCAGGAGTTCAAGACCAGCCTGGCCGAGATGATGAAACCCCATGTCTACTAAAAATACGAAAATTAGCCGGGAGTAGTGGTGGTGCTCCTGTAATCCCAGCTACTCGGGAGGCTGAGGCAGGAGAGTCACTTGATCCCGGGGGGCAGAGGTCGTAGTGAGCCGAGATCGTACCATTGCACTCCAGCCTGGGCGGCAGAGTGAGACTCCGTCTCAAAAAAAAAAGAAAAGCAGACTGCCTAAGAGGATGGACAGATGGACACTGGGTGAGCAGAGTGGCCTGGCCGCTGGCACACCTCCCTGGGCAGGACCAGGCAGCCTCCAGAGGGGCTTCAGGAGTGACCGGGCCTGGCCTCCCCACCACGGGCTAGGGTGGACATTTGGGGCCTTCTGGGGCCAAAGTGCAGACTGCTGGGGATGCAGGTGGCTTGGATGTTCTCTGACTTTGTTGCTGGGATCTCCGCTAAAGAGTGTCTGCGCTGTGGCTTCTTTGCAGGAGAAGTTTTCAGGTTGCTGGAGGAAGAGGGCGTCTCCCTCCCCGACCTGGAACCAGCCCCTCTGGACAGCCTGTACGTATGTCTGCCACCAAGAACTGTTATTTTAGCTTCTAACGCTGCCTCTGAGGATAGCATCCCCCTGCTCTGGGCTTGCCTCCCCGCAGCCCATCTTGGCGTCCACAGAAGTGGCTGGATAGCCAGGCGCAGTAGCTCACGCCTGTCACCCCAGCACTTTGGGAGGCCAAGGTGGGCAGATCACCTGAGGTCAGGAGTTCGAGACCAGCTCGGCCAACATGGTGAAACCTCATCTCTACTAAAAATACAAAATTTAGCCAGACATGGTGGTAATCCATGCCAGGCCCTGTAATCCCAGCTACTTGGGAGGTTGAGGCATGAGAATTGCTTGAACCCAGGAGGCGGAGCTTGCAGTGAGCCAAGATCACGCCACTGCACTCCAGCCTGGGCGACAGAGCAAGACTCCGTCTCAAAAAAAAAAACAAGAAGTGGCTGGGCCCCTGTGATGGCTGGTGACACAGGAGCTGTTCCTCTGTGTCTGTGACTTGTCTCCCACCTGGAAATGCAAACGCTCATGTGTGAGGGACAGAGGCCCTGCTCGGGAGGTTGGCAGGCAGCAGCCCCAGCTGTGCTGAGGCCCCTCCCTCCTTGCCAGGTGCAGCGGTGCCTCTGCAGAGGAGCCCACCAGCCATCGGGGAGGGGGCTCGGGGGGCTACCTGGAGCACGTGTTCCGGCACGCGGCCCGAGAGCTCTTTGGAATCCATGTGGCTGAGGTTACCTACAAACCCCTGAGGTCAGTGGGATGGGCCAGATCTCTGGGCAGAGCGGCCACACAGCCCCCAGCCTTCCTCGGGCTGCTGCCTCCCCTGGGGTCCTCCCACAGAGGTGGGCTGGGTGGAGGGCAGCCTGCAGGGTTTGGAGGGGACCCTGGGGCCAGGCAGGGCCCTCCTGGCGGGCTCAGGGTGTGAAGGCACCTAAGCACTCCAGGCCTCAGTCGGCCCATTGTGGGGGATGGTGACCCTGAGCCCGAGAGGCCAGCATGGGCAAAGGTGATGGGTGCCTGGCGCAGGCACGCGACCACATCCCAGGAGGGAGGGCCAGGGCCTCACAGACATCCCTGGGGAGGGAGGCCTGTTTCACAGACAGCCCGAGGCTGGAGGTGAGGTCCCCTGCTGGACTCAAGGAAGTGAGCCTTCCACCCTCTCTCTCCGTTCTTGTCCTTCCCTCTGCCCAGGAGAGAGGGAGAGAGCCCTGGGAGGTACCCGGTCATCCCCTGAAGCCCAGCAGGCCTCCCCTTCCAGGCAGGCAGGAGCCTGGTGGGTGTGCCATGTAGACAAACCCCGCCTGTGCCCCCCAGGAACAAAGACTTCCAGGAGGTGACACTGGAGAAGGAGGGCCAGGTGCTGCTGCACTTCGCAATGGCGTACGGCTTCCGCAACATCCAGAACCTGGTGCAGAGGCTCAAACGAGGGCGCTGCCCCTACCACTACGTGGAGGTCATGGCCTGCCCCTCAGGTAGCTCCTGCAAGGGACAGGACACGAGGACCCCTTCTGGGAGCAGAGCTGTGGGCCACCATCCACCAGGCTGGGAGTGGGAGGAAGTGGGGCACAGAGGGGGCCCGGTCACCTCCCTGCTCCCTGGTGGTCAGGAAGCTTGGCTGGGGCGCAGGCTGTGACCCCTGTCCCGTCTGCTCTCCCATAGGCTGCCTGAACGGCGGGGGCCAGCTCCAGGCCCCAGACAGGCCCAGCAGAGAGCTCCTCCAGCACGTGGAGAGACTGTACGGCATGGTCCGGGCTGAGGCGCCCGAGGACGCGCCTGGGGTTCAGGAGCTGTACACACACTGGCTGCAGGGCACGGACTCGGAGTGTGCAGGTCGCTTGCTGCATACGCAGTACCACGCCGTGGAGAAGGCCAGCACTGGCCTGGGCATCCGGTGGTAGGGGCTGCAGGACCAGGACTCCCAGGAGGCCGTGTCCATGTGTGACAGCAGAACCACATGCCCCAAGACCCCAGGGCTTCCCCCAAAATTCTGAGTGAGCTGCAGGGTGTGCTGGGACCCGAGTAGGAGCTAGGACTAGCCAGGACCCGCAGCCGCCTCGTCACCTCCAGTTGGGTGCCTCTGGGTTCCCACTGGCTCTGCCCAGGTGGGGTGGGGTGGCCCAGGCAGCAGAAGGTTCCCTGAGGTCCCAGAGCCTGTTCCGTTGGCCCTGGGCCGAGGCCCACAGGTGCTGCCCTTGCTGCTGCTGGTCGGGCACCCAAGTGCGTGAGGGGCTTCAGCCTGTCCCGGGGTTGCCTGAGGCAGAGCAAGACGGGTTCTCACCCCTGACTTCTGGAGGCTTCCCTTGAAGCTCTGTGCAAAAGGTGGGAGACAGAGCTGGACCTGCAGGGGTGGTCCCGCCACAACCCTGCGTGTGGACCCTGGCAGGGGGGGGTGCCAGGCCCCTGGAAAGCAGGGGTTACCGTTACGAGGCTGTGGTCCGGGGCAAGCCAAGTACGAAGCAGCAGCCATCGCGGGCTGCATCATCCCCCAGCCAGGTCCCCACCAGGCCTGTCTCCCAGCGTTTGTCTAATAAACGCACCCCTCCTAAAACACGCCTACGAAAACAGCTCCTCTCCTGGCACATCTGCCAACACTGACAACGGCCTTTCAAAGCTTTATTCATAGTTCGGAGGCCCCGTGTGCCCCACTTCCCAGACACCCAGGTCTCGGCGCCCACACAGGCCCCACTGAGTGGTCCTGTGTGTCCACCCGGGAAGCACCAGGTTGCCCACCCTCCGAGGCTGGGCAGATGGCTGGCCAGGGCCTCGAAGAAGGTTCCAGAGGTGGCCCTCATGTGGGTCCAGCTGGCCGAGGTCACGAGGAGGGACGCAGGCCCCAGCCCTGTGAGGGTCTGGGTGGCTCAGTCGTGTGGGGCTGCACTCAGGAGCCCCCACTGCAGCGCAAGGAGGGCCCGCGCCTGTGGCTGCCGCGGCTCGCCCGCCTGTTCGAAGCGCGCCCGCTCCTTGCATAGCGCCTCCAGGACGTCGGCGGGGACCGCCTTGCCCGTGAACTTGCGCACCGGCTCCTCTCTGCAGGGAGGGGTGCAGTGAGGCGCAGGGCCCGCTGCCCACGCGGGAGCATGGCGCCGAGGGGTGGGCGGGCAGGCAGGCACTTAATGAGCAGCCTCCCCCAAGCCAGAGATGCTCACTCAGCCCAACACGCAGTCCCCAGATGCCTTCCTAAGGGTCCACGTAACGGTGGAGGCCCCGGGACAACAGCCATACTCACGCCACCCGCAGGAAGGGGTTGTAGAGGCGCTCCTCGCCCAGAGTCGACGGCACAGTGGGCACGTCATCCTCATCCCTCTTCTGGAGTGACCACAGGCCCCGGTCACCATTAGGCCTTGTCTGAGAGCCCCCCCCACCCCGAAGCCTGTTCCCTCCCCCCCCACCCTCTTGCCGCGGCGGGAAAGGGGCCGTGCCTTAGCCCAGGACAGCTTGGCTCTCACGTGGTCGTTGCAGGGCTCCACTTTCTGGGCAAACTCCAGGTTGCTAAGCGTGTGCTCGTGGCCGCAGAACACCTTCTGGAGGAAGAGCGCTCGGTGAGCGCGCACGCGGCCAGGAAGCGGGGAAAGTGCTTGCGCCGGGGGCCTGGCCTCCCCTGCCCGGTCTGCCCTCAGGTGGGCATTCACTCTGCACCCCTAGCACAGTGAGGGTGCGGAGCGTGGGGGCTGTGCCCACGGGAGAAGAGGGGAGGGCCCAGGCCCGCTCACCGTCTCGGGGGGCAGGGTACCCAGCTCGGCCAGGCTCTGGTACATCTGCTGGGCGCTGCCCTCCAGGCACGAGCCGCAGCCGGCCACCGACAGCGCGTCGCCTGGCGGGGGAGGGCGGGTCAGAGCAGATGGGGCGGGGCCGGCGGGAGGCGGGGTGGGCGCGCTCCGCGCTGCGGGTACCCGAGAACAGGGCGGGTGGGTCCGGGCAATCGTCCTCCCACAGGAAGTAGCTCATGTGGCCGGCGGTGTGGCCGGGCGTCAGGAGGCAACGCACGTGGATGGCCCCGAACTGCGGCGGAGGAGCAGGCGGACCTGTGAGGGCGGGTGGACCCGGGGCGCCCTCCCCGCCCCTCCCGGGAGCGCGCGCTCACCCGCAGCTCCTCGCCGTGCGCCAGCCTGCGCGTCAGCGAGAAGATGCGCTCGTCCGCGCCCAGCACCGCCAGCCCGGGACGAAGCCGCGCCAGCTCCGGGTTTCCCCGCGCGTGGTCCCTGCGGGCGGGCGGGCGGGGGCCGGGTTAGGTCGGGTTGGGACAAGGCGGCGTCCTCGTGCCTCCCCGCGCCCCGCCGGCGCTCACCAGTGATGGTGGGTGGTCAGCACAGCGGTCAGAGACACCCCCTCCCGGCCCACGATCTCCAGCAGCTGAAAGGGACGGGAGTGACGGTAACACAGACGGTCCCGGTGGCCCACTCCCTCCATATCGGGATCCGCCGCGCTCACTGCCCCAGGCCGGCCAGAGCCCCGGGGAGCGCCGGGGAGCGGGGACCCAGCGGGCGGTGACTGCGCCCAGCGCGTGCAGGGACCGCCAGGCAGCAGCGAAAGGGCGGAGGCCAGAGGTGCCGTAACTTCAGGGAGCCCCAAGATAAACAAGGAACCCCAGCCGCCAATGACTTCCGGAGAGCAGAGCACGTGGGGGCTCGCTCCTACCAGGGGGGTCGGGGAGGCTCTCGGGGGACACGGCCGGGTCCCTGCGGCCCGCGGCCTGCCCTCACCCTCTTGGGCACAGCCACGTCCACGGCCACCGCCTCGCGCGTGAGCTCCTCGATGACCAGGTACATGTAGTTGTCCTCGAGCACGGGGATGACCTTGACCTTCATGGTCACGGAGCTCGGCCACCGGTGCCTGCTCCAAAACAGGCCCCCCAGCCCACGGTGCCCCTTCAGGGCGGGGCCCGCTCTCCACACCCTAGGAAGGGCTGTGCGAAGCGGGCTCGGTCAACACGCTGGGGGCCAAAAGAGAAGCCCGGCTCCCCAGGAACTCCCCGGCACTCGCGTGGAATTCCACGCACCGGGCTCCAGCAGGAGCGGAACCCGGCCGGTCCCCAACCAGCCCCGGCTCCGCCCCCAGTCCGAGCCCCAGTCCCCAAAGGCCACGCCTTCCTCCCAGGCCCCGCCCCTCGGCCCCCCGCCCTGCCGCCGCAAGACCCCTGACCCGGGACAGCCGCGTTCCCCCGCCGCCCGCCTCACCGGCACGGCTGTGCTGAGGACCCGAAGGACAGACTGACGGAGGCGGGGCCTCGGCCGCCGGTCACGGGGTCCGGACTGAGCGCGGCGCTGGGCTCGGGAGCCGCCAACCGCCCCCCTCCGCGGACGCGCCCCGCCCCCGCCCCCGCCCGGCCCGGATCCTGCGCGCGATGAGACCACAAGGCCCGCCGGCGGTGCGCGTGCCCGGTGGGGCGCCACGCGCACGCTCCGACCCCGCCGCGCCCGGCGCTGGCACCTCCTCCAGGAAGCCCTCCCGACGCCCCGGCTGAGCCAGTCGTTTCCGAGTTCTCCGGCCCCTGATGGGGACGTCTGCGCCCCTCTTCTCAGGCCAGAGGTGCAGAGATATACTTCCCCCGTCCCGGGGCTCAGCCAGCACTGCTAGGTACACAGAAGGTGTCCAGCGAGTGTAGCTCAGGGCATCCTGCGGGCGGGCTGCCGCTCCGTTCCGCGTGCTCGTCCGCTGCGCCCAGGCTGGGCGCTTTCACGCACCTGGTTCCATCTGCACAGGGTATGTGCAGGGGGCGCTGGGCCGCATTCCCCAGATGGGGAAACGGAGGCATGGAGAGAGGAAGAGCTATCCTCCCTCCTCAGCAACCACCGGTCTGGCCGGCCCCTGTGGGCGGTGCCCTGGGAGTCACCTGGGACCAACAGAGGCCTTGGCAACGCACTTAGCAGTGCCAGTGGCAGCAGCAGCCATGGGGAAGCCGGGCGTGGAGGCAGCACCGGGCTCGGAGCTGGCCAGGGTTCCCTAGCCTATGGAGCACGCAGCCACCACAGGCCCCAGGCCTGGACCTCCCTCTCGGCGGGTGGAGAATGTGAGTCCTCTGGGACTTGCCGCTCCTGCCATGGGGTTGAAGTCTGCCCGTTCCCCCAAAGGCCAGGAGGGTGCAGGTTCCTGCACCCTGGGCCTAATTTCAGCCAGGAGAGGGACTTTTACAGCTCAGCCAGGCAGGGAGGCGGGACTGGTGACTGCATGGGAGTGGGGCCACAGCCCAGCCTGGGACCCACCTGGGGAATGGGTGGCGGTACCTCCCCAGGTTGTGCTACGAGCCAAGGACTGGCTGCCAGGAGCTCCTGGGGGCACCGCAGTGTGGGCCACCAGCTTGGAAGCAGAGGTCCCACCAGATCTAGCGCTCAATAAGGAGCAGCAGCTGCAGGTGGGTGTGGGGCCCCAGCGTGCTCGTGAGGAGGGAGGGTGCCAGCAGGGCCCACAGACGCCACCTCTCACCTGGCCACCCACAGATCTCCAAGGAGCTGGTCGACATTCAGATCACAACCCACCACCTACATGAGCAGCATGAGGCTGAAATCTTCCAGCTGAAGAGTGAGGTGAGCAGCCGTGTGAACCAGCCTCAGTGCATGGGGGACGGGGGGTGCAGGCCCAGGACACGTGCCCTGCATGGGCATGCACACGCACATGGCATCTGTGGGTCTCAGCCTGCCTCTGAGTGCTGCGCGCCCCTGAGCGTGCACCGGGTGAATGTTCACCTACCCCAGGTGGCCCGCGGGCAGGTGCACCTGCTCATGCCAGTTGTCCCACAGATCCTTCGGCTGGAGAGCCGGGTACTGGAGCTGGAGCTGCGAGGAGATGGCACCAGCCAGGGCTGTGCAGTCCCAGTGGAGTCTGACCCCAGGCATCCCCGGGCAGCAGCCCAAGAGCTCAGACACAAAGCCCAGGTGCCTGGACACTCTGATGACCACAGATTCCAGGTTACCATGAGCATATGGAGAGCCTGGCTGGGAAAGGCCAGAGGGAAGCCTCAGCAGGGGCCTCAGTGAAACTGGGGCTCACCCACCCCTTAGCTTTCCCTGCCCTCCCTTCCATTCAGGTGCAGCCCAAGAACACCATGAACCCCGAGAATGAGCAGCACAGGCTGGGGAGCGGCGTGAGTGTGCAGCCACCTAGCTCAGGGGAGAGGGCAGCACCAGAGACCCCAAGCCTAGGGTCTCATCCAGCCAGCCCTGTGTGCCCCACAGCTGCAGGGGGAAGTGAAGTGGGCGCTGGAGCATCAGGAGGCCCGGCAGCAGGCACTGGTGACGCGTGTGTGAGTGGCCATCTCACCTGGGGCCCCATCCTGGAGCAGAGAGAACCCCTGATCGTGGGCCTGCTGAGCCTCACCCCCGTGTCTTCAGGGCAACCCTGGGCCGGCAGCTGCAGGGAGCCCGAGAGGAGGCCAGGGCAGCCGGGCAGCGACTGGCCACACAGGCTGTGGTGAGGCTCTGCCCTGACTGCTTGGAGACCTGGAGGGTGGGGGCCCCAGAAGCTCAGCCGGGGTCCACTCTCAGGGCACAGGTGGAGGGCTGCTTCCACCCCAGGTGCTGTGCAGCTGCCAAGGCCAGCTCCGTCAGGCAGAGGCTGAAAATGCCCGGCTGCAGCTGCAGCTCAAGAAACTGAAGGATGAGTACGTCCTACGGCTGCAACACTGCGCCTGGCAGGCAGTGGTGAGCCCTGCAGGAGCACCCTGAGGCCTAGGGAGCCCAAGCCTGGCCTGGGTGTGCTGGATAGCTTCAGGGAGACCCCAGGGCCCCGGCACTGCTCAGCCTGCTGGGGTGGGGGGATGGTTGGAAAAGATGGGGGGTGGGCCCCATGCGGACCCAGCCCGCCGCCTCCAGGAGCACGCAGATGGTGCAGGCCAAGCGCCAGCCACCACGGCCCTCCGGACATTCCTGGAGGCGACTCTGGAGGACATCCGGGCAGCGCACCGCAGCCGTGAGCAGCAGCTGGCCCGGGCTGCCCGCAGCTACCACAAGAGGCTGGTGGATCTGAGCCGCAGGCATGAAGAGCTACTGGTTGCCTACAGGTGGGCCCCGCTGGGATGGGAGGTGTCAGGCATCTGTGGGTCTCTAAGCCTCTGTGCCTCAAAGGCTTGGTGTGCAGCAGGAGTGGCCCCAGACAGACACTAGCCTACCCTGACAGGGCACCTGGGAACCCCCAAGCTATTTTTGACATAGCCAGCTTGGACCTGGAACCATTGCCCGTGCCCCTGGTCACTGACTTCAGCCATCGGGAGGACCAGGTGAGGCTAGAGACCCCCAGAAGCTCCAGGCCCGGGTGCCCCCCACCCACCCACTGCCCCACACTGGCCCCAGGCCTCATCCTGGGCTCAACAGAGACCTCAGCCCCGGGCCTCTGAGGGGCTTGCCTTGTTCAGCCAACTGAAACGTCCCCACCACAAACCTCTGTAGCACGGCGGGCCTGGGGCACTGCTCTCATCCCCAAAAAAGAGACCCGGTGGAGCCTCCCAGGGGGGAACATCAGAGCCACAGTGAGTGCCCTCATGGGTGTGGGGGAGGCCTGTGGGGGATGAGCAGAGAGCACAACGCCTGCACCCTGGGGCCCCCAGTTGCTCCACCAAGCCCCCGCCAGACAGGGTCTGGTCACAGCAATGCACTCAGTGGCACATCCCCACCCTGGGGTCCCTCCGTGGGTCCCGGCGACACTGATAATCACAGGAAAGAGAAGAGGGGCTGCTGCAGGTGGAGCTGGCCTTGAACACGGAGGATCAGGGAGAGCACACCTGAGGGAGGTTTCCGCTGAGACCTGGAGGACGCGAGGGGTGGGAGCAGGGCGCCTGGTGACCGGGCCAGCCCTTGCCTCTGGGCCTCCATGTTCCCAGCTGTACAATGGGCAGGGCTCCCCAAGGACCATTTCCTGGGGTTTAGGGCACACCCGTGTGGGGGTGGCATCCCTGTTGATGCTGGAGTCACTGTCTGGGCTGGCCTTGTGGTTTAGCCCTCCCCCAGCAGCCAGCAGACCCCCTGGGCCCGGGCTGTCCCTATACACGGATGGCTCCAAGGCCTGGGGGGGGCGCCACAGGAGCACGGGGGGGGCCCATGCCTCCCTCACTCACTCCCAGGTGTCCCCTCCCGGCTCTGGGAACCTGACTCAGCACGGTCACGTCTGTCCCTGTGTCACCATGCCAGCTCTCAAAACCACTCCTCCTTTCCTCTCCCCTCACAGGGGCCTGGACGCTGCATCCTGGGCCCAGATCCACCAGAAGCTCCGGGACTTCTCCCGCAGCACCCAGGTAGGAGGCAAGGGCTGGCCCAGGCCCATCCTCACGCCATGCCCCAGCTCATGGCTTACATCCCCATGCCAGGCAGAGCTGGAACGGGAGCGGGCACAGCTGCTGGTCCGGGCCACGATGGCTGAAGAGCAACTTTCTGAGCTACAGGAGTACGTGGACCAGCACCTGGGCAGGTGGGCAGAGGGAGCTGGGTGTGACCCCAGGGCCCTGGTCTGGTTGGAATGAAGGATGATGGCTGCCTCAGGCGCTAAAAGCAGACCTGTCCACAGCTGGGCAAGTCACTTAAGCATGGTTCCTCTGAGCAGGTACAAGCACGAAATCCTGAGGCTGAGGAAGCTGGCAGGTGCAGGGGACCCCTGGAAAGTGGGGGCTGTGCCTCCAGCCAAGCCCCAGCATCCAAGGACCGGCAGCCACTAGGCCGTCTCCCAAGGAGCAGAGCAGAGCAGAGCTCCTCAGCCAGCACAGAACCCTCCCACCCAGCCCCCCATAAAACATGAGTCAGGATAGAACCCACAGAGTCTTTATCGTGTCTAATACTCAGCTGGCCTGAGAAATAAGGCCCCCCGGGATGGGGGCAGAACTAGGTCCGGGGGCAGCCTGGATGGGTATCCGCGAGGAGGCGGCCTCCCCAGCCTGCCCACCCTCAGGAACATCATAAGCCCATACTCGGTCCAGGCCCTCGCCAACCGCGGTCACAGGCTGCCAGGTGGGGAGTGGGAAGCGCCCAGACACCACGCGGGCCCCAGCAGGCAGCTCTGTCCGCAGCTTGTCCTCCAGCAGCGGGAGCTGAGGGAGAGAACAGCAGAGTAGAGGGGGCGGGGGCGGGGCCGGTAGAAAACAGCCGCGCTCACCCCCCTAGCCCCAAGCCTAGCACCCACCAGGCAGGCCCAGGCCTCAGAGCAGCAAACACCCTGGGGTGTGGCTGGGGCTTCCCAGCGGGGCTGGCAACCCCGCACCTACCACGCTAGGGGCCAGGAACACAGACACGTTGCGGCAGTCCCTCAGGCTCACCTGCCGGAAGAGAAGTCGCCCCGGCCGGGGAGAGGCCTGGTGGGCACCGGGTCATCGCAGCTTCCGAGTCCCGGCCCCCAGCCCTCGCAGGTGTCAGCCGCACCTTGGGCTGTCAGCGGGTGGCCAGGGATCCCCAGGTTACCTTCCAGAGATCCTTGCGGCGATAGCAGACGCTGCCGGCACAGCCGGCCCTCCAGGCGTGCAGCCGCGCCAGCGCCACCAGCCAGGGGTTCAGCTCGTAGCCCACGGCCGGGCGGAGGCCGCACCTGTGGGCCGCCAGCACCTGTGGGCACCGAGAGTGTGGGAACCAGGATGTGGGCAGGGGCGCCCGCCAGCAGGTGGGCGGTGTGGGGCGGCGAAGACCCAGACGCAGGCACTTACGATCCTGCCGTCGCCAGAGCCCAGATCCACCGTTTTTCCGGGGCGTCCTCGCAGCAGCGACAACACGTGCTCCACCTGCCGCGCGCTCGCGCCGACGTAGGGCACCTGGACCGGGTGGCGGCGAGAGTCCACTGGCCGCTCCCGCCCCGCCCGCAGCCCGGCCCGAACTACCACACGGCGGGGCGGAGCTCACCCCGGCCACGCCCAGACCTTGAGACCCTGAGCGGCAGCCGAGCTCCCCTGCCCGGCCTGGCCCCGCCCCGCACCTGCAGCCGCAGCGGCACGCGCCGGAAGCCGGGCTGGAGCAGCAGCGCCCACACCGCGTAGGCTGCCAAGCCCGAGCCGGCCGCCGCCTGCAGCAGCTCCAGCGCGCCCAGCCGCCGCTCGCGCAGCTCCGTCAGCGCCTCGACCGGGTCGTCCTGCTCCATGGCTGCGGGACGCGCGGCTCGTCCGCCCAAGGTCCTTCCCGGCTCGGGTCCGCGGCCCTCGCAGCCTGGCCTGGGGCTGGCGGTGTGCCCTCTGCCTCCTGCCGGGAGCCGCCGCGCGACACCGGAAGTGGCCGGCAGAGCCTGCGCGGTCGGTCCGTGGCGCTGTGCGCTCCGCCCAGCCCGGCTGCCCTCCCGCGGGTTCCGGCGAGCTGCAGCCTCGGGGGCTCTGCCCCGCCGCGTCCGGCTCCAAGCCTGCGAGGGTCGGCTCCGTTGGTCCGCTCTGCGGACCGCCGTTTGCGGCCTGTGCTGGCTGCTGGCGACCCGCGGAAGGGGACAGGCAGGCCCTGCCCTGGGGGAGCGCACGTGCCGGCGGGAGTCGGGATACACCCGGCGATCTCACGGGCTAGAGCCCCAGGGAAACGGGGCTGCGCGTCTTTGTCGTGGAATGAAGGGAAGTCTGCCTTGGAGAGGGGCGGTCCTGGCCCCAGAACCAGCCGGGGGCTCGCGTGGGGCGGCTGGAGCCCAGGGAGCCGGTGGGAAAGCGGCTCCCCGGGATGAGACAGCGTCCAGGCGCCAGCACCCCCATGACTCTGCCTCGGGGAGACTGCTGGGGGCGCTCCGCTGACTCGGACACCCAGCGCCAGCCAGAGCCCGGGAGGACATCCTTCCATTTCCCTCCTACAGCCTGAGCGATGAGCCCCAGTGGGCGGTGAAGGGATGGGGGGTGGGGTCTGAGGGAGAAGGGCATGGAGGAGGGGCTGACACGGAGGAGAGCTTGAGCAGGCCCAAGAAGACAGATGCTGGCTCTCAGGCGAGTGTGGTGGGAGGAAAGCCGGATGTCACAGGCGGGGGCCTCTGGCACCTGCCAGCTACAGGGAAGGCAGACAGCCCCGGGAGTGGGGAGATCACCTTCCTTCTCCAGAAAACAACACACAAAAAGACTGAGTTCCTGGAGGTGACCTTGTGAAGCTGGGGGTGGGAAGCGCAAGTGGAAGAGCCGAGCTCTGGGTCAGGCAGCTGGGCCACGACCTCCACACCCAGGGTAGGGCTGAACACCCGTGAATGTCGGGGGTTGTCTATGCGTGCCCTGGCCTAGCTCCTCCTTAGCCATCCGTGGCTGGGGTCTAGAGCCCCTGCAGGGACAGAGGCTGCTTCCAGACATGGGTATGCCGCAGACCACAGCCCCCAGCTCCCAAGTGCAGAGTCTCACAGGCCTGCCCACGTTGGCCCCAGCCCCACCCAGCTCAGCGTGTCCTGTCTCCTGGGGGCCTGGAACGGCCCTCCCAGGAAAGGAAGGGTGTATGTACACTGAGCTCTAGGGGGAGCTGACAGCGCCCATTCCTGTCCTGCTGCCTGCATTATTCCCTGCACCTAGAGCAGTTACCTAGGAGGCTTACTGGATGAATGCACCTAATTGGACTCTAGCGTGCACTCTCCACTCTTCTTTTTTTTTTTTTTTTTTTTTTTTTTTTTTTTTTGAGACTTGAGTCTCGCTCTTTCGCCCAGGTTGGAGTGCAGTGGCGCAGTCTTGGCTCACTGCAACCTCTGCCTTCCAGGTTCAAGTGATTCCTCTGCCTCAGCCTTTTGAGTAGCTGGGATTACAGATGCATGCCACCATGTCTGGCTAATTTTTTGTGTTTTATTAGAGACGGTTTCACCATGTTGGCCAGGATGGTCTCCATCTCCTGACCTCATGATCTGCTTGCCTGGGCCTCCCAAAGTGTTGGGATTACAGGCGTGAGCCACTGCGCCCAACCTCCCCACTCCTCTCCCGTCCACACCAGGCACTCTGCTGCTTGGCCTTTGGGCACTCTGCAGCCACCTGTACCTGTGTGAACTGGCACTTGCCTGGCGGTGTCTGTGATCCACAGGCCCCAGGCTCCTGTAGCTCCTGCCCACCTGCTCACCCACACTGTCTCCCTATCTCCCATGCCACTTTGGCCACCTGTCCCCAGGGCAGGCATGAAGCCCCTGGTCTAATGCTCCAAGACCCATTTGGGCACCGTGGTGCTCCTGTGGCCCTGTGTCTCATGAGAAGACAGCTGGTTGCAAAGCCAGGGCTTTCTCTGGGAGGGTCTGTAGGTGCAAGGCTCAGGCACTTCCTGAGACAGGTAGGTAGAAGCCAGGGTTCGGCCAGGGCCCAGCCCAGGGTGTTTGTGAACAGGTGGACTTGGGTGTGGCTGAAAAGGAGAGGTTGTAGGAAGCTGGCCAGAGAATCAGGGCAAGTGCCAAAGGTAAGGGGGTTGCTCGGCCCACGGGAAAGCCTCTCCAAGACAGGAGTGGAGGAGGCGGTGCAGGAGGGCACACGGGCTACCTCCTTTTCTAGTGTTTGCAGAAGTGTTTGGGCTGGGGGCAGATGGATGTAAGGCTATGGGCCCCAGGGAGTGGTCAGGGCTGAAGATGAAAAAGTGGAGGTTGTCCAAGGGTTATTGGAGGCTGCCCCAGAGGAGCGGTCCTGTGCCTGAGCCCTCAGCGTGCCACAGTTGGGAGAGGAGAGAAGCAGCAAGGAACCTGAGGAGGGGCAGAAGGTGGGAGAACCCCCACAGTGCATGACACCCAGTGGCTGCGCTCCTCACCCATCCTCATCAGCCCTGCGGCAGGCAGGTGATCTGTGTGAAAGGGTAAGTCTCTTGCACGTGCAGTGGAAGTCCCAGGGCGGCGCTGGAGGTGACCCCCCTCCCCAGGTGTCCACAGAGGGCATGGCACTCATCAGGCATCTGCATCCGCTAACCTAGAGAAAGGACCGTGTTTGTGGGCCCTGCACAGCTGTGTCCCTCACACAGCCTCAGTTTCCCCCTTGAAAGCTGGGGGCTTCATCTGCCTGGGCAGGGCCTCTGGCCTCCACCCCCACCCCGGCCCAGGCGAGAATGGAAAGCCATTTCTGGGGCTCAGCCCAGGGGTCCCTGGCCCTTGAGCCATGGCTGTCTCTTTCCCAGGATCCGAGGGGTTGGGGTGAGAGGAGGCAGCTCACACAGGGCCAGGTGTCCTGGAACACCCCCACCCAGGGGCTTTTAGCCTCGGAGCCTTGGGCTGTGGCTGTCCCAAACCTCACTGGCCCTTTATGCGGCTGAAAGGCCGAGGAGGAAGGCGGAGACAGTGACAATGGGGCCAGTGGCGGGAAACGGTCCTTAGAGACCCCATTGTGCACCCCGCCCGCCGGAAACAGGCAACAAGCAGGACCCTGCAGAGGGGACCCCACACCCTTCGGGCTCCTCGCCACGTCTGGATGCTCAGCACGTCGAAGGGGCCTGAGGACAGAGGGGCCCATTCTTCCCCAAGGGCGGGACGGGGCCAAGGATGACTCTGCGGGCTCACAGCAGCCATGGGGGAAGTCGGCACCCTGCCAGCCTGCAGCCCCTTCCCTCACAGGCCTGGCTCAGAGCCGGAGCGCTGTGCGCCCGCCTGCCCCCACCGTACCCGAGGGACCCTATGCCCCTCTGCCCCTTTCCTCTCCTGCTGAGCCCCAGAAGCACCTGGCACGGGAGGCAAGTGGGAGCCAGCCAGGGAAGCAGGCAAGGGTGCGGGCAAGGACGGGGCTGGTGGGTGCAGCAGAGCAGAAGCTTGCATGAGTGCAGGTCCCCACGTGCCCCCCACCCAGCAGCGGCCCCTCCCCGGAATGTGGGTGTAGCTCCTCCTGACATCTGCTCTCCCTCTCAGTTGCCAAATGGTCTTGAACAAGATACCATTCCCCTGAGCCTCAGTCTCCCGCCAGGAGGCAGGAATTGGAGCCATCCTCACAGCTGCGAGGCAGGCCCAAGGCTGGGCTGGACACAGGAGACCAGGTCCACAGCAGCTTGCGTGAACAGAGTTCTTATTGATAGTCCCATCACCTCCAAAGCAGTGGGCCCACCCTCCCTCCTACCAGCCCCTCCCCAGCACCCAGCCCCTCAGTGCAGCGCCACCTCGCAGGGGTGGAGGTGGGCAGCACGGGCAGCCTCGTAGGCACGGCGGAACTCCTGGAATCGTGGGGCACAGCCCAGCCGGGCCTCCCCAAAGCGGCTCCAGCCCATGAAGAGGAAGGTGCCTGGGCCCGGGTGGACGCCACAGCGCAGTGGGGTACGAATGGAGGTCAGCCCCTGGTCCCCGGATCGCCCCGCCTGGAACAGCGGCGGTGTCTGGCGGAGGACACGGGCGGCCACCACAGTGATGACAGACTCCTGCAGCTCCACGTCATGGGTGACCCCATGGATGATCCCGTGAATTACTGTGGGGAGGCATGTGGCTGCGGTAGGCATTCAGGGGAAGGCAGGCTCCAGGCTCCCCCCATGGCGGGGACACTCACCGAAGTCGCTGGTGCATGCGGCCAGGAGCAGCTCAGCGTCGCTGCAGGGCCTGCAGGCACCTGGCATGCAGAGGGGGTGGTGAGGAGAGGCCCTGCCCTCTCCCGGCATCACCCCAGGCCCCGTCCCTTGTCCGCACAAGCGGCAGGAGGCAGCAGGCAAATGAGCAGAGCCCACGCTCAGGGCCTGATGGCACCTGGGGGTCCCAGAGAGCTACACAGCAGATGTGCACGCCCTCGGCGACACCTGTACTCAGGAAACACACTTGCAGGCGCGTACCTCCAAGGCAGGAATGCACACAGACGTGGGCCTGGGGGCCATGCCTAGCGATCAGCTGTCCTGGGCCGCCCTCCTGCACTCCCATCTGACATATGCACCCCAGCATCTGGGACCCCTCTAGTTTCCCGGATCTGAGGTCTGAAGAGCAGCAGCCCAGCTAGGGTGATAGGAAGTGGGGGCAGAGGAAGGGTGGTCTGGGGTCCCTGGCCCAGGGCCAGGGGGCAGAATAGCGAGAGCCCATCCCTTTCAGGGTCAGGCGCCAAGCTCCAGGAGAGCCAAGCAAGAGCTGGGCCTGGTGCCCTGCAGGGAGGCGAGCGGCGTCTCCATGGTGACCGGGCTGCACACTGGACTTTTGTTGGTTGGGCTGGGGGAGGGGAGAGAGGTCACCGCTGGGCCAGGGAGCCCCGGACAGCTTTGGCCGGAGGCTTCGATTCTGTCCCCACCATCTCTTCCCCCAACCGTTCAGGGACCAGAGGCCCAGGATTGCTGGGCCCGGCCTCCCCTTCCCTCCACTCTGCCCCTGCCAGCTCTTTCCAGAGATGAATCGGGAAGGGAGGGCGGGGAGGCCATCCCTCCCCAGCAGTCCCAGGCTGTGTGGCCTGACAAGCCCATCCAACCCTTGTAGCTCACTTTTTCCTTCTGCAGTGGGGCCGACAAGGCACATTCCCGCCAAGCCCAGGCAGGGTAAGACTTCGGGACTCCCACCCTGTCCCAACCAGACCGCCACTCACCGTCTACGCCGAGACCGTGGGCCTGCGGGGGCAGCTCGGGGCGCCCGTCCTCGCGCAGCTCAAAGCGGAAGGCGGCCACGCGGCGGCTGATGTCCTGGTGCGGCGTGGCCTGCAGGAAGAGGGCCCGGCGCTCGCGGGGACCCCAGCGCACGCAGCGGCCCCCTGCCGGGCCCGGGCCCTCGGCCAGCAGCAGCTCCAGGGCGCCCCCTGCGCGCTCCGCGAAGACCTGGGCGCCCGCGAAGGGCCGCACCGGCCGCAGACAGGCGATGCCGGGCCGCGCTCTGGGATCGGGGCCGCCCAGGGTCAGGCGCAG
The DNA here is from genome assembly GCF_000001405.40 of Homo sapiens. Taxonomy (NCBI): domain Eukaryota; kingdom Metazoa; phylum Chordata; class Mammalia; order Primates; family Hominidae; genus Homo; species Homo sapiens. Next base: position 715,671 of record NC_000016.10, on the reverse strand, counting down.
CGCCCCAGCCGGGTACAGCCACTCAACCGCGCCCTCCGCACAGGCCAGGGCCAGCTGCCCCACGCTGCCGGGCTCCTGGGTGAGGCCGCTGGGGACAGGACGGGACGGGGCGCTGAGACGGGGGCGGGTCCCCGCCCGGCGCAGCCCCCGCTCCCTCCCGAGGCCGCCTCGCGGATGGGGAAACCGGCCCAGCGCTCTGCGCGCTCCGAGGGGCGCCTGGGGGGTCCTAGCCGCAGCGCACCCCGTCCTAAGTGCGGGGACAGCCCCCCGGACCGTACCTGCCCCTCCAGCTGCAGCGCTCCTCGGAGTAGCCGGCGCGGGCAGCCGGGGCCAGGAGGCCGCAGCACAGCGCGCAGAGCAGCGCCGCGGCCGGGAACCCCATGGCACGGCGGGCGGCGTCCGGGGAGTCGGGGCTCTCACCACCGCTGCCCCGGCGGGGCGCGGGTCCGGGCGGCGGCGGGAGCAGCCGGGGGCGCCGGCCGCCCGGCCCCGGCGAAGCCCCCAAGCCCGCGGCCGCTCCGCCTGCCGCGCAGCCCCAGCGCCGGGGCCGCCTTGGAGCGGGTCGGGAAGGGGGCGGGGCCTGCGGCGTGTCGGCCAGTCGCGGCGCGGCCCGGAACTTTCCGCCAATAGCAGGCGCGGGGCGGAGCGGGGGCGGGGCCGGAGCTCGGGCGCCGCCGGAGGACTATCCCACGGTCCAAGCGCCTCGAGGGTTGGGGGGGGCCTTGGCGCGGAAGGGAGGCTCCTTGCCCGCCCCGCGCTGTGCGTCTCTCCTTCGCCGCGCCCTCACCCTGGCCTCGCCCCCCGCGCTGTCCCGATCGGAGTCCTGGAGCCTCTGATGGAGCCGAGGTTTTGATGTCCACTGGAACCTCGGGGTGGCGGTAGGGAAGGTGGCCCACCTGGTGGTTCCGCCTCGCGGGCGGCCGGGCCTGCTCCTTCCTAACACTGGGACCTGGGCCTGTTGGCCACATCCCTCCCAACCAGGTCCGGTCCTGCTGACCAGAGGCCGGTGGAGCCCCAGAGGAGAGGGGTCATGACTCCAGAGGCGGGGAAGGCCTGGCCTGGGGGCTGCGCCTTGGAGCGGGGCCAGGCCTCGGGTTTTGGTAAGGCCGTCTGCAGGAGGGGGTCCTGCTGAAGAGCGCGCAGCCCGCAGGCTTAGGCCCCTTTCCTCAGACCTAGCGGCACCCCATAGTTGCCGGATGACCGACCCCGGGCCAGACGGGGCTCCTGGAGGGGCGTGAATGGAGCAGCCACGGGCACCCCTGCAGGCCTGCAGCACGTGGAGACACAGGAGCTGGGAGGACACCCCTGGGCCACAGGAGCAGCCCCCACCAAGATGAAACAAGCAGAAACAGGCGATTCGCAAACACACTGTAGCCTCAGGCTGGAGCAGTGTGGGATTCCCAGCATCCGGGACTGCTGAGTTGGCCTGATGGGAGGAAGTGGGCAGTGGCTGGCCAGGTGGACAGGAAGAGAATGGGGGAGAGCAGACAGCCTGGGTCAAGGGCCTGAGGAAGGAGCTCTTGGCAGCCCAGTGAAACCCCAGGGCATGGGTGGTGGGTGGGGACGACAGGTCAGATCACAGAAGGCCTAAGGCACAAGCAAAGGGGTCCCACTACATACTGAACCCCTTACGGACGACAGAAGCTTTAGCCGGGGACTGCAAGGACCAGCATAGACTGTGCAGCCTGAAGATGTGAACATTCCGTCCCCTGCCCCCAAACCTCCTGCCACCCGGCGCTCGAAACTCATGGTGGACAGATGAGTTCACCAGTGGCAGTCGGACAGATGAGGCCAGATGGCTCAGTGGCAGTGGGAGGCTGGATCCCACTGACCAGGCCCTCCCTCAACCCCAGGGCCCTCCCAGGCCAAACAGGAACAAGGCGCCTACTGGGCTCGGCCAGCCCCTTGCTCTGGGCGAGGTGCAGGTCAGAAGTAGCCATCACAATCCCCAAAAGGTGGAAGACTCCCAAAGGCCTGTCTGCAGCTGAGTGGACAAGCAAGTGCAGTGGGTCCATTTTTTTTTTTTTTTTTGAGACGGAATCTCGTTCTGTCGCCCAGGCTGGAGTGCAGTGGCTCGATCTCGGCTCACTGCAACCTCTGCCTCCTGGGTTCATGCCATTCTCCTGCCTCAGCCTCCCGAGCAGCTGAGACTACAGGCGCCCGCCACCACACCCGGCTAAATTTTTGTATTTTTTCTTTTTTTAGTAGAGAGGGTGTTTCACCGTGTTAGCCAGGATGGTCTCGATCTCCTGACCTCGTGATCTGCCCGCCTTGGCCTCCCAAAGTGCTGGGATTACAGATGTGAGCCACCGCGCCCGGCCTCTTTTTTTTTTTTTTTTTTTTTTTTTTTTTTGAGATGGAGTTTCGCTCTTTGCCCAGTCTGGAGTGCAATGGCGCGATCTTGGCTCACTGCAACCTCCACCTCCTGGGTTCAAGCGATTCTCCTGCGTCAGCCTCCCGAGCAGCTGGGATTACAGGCATGTGCCATCATGCCGGCTAATTTTGTATTTTTAGTAGAGACGAGGTTTCTCCATGCTGGTCAGGCTGGTCTTGAACTCCCGACCTCAGGTGATCCGCCCACCTCAGCCTCCCAAAGTGTTGGGATTACAGGCATGAGCCACGGCACCCCCTGGCGGTGGGTCCATTATTAAGCCATAAAAAGGAATGAAGTTCTGGTCCCTTGACACCCGCTACAGCCTGGATGAGCCTGGAGGCTTATGCGCTGAGCAAAATAAGCCAGAGACAAAAGGACAAACACTGTTGGATTCCACTTCTGTGAGTCACCTTAGAGTAGTCACGGTCATGAGGACAGAAAGTGGAGCAGGGGCTGGGGAGGGGAATGAGGGATTGGAGCTTAATGGGGACAGAATTCAGGAGCTTGATTACACAACACAAATGTACTCAACAGTACGGAACTGCACACTTTAAAATGGGTAAAATGGTAGATGTTATGATGTATATCTTACAATTAAAAATAAAAATTGTCAAGGCGCAGCGGCTCCCACCTGTAATTTCAGCAGTTTGGGAGGCCAAGGCAGGGAGATCACAAGGTCGGGAGTTCGAGACCAGCCTGGCCAACATGGTGAAACCCCATCTCTACTAAAAATACAAAAATTAGCTGGACGTGGTGGCGCACGCCTGCAGTCCTAGCTACTTGGGAGGCTGAGACAGGAGAACCGCTTGAACCCGGGAGGTGGAGGTTGCAGTGAGCTGAGATCAGGCCACTGCACTCCAGCCTGGGTGACAGAGTGAGAGTCTGTCTCATAAAAATTAATTAATTAATTACATAAAAATTAAGGCCGGGTGTGGCAGCTCCTGCCTGTAATCTCAGCACTTTGGGAGGCTGAGGCAGGATGATCGCTTGACATCAGGAGTTCAAGACCAGCCTGGCCAACATGTTGAAACCCCAACTCCACTAAAACTACAAAAATTAGCTGGGTGCAGCAGCTCATGCATGTAGTCTTAGCACTTTGGGAGGCTGTGGCAGGAGGATTGCTTAAGCCCAGGAGGGTGAGGCTGCAGTGAGCTGTGATTGCACCACTGCACTCCAACCAGGGCGACAGAAGAGACCCTGTCTCAATAAAAATTAAAAAATAAATAAATAAAATATAAAAATCGTAAAGGTTAAAGGGTAGACTCGGCCTGGGGCTGAGCACATGAGGTGCTCGCAGAGGTGGGGAGAGGCACACGGGTCGGCCGCTGCAGCCACCCAGCCGTCCAGGGCTGCTGCCGCTTGGCGGTCCCCGGGTCAGCACGGTGGGCTCCAGGCGCCCTCTGGTGGCGGCGTGAGGGTCAGCCCCAGACACCCTCCTGACAGCCTGGGCCCCGGACTTCTCCCCAGGCCTCCTCCAGAGAGGGGCCAGTGTCTGTGGTTGGAGGGAGGGGTTCCTGGGGTGACCTGGTCTGGAATGGCACATGCCTGGCCCCGAGTTGACGCCTCAACCCCGGGCGTCCCTGCCTCCTCCCCAGCCTCATCTCCGGGGATCCGGTGCCAATGCAGCCACCCACAGGAGAAGCCCTGGACACACACCCCTTTTCCTCACAGCCCCCGGCCCCACCCAGGAAAGCACCTGGCATCAGTGAGTGCTGTGCTGCCTACAGGAGGGGCCTGGAAGGCCGAGTCTGTCCTCAGTTGCTATGGGTACAGGACCCGACTTGCCAGGGTGCTGGTGCTCAGTAAATACCAGCAGACTAAGTGGGGGGTGGCTGGGCGGAGGAGTGCCTGGAAGGCATCCCCAAGCTTAGGTGATGCCGTGGCTGTCTGTGCTGTTTGGGGGCCCCCTCAAGTGCCCCAAGCCCCAGACCCTTGAGTGCCCTGAAACCCCAGAAGGGGCCTCTCTCCATTTCCACCCAAGTCAGAACGCGACAGCAGCAAGACATACTCAAGTCAGACAAAAGGAAGAACTTCCCTGAGGCTTTGTTTCAGAAACCTTGGGCCTAGCGCGTGAGGCCACCCCTGGAGAGTGCAGAGTCTGGGACAATCATCTCTCCCGCCTGCGGGTCAGCCTGGCCGTGGCCAAACACAGACGCCATATCACAAGGCCCCTCAGCCCAAGGCAGGGCGGCCAGCCTCACAGCTTGTCCCGAAGCCTGAGACTTGGTTTCTGTTCCTGTCTTGCCCAGAGGGCCCTTGGAGCTGCAGCCTGAGGGGGTGCTGGGGTGGGGGCGGTCGAGACCCTGGTCACTGCCACATGGTTCCCACCTTCGGCCACTGCGTTCTCCCCCCAGACACAGGTTCCGGCCCGTGGAGGACACCAGTGCTGCATTTGCCATGAGCTGGGCCCCAGCAGTGCGTGGCACAGGCAGCCCACGTCCCGCAGGGGAGCGGCTGCGGACAGGTGGCTGCGCCACGGAGTGCCGAACAACCCGCTGGGGACACCACAGTGCCGGGCACAGAATAGCAGCTGTCACGGCCAGGGCAGGAGCTGGCTGGCTGGGGCCCTGGGGGAGCAACATCAAGGACGAGGGGAGTTGATGGGGGGGCAGGAAGGGAGCCCCAACCCTGGGGAGAAGAGGGGCAAAGGCCCTGAGGCAGACAGAACTTCGAGTAAACCAGGAACCACAGAGGGTGAGCCCTGGGGGCTCCTTGTTTGCTTGAAGCTCCATCTGCCTCAGAGCCTTTGACCTGCTGCAAAGGGGAGGCGGGTAAGGCCGGCCCCACCCAGCCCATCTGCCCTGAGGGAGTTGGGGAGTTTGGACGCACCGGTGAACAGGATCCCCCAGGAAATGGGGAGGAAGCCTAGAGAGAAGGGCCAGATCGTAGGCCAAGACCCCCGCCTGTGTCTCTGTTCACTGGCAGCGGAGCGAGGAGAGAGGTGTGGGCTGACCTGAAGCCAGCGCCTCCTGTGTCCCCAGCTGAGCCCTGCACGGGATTGGCCAAATGTGCTGCTCTGCGGCCGCCCTGCTGCCCCCTCCCTGGGTGGAGCTGGGGTCTGGGACAGTGAAGATGGCTCCCACAGCTGAGGGGCACTGGGTGCCAAGAGCCTGCCAGACCCTGGGCCACCCAGAAACATGCTCTGATAGTGCAGCTGTGAGCACTGGCCTGCGTCCCCTCTACCCAGCCGACCTATGAGGCTCAGGGTGCTTGGGGGCCCATCAAGGACATAGTCCTAGCTGCCGACTCATCCAGGCAGCCTGCACAACCCCTGGCTCCCCTCCACCGGCCACCTGCCCCCCTGCACAGGCAGGATCCGGCCTCGCCCACCCACAGGCCTGCACCTCCGGGCCCACGGCAGCAAGATTCCTATCTTGGGGATGCTTTCCTCCCTTTGCCGAGAGACCCACCCCCCCACACCTTGCCTCTCTTCAAGGAGCCGAAAATGCAGCTGCCGACTGATTTGCTGTGGAGCTAAAAATAACTGCCGGGCTCCAGCCAGGGCCCAGGAAAATATCCCATTGCTAGGAGACAACCGTTGCCGGGAGACCGCCATTGCTAGGCGACGCGTGTTGCTATGGTGATGGCTGGGCCCTGAGTCATCCTTAGCCTTGATAGGGGGCGAGCCAGGCAGGGAGCAGAGCTGGGGGGCATCAGAGAAATCCCACCGCCCATGGCACTCAGGGCACCCCTAATGGCTGTGAGGTTCTCATGCCTATGGGTGCCCATTCTGGCTGTGGAGGGGTCGGGACGGCCAAACATACCCACAGCCTGCTGCTTCACATGGATGATCCTGGGTGCTCTCGGGCTGTGCTCCAGGCAGGGGGCAGGGGCAGTGTGTGGGGGGATGGTGGCGTGGCCATCTGGCCCCCGGAGCAATCACTTTGCTCTCCAGTGTGGGGATATCACCACAGGTGCAGAGCTGAAGTGAATGTGGGTCCCCTTGCAGTCCTCCAAAGTCTCAGGGCAAGATGTACCAGCAGCCTCTGGTCCTCATCCCCATGGCTCCAGAGTGCCCTCCCAGCCACCTAGATGGGAGACTCCTCAGTGCTGAGGCATCAAGGCAAGGGGTGGTCCCGGTGAAGTATGCTCCTGGTAGGGGTTCTGCAGGAGAGGGGCTCTCCAGGTGAGGGGTGCTCCAGGTGAGGGGTGCTCCAGGTGAGGGGGTGCTCCAGATGAGGGTGCTCCGGGTAACAGGGTGCTCCAGGTAACAGGGTGCTCCAGGTGACGGTTCTCCAGGTGAGAAGGTGCTCCAGATGAGGGTTTTCCAGGTGAGGGTGCCCCGGGTAACAGGGTGCTCCAGGTGAGGGTTCTCTAGGTGAGAGGATGCTCCAACTGAGGGTGCTTCAGGTGAGGGGTGCTCCAGGAAAGGAGTGCTCTGGATGAGGGTTCTCCAGGTGAGGGGTGCTCCAGGTGCCCTCCGGAGCCAAGGCACATACCGCCTCCCATATCAGTCTCCAGGACCAATGGAGGGGTGCGGGCCTGAGCGGTATCCACATCCCCCAGAGGAGATCGAAGTCTGCTGAGCAGCCCCCTTTGTCCAAGCCACTTCCCTCTGGGGTGTGAGCTGTTCTCCAAAGGTATCCTCTACAAGGGCCTCCCGCCACAGGAGGCGATCCAAACTGCTGGTGCCAGTCACCTTTCATGCTGCTGACGCATCGCTGTCTCCCTCATTCGCCAAATTTGCCATGCACCTGTGACGTACTGAGATGGAGGCTCAGTGCCCAGGGACAGGGTGGTGGGGAAGAAGACCGCACCCTGGCCCTCAGCAGGCACAGTCAGCCAATAGCTCATCAAATGCACCATCAGACACCAGGCAGACACAGGCTGAGAAAAGAAGGTCCTTGGTGCTGGGGAGGTGAGGACACGGGTCTGTGGCCCTGTCCTCCTGAGGGAGGGCACCTAGGGGAGAATACATTAGCCAAGGTCTGAAAGGCAAGTAGTCACCCAGGTACAGGTGGCAAGGGAGTGCTCCAGGCAAGGGGCCAGGAGAGGAGTGCTCCAGGCGAGAGGTGCTCTAAGGGAGGGGTGCTCCACATGAGGAAATGCTCCAGGAAGGGGTGCTCCAGGGGAGGGGTGCTGCAGGGGAGCTCCAGGTGAAGGGAGGGGTGCTCCAGGTGAGGGGTGCCCCAGGTGAAGGGTGCTCCAGGTGAAGGGAGGGGCACACCAGGTTAGGGATGGGGCACTCTCCTGGCCCCAGAAGAAGGCCAGTGTGGCTGAAGCTTCATCCTCAAGGGGCCAGGTATAGAGCGAGGCTGTGGGCCAGCCGTGCCAGGCACTCAGGGCTGTGCAGTCTTCAGCAAAGAATGAACAGGGCCCTGGGAAGAACAGGACCATGTCTGCACGGCAAAATGGCCCCGCTGCACCCTGGGGAGAAAAGGAGATGGGAGAGGGGTGGAGAGACCAATGGGGAAGTAGCTGCCACCAGCCATGGTGGAGACAGACAAAGTTGCCCGGCACAGGTGGGGTCACAGAGGTGGAGGGTAGGTGGGTCACAGCTGGTGACAGAGGTGGAGGGTAGGTGGGTCACAGCTGGTGACAGAGGTGGAGGGTAGGTGGGTCACAGCTGGTGACAGAGGTGGAGGGTAGGTGGGTCACAGCTGGTGACAGAGGTGGAGGGTAGGTGGGTCACAGCTGGTGACAGAGGTGGAGGGTAGGTGGGTCACAGCTGGTGACAGAGGTGGGGGGTAGGTGGGTCACAGCTGGTCACAGAGGTGGAGGGCAGGTGGGTCACCGCTTTGGAGGAGCACGGTTGGCCTTTCTGTGATGATCTTCCACACACTCTTCCCTGCTCAGATTCCCCACAGGCAGGGCTAGCTTCTTGGGCCTCGCCAGGGTTGCATGACCCAAATGCCTGACTCCCACGCTCACCCTATGCACTTGGGGTGTGTCCAGCCCACCCTATGCACTTGGGGTGTGTCCAGCCTGCCCTGTGCGCTTGGGGTGTGTCCGGCTCCAGCCCCAGCTGGGACTCAACACAAGCACAGCTTGTTCTCTGCCTGAGGCCCTGGCACCTGCTGTGGTGAGAGCCCCAGGCACGAGGTGAAACCCTCCTACCGGGAGCAGTCCACGCCTGGGGTGGAAGCTGCTGCCAGAGGGCCAGCCTGCCAGACCATGCACCGGAGACACCCAGATAGGTTGGACCGCCGCTCCCCTGTTGCCCCAACTGTCTTCACGGGGCTCGTCCTGTCTGCCCCACTCCGGGCACCTTCTTTGGTCAGTATCCAGGTACCGGGCAAGACTTACGCAGAAGAGCTGCTGCGCTCACCCCAGGTAGACCCAGTGGCGCCCCCACAGCAAGCACAGAACCACCCCACCCCGGGACCCAGCCAGGGTGCCGTCAGTCTGACCCTCCTTCCCGCTGACCCCAGGCCTCACACCGGCCCCTTCGGCCAGGCTTCCCATCAGGACGCTGGGAACAGCAGCTGGTTTCACTCCTATTGAGATACTCTCAGGAGCCCCATTCAGCCCTGTAGCTCTTTCCCGGTGCAAAGAACCCCTCTGCTCTCCCCACACCTGCTCCCTCCCCCGGCCCTGCTCCCAGGAGACCCCAGGATAGGGCGCCATTGGCCTCCATTCTCCTGCCCTGAGCCTGCTGGGGCGTCTGGGGTCTCCAGCGGTCCCCACCGAGTCCTCCACCTAACCTAGCACGCCCCACCCCTGCCCCGGGCTGCAGCAGCCGCCGCCGCCTCCAGCCTCCAGTTTATTCCCGAGGGAACTTGCCAGGCTCCTCGGATCTTTGCACCCCCATTCCCGAGCCATCCCTCCCTCGCGCCGTGGGGGGGTCTCAGCTCCAGTGGGGCACCCTCAGGAAGCCCCCGCCAGAAGTCACCACCGCAAGCCCTCGGGTGCTTTCACTGTCACTGTCTGAACTGATCCGTGCAGTCACTTGTTTTCGCGCTCTGCGGGTGTGCCAGGGTCTCCAATGAGGGGCTTCCGGCCGGGCACGCAGCAGGTGCGCGGGGGGTGTGAGGGCTGTGAAGGGTCCTTGCCGTGGGCTGGGCGGGAGGGTCCAGAGACGGGGGTCTGACCACCCTGTCTCCTCTGGGCCGGGTCTCGCCTTCCTCGCCTCCCCAAGTGGTGGCCAAGGGCCGGGACGCGCGGTGCCGCCCCGGTCCCCATAGGACCCCGGACCCCTGGGCCACCCGCCGGCGCCTGCTCTCCCGCCTCCCCTCGCCCTCCCTTCTGCCTCCCGCGCCCTCCCCGCCCGCCGCGCGCCGGGGTTTGTTATTGTGCGGGTGCCCGCGGCGAGCGGGGCGGGGGCGCGTGCCGGGCCTGGCGCGTGCTCGTGGACGCCGTGCCGGGAGCGCGCCGCGCGCGGGGGCCGGGGCGGGGCGGGGGCGGGGCTCGGCATTCTCGGCGCCCCCGCCCGGGCTCGCGAACCCGGATTGGCTCGCCACGCCGGGAGCGCGCGAGGGCGCGGCGTTTGGTGCCGGGCGGGGGGCGCGCGCGGCGCCGGCGGCGGCCACGGAGGAGCGCGGGGAGGGCGAGGGGAGGAGGAGGCGCCCGCCTGGTTCCCTGCAAAGCGGCCTTATTTATCTGGGCACAGCCTCAGCCTCCCCGGTGGGAGGCTTGGGGCGGCCGATCCTCTCCCACCGGGGAGCTCCTTTCCGTGCGCTGCCGAGGGGGCCCGGCCAGGACGGGACGCGGGGCGCAGGGCGCGGCCGGGCCCTGCCGGCCAGTCCAGCACCCCGGCGGCCCCCGCGCGCCGACGCCCATGCCGGGCTCCCCATGACGGGAGGTCGCCCGGCGGACAGCGTGGCATGAGCCAGGAGCCCGGGCCGAGGTAAGGTGCGCGTGCGGCCGGGCTGCGGGGCCGGGAGGGGGCCAGGCCGCACCTCCGCGGCGGCCACAATGAGGAGGGGGCGGGGTGGGGGTGGGGGCCGCGCCGCCGCCGCCCGGGAAGGGCTTACGTAACGGCAGCCCCTTCCCCACCTCCCCCGCGGCCGCTGGGCCTCGGTCCCTGCCTGGCCTTCCCGCAGCCCCGCGCCCCGGCCCCTGGCCCGGAAGAGGGCCGCTCCCCACTGGCCACTCGGCCGGGGCTGGGGGTCCGTGCCTCCTGGGACGCCGAAAGGAGGAATTGTAGGCCCCCGGCCTCCACCCCGGGCGCCTGGTCGGCTCAGAGGGCGCCCCCGGACCGAAGTGACAGGCCAGAGACCGTTAAACTGCATGGGGGTCGCGTGGATGTGCGGCCTGAGGGGCGGCCCTCCCCGGGCGGGCGGCTTCTGGACCCGGGGCCTGCGCTGAGCTACTGCCCGCGGGAGGAGGAGGGTGGGGGGAGGCTGGCACCTTCCTGGTTCTGGAGGCGGGACCGGGCCTTGGCCAAGGTTGGAGGGCCTCAGAAGGGAAACGGCACCTTCAGACCTGCTCGGGAGGGGTCCGGTGTCCTCCTGGGGATTAGGTGGGTGGAGAGCGTTCCCCACCCATCACCTCAGGAGAGAGGGCTGCGGTGGCAGCTTCAGGAACTGACGGCCCAGCGGCCACTCCAGGCCCTTCCCAGGCTCCAGGCTCTGTTCGGGCAGCCTGCCCTCCGCAGGAGGAGCAGATGGCGGAGGCCACCTCACCTGCCTCTTCCTTCAGGCCCTTCCCCCACACCCGTGCATCCGAGGGCCCAATGGCCAGGGGCAGCTCAGGCCTCCCTGGACACAGGGCCGTCTCCCAGCCCACCCCCTCTGTGGGGTGCTGGACAGCAGCCTTGGAGCAGATAGGCCTGGGTCAGGCCAGGAGACTGAAGGGTTTTCTGTCTCCCGGACCAGGGCAGAGGCCTAGTGGAACCTGGCTGGTCTGGCCAGAGGTGGACACAGGGCTGGACCTGGAGCCGCCTGGAGGGGAGGGAAATTCAAGGCCCAGCTGCAAACATCGCTGTGTGGGGGAACCCTAGGACTCACTTGCCCCACTCCCTGCCCCCTGCCACCCCAACTGCCCCTCATCTGGGGCCAGACCCTTGAGTTCAGCCCCTCCATCGACAGACTCACTGCCTCCAGCTCACACCCACTTCCGGGGCGGCTGGACGAGTCCTACCTCCCACTGATGAGAAGGACACAAACAGCTTCCTGTGTGGGAGGCACGGGGCCCTTGAACCAGCTGGACATGGACCCAGGAAGCCTTGTGTTGCTGAGAGTTAGGGATCTCCCACCCAGGTGGCACTGTTCAGCCACCCGAAGACCCCATCTCCTTGCATGTGGGCACCCACTGCTGTGCCTCCCATGACTGGATTGGCAGTGAAGGGAGCTCTGTGGGTGAGCAGGTGACTGAGCCTTCCCCACCAGTGGTGCAGGAGGAGTCAACGGCCAAACTGGCTGCAATGTGTGGGTTCAGGCCTCATTCCTTCACTGGGCAGGAAAGAGGGGTGATGGTTAGTGGCAGCTGCCTGGAGCAGTAGGCACTAGGGGCCCAGGCCTCGCCTCTGAGGGTGCTCATGCTCTTCCGAGCAGGGGCTGAGATGAGGCCTGGATCCCAGCACCCACTCCCCAGGGTGTCCAGCTTTCAAGGCTGAGCTGCCCTGGGCTTGACCATGGGCCCTCAGTCTGCTGGGGCAGCAACACGGGTTTCTCTTGAGGCCACGTGCCTGCTGCGCCATGGTGCCCCTCCTCAGAGCCCCTGGTGCACCCCCAGAAGCATCTCAAACTGGGGGCGGGAGAGGAGCTCTGCCGCTGTGCCACGTGCCAAGTGGCAGGGACGCGGGTGTGCCTGCGTCACGGGGCTGCCACGGAATGTGTCAGTCTGCACCCTGTCCCCAATCCCCAGCCACCCCAGCTGTCAGCCAGGCTCTGGGGCTGCCACTGCAGATGGAGCCCGATGTGCATTTCTCTGGCCACCAGGGCCCTGCCCAGCTCTAAGGCCCTCTGCAGGCAGGGCTCAATGGTCCCTGAGGTTCTATGAGGGCTGAGTGGTTGGTTAGGCTGTGCCCCAGTCTGGTGCTGACAGAGATGGGGGCACCAGAGATGGGGGAAGAGACCTTCAAACTGGGGGCGCTGAGGGGTGAGGAGGTTTCCCAGGCATGTGTCCAAAAGGATGTCCCAGGGGTGGGCACGCGGTGTGCAGCCTCTGCAAGGAATGCAGCGCCGTGGCAGGGACCCTGCAGGATGAGGGCAGTACTTGGAGAGACCACTAGCCCAGGGCCCAGCAGGAAGGCATCGAGACCCCATGAGGCAGAACAGGGCAGAGCGAGGACCCTGTGAGGTACACCTGGCAGGACCCAGGTAGAGGGAATCAGCCAGCCCCGGGGCTTTTGGAGCCAATCCTAGCTCTATGTAACTTCTGGAAAATCCGTCTGCAAGCTCTGCTTCCCCACTCCTAGTTAGGCAGTGTGTGAAGGAAGGACTCTGGCCGGTCAGAGGAGGGGTGCGTGTGGTGCCAGGGAGAGCGGGGCAGGAGGACCCCCTTCCCTCTCTTGGCTCAGGCCAGATGGTGGAGGACGGGCAGCCACTTCCTCAGCCCTGCAGCTCCTGAAGAGAGAGCCAGCTGAAAAGGAGATGGGCCCTCCTCATCCGAAGGCTCTGTGTATTGCAAGGCCCACCCCAGCCCTGGGGTCTTGGGAGCCCTCTCAGTGACTCAGGTACCAACCTAGTCCCAACCCCAGAGGCCACTCTCCCCGCGGACACTGGCCATGGCACGATCCGGGTTAATTTCCCGAGCTGTGCCTTCCCCGCTGACCGGCCTCTTCCTAAATTTGACCAATCCTCCATCAGCCCTCCGGGGGCCTTGGCAGCTGCACCCCTTTCTGCGTGACTGAGCTAGCGGAGCCACATTCCGCATTCATTCATTCGTTCCCTAATTCATTCATTCCGCGAACATGCAGAGGCCATGCACGTTGGTGCTGTCTGTCCTCAAGAGTCCTCAGGCCAGGAGGAGAGACACCAGGTGGACAGTGATGATAACCCATGTGATTGCAAGACCCTGGAGACGCTTTCTCAAGAGCTGGGGGTCCCGGAGCAGGAGGCAGGGGCGACCTCGCACCAGGAACTGAGGGATGGAGGAGAAGAGCTTGCAGGGCTAAGGCAGGGAAACCCTGCCAGGCAAGCAGGGGGAACGGCGTGTGCCCAGGCAGAGGAGCAGGGGAGGAGGAATGGCATGGCTGGGCTGTGGCATCAGGGCTGGGAAGGGGCCGGAGCTGAGGTCTCCGGGCTCAGTGACTTGATTCGCAGAAGAGGCAGCTCCTGCGGGGCCCCCACATGGCCGTCTGGGAATGGTCAGCCTGGATGCTGTACATGTACATGTGGGGACCCCCAGGAGCACCCAGGCCCCACCGTGCTCCCTAGGCTCACTCTGGCCACACGCTTCACACTGCGTCCCCTGGGGAGGACACAGAGGCCACGGCCACCTCTCCCCAGCAGCTCCCAGGCCAGGCTCAGGCTGCTGAGGACAAGACAGCTGAGGTGGGGCCACCTCTCTCTCTTTCCCCTGGGGTGAGCCCCGGAGCCTTGACAGGATTCCACTTCAAGCTGAGCCAGCACCACAGGGGCTGAGGCTGAGGATGGTGCAGGCATGGCCACCTTTTTAACAAGTCTCTTCCCCGTATTAGCACCCGGGCTGCTTGTCCCTAAAGGGAGAGGCAGTCCCTAGCAGCCCACGCAGGTCGTCCGAGCCCCTCTGGGTGGAACGAGGGCTCTCACAGTCGCCAAGCAGGAAAGGGGGCTCTGTGAGCCATGGGAACCGGCTCCTTGGTGACCGTCTGGCTGGGTGGGTGGGGCCGGGCCCAGGGCCAAGCAGAGGGGCCCTTGTGTGAGCCCCCAGGGACTTCTCGCTGAACGGGCAGAGAGACCCCAGTCTCCAGTTGAGCTCAGCTTTCTCCCGCAGCGCCCATGCCTGGGCCAAAGTGTGTGGCTGTTTGCATTTTTGAGCTACGGGGTGGGGGATATTCGGGCTGAGTCAGTCAAGCCGGGAGTGTGAGGAGCAGCGGGGGCCGGCAGGAACGTGGACGCGAGATTGGGGAGCAGTGGGGCTGCCTGTGCGGGGATGCAGCTCCCACCAAGCACACGGGTCGAGGGCTGACCACAGGCAGAGCAGCGCCTTCTGGCAGCGCTGCGGGTGTGGATGAGGGAAGCCAGGCCCCGGACCCATACCCAGACGGCCGCTCCTCAGCCTGTCCCCTCCCTCCTGTGGGCTCTCAAAGTGCGGCTTGGTTTCTCCATCTCGACCCTGAGGCCTGGAGGTGGGGACGGGACTGTGGGCGCCGGCAAACGTGAGCTCCCGAGCGGGGCGGGAAAGGAGCCCCGCGAATGCCTCCCCCAGCCCCGGCGCTCCACGTGCAGGCCCATGACTGGGAGCGTTTTCAACCTAAATCGGCACTGCGCCGGGATTATTCCTCCCCTGGCGCCGCCCCCGCCGCCTCCTCCGGATCCTTCCCGGCTTCTCCCCCACTCTTCGCCCCCGGGGCCCCTCCCTGCTGAGCGGGGGCTGCCGGGATTTGGGATTGCGGGGCTGCCCCGACCCCGCAGCCGTCCGCGGTGGAAGCCAGCCCGGGCCTGGCCCTGAGCGCGCGGCTGGGGCGGCCGCTGTCCATGGTGCTGGCGCGGGTGGCGCGCCGGCCGGCGGGGTCTGCGGAGGCCCAGGCGTCCCTGGCGGGGAAGGCGGCGCTTCCGGGTCTGGGGAGCGAGGGTCCCCGCTCTAGGGGCACGGAGGATATTTAGACTGGGGCGCCCGTGGGCCTGGTGCTGCCGCCTCGGGCGCCGGCATCCTGCGATATCCCCTCTCCCCGGCTCTGGGAGGGAACCGAGGCAGCCCCGCGCCAGGCCTCCCCGGACACCTGGGGCAAATTCGCTCCTCAGAGCCTCGTGTTCCTTCCCCAAACCTGAGGTAGCGACCCCTCCACCCCTAAGGGCGGCCGTGAGGTCGAATCATGTGCCGACCCCAGCCGGCCCTTGCAAACGTTGTGATGTCGGCCTCCGGAGGCCGCGCCTTCTGATCATGGGCACATGATGGGGGTCACCGGCTGTGGGTGCCTCCTCTGTGGAGGGCCCGGCCTCACCTTCCAGGACCCGAATGATACTCTGGGGAGGGGGAGATGGTACAGAGGGTGGAGCTGGGGCTCCTGCCATTAGGGCAGGAAGGACTTTAAACCCAAAGCTGGGTTCTCAGCCACGAGGGCCACGTGTTCTGGCGAGACCCCTGGTCCCGGCTCCGGTCTACACCCCCTCCCCAGATGTGGACCGGTGGCAAGGCTGGCCCTGTCTGGGGCTTGGAAGCCAGTGTGGGGACCTGCTGCTGGGAAGAGCGGGGCAGGACCTCCCACTGCCTCCCTGCCTCCCTGCCTCCCCTCCCCCCTGACCAGATTATGGGGAATGGGCTGCGGGCCTTGGGGTTGCAGTGCCGTCCGAGACCCCGCCACTCTCTGTGGTGGAGCAGGCCAGGCCCTGTAGCCCCAGAAGGGACACTCAGCCAAAAAGATGTGAGCCATCCTCTTCCTGAGAGTCTGCATATTGCAGGGCCCACCCCAAGCGTTGGAATCTTCGTGGGAGACTCTCAGACACCCCCTTGGTGGCTCCAAGAGACCTTCCAGTGAGGCTGTGGCAGGAGGGGGCAGGGTGGGCTGGGAGAGGCTTTGGCCCCTCCTCTGAGATTTTGGGGCAGGAAGGCAGGACCTGCATGAGGCTCCAGGCTTAGTCCTGGAGTCACCTAAGACCGGGGAAGATGCATCTTGCTTTGCCCTGGAGTGTGGCCGTGGGGCTCAGACATCACTCTCCCAGACCTTGCTATGAGCCACGCACTGAGCTCGTTCACTTTGCAATGCCCCAAGGGAGCAGGTACCGTCACCTCCCCAGGCTTCAAGGTGAGGAAATTGAGGCTCAGAGAAGGGAAGTGGCTTGCCAAGACCACAGAGCCAGGGTGGGGCCCATTTCAAGTCCAGGGCGTGTGACCCCAGGGGCTCTACCTCCTCCCCGGATGTCGGGGTGGGGGCGGCAGGAGATCCGAACTGTGGAGCAGATGGTGGCACAGTGAGGGTCCCACCTCTGCTTCTTTCCGTGGCTGTGCCCAGTGCCCCCTGCCACCCACTTACAGACTGGAGGCCTGAGGAGGGTGCCCGGGACTGCTCCCACTCCACCCTGTGCGTGGATGTCGCTGGCCTGAAGATAACCTCCGCATGGCCTTCCTCAGCCAGCTCTGCCCGAACTTTGGCTTCACCACTTATCTGGCCATGACCTCGGGCAGGCAGTTTGCCCAGCCTTGGCCTCAGTTTCCTCATCTGTGCAGTGGGTACAGCTATCACAGCATCGTTCTCATTGGGCAGAAGATTAAAGCGACAGCTTGTGTCCAGGGCTAACCATGCTGGCACCACAGCACACCCTGGGAAGATGCCCGCCCTTTCTTTGCATGGATTCTTTTTTCTTTTTCTTTTCTTTTTTTCTTTTTCTTTCTTTCTTTCTTTTTTTTTTTTTTTTTTTGAGACAAAGTCTCACTCTGTTCCCCAGGCTGGAGTACAGTGGTGTGATCTCGGCTCGCTGCAACCTCCGCCTCCTGGATTCAAGTGATTCTCCTGCCTCAGCCTCCCAAGTAGCTGGGATTACAGGAGCCTGCCACCAAGCCCGGCTAATTTTTGTATTTTTAGTAGAGAAGGGGTTTCACCATGTTGGCCAGGTGGTCTCAAACCCCTGACCTTGTAATCCACCCACCTCAGCCTCCCAAAGTGCTAGAATTACAGGCATCAGCCACTGCACCCAGCCCCTTGGGTAGATTCTGAGCCAGGGAAGCTCCTGTGCATGTGGAGGGTGGCTGCAGAGTCAGCACCAGAGCCCCTCCTGAGCGCTGTGCAGTCACCCTGCAGGGGAGGGGCCAGAGGCCACCCCAGACCCTTCCCTTCAGTTCCCCTGGCCTGCCCAGAGGGGTGGGCCTGGTGGGTACCTACAGTGGACGGCACAGCAGAGAGGTCAAGAGAGCAGTCCTGGCCTCACCAGGTCCACCTCCATTTTCTTCTCTGTAAAATGGCCATCATGGTACCTAAGTGCTAAAAAGTGTCGGCGTTTCTTCGCCTCACTGGGCAAACAAAAAGGTTTCCGGTCAGGCACGGTGGCTCATTCCCATAATCCCAGGACTTTGGGAGGCTGAGGCGGGTGGATCACTTGAGGTCAGGAGTTTGAGACCAGCCTGACCAACATGGAGAAACCCCATCTCTACTAAAAATACAAAATTAGCCGGGTGTGGTGGTGGGCGCCCGAATTCCCAGCTACACGGGAGGCTGAGGCAGGAGAATCACTTGAACCTACGAGGCAGAGAGGTTGCGGGGAGCCAAGATCCTGTCTCTGCACTCCAGTCTGCGCTCCAGGCAACAAGAGTGAAACTGTTTCTTTTTTTTTTTTTTGAGACAGAGTCTTGCTCAGTTGCCCAGGCTGGAGTGCAGTGGCGCAATCTCGGCTCACTGCAAGCTCCGCCTCCCGGGTTCACGTCATTCTCCTGCTGCAGCCTCCCAAGTAGCTGGTACTACAGGCGCCTGCCACCATGCCCAGCTAATTTTTTGTATTTTTAGAAGAGATGGTGTTTCACTGTGTTAGCCAGGATGGTCTCGATCTCCTGACCTCATGATCCACCCGCCTCGGCCTCCCAAAGTGCTGGGATTACAGGCATGAGCCACCGCGCCCGGCCGGAACTCTGTTTCAAAAAGAAAAAAAACAAAAGAAAAAGAGGGTGTCCATGGGCAATGAAGGTTGGGCTCAGTGCATACCGTAGGTGCCCAGTGAGTGCTGCCAGTGGCCATGGTTGGCTTCCTGTTGCTGCTCACAGTCTGGGAGGGAGAAGCAGGCACTCCCATCCTCTCTGTCTGGTGGTTCTGGGAGCACCATAGGGACGCCCAAGGAGGGAAGGAGCCCCACTGCACCCGCCCCCAACCCCGGCCTTCCAGACTCAGCAACAGACTCACTCCCCCTCCCGGCCCTCATCCACAGAGCGTGCCAGGAAGATGTCGAGCCCGGGCATCGACGGCGACCCCAAGCCTCCATGCTTGCCTCGAAACGGTCTGGTGAAGCTGCCGGGCCAGCCCAACGGCCTGGGTGCGGCCAGCATCACCAAGGGCACGCCAGCCACCAAGAACCGCCCCTGCCAGCCACCACCCCCACCCACCCTCCCACCACCCAGCCTGGCTGCTCCACTGTCCCGGGCTGCCCTGGCTGGGGGCCCGTGCACCCCGGCAGGTGGACCAGCCTCAGCCTTGGCACCTGGGCACCCAGCGGAGCGGCCGCCGCTGGCCACGGACGAGAAGATCCTCAATGGGCTCTTCTGGTATTTCTCGGCCTGCGAGAAGTGTGTGCTGGCCCAGGTGTGCAAGGCCTGGCGGCGCGTGCTGTACCAGCCCAAGTTCTGGGCAGGCCTCACGCCGGTGCTGCATGCCAAGGAGCTCTACAACGTGCTGCCTGGTGGCGAGAAGGAGTTCGTGAACCTGCAGGGTTTTGCCGCCAGAGGCTTCGAGGGCTTCTGCCTGGTTGGCGTCTCCGACCTGGACATCTGTGAGTTCATTGACAACTATGCGCTCTCCAAGAAGGGTGTCAAAGCCATGAGCCTCAAGCGCTCCACCATCACGGACGCAGGCCTCGAGGTGTGCACCAGGCTCGGGGGGGACAGGGCTGGGGGGCAGGGGCGGGCAGCAGCAACCCTATGGAGGTGGGAGCGGATGGTGGCTTTGGGGTGGGAGGAAAGAAGGACTGACTACAGGGGACCTCGCGCAAAGCGAAAATGTGGGTCCCTTGTTCAAAGACACTCAAGATTTTCAAGATGGCAGCAGCAGGGCAGTGGATTAAATGCAGGGCCCAGGCCCGGTGGCTCAAGCCTGTCATCCCGGCACTATGGGAGGCCGAGGCAGGCCACTCACTTGAGGTTAGGCGTTCATGACCAGCCTGGTCAACATGGTGAAACTCTATTTCTATTAAAAATGCAGAAATTAGCCAGGCCTGGTGGTGGGCACCTGTAGTCCCAGCTACTTGGGAGGACACTGAGGCAGGAGAATCGCTTGAACCCGGGAGGCGGGGGGTACAGTGAGCTGAGATCATGCCACTGCACTCCAGCCTGGGACCTGGGCAACAGAGTAAGGCTCTGTCTCAAAATGATTGAATGAATGAATGAATAAATAAATAAATAAATAAATACAAATGCAGTGTGGGGAGGATGCGAGGGGGAGCTGAGGGGCAGCTGGGAAAGGATCCCCCAGGAGTAGAGGTCAGAGGAGCCGCCTGGCAGCCGGGTCTGGAGTCTAATTGTAACGCTGGTGCCAACGCCCCCAGCACCTGCCCTGGCCAGGCCCTGGGCTCTCGTCCCGATGCCCCGCCTCCTCACACACTGCCAAATGTTTTCAGGGTTCAGCTCCCTGCATGTTTACACCCTACTGCTTCCTCCCTGCGGGCTCCACCCCTTCTCCTGCAATCCTGACCCGGCGCCCGCCCGCCTGCAGGTTATGCTTGAACAGATGCAGGGCGTGGTGCGTCTGGAGCTGTCGGGCTGCAACGACTTCACCGAGGCCGGGCTGTGGTCCAGCCTGAGCGCGCGCATCACCTCGCTGAGCGTGAGTGACTGCATCAACGTGGCCGACGACGCCATCGCGGCCATCTCGCAGCTGCTGCCCAACCTGGCGGAGCTGAGCCTGCAGGCCTACCACGTGACGGACACGGCGCTGGCCTACTTCACGGCGCGCCAGGGCCACAGCACGCACACGCTGCGCCTGCTCTCCTGCTGGGAGATCACCAACCACGGCGTGGTCAACGTGGTGCACAGCCTGCCCAACCTCACCGCGCTCAGCCTCTCGGGCTGCTCCAAGGTCACCGACGACGGCGTGGAGCTCGTGGCCGAGAACCTGCGCAAGCTGCGCAGCCTTGACCTCTCGTGGTGCCCACGCATCACCGACATGGCGCTGGAGTACGTGGCCTGCGACCTGCACCGCCTAGAGGAGCTCGTGCTCGACAGGTGCGCGCCCCCGGGCCGCGCCGGGCGGGGCTGGGCCGGGCGGGGCTGCACGGGGCGGGGCGGGGCGGGGCTGCACGGGGCCGGGGGCGGGGGCTTCCGGCGGGGCTGGGGCTGTGGCGCGGCGGGCAGAGCCCTCGGAGCCTGGGGAGTGGGAACCGCAGAACCGCAGCACGGGTTGGCTGGACCCCCGTCCTTCCCGGTGGGTGGGAGCGAGGAGGGGCCAGCGGCTGCTCCGGGTGGGGCAGGAAGGGATTCACGCCAGGGGCACTCCCAGGAAGACGAGGGATGGCCGGGGCCAGGTGATTTGAAGGTGGGGGTCCCCTCTGGTGCAACCACAGGTGTGTACGCATCACGGACACTGGCCTCAGCTATCTGTCCACCATGTCGTCCCTCCGCAGCCTCTACCTGCGATGGTGCTGCCAGGTACCGGCTCTCACGCCCCGGGATTGGGGGATCGGCGGGGAGGTGGGGGCGCGGGGAGAGCTCCCGGCCCCACTCAGATCCTGGGAGAGTCTGGGGCCCCTCCCTATCCAGCAGCCGACCTAAGCGGAACGCAGGGGTCCCGGCGGCCCCCACGAGCACTTCCCAGCCGCCTCCCGGCTCCGGGGGGGACGGAGGAACCCCGGGCTTGAACCCGCCTAGCCCTCCATGGACCCCAGGGTGCCCTCCGCCTCGGTGCGAGCGGAAATCGTTAAGTCGCTCCTCCACTCCCGACAGGTGCAAGACTTCGGGCTGAAGCACCTCCTGGCCCTGGGGAGTTTGCGCCTCCTGTCTCTGGCAGGTGAGACCCCCGTTTCTGCTCTGACGCTGGCAGTGACCACCCACCCCCACTTAGTCCACCCGCCCAACCTGCCCGGTCCTTGTGCAAACTCACACCCGGCGCGGACACACAGTCCCGGGTCCGAGGCGGAGGAGGAGGGAGGCGCGGCCCGGCCGTCCCCGCCCGAGCCCTGGGCCGCGCGCACTGAGCCGCCCTCTGACCCCGCCGCAGGCTGCCCGCTGCTCACCACCACCGGGCTGTCGGGCCTGGTGCAGCTGCAGGAGCTGGAGGAGCTGGAGCTGACCAACTGCCCCGGGGCCACCCCCGAGCTCTTCAAGTATTTCTCGCAGCACCTGCCCCGCTGCCTCGTCATTGAGTAGCGCGAGGCCCCCGCCCCGGTCGCGGGAACCCGGCCATGACCTGGGCGGGGGCGCGGGGCGCCGCCGAGCCCCCTCTTCCCGCCTTGCGCTCGGGGGAGCCCCCGCGCCCCCGGCCCAGCGCGGGAGGCGGGGCGAGCCGAGGGAAAGCCCCTCCCCGACCTTCGGTCCCTCCGCCCTCCCAGCCCCGCCCCGGGCAGGGGGGCGGCGGGTGGGCCCGCCCCACGCACGCACGCACACTCGGGGACTTTGTGCATGCCCCTCGTGCCCGCACTGCACGCCGCCCTCCGCCACGCCACAGCCACAGCCGCCGCCATCACTCGCTCGCCCTCCCGCTTGGGGGGCGGGGCTCGGTCCTTGGGGGGGCTTTGAGCTCTCCAGACTGTGCCCTTACCGCCTTCCCCGCCACACCCGCTCTGTCTTCCCACTGTCCCCCCCATCCCGGGCAGGGCCCAGTGGGATTGAGGGGGCTGGGTCCCCCAGGACACGGGCCCAGAAGAGCCCCACGGGCTTCCTGCATCTTCCACCGCACCATACCTGGAGCCCTCCGAGGGGTGTCAGGGGAAACAGGCCACCGCCAAAGCCATGGCCCGCCGCCGAGAGCCCAGGCCCCACCCGCACCTCCTCACCCATCCAGCCTGACCCACGCGGCCTCTCCTCCTCCTTGCCGCTGTGTGGGGCAGTCCCCTGTCCGCCCCAAAACCCGGCCTTGGTCCCTGGCCAGGCTGAGAGAATTGGGCAGGGAGAGGGCGGAAGGGCTGGCGATCGCTTGGAGTCATTAACGTGATCCCAGCTGACTCCGGTCGGCCTCAACCCAGGGGTGGCGCAGGCACCTTGCAAGCCTCGAGCTGTAGCCACCCTCAGGCCTGGGAAGAGGCCTGGGCCGACCTCACACCTCAGCCCTTGCACCCGGCCGGGCTCAGTTCAGGCCTGGGCACCGAGCTTCACCCTGGGTGGGTCTCCTCAGGTGGAGTCTGCAGAGTGGACCCAGCCAAGGGTCAGGGTCAGCACTGGGTCAGCGACTCCAATCTTCCAGTGGCCAGCACACCCTAGACACCCCGAGGAGGGAGGGCTCCTTTCTAGCCTGCCCCCCCACCCCCACTTCACCCCTCCCCAGCTTCCCAAACTTCTGTCTGCCCAAATGGGCTCTGACCGTGCTCTGTCGGCCCGAGACATTTGGAAGTCCTGGGGGATGCTGGCAAATCTCAGCTGTTGCTGAGGAGGGGGCTGGGACCCCTTCCCATCCCAACCTTGAGCCCCAGGAGATACCGCGCCCACACCCAATCTTGGGACACTCCCTATCTGGTTGGAAGAGAGTAACCAGTTTCCAGAGAGCCAGAGAGTGAGAGAGAGAAAGAGAGTGAGAGAGAGAGAGAAAGAGAGAGAGAGATGCTGTTGAATCAGAAACAGATCAACAGCCCAAAGATTTTCCTGTCCCTGGAGTGCCAGCCCCAGGAAGCTCCAGGGCTGAGTGGTCAGGAGCCAGTTTCTCCAGCCCCTCCTCCCCACAACCCCTAGTGGGGAGGGGCAGCTGTCCATTTGCCCAAAGTATTAATGCAACTGAAGCTGTGATATTTCCAACGACTGTAGGAGGAAAAATTAAGGGGAGAGAGGAAAACAAAACCAACCAACCCCTAAAATCATTTTCTTATTGTACATAACGACCTCATTCTCCTGTATATGCGGAAGATATAACCTTATATTTGGTAAGTGTTTCTTGTGCTATTTTATCACGTGACCTGTTTATAAAAATATATATTAAAAAAGTTGTAAAAACATGTGTCTGAGTTGTTTTTAGGTCCCCAGACAGCGGTGTAGGTGGGCATATCTGCCCTGCGCATCCCAGGTCTCGGGATTCTCCTGTACCTCTTATCAGATTTATTCTTTCTTGCAACAAAGGGGTAGAGGCTGGATGCCGACATGGTAGAATGGAAACAGCAGTGACTACATGGAAGGCAGAGGACCTCCCATTCCTTAAAGGGAGAGACAACACTGAAGTCACTACACATAATATTCCCTCCAACATATCCAGACTCTAGCCCACCCTTCCAGAGAGGCAGAAATAAACCCTGTTCTATACACAGTAACAGGCAAGGACAAGGATGTCGCAAAAGATTACAAAATGCACCAATAGCAGACAATGGCTCACACCCAGGAGAGACAGAGAGGTCGAAAAAGGCAACTGAGGCTGGGCACAGTGGCTCACGCCTGTAATCCTAGCACTTAGGCCGAAGCGGGTGGATCACCTGAGGTCAGGCGTTCAAGACCAGCCTGGCCAACATGGTGAAACCCTGTCTCTACTAAAAATACAAAAAATTAACAGGGTGTGGTGGTGGTTGCCTATAATCCCAGCTACTAGGGAGGCTGAGGCTGAATCGCTTGAACCTAGGGGGTGGAGGTTGCTATGAGCCGAGACTGCGCCACCTCACTCCAACCTGGGCGAAAGAGCAAAACTCCGTCTCAAAAAATTTTAAAGAGACCGGGTGCGGTGGCTCACACCTGTAATCCTAGCACTTTGGGAGGCCAAGGCGAGTGGATCACCTGAGGTTGGGAGTTCGAGACCAGCCTGACCAACATGGAAAAACTCCATCTCTACTAAAAATACAAAATTAGCCCAGTATGGTGGCCCATGCCTGTAATCCCAGCTACTCGGGAAGCTGAGGCAGGAGAATCGCTTGAACCCAGGAGGCGGAGGTTGCGGTGAGCCAAGATTGCACCATTGCACTCCAGCCTGGGCAACAAGAGCGAAACTCCGTCTCAAAAAGTTTTTTAAAAAAAAGAACGAGAGCAACTGGTTGAACAGGTGTGTCAGGCACTGGGCATTCGGTGGGGATTGAGCCAGAATGTGATTCCTGCCTTGGTGGAATTCACACTCGTATGTGACCGACAACAACCAGTAAACAAACGAATGGGTGGTGACAAGTGCCGTGGAGGCCACAGTGATGGAGAAGCCCATTAGGGCAGTGGTCAGGGAGGTCCGCTCTGTGGAGGAGGCATCGCACGCACGTACAATGTCCCTGAGGCAGGAAAGGGCTTGGTGGGCTGGGAATGGGGGTGGAGGCTGCCATGGCTGGAGGTGGGCAGGGGAAGGCGGAGGCCAGGAGTTGGGGTTCATTCACAGCATAGTGGGAGCTGCCAGAGGCCTCAGGCAGAAGACCTGGTGCCTGACTTCTGTGCGGGTTTCTGATCAAAGGGGAAAGACGGACCCAGGAAAGCCGTTGGGAGGCTGCTCCCGAGGTCGAGGAGTGAGGAAGGAGGGGAAGACTGGGGGCACTCGGAACTTGTCTAGGGATGACCAGATGTCATGATGGACCTGGGGATTAAAATAGGTGATGGCATTAAAATACTGAAATTGAGACTTAAAAAACAGGCCAGGCGCGGTGGCTCACACCTGCATTCCCAGCACTTCAGGAGGCTGACGCCAGAGGATCGCTTGAGTTCAGTAGTTTTAAGACCAGCCTGGCCAACACGGTGAAACCCCGTGTCTACCAAAAATACAAAATTAGCCAAATTAGCCGGGCGTGGTGGCGGGCGCCTGTAGTGCCAGCTACTTGGGAGGCTGAGGCGGGAGAATCGCTTGAACCTGGGAGGTGGAGGTTGCAATGAGCCAAGGTCGCGCCACTGTACTCCAGCCTGGGCGACAGAGCGAGACTCCGTTTAAATAAATAAATAAATAAACCAATCACACAAGCACAGCACCGCAGCGCAATGGCAACGCCCAGGGCGGCCCGCAGACCCCAATCCCGGGCCCCTCCTGGCCTCTGCCAACGCAGCTCCCTGACCCGGAACTTTCGTGGTGTCGGGCGAGAGTTTGTGCCCACTTCCTGAGAGGGATGGGTAAGAAGAGGACCACTTCCGGCGAGGGACGGGAAAGACAGCGGCTTCCGGCGCGGCGGTTCCGGACAACCGTGCGCTTTTAGTAAAAGATTGGGGTTCGCGCGGGGGAGAAGGGCTGCCCCGGGCCCTCTGGTTCTCGTCCCGCAGCGTCCGCTCCCCCGCGCCACTGCGCCGCTCCCAGGAACCCTGTACTCCGGGGTCGCCGGCTTCTCTCCTGCCTCCGGTCCCGCCAGACACCTCGAGCTCCTTAAGTAGCTCGGTCCTTGACGTCCCTCTGGGCCCTTCCCGCGTCTATCGCCTGAGTCCCCGGGCCCCTCTAGCCCTCTGTTCCCTCCCCTCTTTTGTTCCTCCCTAGAGCCCCGCCGCCCTCAGGGCTGACAGTGTGGACGGCGGGAGTCTCCTCGCTCCCCTGCTGGGATTGACTGACCGAGCGTTTAGTGACTGCCCAGATCTGGCTGATGGGGGTACCGAGAGGTGGCCTGGGCCGGGAATGTCCAGCTAGAGTCTTCCGTGGAAGTCAGACATGAAACTGACAGGCCTAAGGGAAGCTAGGAAGTCCCCTCACCGCTCAGCCAGGGTGATGGGCTGGACTGACAGACTCCAGTGAATTTGAGCTTGCCTGTCAGGCTGATTGGCTGATAGACAGCCCTGGATTGGCTCACTAAGACTGACCAGCCCGGGACCAAGCAGTTCTGGGGTCCCAACCTGGGTGGAAGGTCTGAACTGATGACCCACCCAGGCTGACCAGGCCAGCCCACCTCACTGACCTCCTGACCCCTGACCTCATCACCTGTGCAGCCATGGAGAAGATGTCCCGTGTGACCACAGCCCTGGGTGGCAGCGTGCTGACAGGCCGCACCATGCACTGCCACCTGGATGCTCCCGCCAATGCCATCAGTGTGTGCCGCGACGCAGCCCAGGTGGTCGTGGCAGGCCGTAGCATCTTCAAGATCTATGCCATCGAGGAGGAACAGTTCGTGGAAAAGCTGAACCTGCGTGTGGGGCGCAAGCCTTCGCTTAACCTGAGCTGTGCTGACGTGGTCTGGCACCAGATGGATGAGAACCTGCTGGCCACAGCAGCCACCAATGGCGTGGTGGTCACGTGGAACCTGGGCCGGCCATCCCGCAACAAGCAGGACCAGCTGTTCACAGAACACAAGCGCACGGTAAACAAAGTCTGCTTCCACCCCACCGAAGCCCACGTGCTGCTCAGTGGCTCCCAGGATGGCTTCATGAAGTGCTTTGACCTCCGCAGAAAGGACTCTGTCAGCACCTTCTCGGGTGAGGCCACAGAGGCAGGTCAGGGCAGGTGGGCGTCTCTGCCGGTGCCCAGCCTGTCCATGCAGGCGGAAAAGGGCTCCGTGCATCAGAGGCCCTCAGGATCACTCCCAGAGGGCTTCCTCAGGGGGAAAGGGAATCGGCAGGGGAGGGATGGGGCAAGTTGGGCTGGACGGCATGTGAGCCAGGGCAGTCAAGTGGGAAGAGGCAAGAGATGAGACCAGCAGAAATTGAGGCTAGGTGTGGGGTGAGGGAGGGCAGAGCCCCAGCGGTCTCCCAGCCAGCCTGGGTGGTGAGCAGAGAGCCACTGACTCCCTTCCCTCATGTCGGAGCTACAGAGGCTGCCTCATAGCAGGAGGTCTGCCAGGACTTCCAGGTTTCCTGGCCCAGGGAGGCAGAGGAGGTGGGTTTGCTGTCCAGTGCCCTGGGGCCCTTTTCCTAACAGGCCCAGCTCCCCGATGGCTGCCCTGAGCCAGCTCTCCCTTGTTCACCTGGAGGAGACTAGGTATGAAGCACAAGGCGGAGCCCTCAGGGGCCTCAGAGAATTTTCAGGCCACTTAAGACAGATCCTGGCAGGGCGCGGTGGCTCATGCCTGTAATCCCAGCACTTTGGGAGGCCGAGGCAGGCCGATCACGAGGTCAGGAGATTGAGACCCTCCTGGCTAACACAGGGAAACCCCATATCCACTAAAAATACAAAACAAAAAATTAGCTGGGCGCAGTGGCACGCGCCTGTAATCCTAGCTACTTGGGAGGTTGGGGCAGGAGAATTGCTTGAACCCGGGAGGTGGAGGTTGCAGTGAGCCCAGATCGTGCCACTTGCACTCCAGCCTGGGTGACAGAGGGAGACTCCGTCTAAAAAGACAGATCCTGAGCTGCCTCCCCTGCAGGGCCCTGGAGGAAGGTTGGGTACCGCCCTTGAAGTTTCTTGGTGTGGTGGTCCCCTAGGGTGGACCTGGGCCCTGAGTCATCCAGTCCTTTGGGGCTGACCAGGCAGTTCCAGCTCCAGGTGAAGGGACTGGGCCAAGGCTGGGGCACCCTCCTCAGCACCTCCTTGGGCCTCCCACAGGGCCACGGGAGTGGGCGATGGCTGGGTGCGTTCCTATTCTCCCAGTGCTCAGCTGCCGCATCCTGAGGCTGCACCACAGCTTTGCTCATGGACCGATGCAGGATGCAGAATCTACGGCAAATGACGCCCGGGAGTATGTGTTACAAATCACGTGGTGTCCTGCTCCCGGGCCCAGGCTCTTGTGGCGACTCTGTGTGGCTGCTTCCTTGGGCAGATCTTGGGGATGTCCACTCTACCCTCTGGGCCTCTGTTCTGGGCCACAGGCAGGTGTGTGACACCATGCCACAGCTGTTCTGAGGGCGCACCTCATGGGCCAGCCCCGTCACTTCCCCTGCATCGACCTCCTGCCTGCAGGCCAGTCGGAGAGCGTGCGGGACGTGCAGTTCAGTATCCGGGACTACTTCACCTTCGCCTCCACCTTTGAGAACGGCAATGTGCAGCTCTGGGACATCCGGCGTCCCGACCGGTGCGAGAGGATGTTCACAGCCCACAACGGACCCGTCTTCTGCTGCGACTGGCACCCCGAGGACAGGTGTGGCATGGGGGTGCAGGGGCAGTAGGTTGACAGTAAGCTCTCACTGCCTCAGATCCATGAGACAGTCCGGAGCAGCAGAGCGGGGGGGTCCCCTCTCTGCAGGAAAGGCCACTGAGGGTTTGGGTGGACCTTCTTCCCACAGGGGCTGGTTGGCCACTGGAGGGCGCGACAAGATGGTGAAGGTCTGGGACATGACCACGCACCGTGCCAAGGAGATGCACTGTGTGCAGACCATCGCCTCGGTGGCCCGTGTGAAGTGGCGGCCAGAGTGCCGCCACCACCTGGCCACGTGCTCCATGATGGTGGACCACAACATCTATGTTTGGGACGTGCGCCGGCCCTTCGTGCCAGCTGCCATGTTTGAGGAACACCGAGACGTCACCACGGGAATTGCCTGGCGCCACCCCCACGACCCCTCCTTCCTGCTGTCTGGCTCCAAGGACAGCTCGCTGTGCCAGCACCTGTTCCGCGACGCCAGCCAGCCCGTCGAGCGCGCCAACCCTGAGGGCCTCTGCTACGGCCTCTTCGGGGACCTGGCCTTCGCCGCCAAGGAGAGCCTCGTGGCTGCCGAGTCGGGGCGCAAGCCCTACACTGGCGACCGGCGCCACCCCATCTTCTTTAAGCGCAAGCTGGACCCTGCCGAGCCCTTCGCAGGCCTCGCCTCCAGTGCCCTCAGTGTCTTTGAGACGGAGCCAGGTGGCGGCGGCATGCGCTGGTTTGTGGACACAGCTGAGCGTTATGCGCTGGCTGGCCGGCCACTGGCCGAGCTCTGTGACCACAACGCAAAGGTGGCTCGAGAGCTTGGCCGCAACCAGGTAGGTAGGTGCTGAGCCTGGGGGTCCCTGGGCCACGACCTCAGGGCAGGGGCTGGTTCCTCCGTCAGCTGCGCTCACCCCACCTCAAGCTCCGCAATGGACTCCAGCCAGTCGCACCAACAGGCCTTGCCTTGGTAGCTGAGGGTGTCAGGATCACACAGGGCCAGGGCTCCAGGGTGGGCCAGACCCAGGACTGTCCTCTGAGGGGCGGGGGTCTCGGGAGTCGTGTGGCTCAAGCTCTCTGTTCTTCCCCCCTTGCTTCTGGAGCTCTCCAGGCACCAGCAGCGGTGGAGCCGTGAGCTGCCGTTCCCATGCCCATCTCTAGCTGCCCCGCAAGTCCCCACTGCCCAATTCTGTTTTCCTCTGTGCTGCTGTAGGGCGGGGACCGGGGTTTTTGTCTTTCCCATGAGCCTCAGCTTTCCTACCTGGGGTGGGCCTGGACATTGGGTACTGAGGGCAGCTGAATGCTGAGGGCTTGTGACTGTCCAGGCAGAGAGGGACCTGCATGGGGTGCTGGGTGTCCAGGACGCCCACAAGTGACCAGTGCCCGCCCCTAGGTGGCGCAAACGTGGACCATGCTGCGGATCATCTACTGCAGCCCTGGCCTAGTGCCCACTGCAAACCTCAACCACAGTGTGGGCAAGGGTGGCTCCTGTGGCCTCCCGCTCATGAACAGGTAGATGCCGGGGGCAGCTCTCCCCAGGGGCTGGGGCTGCTCGAGCCCACCCACCCATGGGCCCTTCCTGCCCCCAGTTTCAACCTGAAGGATATGGCCCCAGGGTTGGGCAGTGAGACGCGGCTGGACCGCAGCAAAGGAGATGCACGGAGCGACACAGTTCTGCTCGACTCCTCGGCCACACTCATCACCAATGAGGGTAGGCTGGGGTGGGTAGGGGTGCTGATGGGAGAGGGGTGGGGGTGTCCCAGACGACCCTGAATGCCCGCCCCATTGTCGGGCAGATAACGAGGAAACCGAGGGCAGCGACGTACCTGCCGACTACCTGCTGGGTGACGTGGAAGGTGAGGAGGACGAGCTGTACCTGCTGGATCCGGAACACGCGCACCGTGAGTGGGGGTCCGGGCAGGGTGGGGTTCAGAGGCGGATGGAGGACAGACTCAGAGCCTCCGCTGGTCCCTGCCTTCCAGCCGAGGACCCTGAGTGCGTGCTGCCGCAGGAGGCCTTTCCGCTGCGCCACGAGATCGTGGACACGCCTCCCGGGCCCGAGCACCTGCAGGACAAGGCCGACTCCCCGCACGTGAGCGGCAGCGAGGCGGATGTGGCCTCCCTGGCCCCCGTGGACTCCTCCTTCTCGCTCCTGTCTGTCTCACACGCGCTCTACGACAGCCGCCTGCCGCCCGACTTCTTCGGCGTGCTGGTGCGCGACATGCTGCACTTCTACGCTGAGCAGGGCGACGTGCAGATGGCTGTGTCTGTGCTCATCGTCCTGGGTGAACGGGTGCGCAAGGACATCGACGAGCAGACCCAGGTGTGTGGTGGGCGGGGCCTCCCCCCTGCAGCGCCGCCCCTGGCACCCAGATCCTGACTGCCGGGCGCTCCCTCCCCCAGGAGCACTGGTACACTTCCTACATCGACCTGCTGCAGCGCTTCCGCCTCTGGAACGTGTCCAACGAGGTGGTCAAGCTGAGCACCAGCCGCGCCGTCAGCTGCCTCAACCAGGCCTCCACCACCCTGCACGTCAACTGCAGCCACTGCAAGCGGCCCATGAGCAGCCGGGGCTGGGTCTGCGACAGGTGGGGCAGTGGGGTCGGGAGGTGGGGCAGGGGCCTGCAGGCAGCGCAGCAGCCCCCGCTGAGGCACCCTCCCTCCCGCCCGCCCCCAGGTGCCACCGCTGCGCCAGCATGTGTGCCGTCTGCCACCACGTAGTCAAGGGTCTCTTCGTGTGGTGCCAGGGCTGCAGCCACGGCGGCCACCTGCAGCACATCATGAAGTGGCTGGAAGGCAGCTCCCACTGTCCCGCAGGCTGCGGCCACCTCTGCGAGTACTCCTGACGGGGCATCTGCTGGGCTTGCCCGGGCGGCCGCGTGCAGAACCCCGCCTGGTCTTGTGCCCGAGACGGGCGGAGGCTGGAACTTGAGACCTCAATAAAGGAAGTAGAGCCGCTGTCGGCACTGCGTGTCACCCCATAGCGCGGCGGGCTCGCCGTAGGCCCGCGGGGCAGCTGGCGGGCGGGGGCTTTCGGCGGGGTTGTCGCCATGGTAACCGGCGGCGCCCATAGTCGCTCTCGGGGCGGCCTTCCCAGTGCCTCCCGTAGAGGCCTCTTCCGGGGCGGGCCAAAGGAGGTCACTTCCGGGGTCCGTCCCGGTTCCCGGCCGTTGCCACGACGACGAAGCTGCCGGCCAATGGCTGGCGGATGGGCCCAAGGTTCCCGGCGTGCAGCGCGGCTGCCTGAGGGCGGCAGGCTCATGGCGCCGGCGTCGCGGTTGCTCGCGCTCTGGGCGCTGGCGGCTGTGGCTCTACCCGGCTCCGGGGCGGAGGGCGACGGCGGGTGGTGAGCGGCCCGGGAGGGGCCGGGCGGTGGGGTCACGTGCGGCGGGCGGGGCGCGGGCTGACCCAGCTGTGCCCGCAGGCGCCCGGGCGGGCCGGGGGCCGTGGCGGAGGAGGAGCGCTGCACGGTGGAGCGTCGGGCCGACCTCACCTACGCGGAGTTCGTGCAGCAGTACGTGCGCCCCTGATCGCGGAGGTCGCGTCCTGTTCACCGGCCCGTCTGCCCCGACCGCCCAAGGCCGCCTTCCCCTGACCTCGCGCGCACGCGTGGGGCTGGGGCGGCGAGGCTGGCGGTCCGGCCTGGCCGCGACTCTGCCCTTCTTTCCAGGTACGCCTTCGTCAGGCCCGTCATCCTGCAGGGACTCACGGACAACTCGGTGAGCGCGTGCCCGTCCGTCCCCGGCCACTCTCGCCCGTGCTGGGCCCGGCCACTAAGTCCCCTCCCCGCCCCCGCAGAGGTTCCGGGCCCTGTGCTCCCGCGACAGGTTGCTGGCTTCGTTTGGGGACAGAGTGGTCCGGCTGAGCACCGCCAACACCTACTCCTACCACAAAGGTACGCGGCCTCACCCCTGGGGCCCGCCCATTTGCCAACACCGGGGCGGCTGGACCAGACGGTCCTGACCCGTCTCTTTCCTGCAGTGGACTTGCCCTTCCAGGAGTATGTGGAGCAGCTGCTGCACCCCCAGGACCCCACCTCCCTGGGCAATGGTGAGGCAGCCCTAGGCGGCGGTAGGGGGTGGGGACGCTTGGAGTCTCCAGGTGCCAGGATCCCTGTCCCCGCCGTCTCTGTTGGCAGACACCCTGTACTTCTTCGGGGACAACAACTTCACCGAGTGGGCCTCTCTCTTTCGGCACTACTCCCCACCCCCATTTGGCCTGCTGGGAACCGCTCCAGCTTACAGCTTTGGAATCGCAGGTGGGTGCTTCTTGGGACTGGGAAGGACTGAGGCTTCTGTCGGTGAGTACAAAATGGGTTGGTCACCAGGTGCTCATAACCCCACAGGAGCTGGCTCGGGGGTGCCCTTCCACTGGCATGGACCCGGGTACTCAGAAGTGATCTACGGTCGTAAGGTCAGCACGGGGTGGGGGTTGAGGCTTGGGACTCGCTGACCAAAACGGGCAAGGGTGACACTGCTGCTCATGCCCCCAGCGCTGGTTCCTTTACCCACCTGAGAAGACGCCAGAGTTCCACCCCAACAAGACCACGCTGGCCTGGCTCCGGGACACATACCCAGCCCTGCCACCGTCTGCACGGCCCCTGGAGTGTACCATCCGGGCTGGTGAGGTCAGTGGCTGGCAGGAGAGGGCCAGGCCAGGCTAGAGGCCCGCAGCTAATCTCTGCTGCACCCCCTTCCTCCACCAGGTGCTGTACTTCCCCGACCGCTGGTGGCATGCTACGCTCAACCTTGACACCAGCGTCTTCATCTCCACCTTCCTCGGCTAGCCAAAACAGCTGGCAGGACTGCCGGTCACACACCAGCACGTCCCACCTCGTGCTCACGGATTTTATTACACAGATAGTGGCGGCAATGGCCTCAGCCCAGCCCACCCTCACCTGCTTTTCCAGCCCACAAAGGGGGACGATCACGGCCCAGCAAAAGCGATGCTGAGAGGGGAAACAGTCCAGAGTCCAACAGCAGAACTTGGGGGAAGCGGTCGGGGTGGCCAGGAACATAAACTATGTATAGGGGCCGGGGGCTTCTGCCCAGGGCTCCCCTGGACCAGGACGCCAGGTAGGGCAGGGAACCTCAGTAGTCCTCCACCCAGCCATTCTCAGAGATGAATGCGTCAATAACCTCCTTCATAGCCAAGTTGGGGATGAGCTGTTCCTGGGTCAGGGGGCTCCGGGTCACGGGGTCAAAATGACCCACACGCTGCAGTGACAAGAAGGGCAGAGGGCAGTCATGGGGCCCAGGACCATGCCACTGGCCCTGCTCCCCCAGCCGCAGGCCTCACCTGCAGGTGCTCCTCGATGTCCTTGCGGTCGTAGGTGATGCCACTGGGCGTGATGCACGGCTCCCGCATCAGCTCAAAGCTGATCTTGCCACACAGGTAGTCGGGGATGTCTCGCTTCTGTGGCACAGGGGCACACGGTCAGAGGCTGAAAAGGGGCACTGCACGAGCACCTGCCAGCCATCGGCAGCAAGCGACACACACTCACCTTCCTCTTCTCATCCACCTGAGAAAAAAGCTCGTCCATGTCCGCCATGTACTTGTCCTGTGAAGAGTTGAGTGCTGTGCTTGGGGGAGACACCCCACCTCCCTCCTCCATGGGGCACAGACCCAACACAAGGCGGGGATGCTCCCACGCCACGTGCACACACACAGACCCACATGTGGGTGGGGGGCACCCTCACGTGCTTGGCCTCAATGCAGGCCTGCTGGGCCCGGACGTGGCTGTCGTCCTCATCACCCTCGTGGTTTCGCTGGCACTCTTCCAGCTCCCTGGGGGTTGACCAGGAGCCGGTCAGAGATGGACCTGGCCAGATGTCTGACCACACCCCAATCTCAGAGCTAACATCCACACTTCCCCACATTTCCTGCTTGCCAGTAAAGCCTTCGATAAACGCTTGTGTCGGGAGTCGGTGATTCAGAATTATCCCAAGACAGGGCGGCCTGGGGTGAGGGTCCCACCTCTCACGCTCCGCGGCAATGAGCCTGGAGAGGTAGGAGTGCAGCTCGCTCTCCTGGTGGATGCGCCGCTCCTCAATGCTGTTCCAGCGCTTCTTCTTCGCGATTCGAAGAGCGCTGGGGATGTCGTCCCCGAAGTTCAGCCGCTGCTCCTTGGCCAGGCTGTAAGCTGGGGAACGGGGGCTTCACGTCACTCTCTGGCCAGTCCACCCGCCTGGCCCCAGAGGCCCCACAACCGGGCAGCTTGTCAGCCAACCTCGCTGCAGATTGGCGATGGCCTCATCATAGCTCTCCATCTCCAGCTGGCACTGCCCCAGGAAGAAGTGCGCCTTCACAGACTGCCCGTCCAGCTCCAGGGCGCGCCGGCAGTCGGCCAGGGCCTGCTCGTGCTGCTGCATCTTCAGGTAGCACAAGGCCCGGTTGGTGTAATACACGGCCACCAGCGGGTTCCGGGTCTAGGGACCAAGGCCGGGCCAGCCGCATGAGGGCGTAGGCTCAGCGTGCCCACTCTGACCCACGGCCCGTCCCAGCTTCTGCGCTCTGGCTAGAATCAAGAAACTAGGTTTCTCAGTTGTCAAAGCCCCTGGGTCCAAGGATCTGTGCACAGTGGAGTACTGGCTGAGCCTATCCGCTTGATTCCACTTGGTTTTGTAAAGTTTTCCAAATCTTTGGAGAGTCCGGGCTTAGGACCTGGGGTCCTCAAGGGTCGAGGGCCCCTGCCCTCCCCCCACCCGGCCGGCCTCCATCCAGCATCGCACCCTCGTTCTCCGGCACCCGGCGCTGGGCTCGAGAACCACGGCTGGGCTTTGGGAGCCGAGGACACGCCCCGAAGAGGAGCCAGACCCTCGGTGGGGCCGGCCGGGCCCGGGCCCGGCCCTCCCCGGTGCCACCGCCGCCGCCCTCCCCGCGCGGGCGCACTCACGATCGCGCGGCCGTAGCAGGCCGCCGCCTCCGGGTACTTTCGGCCCACGAACAGACGATTGCCCTGCTCCTTGAGCTCCTGCGCGCTCGGGCTCTTCTCGGGGCTTCCGCCGCCAGCGCCCAGCCGTGCGCCGCCCTCCTTCTCCTCCTTGCCCTTCATGGCGCCGCGCGGCACGGCCTGGGCTCCGCTCCCAAGCTCCGCG
This sequence comes from Homo sapiens, assembly GCF_000001405.40. Classification (NCBI taxonomy): domain Eukaryota; kingdom Metazoa; phylum Chordata; class Mammalia; order Primates; family Hominidae; genus Homo; species Homo sapiens. The sequence goes on along the minus strand of NC_000016.10, from coordinate 680,482 downwards.
CCTCGCGGCCCAGCGCCCGCAGCCGGAGCCCCGCAGCCCGAGCCCGCGATCCGCTCGGGCCCGGCCCAGCTCCGCCGCCGGAACTTCCGGCCGGGGGCGGGACCAGCGGGGACGCACGCGTGGGGGCGAGTGGGGCCGCGCGTGCGCCCAACCAGCCTGGACGGGGACACTGGGCCCGCGACGTCGGGGGCTGGGAGGAACGCTCCAGTTCCCTGTCCCCGCGCTCTTAAGGGTGGGCGTTCGCGTAGGCCCTGGCCTGCCCTGCTGAGGTCTCTTCGGAACCCGCCTCGGCGGCGGCCGCCACACACATTCGACTTTCCCAGTGAGATGCCTCACTTGCTTCGCTGAGGGCGCGCTCCCGCAACAGCCTGTCCCGACCACCTGGGGTTCCGCCCCTGTCCCAACGCGCAGAGACCCCTCCCCCGGCAGCCGGCCCCATCCAGAGGCCCCGCCCCCAGCAGCCGGCCCCATCCGCAGAGGCCCCGCCCCCAGCAGCCGCCCAATCCAGAGGCCCCGCCCCCAGCCGCCGGCCCCATCAGCAGAGGCCCCGCCCCCAGCCCCATCCGCAGAGGCCCCGCCCCCAGCAACCGCCCAATCCAGAGGCCCCGCCCCCAGCACCCGGCCCCATCAGCAGAGGCCCCGCCCCCAGCCGCCGCCTCCCGCCCCTGCGCGTGAACGTAGCGGCTTCCCACGCGCTGTGGGGTGTGAGGACCCCAGTCGCTGGGCTGCCATTCTGGAGCGCCACGAGAGGTGCTACGGGCGAGCGCGAGCCCCCGAGGGCGGCTGGAAGCCCCGGACTGTTGGTAGAGTGGAAGGGGATAGAGATCGGTGGGGCGAGCGTCCTCCGTGGCCAGTCCTCCCCTCACCGCCCTTCCTCAGGTATCGGGAAGAGTTGCCAGCGGCCATCAGGGGCAGAGCAGAGAAGCATGTGACAGGGAGCTGGAGCGGCTGCTGGCCTGGCAGCTTGACTGTGAAGGGCGGCCCGCCCCGAGGGCAGGGCCTCCGTAGCGCGGGTCTTCATTGGGGCGTGGCATCGGCGGGGCGGGTGTCTCCAGTGGGGGCGGGGCCTCCCTGGTGGGTCCAGCACCCCAGGCACCCTGACCTGGCCTCCCACAGAGGGGCGCTTCCGGCCACGTCTGCAGCAGCTGGTGGCCACCAATCCCCCTGAGCTGGTTGTGCACTGTTCGACCGCCACCTTCTGCCTCCTGCCAGATGTGGGGGCTGCAGTCACCGAGCTGTGTGCCCTCTGCGGTGTGGGCCCACCACAGCCTCGGGTGAGTTGGGTGGGCACGACTTGGGTACATAGGCGTTCTTGTCTGTGAAGCGGGCAGTCTGGGCCCTTGCGTGTCGCTAGGAGCAGGAACCATAGGGCCCTGGGCTGCTGGGAGCAGGGTCTCCCAGAGCTTGTCCTGATGGGGTGTGTCTGGCTGCTTCTCCTCGCTGTTCACAGCAGTCCTGGCAGCTGGAGCTCCAGAGATGGAGGCCTTCATGTCAGATGAGGCGGTGGCCACAGTGCCCGGCTGGCCGGCCCCACAGTACACCCTCAGGTACTACCTGCTGTACCTGGGCCAGGTTCAAGAGCGGGCCACAGCTCTGAGCCAAGGGGAATGAACTGTGTGTGGGCAGGTTGGGGTGGCCCGTGCCCCTGGGCCTGAGTCCGTGTGCCCCTCCCTAGCCAGTGCCTCAGGACAGTGGACTCCCTACCTAGTGGAGACAGCACTGTGGACCTGGGCTGTGGGGCAGAGGCTGTGCCCAGACCTGCTGCCCAACCTTGGCCCCAGCCTGGCCACCCACGAGGATGCTAGGCCAGCCAAGAAGCATGGAACCCAGGCCGAGTAAACTTGGCCATGGCCCAGGCCTGCTCACCTGCCACAGAACCTCAGGCCTCCGGGTCTCACTGGACGGCAGGGAGGCTGAAGAGGAGGCTGGCCACTACGGGAGCTCAATAAACACTTCCCAAACTCACGCCTGATCACACACCCGGCCTGACCACACACCTGGCCTGACCACACGCCCGGCCCCCAGCCATCCCGCGTGCCCCCAGCTCCCACAGACACAGCACCTGTGGCCCAGGAACAACTCCCACGCCTGACCCCAGGTGCAGAGATGCACAAGGAGGGAAGTCCAGGCCCCCGTGGTGGGGAGGGCCGTCGCGGTCTGTGCAGCAGGTGTGGGGGCCCTGACGAGTCTCCAGAGCCCGGGACAGCCCCCTGGTGCTGTGTAAAATATTTATTAATTATCCAAAAAGGCTCAGACCGCAAGTCCTGGGAGTGGGGGGTGGGTGGCTGGGACAGGGCCTCCTTTGAGGCCACCCACACCCAAGGGGCACAGCAGCCCTGAGACGTCCGTTCACAAAGGGCAGACGTGAAGGCCCCTGGTGGGCGGCCACCACATGCCCGAGCCCTGGCCTGTGCAGCCTCAGGTAGCCGGTCAGGGCGGTGGGGGGATGTGGGCGCCCAGCAGGTCGTAGGCGAAGACGTTCCAGAAGACGGCGAAGAGCAGGAAGGTGCCGTAGGCCAGCAGCACCACCCACCAGCCGCACTGGTCCCGCAGGCGCTCCTCGTAGCTCCGCAGGATGGTCAGGCCCATGCTCACCCCCACCACCGCGCCTGCCAGGTGCGCCATGAAGCTGGGCTGTGGGCCCGAGGCGGGCAGCGGCGGGGAGAAGCGCAGCCACACGGCCCGGCCCACCTCGGAGCTCACTGCAGAGGGACGCGGCAGGTGGGAGGTGCCCTGGCTGCAGGCTGAGAGGCCCCCCGGCCCTCCCCCCGGCCCCTACTCACTGCACACCAAGGCCAGCACCATCCTCAGCAACTTGTAGGGACATCTCATCCCAGCCCAGTTCTATGGGTGTGTGCAGACGAGAAGTGGTGAGGCTCACCTGGGGCCCCTCCCCACGCCCCCCACCGGGCAGGCCCGTTACCATGACAACGTTGGCCAGGTGTGCCGAGCACAGGGCGTAGACCCCGCCGGAGCCTCCCACCACCGGGGCCCGCATGTCGGTGATGGAGACGGTTAGGGAGCCTGTGTGAGCAAGCGGCGGGTGAGGGTGCAGCCGGCCAGGGCAGGGGGCGGGGGTGCGCGCCTGCCTCACCTGCCAGCACGCCTGCCAGGTAGAGCAGGCTGATGCGGAGCAGGCCGTGCACCATCTCCAGGGGCACCCCGATCATCAGCTGCAGGAGGGCGTTGAACCCCAGCTGCTCCAGCCTGGCCACAGGGAAGCAAACGGGTACGAAGGGTGGGGTCAGCCATCCGGCCCCACCCCCAGCCGTCACCTCAAGTTGCCGCACCTGCCTTGCGGCTAAGCCTTTCTGATGTAATGGCAGGTTGGGGCGGGGCTCACCGGGCAGCAGTGCTACTCACCCAACGTGCATGAACATGTAGGTGAGGAAGCGCCAGGCGCGGGCACGGTGCCCGGGGTGGTACACAAGGGGGCTCTTCATGTACTCGGGGTGGTAGGTCTGCAGCACCCACTTGTTGAGGCGGGCCCCGTAACACAGGAACACGATGATCTGGGGACACGAGTGTTAGGCTGGTCATGGCCAGGAGCGCGGGAGGCTCCCGGGGCAGCGGCCGGGGGGCCCACCTGGGCAAGAGTGACCGAGGCCATGAACACGGGGGGTGGGCAGCTGCGGTGACGGTAGAAGTACCAGCGGCGGTCCACCTCACAAGGCAGGATCTCGTAGGCCACGTAACGCACAAACCGCTTGTAGACACCTAGGCCTGGCTCATCCAGCGGCCCGTCCCGGGGCAGTGCCCGCTGTCCGTTAGCAATGGCCCGCTTGAAACTGCTGGAGCGCTTGCTGCTGATCTGGGGGCAGGGGCCTGAGTGTGGGCCACGGACCTCCCCATGGCACCCCTGCCTGTGAGGCTCACCCAGCTCCCCGCATCCACAAGCCCCCCACCCACCGCCGTGAGGAGCTGCCTGCCCGCCTCCTCTGGCCAGGACACCGTGCCCCTGCCGCCTGCCCACCGTGGCACTGACCAGGTCCACCAGCTCCTGGTAGCAGACCTGGCCCTGCTCGTTGCTCTGAGCCAGGGCCACCAGCATGTCCAGCTTGGCCGGGTCCAGGGGCAGCTCATGGCTGTGCACCAGGCCAGTGAAGGTGTCCGCACCGATGAAGCCTGTGTTCTCGGGGTCCAGCTGCTGCAGTGAGGAGCCGCCAGCCAAGGCCTGAGTGCGGGCCCGACCCCTGGACCAAAGGGCTGGGCCAGGCTGGCTGGGAGCATCAGGCTCAGGCTCCCAGCACTTTTGGGACAGGGGCCCCGTGCCTGTCTGTTCCCTGGGACCCTGCTTGATCCCAGGAGCTGGCAGGGCACTGGTGCCTGGGTCCCAGTCCTCCAGCTCCTCAGTTGTTCCCCCGTCTTCCACCCTACCCATCCTGGAAAGCGAGGGCCAAGGTCCAAGACCAGCCAGCTGCCCGCCCTCCCTCCCTCCCTCCCTCCCTCCCCCCGACTCTCCCTTCTCCAGCCAGGAGCTCTGGTCCAGTCAGTCCTCTCCTGGGGTCCCAGACACACGGACCAAGGTCGTGGAGGGATGAGGTAGGTACCGAGCGGGGCTTTCGGGGAGCTCGGTCCCGCACAAGCTCAGCTCAGCGGCAGGAGGGCCGCATTGGGGGCGGTGCCAGCTCCCCAGACCACCCCCCGACGCACCTGCTCCTGGATGAGCTGCAGCAGCGAGCTCCTGTCCATAGAGCCTGGCCGGGGGCCGGGGTCCGGGGTCGGCGGCCGCGGCCGGGAGGGGCTGCTCTGCGGACGACTCCGCTCCGCCCCAGCCGGCCCGCTCCGCCCGCTCCGCTCGGCGCCGCGCTTGGGCCGCGTCACCGAGTCGCCCGCCTGCCCGCCCCTGCCGCACACGCCGCCACGCGCGGCCAAGACACGCGCGCACCCTGCACGCGGACGCACACCCCGGACAGGAACCGCCTCCAGCTAGCACCGCGTCTCAGCGCCGGCCCCCACCCCCGCTCTGGCGCAGCTCCAGCACACTGGACTACCTCCACGGCAGCCGCTGGTAAATGGAGTCACGGGGATGGGGGGCACCTAAAACCCCCCATGCAAGACCGTTCGCCCTCTCACAGCCTTCCCGGGCTCAGGCCTGTGAGGATGCCACCTCTTCCAGGAAGCCTTCCCTGACCACTGCTTGCTCCCCCTCCAGGCTGACCCAGTACTCCCTGCGGTTCATGTTGCCACCGGCTGGAGCTCCCTGCTTGCAGCAGACACACCCCCTCCCCCCGCAACCCCCCACCGAGCGCAGCAGCAAGGAAGTCCCTCGTCCCGCATGGCCACTACAGCCGCCTCTTAGGAGGAGGAAGACGCTGCTGCAGCCGCCTTGGCTCTGACGACCAAGCCCAGCCCACTCGTCCACACCCTGGGCTGGAGGCCCCTGACCACTCTTGCAACTCCATGCAGGACAGCAAAACCTCCCGCCCTAAGGCGGCGCCAGGGCTGGGCACAAGGGGCATTCCAACACAGAGCAGAACCCCCAGGGGGCAGGGCTGCAGTTGGGATGAGGGGACCTGCTCCTGGGAAGGCGGGCCAACCCCTCCACAATGGAGGTGACAGATAAGACACGTGTGACTATGGCAGCCCCTGCAAGGGCCACTCAGAGGGCTTCTCCTAGGGTTGCAGTAGTCCCAGAAGACAGGCCGTGGGGGTACAGCGGGCTCAAATACCATCAGTCGGGAGGGACCTCAGGGGCCAATGCCACAAGCTCCAAGGCAGGGCCCGTGTGGGCCAGGACTTGGGAAGGGGCCCCACCTGCCACTCCCTAAAGGCAGACATGGGAGGGGGGGGACCAGGCCTTCTGATACTTGTCCGGGTGACCTTGGGAAGGCCACGCCCTGGGTCCCGAGAAGCAGGCATCTGGGCTCAACTCCCAGCCCGTCCCTCCCTCTGGCCCATCCTGCTTCCCTCAGGTCAGGGCCCCAGGGTCACCCCGTTCTGTGGCAGGCAGTGACCACATCTGGTCACACAAGCCCAGGTTCTCGGCGCAGCTCAGCCAGGCTGGCAGGACGCTCTGGGGAGTGAGTGGGCAGTGCCAGGGCACACTGGACCCTGAGAAGGGGTCAGTCACCGGGGAAACATCTCAGGCACCGGCGCCCCCCAGTCCATGCCGGGCGCGCACCGTCCTCCCGCAGTGGGCTCCCACTCCCAGACCGCAGGACCTCCAAGGACACTGGGCTCCCAGGCCACAGCAGCCCAGAGTGGACCTTCCAGAGGCCATATGCACACGCCTGAGACCTCAGAACAGTGACCCAGGAATGAAAGGAGGGGTGGCGTTTCCAGCCCACATAAAGACAAACAACACATTCTAGGTTGAATCAAAGCAAGTTGTCTTCAGAGACTGGGATCCGAGATAGAAAACACACAGTGAAGTTTAATCAGGAACCCAACCTCCGGTCCTCTGCTACAACCACGGAAACGGCTCCAAACTTGAGGGGGGACCCCCCAACGCCTGCTTTTGGCCCAAAGCTCTGCCTTCCAGCCCTCCTCATACCCACTGGCCACCTAGGACCAGGAAAGGGGGGTAGAGCCCTGAGAATTCTGGGTCTGGGGTCACCAGCTCCCACACCTGTGCTCCCCGGCCCCACACACATGATGCCCAGGGGTGGGCAATCCCTGACAGCGGTGGCCGGCACTTGGGAGCTCCTGCTCAGCCACCTGCCACGGCCCACCCTGGGGGTCCGGCAGGAGCCAGGGCAGTGCATGGCAGCATAAGGCCCCGCTGCAGATCGACTGCCTTCAGAAACAAAAAGTCCCGGCGCAAAGGCGTTCCCGGAGTGGCAGCCTGGCCTGCACCCCAGCTGTGCTGCCCCTGCAGAGCCCCAGCAGCGAGGCACACCCAGGTCAGGGGAGGGGGCTTGGGTACCAGGGGCCTCACTGGCTCTTCACCAGGACCCTGTAGAGTGAGAAGCTGAGGACTGCGGCCACGGCGGCCCCGACAACCCCCAGCAGCCCCCGGAGCCAGAAGGAAGAGGGATGCAGCTCTGCGTGGACCAAATGTCTGCAAGAGAGAAGAATCATCTGCAGATACCTCAGGCACATGCCCCCAGCTTGCTGCTGGGCACCCTCCCATGTCCTGGACTCACAGGGCCCCACAGGCGGGGATCCCAGACCAGAGGCACAGCCGGTGGAGGCCAGGCCCTGGAGGGACATGCCTGGGCACTGCCTCCCTCTGCCACACAAAGCTCCACCCCGCCACTCTGGCCCCAGTTCCAGGCCTGACGCCACTGCTGCCCACTGCTCGGATGACAGACACTGCTAGTCCCCAGTTCCAGGCCTGACACCACCGCTGCCCACTGCTCGGATGACAGACACTGCTAGTCCCCAGGGCTGCGCTACTGGGTACCCACGGGAAGGCGGCCATGGTGGCGAGCTGGGTGAAGATGGTGGTGCTGGGCTCGGCTGGGCCAGCACAGGAGAACGGCACGGGAGCGGGTAGCCGGTGCTTGCGGCAAAACTCGGCCGGTGATGGGCCAGACACCGCGACACCTTCGGGCAGGTCGGCCTTGGAGGAGACAAAGAGGCAGGGGGTCTGCCCGTCCATGTAATGGTGCTGTGGGCAGAGAGTGGTATGAGGTACAGTCCTGGGGTGGCCGAGGCACAGCTGGAGGGACAGACCCTGCCCCATGGCCACGTGGCCCCTGCAGGGCCCCACCTTGTAGACGCTGGCACAATGTGCAAAGGACTTTGGGTCACTGCCATCAAACATCAAGCAGGCAACGTCACAGGTGGCGTCCAGCGATGTGGCCAGCAGACCATCTGTGCCCACCTCACAGAGCTGGGACAGACAGCGGCCTTAGGAAGGGTCCCTGGGGCTCGGTCCCCCTAGGGCCATGCTGGGCCAGATCTGCCAGGCAGGCCTGGGTGTCCCCGGGTCCACCCTCGGGCACAGGCCGCGCCGCCCCAGCACTCACGATCAAGTACTTCTCCTGTCCATTGACCTGCACCGTGTCGATGGCGTAGCCGGGAGGCTGCTCCCTCGTGTCCTGGTGCTGAGGGAGGTGAAGTCCTGACACTCGCTGGCTGCAGTGCCCCCCAGATTGCCCTGCCCTGCCCCTGGAGCCCCTGGGGTGGTGGGGGAGTCTAGGGTGCTTACCCCCAGGCCGCGGCCGAGAAAGGCCTGCAGGAAGGCAGACTTGCCCACTCCACGGGCCCCTACCACCTTGCACAGGAGGACGCTCCGCTGCGTCTGTCCCTTCTCCTGGTCCAGCCTCTTCTCACGAGTGACTGTGAGGATAGACACGGGTTAGGGCAGCTGCCAGGATACTGGGCCCAGGCCCAGGGAGGGTGGGTGCCTACCTGTGATGGCATGGGCCTGGTCCTGCTCACAGAGGGTGGGGTAGCCCAGGTAGCCTAGGTGTCCAAGGCAGCTCCGGACGTCCAGGTAGGTCACCAGGCTGGGGGTGGGCGGGAGGCAGGCACAGTGTTATGGTGGGGAGGGTGGTGCGGCAGGCGGGCATGGTGTGGGCCGCACTTACGTCCACTGGCAGAGGTATCCGTGCAGGGGCAACCGGCCGGCCTCTGTGCGGACTGTGCGTGGGAGCTCGGGGCCCCAGGGCGCTGCTGGGAACACACTGAAAAGGCTTTGCAGCTCCACGGGCGAGAGGGCGCCGTCGCGGTCCTGCAGAAGGAGGGATGTGGTGATGTGTGTGCCGGGGAGGGGGCGGGGGCAGGGGCAGGGGACTCGCCATGCTCTCACCTGGTCGTGCTTCTCAAACACTCTCTGCACAAACTGGTAGCCAAGGTGGTTGAGCTCCGTGCTGCAGCCGGGGGGCACGTGGATCCTGCAGGGAGGCCACAGCCCGTCTAGCTCCCAGGAGACTCTGCAGCACCACGCTCAGCCCATCTGTCACCCTGCCAGCCCCATCGGTGCAGCCGGACCCTCCCTACAGGACCCAGAGGCTCCTGTACGCCCCCGACCTTGCAGCTGCGATAGGGGAGGAGGGTGCCCACCTGGCTCCAGCACGTGGGAGGCCTGGCTGAGGCCCACAGGCCACACCCCAAGCTGCCGACCCCAGCAGGGTAAACAAGCCACGCGAGCGGGGTTGGCAAAGGGCCAGCCCCCCCACCCCCCGACTCAGAGCTCTGTGGATGCTGAGGGGTTCAGGGCACAGCCAGGCAAGGGCACGACCCCAGATGGCCTGCTGAGCGAGACCTTCACTGACCCTCAGGGAGGGCAGGCCTCAAACCCCAGCGTCACTCATGGAGGGGAGAGATAGTCGGCAGTCAGCTCCTGACCCTCGGGGAGGGCAGGCCTCAAGCCCCGGCATCACTCACAGAGGGGAGAGATAGTCCGCAGTCAGCTCCAGGGCATCGCTGTAGCCGAAGCGCCGCAGGATGGTCCAGGTGGTCTCGTGCCGGCCGCGCTGGATGAAGAGCGTGTTCAGGAAGAGGAAACCTGCACCGAGACAAAGCAGGGGGAGCACCAGGCACAGCCCCCTCCCCACACTCCCCAGGCACAGGCGGGCACCCGGCCTCACCATCCAGGGTCAGCCGGTCCTCCCGCACGCCGCCCGCCACGTTCCTGCACACCACCGTCTTCACGTCCTCCAGGGCCTGCGGGGCCAGGGGGTGCCCAAAGCAGGATTTCTGCTTCCGAGAGAACGTTGTTGGGAGTCAGCCAGCCACCCGGAGACGACCCGTTCCAGTCACTAACGGCAGCGGAGGTTCAAGGGGGCTGGGCACCGAGGGTGGGGCAGGGGCACACCTGGAAAGCGTTGAGCTCTTCGTCACTGAGCGCCTGGTCCAGGTCCTGATCTGAGAGCCTGAAGATGCGCGTCAGCGCCTGGGCGCACGCGGGCCTCAACTGTGGGGATGTTGGCTCAGCACCCTCAGGTGACCCACGCCGACCTGCCACACCGCCCCACCCAGCACCCCCTGGGCCCCTGGGGAACCAGCGTGCGGGGCCCCAGCCGATGCTCACCTGCTTGGCCTCAGGGTCATAGAGGGGGGCTGTGGGATGCAGGACGGCCTTCTGGGCGTAGTAGAACAGCTCTGAGATGTTCCTCAGGTTCTTGGCCGAACACTGGGAAAGTGGGAACAGCCTCAGGGAAGTGCCCCGAGGAGGGCACCGACTGAGAACACAAGGAATGAAGGAGGCGGCCCTGCCTGGGACCTACTCACCTCCACGCAGGTCTCAATCTCGGGAAACTGGCTCATGATGGGGAGCACGGCCTCCATGGAGCTCCCCGACCGCAGGTCTGACTTGTTGCCCACTAGGATGATGGGCACCCTGGGTTGAAGGCCCATGGTCACCAGGGGCAGGGGAGCCAGGGGTCCCAGCCCCTTCCACATCCCCTCATTACCTGGGCCCCTGCGTGGTCCCCCCATTCACCAGTGGGATCCACTTAGTTCGAATCTGAAAAGCAAAGCCTGGCTGTGAAGTGAGGCTGCCCGCGGGCACATGGCTCCCAGCTGGAGCATGAGCCTGGCTGGGGGAGAGCAGAAGGGGGAGGTCAAGGCCCACTGAGGGCCCAAGTCCCGGCCACAGGAACAAAGCTGGTGGGAGAAGGCAGGCAGCAGGTGCAGCCTCATCTGTCTGACCCCAATGGCTCCCAAACACCCCCAAGTCACTGGGGCCCAAGCCTAGGGCCGCCCCCAACGCAGGCCCTCTGCGGGTCCCCCCCCGGGGGTTTGGAAACTGGGGAAGAAAGAGGACTGCCGGCCTCAATGGCTCAGACTGCGGGACGCCCCAGACCCTCTCAGGGGAAGTGGGATCACAGGAGAGGGCCGGGTGACTCCACGTCAGGCAACTCCACGTCAGGCTCCCCAAAATGCTGTGAGCGATGGCACTGGCCACGGGTTGGGTGAAGGTCCACCTGGGCCACCACCGGCCACTGTGTCTCTGCTGTTGGGGTCTGCACTGAGGGCTCACCTTCTCAATGGTGGCCTCCTCAGAGACGTCATACACCACACACACCACGTTTGCCTGAGGGAACAGTGATGAGGTGTGGGTGACAGGGCTGCTGGCTCACCACCGACGACCCTGGCCGTTCCACGCCATCTCGAGGCTCCAGGAGGCCCCAGAAGCTCACAGGTAGCATGGGTGCAGCTCTGAGGCCGGGAAAGCCCAGCCTTCCCTAAAACCTGCCTCCAGCCTGGTGTTGGCAGAGCAGGCACTCCCCAGTGTCACACTGGGAGCTGCTGCTGAACCCTCAGAGAAGCCTCTTCCCCGCCCACTGCCAGTGCAGGGACACCAGGCCCCAGAAGCATAACTGTGGTCAGCAAGACCCTTGGAGCAGAGGGCTCAGGACAGACACGGCCACACCTGCAACCCAACACCCTGCAAGACAGCCGCCGCCTTGGCCCCTGCCTCCCCCCTCGCTACAGACAGAGTGACAGGACCGCAGTGAGGGGTGCCAACAGCAGGGGCTGCCCTGGGTGGCTGTGGCCTGTGCCCTTGCCTGGAGATGTCCCCGGCACACGTGCTCTGGTACTGGGAGCTCCGGGTGCCCGGAGGCCGGGACGGTGGGCTGGAGCACACAGCACGGGGACGTGGCGCACACAGAGCCCACAGGAAGAGCAAACGCTGCTGCCACCCCGGCAGGAGGGAGGGAGAGCCCGCGGGGAAGGGTCCTGTTATCCCTGGAGCACCACTGGACTGAGCGGTGCCGGCTCCCAGCGGGGTGCGCTGTAGGGGCCCCGACAACCCTCAGTGCGGAGGTCACAGAATTATCAGGGCCAAGGACACCCGGAGCACCTCGGTCCAATCCCCCAGGCTGCGAAGCGGATTAGGCCGAGCCCGCGCCCAGCCCCTCCCTCGTCCCGCGCACCACGGGTACCTTGTGGATCTCCTCCCGCAGCTCCTCGTCCGTCTGCTCGGCTTCTAGGGGGACAAAGAGACTCCACTGCGGACCCAGCAGGCCCGCCGGACCGCTGCGGGCCGGGCCCCCGGGAGGCTACGGCCGCTACCTGAGTAGTCCACGATGTGGGTGGGCACCTTCTCCGGGGTGACGTCCGCGGGGATGGTGATCTCCTCCGCGCGGGGAGGGACCTGCAAGGGACCCGCGCGCTCACCAGGGACCCCCGGCTGGGCCCGCTCCCACCCCCGCGGCGGGCGTGCCCCTTACCTCCTCGGGGAACTCCTCGCCCACCAGGGACAGGATCAGCGACGTCTTCCCCACCTGGGCTGCGCGGGGCGAGGCGGTCAGCGCGAGGGCCAAGGTCACGGCGCCCCCCGACCCCCGAGACCCTCACCCCGCCTCACGGCCGCCGCAGCTCCGAGACCCCCGGGCCGGCGCCTACCCTCGCCCAGTAACAGGATGCGCACGTCCCGCCTCATAGCTGCCGCCCGGAGCCGCTCCCCGACCCGGAACCCGGCCCCGACCTGGTCCTCAAGCCTTTCGCTCTGCCCCCGCGCCCGCCCCGCACTTCCGGTTCTCGGCCCCGCGCTGTCCCCACACTTCCGGCCCCGCCCGCACAGCCGCACCAGCGAGCCGGGCGGGCCAGAGCGGACAGGCTGTGCGGCGCGCCACCGTGTGGACGCGCCGGCCACGGCGGACAGCGCAGGGTCCTGGCGCCCTGGCAGGCCGAGCGGCCATTGCTTCACGGCACCACAGGGGCCTTGACAAACAGCCGATTAAGGGACGGGCAGAGGCTGAGCTCAGGCCAGGAGTGACCAGAGACAGCCAGTGCAACAATGCAGCAATAATGCAATAAATGCCCATGTTTATTACAAGATAGAAACATTAAAGATTTCTTAGGCAAAAGGGCAACAGGTATGAAAGTATTCACAGGGCGCCAAATTTACAACAGCTTGCTCCAGGCGATTTACGTGAATCCTGGCCTGTCCCAGCATGAGGCCATTGACAACCTGGCGCCTCTGCCAAGCCTGTGTCCAGGTGCCTGGCATGACCAGGCGTGATGCCCACCACCACAGTCCCTGCTGCATCTCAGAGGCCGGGGACCTCCCACACAAGGATCTCGTTGCGGGCGGCCGTGAAGAGCAGCCTGGCGGACGGTGTAAACCTGCACAGGTGCACTGCGTTGTCGTGGCCGGCAAAGTCTTGGGCAGTCCCCATGGCACAGTCTACCAGCCTCAGCATGCACTCTGTGGGTAGACGGTGCAGGTGGGCCAGGGCCAGGACCAGGCAGCACTCAGAGGGCTCCCCCAACCCACCCAGACTGTCCCCACTGGGCATGATGCTGGTCGGGGGAGCTGGTGCTAAAAGGGCTCCTGGCTGTGCCCTCCACGTGCCACTGGGACTAGGGGGTCCATCACTGCCAGGCTGTCGGCCTGCAGCTGGGCCAGTTCCCTCCTTAAAAGTCGCTGCCACCCGTGCATTCAGGCCCTGTGCTGGGCGCTGTGCCTGGTTCCTCACCTGCCTCATCATCTCCTGACTCCAGGACCCTCTCTAGGGCAGATGTCCTCACCCCACCCCAGAGACGAGGAGCCCGGGGCACAGGTGAGGCACCTGTCTTGGAACAGGGCACCAGTCAGCCCACTTGGCCCCCACCTAAGACAGGCCCAAACTGCATCCACCAGCACTCACCAGCAAAGCCAACAGCCAGGAGGTGGGTCCCGGGGGACAGGCTCAGGGACATGGCAAAAAAGGGCAGTGGTATCTTCTCCACCACCTGTGAGCAGCCAGCGTGAGGCTCCAGGCCTGTGGGCTCAGGGCTCAGCCAGGCCCCACCCACCACCCTGGATCCCTGGGGCTCCCAGTGACACGCGGGCAGCTGCGTGTACCTGCTTCTGGCAGAGGTTGTAGATGATCACCTCCTTGTAAACACCGGGGCCCACGTACATCAGGAGCGCCCCATCCCAAGGGCAGAAGGCAGCGAGGGAGGGTGGCAGGTGGCCCTGAGTCTGCAAAGGCGCAGCATGCTGCGGTGGGGTGGATGGGTACCGGCCCCACCCACAGTGCCAGGAGCATGGTTTACCTCCGTGGTGGCAGGCATTGGGAAACTCAACCAGTCCACAAGCTCACAGTGGTTCCGCAGCCAGTCGGAGGCCCAGACGCTGACCCGCTGGTCCCCACTGGCAGCCAGCCATAGGTCTGTGCCCTCCACCCCTAAGTCTTCACACTGGGAATGGAGTGGGTGAGGGCCGACAGGTGCCTTCTGCCAAGATGGTGCCTGCCCCCACCAGCACCCAGGCCCCCTCTCCCCAGCTCTTGGGGCTGCTTTACCTCTTTGCACGTGACACAGATGGTAGAGATTGGGGCGCCCTGGTGGTCACTCAGCACACGGAAGGTTGTCCCTGTGCAGGGGTGGCTCACAGCCACGAGCCCATCCTTGTCTCCAGAGAGGACAGTCTGACCTGGGACCATGCCGTCACCCTGTGAGCCCCCAGCCCGGAGACTGGACCTGGGCCAGGTCAGGACGGCACCATCCCCAACACACCCAACTCCTCACCATCGGTGGAGAAGGCAACAGTGGTCAGCGCCACCGGGTGGGGGTGCATCTTGAGCTCCATGGCCGTGCGGGAGACGCTGAAGATGCGCAGGGAGCCGTCACCGTAGCCAGCCGCTAGCCGCTGCTGCTCAGGGCGGCCACAGCACGGGGGGCTCCATGCCAGGCAGAGGCAGCTCTGGGGACCCACAGTGGGGAAACTTCAGCACTCACAGGGGCCCTGAGGACACACACCCAGGCCAGAGGGAGGAGGCGGCCCCGCCCATGCCAGGCCCCCCACTGAGCAGGCCCCCATCCCGCCCCCGGCCCGGGCACTCCCCACACACCTGGTTCAGCACCTGGAACTGGATCACAAGCTCCATGCTGGCCAAGGCCCACACCCGCACACTCCCATCCTCACTGCATGTGGCGCAGTGGGACTCCCCGGGGCTGAAGACCACCTCGTTCACCTGGGGGAAGCCGTAGCTAGGCTGGGGGTGTTGGCCCCTGGGCAGGGTAAAGGGACGCAGGCATTTCCTATTCCAGCCCCCAGGGCCGGGCTGTCCAAACCAGAGCATGTGCCTCTGGCCCCGGCCAACTCCACATGGCGGAAAGGAGCAATGCCGGCCCCCGTGTGTGTCCCTGCACTAGATCTGGGTGAGTCCAAACCAAAGCAAGCCCACTAGCCAGTCAAACCCGGCGGGATACCGAGGAGAAAGCTGTTCTGACAGCACCTCAAAGACAGGAGCGTGGCCGTGCATCCCTAGCAGGCTACAGACTGAGGCTGAAAGACAGGAGTGTGGCCGTGCGTCCCTAGCAGGCTGCAGACTGAGGCTGAAAGACAGGAGTGTGGCCGTGCGTCCCTAGCAGGCTGCAGACTGAGGCTGAAAGACAGGAGTGTGGCCGTGCGTCCCTAGCAGGCTGCAGACTGAGGTTGCAGCGAGCGCGCCATGCAGTCGCATTCCTCCTCCCAAAACCGCTGCACGCTGATTGGGGGGAAATGCAGACGTGTCATTATGCAGGTGCCACTGACAGCTGGGACTGCTGGACTGGCAGAAAGGAGACACAGCTGCCACTCACCAGTGAGAAGAAGCAATACAGCCTGGCACCAAATGTGAACTTTAAGTGCAAGTGGGAACACGATGCACTTCATTAAAAAAAAATCAGTTCAGCCGGGCGCGGTGGCTCATGCCTGTAATCCCAGCCCTTTGGGAGGCCAAGGTGGGCGGATCACGGGGTCAGGAGTTCGAGACCATCCTGGCTAACACGGTGAAACCCCGACTCTACTAAAAATACAAAAAATTAGTCGGGCGTGGTGGCGGGTGCCTGTAGTCCCAGCTACTTGGGAGGCTGAGACAGGAGAATGGTGTGAACCCGGGAGGCGGAGCTTGCAGTGAGCCAAGATCATGCCACTGCACTCCAGCCTGGGCGACAAGAAACTCCGTCTCAAAAAAAAAAAAAAAATTCAGTTCAGCTGAGCAATGAGGGACTGCAGGGACTCAGACCAGGACAGCTCAGTCCATCTCCCCGGGAGGGCCCTGGGCCCTACAAGGAAACGGCAAAGTCCAGGCCCAGGCAGAACCGCCCAGGCAGAACCACACAGGCGGGGCCCAGAATTCCTCGCACTTCCACATCACAGGAAGGCCACCAGTGACCACGGGCTCAGGTCACGGTCTCAGGACCCGAATTTCCCAGCCCTGGTGGATGGACACACACATGATCTATCCGTACAATGGAACAGTATTTGGCCATCAAGAGGGATGACTGGCTTGGCACACACAGCGGCTGGGATGACCCTGGAAACCATGCTCAGGGTGAGAAGCCAGGTGAGCCAGTTCCTACAGAATATCCTGAATGGGAAGACCCAGACACAGAAAGCCACTCAACGGTCGCCAGGGGCTGGGGAGGCGGGAAGCAGGGAGCGACCGAGGAACAGGCACGCACGGGGTTTCCTCTAGGCACGCACGGGGTTTCCAAAGCTGCTGAATATGCCAAAAGCCACCCCCTGAAACACACGGAGCTTGTGCTGTGACGACTACACCTCAGCAAACCTGCTTCCAGAAAAGTAAACAACCCTCACCTGTCTCAAACTCAACTTTCTTTGCTGGCTATCGTCATCTCCAAATACTAAAGACAGGTTTCTAAAGAAACAACCCAGGGGCAACTGGATGATGGGACTCAGCATCAAGGAAAAATCAATCCCGTGGGGCCCAGCTGACCACACGCAGAGCTCTTACACCCACAGGAGGAAGCCCATGGCCACAGCTGCTAGACCAACGCCACGCCAGGAACCTGGTCCAGCAGGGGAAGGAATGGCACCTGTCCTGCCGCCCCAATTCCGCCCAGGAGGCCACCTCTCCTAAGGCTGCAGCTGGCGGGTGAGGGGGCGACACGGTGGCTGTCCCAACCCCATGAGGCCACAGAGCTTCCAGACCAGGAGGTCCCAGAGAGATGAGTGCTGTGTACTTCTTGGAGACGCAGCTCCAGCACCAGGAGGCTGCAGGCCAGAGCTGGGCCTTACAGGACTAGACCCAACACCAACCAGAACCTGAACAGACCTGACCCAGAGAGAGCAGAACTTGACCCAGTAGCTACCTGGGCCTCCTGACCTCTTGAGCCTCAGAGAACAATCCCATGAGACTGAGTCAGCAAAGCCAGTCTATGGGAGGTGCAGGGACAGACGATGTGGGGTTTTTCATCTTTTTTTTTTCCTTTGAGATGGAGTCTCTGTCGCCCAGGCTGGAGTGCAGTGGTGCAATCTTGGTTCACTGCAACCTCTGCCTCCTGGGTTCAAGCGATTCTCTTGTCTCAGCCTCCAGAGTAGCTGGGATTACAGGTATACATCAAGAGGCCCGGCTAATTTTTGTATTTTCAGTAGAGATGGGATTTCGCCATGTTGACCAGGCTGGTCTCGAACTCCTGACCTCAGGTGATCCACCTGCCTTGGCCTCCCAGAGTGCTGGGATCACAGGCATGAACCACCACGCCCGGACTGATGTGATTTCTTTGACAATTACAAAAAACAAAAAACAAACAAACAAAAAAACGCAAAGCAATAGCAGGGAAAGGACAGTTTGAGAAGACCTGCAAGGCCTGCCAGGCGGCTCGCTTGTGCAGACACAACCGGGACGGCTTTGAGGGGACGTGCACACCCAAGACTTCCCCGCTGGGAACCCCAAGGCGGCCGCTGCGAGCCAGTGACGGCAGGACTTGGAATCATCTGGGCTGGTGGAGATGGAGCCGGCAGGCAGGGAGGGCACCAGGTTCGGCTGCCCCGCCTCTGCCCAGGCTGGAAGTCCCTCACCTTGCTCCTGTGGCCACTGATGAGACGTGTGCTGGTGCCCTCGGCCCAGCTGACAAACCACAGCGTGCCCGCCGTGGTGCCCACGACGCCCATGTCCACGCTGTCATCGAAGCTGGCACTCACCACAGCCCCGTCCAGCACCAGCTCGTGTTCCATGAACACAGAACTGGACCTCAGGGTGCAGGGAAGGAGAGAACAATGGGTCTCAAGGCCGATGACAAGAGCCAGCTGGGTCCCCAGCCGAGGCAGGGCCCTCAGCATTGCATCTCAGGACCTGGCTGTGCCCTCCCGGTGGAAGAAGAGAAAGCCCATGGAGCTGGGGCTTCTGGGCCCATGCCCGTACTCGACAGCAGCCAGTGAGGCCCAGGCCACACCCAAGCCTGTCCCTTGGAGGGGCTAGCAGGCGGCCGGTCTGCAGGGCGGCCTTTGCGGGGGCGGGGCACTGGCTGCAAGCCCCAGTCAGGGACACCAACACCCACGTGCAGCCAAAACACGTAGGGGTGAACAGCTCACCTGGCGCCTGAGCCCTTGCACCTCAGCTCCGACACAGCCCCCACGGCCCACAGGCGCAGCCGCCCCGTGCTGCTGCCGCTGACCAATCGAGAACCCGAGAACAGCAACAGCCCTAGGGGCAGGAGGAGCCATAAGGGGCCACGGCTGCCTTCCCAGAGGCCCTGGGTCACAAGGCTGCCCGGACGCCAGGGCTACAGATGAGGCCTCTGCCCCAGCTCTGAGGATCCCAGGTAGGGGTCCTGAGGGCCACAGGGCTTCTGCGGGGCACTCACCAATGCCACCGTCATCCGCCTCCCAGGACAAGAAGCAGCGGCCGGCACGCGTGTCCCAGACACAGACCTGGCCAGAGCTGGTGCCACAATAGAGCAGGGGAGGTGCCCCGTAGCAGAGCGAGGTCAGCTCTCCAGCCCCCACTGCCTCTGGGACTGGCTCTCGACGCACCTGGCAAAGTATGAGAGTGGCCATGGGTCAGCAGTGTCCCGGGGCCCAGGCAGATTCCACCCCACAAAACAACCCCTGGGCCCAAACGCTGAACGGGTGGCACCTGAAGGCTGATGTCTGCCCCACGCTGCTGAAGGAGCCAGAAGGTGACAGTGCCCTGGCCCACACAGGTGAGCTCGCCGGCGTCCCAGGGGTTGAAGGCCACACCATGCACCGGCTCCGGGAGGCGGGTGGAGGACACGAGGTCATAGGTGGCCGTGCCCCACAGGGCGAGGGTGCGGCCATCGTGGTCCCCTGGGAAGGACACAGAGCAGCCACGTCAGGTGCACAGATGCAGCCCCCCCCGGGGTCTAGGGAAGCCCCTGGCCTCCACCCTCCCTCCCACTGACCCAGTGTGACAAGAAGCCTGTCATCTGGTGAGAAGGCCAGGGCCAGCACGGTGGTGCTATGGGGGAAAATGAGATGCTGGCAGAGGCCGCCAGACACGTCCCAGACGCGGATCTGACAATGGGCGGTCGTGCTGCTTCGGCCCGAGGCAGAGGCCAGGACCTGGCAGGCAAGAGGCCAGGCGTGAGTGGGGAGGCCGTGGCTGGCTGGAGTGGAGGCTGGGGTGGCCGTCTGCTCCGTCTTTGGTGGTGAGAACCCGCACCGGTCCGGGAGCTGGGTTCTGCCGGGCACGGTGGCCCTGGGAGAGGAGGAGGGCGATGCAGGCGGGCACCTGGGCACTGTGGCTGAGGGCCAGCGTGGAGATCTCCGCAGAGTGGCCGGACCAGTGCTGCTGGGCGCCAGAGTGCAGGTCCTCCACCACCACCAGGCGGCCGCACGTGTAGGCAAAGAAGCCTGTGCGCAGAGAGGGCGGGGCCTGAGGCCGGGCCGGGGGGGGGGGGGGGCGGGGAGGGGCCTGGGGAGGGGCCGAACAGGGGGCGGGGCCTGGGCCGAGCCGTGGGGCGGGGCCAAGGGGTTAGCATCGTCCCAGCTGCGCCCTCCCCAGCGTCCAGTAGCCAAAGTGCTTCACAGGACCTCGGCTGGAGCGCCAGGAGGCGCTACCGGGAGAACAGAGCCCCACACTGATGGCTGGCGCTCATTTGCCACCAGGTCCTGGCCTTGGGGTGGAGACGGCTGGACCACGCGCGGCCGCATCTTGGCTGGGGGTGGGGGTAGGCTCTTGGCCCCCACCTGTGTCCGGCCTCCAGACCATGTTGGCCCGCCCATTCCCGCTGTAACCGACGACAGCCTTCAGACGCAGCCACCCACCGCTGGCGGGAGGCGGGCAAGTGCCCTGCGAGGAAGGAGACCCGGATGCTGCTGGGGCCCAGCATGGCCACCTGTGCCCCAAAGCCTGCACATGGGAGGCTGTGTTGGGGCACACCCAGGCCAGCTGCAGAGGACACCCAGGGGCAGACGGGGAAGCTGGGGTAGGAGGTGTGGGAGCTGTGGGCACTGTGCCAGGGCCAGGAGGGGCACAGGCCCGTGGGGCTCTCATCAAGGGCAGCTGCTGGGTGAGAGGGGAAGGCAGGTCAGCAGGAGGCCACCACAGAGTCCCGTCTGGAGGCCAGCGGAGGGCAGGGGTGGGGGTGTGGGATGAAGTTGCCTCCAGGGGACAGGCGCCCAAGGGCCAGAGCCATCACCTTTGGCGACCAAAAGCAACCCTGAGGAGGTGCTGGGGAGCCCTGCGGGGGGCCTCTGTGCTTGCTGGGGATAAAGAGGGCTCCCAGAAACCACTCCCCACCTTGGCAGAGTGGGGGCTGCAGCTGACCCTGGCAGGCGTGAAGGCCTTGCAGGAAGCCAGGTAGGTGGTGCGTGGGGCCCCCGAATTCCTGGTGTCCCTGGCGCCTGGCAGGGAGGAGGCAGAGCTTGTGGCATTACACTGCCCTGAGCTCTTCAGAGACCCCACACTACACGCAGTCTCCCCACAAGCCCCTGGTCTACCACACAGTGAGAACTGCACGGCGGGGCACAGGCCGGAGCCACAGACGCAGGCAAACCGTGTCCCACTGCAGGTGACCTTGCCTCGTCACACGGGGGACTCACCGACCGTCCTCAGGCCCCTGCACCGGCACCAGCGTCCCTGCCCTGCCCTCCACTGCTCACGGGGTTGGCCGGGGGAACGGGGAGGCAGGGCAAGCCCCCAGGAGCCCACTGCCGCAGCCCAGGCCCCGTCTCCAGCCCTGCCAGCCTCCTCCTCCGTGAGCACAGGTGGGCCTGAGGCCTGCCCAAGCCCCTCGGGGTCACAGCTCTCCTCACAGGGTCCTTCCTCATCTGACGGGGACAAGGTGCCTGGGGCCAAGGGGGAGAGGAAAAGCTGCCCCCATCCCGACCCCACCGTGTTCCACCTGATGAGGCTAAGGAGGAGAGGAAAAGCTGCCCCCACCCCGACCCCACTGTGTTCCACCTGATGAGCAGCGATGGCACCTGCACCCCAGAGCTGGACGTGCGTGAGTACCTGCTGCCACTGGGCCTGTGCCCTCTCAGACCCCCGAATCCCCCCACTCCTCCAGGACCCCTGCTGCTCACCATCGCCACCTTCGGGAGGCCTGGCACAGACGCCCAGCCGTGGTGGAGATGCCTGACATGGCTTGGGGACCTGCTGCCGGGGGAGCTCGCTGGCCCTGGACGCTGCGTCCTCCAGCGGTCCTGCGCCCGGGCCTGGGGAAGAAGCAGCCCTGTGATGTTTGGGAAGGAAGAGGAAGGGCCACTAGGCAGACACAGGACGGGCCCCAGAGTCAGCGCAGCACCTGCACCCCAGCTGAGCACAGCCACTCACCTGTCTTGCAGGCTGGGGGGGCCCCGGGGAAGCTTTGGTCGCTGGAGAGGGAGGAGAGAGGGTTTCAGGAGGGCCTGGGGGGCCTAGGCAGACACAGCTGAGAGTAGGCACTTGCCTCTCAGTAGGGGCCAGGACATCCCAGAGGAAGACGGCGTCCCCTGCGCTGAGGACCTGCTGCTGGTCAGGAGAGAAGGCCACAGCCTGCACGGGTTCCGAGTGGCCGATGTACACCTAGGGGTAGCGGCGTCACATGCAGGACCCCGAGGCGGGGCATGGATGCTGCCGTGTGCCCAGTCCCCAGGGACGGTGAGCCCCACACAGTGTGAGGCCCCGGAGGCACAGAGGATCCTTGGGGGGTCACTCTCACCCCTCACCTTCTGCTCTCCCTGCCCCCACCCACACCTGCAGGGGTCTCCAGGGCCACCTGAGGAGGCTCCTGACCGCCAAAGCCACCTGCCTCCCCACGCACACACCTGGGGGCCTGGGCTGGCCTGTGTGGCGTAGTCCCACACCTTGATGGTCCGGCCGGCGGCAATCAGCAGGAAGCGGGCGTCCTCACTGAGCGTCAAGGAGGGGCAGGGCTCAGGGTGGACACCGGGCAGCTGGAACACAGTGCTCTTGGGAAATGCCGTGTCTCAGGAGAGTGGCCAGCAGCCTGGGGCCTCCCTTCGTTGTGGGTGTGGCGACGGCCCCCCACCCAGCTGGAGAGGCTGCAGGCACAGAGGCCAGGCCTGGACAGCACAGGGAGGGCCAGGTCGGCGGGCCACAGCCCTGAGGCTCACCTCCCGGATGATGCGGCCCGACACAGCATCCAGCACCACGACTCTGTTGGACGAGGTGGACACCAGCAGGTGGCCCAGAGCTGCAGGGCCAAAGCACACAGCCATGGCTGAGTCCAGGCGGCTGCTGGCCAGGTCCAGAGTGCCGATGTCAACTCGCAGCAGCTGGGGGTAGTGGTAAGTGGCCGACAGTCAGGGCCCCTGGGCAGAGCCGGTGCCACCCAGGGTCAGGCTCGGGAGGGAGGTCCCGGGGACACGCACTCGGCACCCAGGCAGCACCTGCCCTGCACAGGAACCTGGCCGCACGTGGGCCCCACATGGCTGATGTGTACTCTGCGACAGGAGGCGGGACAGGGCCTGGGTCCTGCTCCCGAGTGGCCGTGACCTCCCTCCTGCCCCTGCAGCCAGCCTCTCATGGCCCAGTCTCCCTGGACCCAGGAGGGCTGCGGACTCACCTCATCAAGGGAGGCCGAGCCCATGACTGTCACTGTGCACCTGGAGGGTCCCACAAAGGCCAGCAGGCGGCCATCCCTGCTGACTGCCAGGGCGCTGGGGCTCGCGGGGGCATCCGGGCATACCATGTCCGCTGTGGCCACACGGGGCAGGGGTCAGCTGGGTGGGGAGTGCCGGGGTGCGCGTGGCCAGGGCCCGAGGAGGCCGCCGCCCCTGCCCCCACTTTCGGGAAACACCAGCCCCGGAGCACAGACGCATCACACCGGCAGAGGATTGCCAAGGTGCCAGTGGGCGCCAGGCGCTGCCAGGGGAGCTGGGAGTCCCCGTGGGCCAGCAGTAGTCATAAGTGACCACTCAGGGGGCCCAAGTTATGGTGGCCGCAGGACAGGGCAGGTGCCCATGCCTGGGTCTGACTCCAGCTGCTGACCTGGAGCTTGGGCTGCCTGCCGCCTCCTGGGCACAGACCCGAGCTGACCTCTGGCCTTGGGGTCCAGTGAACGCTAAACCACAGTCTCCTCAGGGCCTTGACAAGGTTACTGAGGCGGCCACGCCCCCCCACAGGACCCAGTCGGTGCACCAGGAAACCGGCATGTGTGTCCAGGTGTGGGCCTGCACCAGATCCAGGCCTCCCCCGCCCTGAGGAGTCCCCCAGAGTGGCTGCAGGGGGCCCAACCTGCCACTCGGAGGACATGCCACTGGGGGTCCGCACAGCTGTACTGGGCCAGGGAGCCCTGGGAGCAGGAGCTGAAGAGCAGGCGGCCGTCAGGGGTGGCGGTCAGGCCGGTGACAGCTCCTCGGTGGCACCTGCAGCACACACAGGGACCCCGCTGGCCCTAGCCCCGAAGCCCAGGTACCATGGGTTCCCTCGACCTCCAGCCAACCAGCCTGGCCATGGAAGTCCCCATGGGGCAGCAAAGGGTGGGGCTCCAGCCAGCACTGGCCATCCTGCACATGACCCCCACCTGGCCACCCCAGCTTCCACCGTGGGGTCTCCGTGGGGCTGGTGGCCAGCTGGGCACTTACGTGTGTTCCACCAGGACCTCAGCGGCCTCCAGGCTGAAGGAGCGCACGGCCCCACTGCTAAAGCCACAGAAAAAGGTTGGCCTTGTGGGGTGGAAGGTGACAGCGCACGGGGCGTCCTCTGATGATGTGAAGTCGTATAGCTGTGGGACAGGGGCCGTGCTGAGGGGAGGGCAGGGATCTCAAGGGCCCAGGGGCTCTCCAGGCGGCCCAAACCCATGGGGCCGACACAGGCTGGAAAGTCCAGGTCCCTATAGGCCCCTCTCACCCCCGCTGACAAACCCCAGCTTCAGGACCTCCCGGCCCTCCCTGCCGTGCTGCCCCTGCCAAACCCCACCTGCTGCAGGGTGGCCAGGTCCCAGATGCGGACGGTACGGTCCTGGGACACGGTGGCCAGCTGTCCCCGCCTCTGCTCCATGGCGAGGGCCAACACCGGGGCGGTGTGGGAGCGAGCCAGCATGTGGTACACCCGGGACAGCGTGTCCAGGAAGCCCAGGTGGCCCGAGGAGGTGGCAGACAGCACACGGAGGCCATCGGGGCTGACACAGACTGAGCTGACGGGGCCCTCGTGCTCTGTGGGTGGGGTGGGGTCAGGGGCCTCCAGGGCCACCCCGGGGTGAGCCGCATGCTCAGGCTTCGGGTCCCCGACACCCCAGCAAATGCACTCCCTGCTGCTCAAAGTCCCAGGCTCCACACGGCTGCAAGATGCAGCTCCCTCGAGGCCACCACTCTTAGGCTAGGCGGGACCCAGGCTGAGGGGCTTCACACACTACCCACGTCCCACCGGGCCCTTCCGTGAGGCTGCCCCGCGGGCCGCCCTGGCATCAGCCGCCCCAGGGCTCTGGATATGCCACTTGGCCCCGTGGCACCCTGTGCAGCCAGGAGCCAGGGCGGCTGACAGCAGAGCCCCGGGGACTGGGCCTTCCCCGCCCCAGCATCCAGGCGAGGCTCTCCCGGAGTTGGGAGAGCGTGCCCACAGCATCACCTGCCTCCAGGAGCACCGAGGAGAAGTCCAGGGGCCAGAGCCGCAAGAAGCCGTCCTCAGAGCCCACAGCACACATGGCCGGGGAGACGCTGAGGCTGCTGATGGCAATGCCGGGGCCTGGGGGCAGGGAGGCGTCAGTGCCTCGGTGTCCCTGCCACCCTGGCCACGTGGTGGGCGCCCTCTTACCTGAGCTGAAGGTCTGCTTCTGTGGGTGGGGACCGCCTGGAGTCCGTGTGGGGAGCAGGCGGCGGGCATGCCGCACGACCATGCGCTGACAGTCAATCTCCAAGATGTGGCCACTGCGGCTGCACACGAAGCTGCCCGAGGAGGCGGCAGGGAAGGTGAGGCCCTCAGGGAAGGGGAGGCCCAGGCACCAGGGCCCCCATGCCGGGGCAGGCCGTGGGGAAGGGCAGGGACTCACAGCATGGCAGCCGAGGGCTCCGGGCAGCCGTCCCGGGCCTGCTTGAAGGCCAGGTCGGTGAACTGCAGCGCGTGGTGCTCCCCTAAGTCCACGGGGCAGGAACGCAGCACCCCGCCACGCAGCCGCCAGAGCCGCACACTGCCCTGCCCGCACGACGCCATCCTGCAAGGAATGAGGACTGAGCACTGCCGCAGCTCGCAGCGCCCTGACCCACCGGGAGACGCAGAGACGCACAGCCAAGCCAGGGGGAGGTGCTCGGGCCTCGGCCCCCACTCCGGGCCCAGACCCTCTCCCAACATCGTGGATGGGCGGCTGCATCACCTGGTTTCATCAAAAAAGGTGACCCGGAAGGCCTGGACGTCAAAGTCAGTGTGCGCCTTTGCCAGAACGACCACCTCGCCACCGAGGCCCACCTGGCCGGTGCCCCAGGCCACCACCATCTGCAACAAGCCCAGGCTGAGCCCGCACGGCAGGGCCAGTCGGGGCCACCTCGATTCTGCAAGGCCCAGCCGAGCCCCACCCGGAGGTGGCTTTTCTCTCATGCGGAGACCAGCCTCTGAGCGTGCGGCCGTGGAGAGTGGAAGGAAACCAGCCCCTCCATCTTCTCATCCTGAAGCTTTGGGACTTCTACAGAGACCCGCAATGCTGAGCACTGCAACCCATTCGCAGAGAAGTACAAACCCCCCCGCAAGCCGGAAGGTGGATAAAAAGCAGCTCGTGGCTGGGCACAGTGGCTCATGCCTGTGATCCCAGCACTTTGGGAGGCTGAGGTGGGAGGACTGCTTGAGCCCTGGAGTTTGAGACCAGCCTGAGCAATGTAATGAAACCCTATCTCTACAAAAAGTTAAAAAAACAAAACGTGAGACCATCCTGGCTAACAAGGTGAAAGCCTATCTCTACTAAAAATACAAAAAAAAAAAATTAGCCAGGCATGTTGGCAGGCGCCTGTAGTCCCAGCTACTGGGGAGGCTGAGGCAGGAGAATGGTGTGAACCTGGGAGGCGGAGCTTGCAGTGAGCTAAGATCGCGCCACTGCACTCCATCCTGGGCGACAGAGCAAGATGCCATCTCAAAAAAAAAAAAAAAAAAAAGTTAGCCAGGTGTGGTGGCACACGCCTGTGGCCCAGCTATCTGGGAAGCTGAGGCAGGAGGATGGCTGGAGTCCAGCTGGCGGGGAGGTCAGGGAGGGGGTCAAGGCTGCAGTGAGCTATGATTGCACCACTGCATTCCAGCCTAGGTGACAGAACAAGGCTCTCTCTCAAAAAAAAAATGTTTAAAAAGGTGCCCCCACCAAGATGCCGGGTGCTTCGGCTGTGTGGAGGTGCCATTGATGCCCAAGCGTGGGTCAGCTGCAGGGGCTCTGCCACGTGAAAATCTTACAACCGCATCACCAGCAGAGAGAACGAGGCGAGGTGTGTAAACGCTGGCTTAAACCGACTCCGATGGCCGAAAAGCCGAGACGTGAAATGTGAGCTGCTGGTGGTGGTTTTTGTGCAGGGCACGGGGGCGGCATGAACACCAGAGTGCAGGGAGCCCCACCACAGGGAGGACACAGAGCAGGGACCCAGGGTCACATGAAGCTGGAGTTTCAGAAAACCAAGACCCTTCCAGCTGTCTGCGTGCATCAGGACAGCCCCACCCCAACCCGCAGCCAGGGCCCTGTTACCGTCCTCCCGTGGTGGTCCTTGCCAACCCCGCAGAGAAGGGCCCCGCTGTCAGAGAAGCTGTGAACAGGGAGGAGGTGGTCATTGTCGCCTGGGCTGACCCCCTCCCCCTGCATGGGGCAGACCTGTGCTCACCTGAGAGAGCAGACAACGTGCATTGGGCTCCGGAACAGGCACAAGCACCGCCCGGTCTGGAAGTCCCAGAGCCGCATCACACTAGGGGCCCTTGCCTGGGCCGAGGCCAATAGTGAGCTGCTGCCATCCAGCGCCAGGGCGGAGACCTAGGAGGCAGAAGGGTGAGGGAGGGTGTAGGGGCTGCAGGTGTGAGCTGCCCCAGGCCCGGGCAGCACCCACCTTGTCTGTGTGGCCAAGGAAGAAGCGCTGCTCCCCCGTGTCCACGAGCAGGACGACGATGACCGCATGGCAGGGGTACACGACAGCCGCCCCGTCTGGGGTCCACAGGGCCTGGCACAAGGGGGCGGGGGGCTGAGGACCGGTGCTACGCCAGGCCCCTCCTGGCTGCCGGGAGGTCAGCCTCACCTCCCACTCCAGCCCAGGGAGAGGGGGTGGCAGGCCTGGCACACACACCTGGGCACACAGCCACCCAGGGGCAAGAGAGAACACACACCCTGCACACACTACATACACGAGTCACAGGCTGCATGTGTCAAAAGAACAGCTGGAACACTCAAGCAGACACGTGTACACACATGCACAGACGCCTGTCCTCTAAGCCCCGCCTCCAGTGCAAGAAACTCCGGGGTGGGGGTAACAAAAGGCCAAAGGGCCCCCAAACACTCAGAGCAGGCACCCAGCAGGGCCTGACAAGGGCCCAAGGCCACTGAGGCAGAGGGGAAGGCCACCTCCTCTGCCATGGGGCTCCTCTCCTAGAAGGCCCACGTCACCCATGAGGGACCTACAGGTTGTGCCCACAGCCTGGCCCCACACTGCTGGTCTGGATCATCAGAGCTCTAAAGACGTGAGAGCTCTGGGTCTTCGGGGGGAGCACTTAGCCCAGCCAGTGAGTAAGAGATGCCCGTGACCCTGAGAGCCCCCGGGCACCAGGAGGTGACAGCAGCTGTGGGCGGGGCAGATGCCTGAGCACGCGGGAAGCAGCGGACTGCAGGGGGACGGGACCGCTGTGCCAGGGGGGCTCGGGAGCCCACACACAGCCACCACAGGACATAGGTCTCTCCTCTCTCCCCGTTCTGTACTCAGCGCTCGAGCCGGCCAACGAGAGCTGCTCTGGACACAGCCGCAGGAGCCTCACCTGTCTGGTGCCGTGGCCCCCAAAGCCGATGACGCCCTTGAGCCTCAGGACTGGGTCTGGGAGGAAGCCCTGAAACAGCCATTCGCATCAAAGTCCTGGGAGGCTCAGCCAGGTCCCCAGAATGCCCGACCAACTCCGAGCCCCGCCAACCCCTAGCTGGGTCCTGCCTCTCAAGAAGACTGCCCTGGTCCTGGGTGGCTCCTGCTGGCTGTGGTAAGGTGGAAGCTGGGACTCCAGTTGCACTGCCAGACCTTCGAGGGTCCCCCACAGACCACCTGGGGCTGACGCATTGGGGGTGAGCAGAAGCCCTGCCTTACTCTTTGTGGACAGAGATTCTTCCCCAAAGCCGCCTCCCGCCAGCTCTGCTCCTTGCCAGGAGGCTGAACAAGAGGAGACCGTTGGAGGCACATCCGTTCTGAATGCATCTCGGGGCGGGCTACCAGCTGCCCCAGCCCACACCTCACCAGGCCCCGCCTGCTGTGGGATGGGCACTCACTTCGCAGGAGCCGGTGCGGGCCACGGGCACCTCAGCCGACTCGTGAGTCAACACGTGGGTGCCGGCAGCAGCCGTGTGGATGTCAGAGGCCTCCAGCTGGGCCCAGGGCTCAAGGCTATGGAAACCGGGGCCATCCGCGTTGGAGGCGTCTGAGCGCTCTTGGGACAGGCTGACCTCCGGGAAGGGCCTGGGTGCCAAGGCGGCCCGGCCGGACTGCTGGGGGACAAGTGCCCATCAGCGTCCTGGGCCATCACACCCCAACCCCATCTCATAGGGCGAAGGGGGTACTCACGGCTGTGGGGCTGGGCGTCTGGACCACTGGAGACACACTGAACCGCACAGGTTTGCTGGAGGCCACCGGGCAAGGGAGAGGCTGTGGCCCCGGCCCCAGGAGGACTAGAACAGAGCAAAGAACCCCAGTGACCCAGGGGCCAGCTGTGCAGATGCCTGGTGAGGGTGACGCCTGGGGAGGGCAGCAGCAAGTGGCCCAGCCTCACCGGCTCTGCAGGACCCACAGCCAGTATCCCCACTTCCACCCTAGGCCCTGAAAGTCTCCTCTTCCAGCTAGAAAGCTTGGGGCCCCCGGGTACCCCTCACACAGACTTCCCACCCTCGTGGTTCTGGGAACTCGGACAACCTACGGGCTTCCCTGGGTCCCTGCACCAGCTGCAGCCAGCACACCACTGGGTCCTTTCCCAGCCCTGCCCTCTCCTACCGAGCCCCACGCACCCTACAGGCCTTAACCTGGGTCCCCGCTGACCCCCCAGACCCACCTGCCTCAGGAGGGGAACAGCTCTTCTCAATCGGCTTGGAAGGCACTTTCAAGCTCTCACTTGGAAACCTTGGCAGGCAGAGGGAGAGTCAGTGTCTGGGGGCCCAAGGGCCACCCACCCTCCCACCACCGAGGCCTCCCTCGAAAGAAGCAGAACCACTCACCGGACGTGGATGTAGCGGTCATGCCAGCTCTCTCCCTTGGGCACAGGGAATGCCATTTCCCGAGGCATAGGAGTCACGGGCAGCTTTGCCCACTGGGCCCCAGAGATGGCTACAAGGAGCAGGGTTGTTCCAGGTCAAGGGAGGCTGTTTAGCCACCTGAACACAGGGCACCCGCCAAGGCACTGCCACGCCACCAGCCCAGCCACCGCCCCACCCCAGGGCTGCCTCTGGGATGGGTTCTGACCCCAGGGCTGCCTCTGGGATGGGTTCTGGCCAGAGCTCAGAGACAGCACAGCTCGAGCACTGTATTTTCCCAAGCACCCTGGACTTGGGCCTCTCCAGGGCTGAGAGCATGGGTGAGATATGGAGTGGGGAGTGCAGGTGCGGCCCTCACCAGGCTCAAAGCACAGGTCACTGGTGTACAGGTTCCTGACCAGCAGGCTGGCGCACAGCCTGATGCTCTTGAGATGGCCGTAGCACCGGTTCAGGTAGACCAGGAGAACGTCCTGCAGATCGAGCTGCAGGCAGGTCCAGCGGGCTCCGGAGGGGGCCAAACCCACCAGATCTGCAGGATGGGCACTCAGGGTCAGCGCCCACCCTCCTGACAGCCCGCGACTCCCAGAACTGTGAGCTTGTGCCCCCGCCAGGTTGTCCTCCAGGCCGCAGAGGAGCCTCACTGGGCCTGCACCAACTCCCTCCAGCCACCTGTCCTGGATCATCCACACCCCATCTTGGTGTCACCTCTCTGAGGTGTCCTGGCCTCCAGGACCAAGGGAAACTGGAGCCACGTGGCCGTAGACTTAAACTCCTTGAAGAGGTTGGAGAAAGACACACGGATGACTTGGTTGTCCTGTGGGGACGGAGCAGGGCCGTGAGGAGACAGGGGCCGCAGGGGTGCCGGGGCTCCCACGCAGCCCCCAGCCGCGGGCTCCGTACCTTGGAGGACACATCGAGGTGGATGACGAAGTGCTTGCTGGGCAGGGGCCGAAAGAGCACATACAGGTATCGTCCCGTCAGCCCCAGAGACTGGGTGCTGCTCTTAGGGAGCTGGATGTAGTTGGCGGCAGAGACTGAGCCCCGAATGCGATACACGGCGCCCTTCAGGGTCTTGTCCTGGAGAAGCGGGAGCCCGCATCACCGACAGCACCCAGAAGAAGTGCAGCGGGGGCGAGGGGGCCCTCGGGGGCGGGGCAGCTCTCCTGGGGGCAGGGCAGGGGTGTGGGCTCCGGGCGAGCCCCCGGCCGCCTACCGTGACCACGGCCACGTCCCCCTGCTTGGCGGAGCGCTTCCACTCGTCCACCCGGAAGTGTCTGAAGACGTTGAGGAACGGGTGCTGCCACGCTGCGGGGAGCGGGCGCCGGGCGTCAGGGGACTCGGCCACGCGAGCCGGGGCCACTGCGGGGCTGGGCCGGGCCTCGGGGACCAGGCAGGAGCCGGGGCTCTCCGCGCCTTCCCCGGCGACGCCAACGCCAGCTAGGCTGGCGGGACGAGGCCGGGCGCCCGAGGGAAGCCAAGCTCCGGGAGCCCGAGGGTGGGCGCCCGGCAGACGGGACCCTGCCTGAGCGGGGACTCTGGCCTCAGGGCCTAGGCGGGGGCCCTGAGCGCTCCGGCCGCCGACCCTGGACCCCGGAACCCCGGAACCCGGGATCCTCGGGACCCCCGCCAGCCGCGCGCTACCTCGGGCCATGGCGCCGCCGCTCGAGCTTCCCGCCTAGGCCTCCGCGCGCCCAGCGCAGAGTACGCCCCGCGACGCCAGGCAACGGCTGCCTGGCAACGGTGCCACTTCCGCCATTACTTCCGCCGTCATGGCGGCGCCCTGGCCACGTGACCTCCCCGGTGGGAGTACCCCGCTCACGTCAGCGGCCTCCAGGGTTGCTCCAGCCGCGAATCCCGCTGCCCTTTGCCCCGCGGGCCTCCCAAGGCAGCCCCCTGTTAGCCCGACCGGCTTCGAAGCCCGCGCCGGTTGCGGATCCTCCGCCGCGCCCACCTGTCAGCGCCTCGGCCGGCCGGGGCTCCCGCCGCATGCAAGCAGCGAGGCGAGGTCGCGCTGAGGCCTGGCCATGCCACGGACGGCCGGGCCTCACCCTGCCGCTCTCTCGCCGTCCAGAGGCCCCTGCTCCACACCTGGGTACCCTGGGTCCTGACTCAGGTGGGCTGGGTCATCCCCGTCCATCAGGGAAGGTAGTGCGGGCGCCCGCGGAGGGGCTGGTTCCCACGTTCGTCCTATCAGGTTCCCCACGTACTCCTTCGCCCAGTGTCCTGCGGCCGGGCCCGGCGGATTCAGAATGGGACCTGGCGTTCTGAGACACAGCCCCAGTGCCGGTAGTGGGGGGTGGTGGACTGCACTCCGGGGCCATTTAATGTCTTTAGGCCTTGAGTCTCGGCTTCGGTCCCAGTCAACGCCAACGGGAGAGGAAAGAGGAACCAAGTGGGGTCCCCAGACTTCCAAGCAAGGTGGGCTGGCTAACGTCCCTCCTACCTGTCGCAGGGCAGCTGGGTGAGAAGCTAACGGCTTGAAGGAACAGGGCTACAAGGGGAGTTTGTGCTGGGCCTGGCGTCCCAGGCTGTGGACTGGAACTGGACATGAGAACCCCCCCTACACCCTCCCAAGTCAAAGACACTCCAAAAAGACAGTTTCTCCACTTTATTAGCCTGGAGCTCCTCCCTGCCAGCCCCAGGGGCTGGTCGCTGGTCCCTGGGCACAGTGAGCAGGGCTGAGGTCAGACGGGTTCGGCCCTTGGCCATGGCAGCTTGGTTGGGACAGCCGGGCCAAGGGAAAAAAAGGTGCAAAAGTCCAAATGCTGGCACTTCAGGTGTGGCCGGCACCCAGCCAGGCGCAGTGGGTGGGCAGGGCGCCATGCTTCTCTCCTGGCGACAGGTCGGCCGTGTAGCAGCGCCCCCTCCCAGCAGCCACTAGGAACAGCTGGTGATTCTCGCCAGGAACTGCTGCGCCCACCACTCGTCTAGGTCAATGGGCACAAAGTCTGTGGGCAGAGAAGGCTGGGCAGTGATGCTGCCTCCCAGGCCAGCCGGCAAGTCTCCCCTGGAGCTAACCACAAGCCGCTCACCCGGACTCCGAGTGCGGCAGGCGCTGGGAAGAAGGGGTTTCTGCACAAGAGTCCCCTCCCTCATCCCCTGGGGTGGGAACCTGGCAGGGCCTGGGTCAGGATCAGAGGGGCTGGGGGGTCTCTCCTGGGGGGACAGGGTTGGGGGGCTCACTCTGCAGCCGGGGATTGGGGGTCCTCTCCACGTACTGCACAGGCCTTGGCCCGCCCTCACCGGCTGGGCCACCATCCAGCTGCTGTTGCACCTGCTGCCAGGCTGTGGGAGGAGGGCAGTCGGGCTGAGCCAGGTCCCAGGCACCCCATCGCCCACCCAGGGCCTGATGGTCACCCTGGACTCCAGCCCCACACAGGGCTGGTCACAGGACACAAGGGCAGAGTGCCAAGGAAAAGCACAGCCATGCAGCGGCTGTGGGTCAGCTTGAAGTGGGGCCATCCCGGGTCCATGGTTTTGCGACCCAGCAGCCTATGCCGCACCCTCTGGCCCCGCTCGCTACCTTCGGACACAAAGCGGACATTCTCCTCGTGGGCCACTGTGTAGGTCTCCTGGGTCCCCTCGAAGGATGGGGACGTGGAGGGGGCCCGCCGGCCATTCACACGATTGAACACAAGCCTTGGCCCTGGACTGCAGGAAGGGAGGAGACGGACATGGTTGGTGCCCATCCCAGGTGCGGTGCTGCCTGGCAGAACTCAGGAGCAGCCCCGGGCCAGCCCACTTTCCCCAGACTTGGCCAGCCTAGGCACTTCCTGAACCAGAGAGAGCAGCCACCCACAGCAGCCGGTGGCCCAGGCCTCTCTTGCAGTCCCCAAGCCATCGGCAGCTCAGCTCACACCTGCAGCCCTGTGTCCTGAGGGAAGTGAGTGACTGTAGGGTGGGGGCCTCAGTCTTAGAGTGTCCCAAACCTTTGGTCGGGCCCCACTCAGTACCCCTCCCCGAGGGTCTTGCAGGTGCCCATGCTGCCACCTGCATCCCATCAGCAGCCCAGATTCTGACCTGAGCCACGACCCAGTCCATGACCATGTCTCTCTGCCCCAACCCCCCCACTCTGGGTGTAGTTCTAGGCCACATTCTCGCCCCACAGAAGCACCTCCATCTCCACGATGTTTCCCTCCATGGACGGATGGACCTGGACGGGAACGGGGGCCTTTGCCCTCTCCCTGGCTGCCCCCACGTCCCATGGGATGAGGACTGGGTGCCGGGATGGGCAGTCCCTGAGTCGGGAGAGTGACTATAACCCTCGCCCACTCCCCACCGGCCCGAGACAAGGGGCGATGCCAAAGGAGATGGCTCCCGCAGTGCCGCACGCAACGTCTGGTGGGCCCCTGGGCCCGTCCCGGCCAGCCGGGCCCAGGGCAGGGATGAGCGGCCCCAGCTGGCCGAGCCCTGAGCACACAAAGCCCGGGACAGGGCCGTGGAGGGAATGGGGCCGCACCTACAGCCGGAGGTGGGAGCCGGGAGTCCTGGGCTGCGCCTGCTCCGCCAGGCACTCGCGGTCCCGGCCGGCCTGTTGCCTTCCTGGGCTCAGGTGCCCCAGCGCCGCTCTCGGTTCCTCCTCAGCTGAGAGGGGCACTAAAATAAAGAGGAGTGTCTTGAGGGGCGCAGGGTCCTGCCGGCCCCAGGGCTGGCAGGGTCTGGTGGCCACAGAGGATCTTAAAACGTGCAGGTGGAGATGGGACAGGGGCAGGGGCACCTCCCAGGCCTGCCCGCTGCCTGAGTTTCTGCACAAACCACAGGGAATAAAGTTTGTCCACTTGGAAAGCCCCCTTGCCTGCAACCCACTCCCACCTCGGAAAGCCAGAAACTCCAAGAAAGCTTGGAGGTTGGATTATCAATGTCTAAGAAGACAAGAACATTGCCAGGGGCTGTGAATCGAAGGGCGGAGGTGGCGGCTCTCGGGCAGAGATGGGCCCCAGGAGGCAGGCACCGCCCCAGGGGCTCTGGTTACGTAAGGCTGCTGCTCTCTGGGGGAAAGGGCACCGGCCCGGCGAGCACCTATGGATCACCGCCAACCTCTCCCACTTCCAGGGACACTGCTCCGGGCAAACTTCAGCCCAGGGAGGTGAAGGCTGTGGAGTGCATCCTCTCCTCTCCCCTCCACAGCCCATCCCTTTTTCAGCCCATGAAGCTGGGCTTGGGAGAGAATCCACCTGAGCATATTACATGCTGGGTGGGGGCAGCACCAGGATATCATAGCAAATCCAACAACAGAGTCCATGGCCCTGACCCAGTACAGCCCCCAAGCCAGCCCCTCAGCCTGCCCTCACTGGGCCTCCCCACCCCCGTCTCTTGCAGGCTGCCCCTTCTCGCCCTGTGGGGTTCATTCCATTGTCCCTTCCTGTGGCGGTCCCCACACCCTCCATCTGCCCTGGGGTCGGGTGATCACATGGCCCCGTTTCATCTTATTACTTATATCGCCTCAGTTTATCTTACTGCCTCCCCTATCCATCTCCCACCAGGAGGAAGAACTTGTCAAAGGTGTATCTGGGCTGGGCGTGGTGGCTCATGCCTGTAATCCCAGCACTTTGGGAGGCCGAGGCGGGTGGGTCGCCTGAGGTCAGGAGTTCAAGATCAGCCTAGCATACGTGGTGAAACTCTGTCTCTACTAAAAATACTAAAAATTAGCCGGGCATGGTGGCGGGCACCTGTAATACCAGCTACTCCGGAGGCTGGGGTGGGAGACTCACTTGAACCTGGGAGGCGGAGGTTGCAGTGAGCCAAGATCACGCCACTGTACTCCAGCCTGGCAACAGAGCAAGACTCTGTCTCAAAAACAAACAAAGGTGGCCGGGCGCGGTGACTCACACCTGTAATCCCAGCACTTTGGGAGGCCGAGGTGGGTGGATCACGAGGTCAGGAGATCGAGACCATCCTGGCTAACACGGTGAAACCCCGTCTCTACTATAAACACAAAAAAATTAGCCGGGTGTGGTGGAGGGCGCCTGTAGTCCCAGCTGCTCGGGAGGCTGAGGCAGGAGAATGGCCTGAACCCGGAAGGTGAAGCTTGTAGTGAGCTGAGATCACACCACTGCACTCCAGCCTGGGCTACAGAGCGAGACTCCATCTCAGAATAAAAATAAAAATTAAAAAAACAAACCAAGGTTTATCTGGTCTGTCACTGTCGTGGGCAGTGCCCAGACCCATGCCTGGCAGGAACCAGAGCCAGCATACATCATGGGTGACAAGCCTTGACCCTCTGGGTGCACCAGGAGATGTGCAGGGACCCCGACACCCCCCTCCCGCGCCCAGTCAGTGAGAGATGAGGAGTAGCAAAAAGCACCAAGGAGAAGAAAAGGCAGGGCAGGGCCGGGCGCGGTGGCCCACACCTATAACCCCAACGCTTCCACAGGCCAAGGCGGGAGAATTGCTCGAGCCCAGGAATTGAATACTACCCTGGGCCACATAGTGAGACCTGTCTACATAAAAGTTAAAAATGAGCCAGGTGTGGTGCTCGCCTGTCATCCCAGCTACTCAGGAAGTCGAGAGGTGGGAGGATCACTTGAACCTGGGAGGTTGAGGCTGCAGTGAGCCATGATTGCACCACTGCACCCCGGCCTGGGTGACAGAGCAAGACCTTGTCTCAAAAAGAAAAAAATTAAATGAAGTAAAAAACAGCGAGGTGGGTGGCAGCATGGGGTGGGGTGGTTCAGAGGGAAGGTGGTTGGCCAAGCACGGTGGTTCACGCCTGTAATCCCAGCACTCTGGGAGGCCGAGGTGGGCGCATCACCGGAGGTAGGGAGTTTGAGACCAGCCTGACCAACATGGAGAAACCCTGACTCTACTAAAAATACAAGATTAGCTGGGTGTGGCAGTGCACGCCTGTAATCCCAGCTATTCGGGAGGCTGAGGCAGGAGGATCGCTTGAACCCAGGAGGCAGAGGTTGCGGTGAGCGGAGATCCTGCCATTGCACTCCAGCCTGGGCAACAGAGCAAAACTCCATTTCAAAAAAAAAGAAACAGAGGGAAGGTGGTTGCCCCAAGAAGGTGCAGGAGCAGGATGGGGGCTTCATGCAGAGATCCCACTGCTGCCAGAAGCTCCCAGCGCTGGGGCCTGGGGGTGGGAAGGTGGGTGACCCCAGGGAGGAGAGGGCAGCACACATCCTGCCCTGCCCAGGGCTCCTCTAGCCCCACTGCACACGGGGTGAAGCCCACTCAACTCCCACAGGTCCCACTGGCTGACAGAGGACCTCACATGGGGACTTTAAGAAAACAGGCCGGGCGCGGTAGCTCACACTTGTAATCCCAGCACTTTGGGGGGCTGAGGCGGGTGGATCATGAGGTCAGGAGATCGAGCCCATCCTGGCCAACATGGTGAAATACAAAAATATAAAATTAGCCGGGCATGGTGGCACGCACCTGTAGTCCCAGCTACTGAAGAGACTGAGGCAGGAGAATCGCTTGAACCCGGGAGGCAGAGGTTGCAGTGAGCTGAGATTGCGCCACTGCACTCCAGCCTGGGCGACAGATGGAGACTCTGTCTCCAAAAAAAAAAAAAAAAAAAAAGAGACAACAGCCAGTGGGCCTGGTGTTGCCCACTGGGACCCTTGGGGTCCCATGGAGAACTCTGGGAAGCATTTCCATCTTCTTCCCTAACTCCTCCTAACTGTGCCACAGCCTTACCCCTGCCCTCCCTAGCAGTGGGGTCTTGGAGAGAGAAGAAAGGTGGTTTCCCCAGGTTAAGAGAGACGGCGTCACCCTGGGCCACTCCAGCCTCATGCTCCCTGCCTGGGGACCAGGTGGTGGCTACAGGTGTGCCTCGGTTTCCTCCCCTGGGAAGTAGAGCGGCCACGAGGACCAAGGGTGATGTCCGCGGAGCGTCCCAGCAGAGCTGGGATGCTGGAAGCACCTAGGGGCCCACTCACCTCCCGCCAGAAGGCGCCTCTGGTAGAGGGCACTTACCTCACTAGGATGGAGCCCCAGAGAGCCCCCGCCCCGCTGGAACCTCCACACCTTTCTGAGAGGTAGGCAGGGGGCAGGCTGAGGGTGGCTCGGCACCCCCCCACCTGTAGCTGCCCTGAACTCCTGGCCCGAGCTCTCCTCCCCAGCACCGCCTCAGGCCATGACCCTACCACCTCCAGGAGCCTTCGGGCCGGCTTGGGGCCACAGCAAAATCCACAGGCCTGGGAGAGGCACAGGATAAATGAAGGGAACGGTGGAGGAACTGAGCCAAAGTCAAACGTCCAGCCCTGCGGGGCTGTCCAACCTCTGGGTCATGGTCACGGGGAGGCCACAGTGGCCGGACTGAGGCTCCTGTGGTCTCGGAGTTTCCTAACTGGGTTAGGAAAAGCAGAAGCAACCGGATGGGGGGAGGCCCCACTGCCCCAGGGTGTCTGGGGTGAAGGGCGGAGGAGGGCAGCGGCCCTGCCCGAGGGAAGCGCACGCACGTCTCCCCCACTGAGCTCTGCAAGGGCAGAGCCGGGAGATCTTGAGGACCAGCGCCCGACGCTCTCCGCGAACCGTGGCCTGGGCCTGCTGCACGTCAGGGTTCCAGCAGCAACCCAAGGTCGCCCGAAGCACCGACCTCGGACGCTGGAGGCCCCTGCGACCCAGGAACTGGCCGGCTTTCTCCCCGCTGGGGGCCCGGGCCCGGCCAGGTGAGGCGGAAGTGCGAGGCGCAGGCCCGCGGGCGCGTAGTGGGCAGGACCCGCGCACCCCCCGCGCCCGGAGCGCCCGCCCCGCCTGCAGCACGTGGCCGGACCTCACTAACATTTCCCCAAGGTCACCCTCCGCTCTAGGGCGGCCGGCGGGGGAGGGGAAGCCGGGCCGGGCCGGGCCGGGGCCGCGCGCGTCTCACCTCGACAGGGGCCAGGGTCCCGGCGGCTGCGCAAAGGGCTGCGCCCGCGGGGGCTGCGAGGTCGGCGGCGCGGGCTGCCGGCATTTCAGGAGCTCGCCGAGCCGGCCCTCCACCTGCTGCTGCGTGGGACCTGCGGGCACCGGGGGGCGGTCAGCCGCCGCCGCGCCCCGCCCCGTCCCCGTTCCCGTTCCCCGGCCCGTGCGCACCTGTGCGGCGCTGCGCGACCAGCTTGCTGGGCCCCTTGGTGATGGTGTACATGACGCGCCGCTCCCACACCGCCGCCGGCCCCCGGCCAGATCCGGCCCCTGCGCCGGGGCTCGCACTTAACGGACTGCGGGCGCCGCGGGGAGGGGGCGGGCCCGCTACACGCCCCC
The DNA here is from genome assembly GCF_000001405.40 of Homo sapiens. Classification (NCBI taxonomy): domain Eukaryota; kingdom Metazoa; phylum Chordata; class Mammalia; order Primates; family Hominidae; genus Homo; species Homo sapiens. Next base: position 641,875 of record NC_000016.10, on the reverse strand, counting down.
GGCCCTTAAAGGGCCCGCACGGGCTCGGGCTGACCCCGGACACGCGGCGGAGGCGGCGCTTGCGCCCTTTGGGAAACTGGCAGGCGGGGGCGGAGCCGCCAGCAACCCCGCCCCAGCCCCCGGAGGCCCGAGGCCAAGGCGGACGAGGCGCCCTGCTGCCCGGGAAGGCCGTTGCTGCCTGGAGGCCATGTCAGTGTCGGGGCACCGCACTCAGACTGCTGGCGGCGAGGACCCAGGGGCCCTGCGGGGTCAGCGGCGATGTGCGAGCAGGGTCCTCGGAGCCCCAGGGCCCACCTTTGACAAGCGCTGGAGGAGAACCTGTGCTGGGGGTCCCTGTGCTGGGGGCATCCCTGTGCTGGAGGTCTCTGTGCTGGCGGGATCCCTGTACTGTGGGGGGGTCCCTGTGCCTGTGCTGGGGGGCTCTGTGCTGCGGGCCCTGTGCCGGGGGCATCCCTGTGCTGGGGGGATCCCTGTGCTGGGGGGCCCTGTGCTGGGGGCATCCCTGTGCTGGAGGTCTCTCTGCTGGGGGGATCCCTGTACTGGGGGGGGGTCCCTGTGCCTGTGCTGGGGGGCTCTGTGCTGCGGGCCCTGTGCTGGGGGCATCCCTGTGCTGGGGGGATCCCTGTATTGGGGGGCCCTGTGCTGGGGGGATCCCTGTGCTGGAGGTCTCTGTGCTTGGGGGGATCCCTGTACTGGGGAGGAGTCCCTGTGCTGGATCCCTGTGCTGCGGGCCCTGTGCTGGGGGGATCCCTGTGCTGGGGGCCCTGTGCTGGGGGGCCCTGTGCTGGGGGGATCCCTGGGCTGGGGGGGTCCCTGTGCTGGGGGGCCCTGTGCTGAGGGGCCCTGTGCTGGGGGGATCCCTGTGCTGGGGGGGTCCCTGTGCTTGGGGATCCCTGTGCCGGGGGGCCCTGTGCTGGGGGGCTACTCTGTGCTGTGGGTCTCTGTTCTGGGGGCTCTGTGCTATGGGGGGTATCTGCGCTGGGGGCTCTGTACTGGGGGACTCTGTGCTGGGGGTGTCTGTGCAGGGGGGCTGTGTGCAGGGGAGCTCTGTGTTGGGGGCTGTGTGCTGGGGGACTCTGTGCTGGGGGCGTCTGTGCTGGGCTCCTCTGTGCCGAGGCTGGAGGCAAGGATTTACCATTCATACTTGGGGAGCCTCAGCCAAGGTGCCTGCAGAGGCCTGGGCCAGTGTGAAGGGTCACCCTTGGCTTGGGTCTTGGGACTGGGTCTAAGAAGAGAAAAAGCGGCTCATCCCCCTGGACTTGGGTAGAGACATGATGCCCTGGGAGTCTCCCTTCCACCCCAGGAGTCAGAACCCTGGCTGCACTCTGCCCCACGTCCTGGCCCCCAGGCTGAGGTGCACCCAGAGGCCCGACGTGTGCCTCTTCGGCCCCTGGGGCTCCTGTACCCGCCCCACAGATGTGAGAGTGTGGCAGGCCAGGTCTCACTAACGCAGGCCTCCATAACAATTATTTCAGTGCAGAGTGGTTAGTTCAATATTAAAAGCTTAAAAAGCTGTCCAGGATCGGTGGTTTACACCTGTAATCCCAGCACTTTGGGAGGCCCAGGCAGGTGGATGACCTAAGGTCAGGAGTTCGAGACCAGCCCAGCCAATTTAGTGAAACCCCATCTCTACTAAAAATACAAAAAAAAAAAAAAAAAAAAAATTAGCCAGGCATGGTGGCAGGTGCCTATAATCCCAGCTACTCCAGAGGCTGAGGCAGGAGAATCACTTGAACCTGGGAGACAGAGGTTGCAGTGAGCCAAGATCGTGCCACTACACTCCAGCCTGGGCAAAAGAGTGAGACTCCGTCTCAAAAAAAAAAAAAAAAAAATGCCGGGTGTGGTGGCACACACCTGTAGTCCCAGCTACTCGGGAGGCTGAGACAGGAGAATCACTTGAACCCAGGAGGTGGAGGTTGCAGTGAGCTGAGATCACATCACTGCACTCCAGCCTGGGCGACAGAGCAGGACTCTAAAGAAGAAAAGCCAGTGCCCTTCTTCAAAGGCTGGAATGTAACAAAAGCCCACCAAGAGCTGTGCCCAGGCCTCTCCTGGGCCTTGAAGCGCGACAAGATAACGAAGGAATTCTTAATAGGACCCGTTTAGGATTAAACAAGTTTATTGGAGGTCTGAAGAAACTCTCCAGGCCTCCACAGACAAGTTTATTGGGAGCCCGAAGGAACTCCCCAAACCTTCATGATTTAGCAGGAAACAAGATTAAGTCAGTTTACTGAGGCTCCAGGGGAAGGTCTTCAGGACTCAGGCCTTAATTATAGATTAAAAGAAGTTAATCACTTGGCCGGGCACGGTGGCTCACGCCTGTAATCCCAGCACTTTGGGAGGCCGAGGCGGGCGGATCACGAGGTCAGGAAATCGAGACCATCCTGGCTAACACGGGGAAACCCCGTCTCTACTAAAAATAGTGAGCCCAAGATCGTGCCACTGCACTCCAGCCTGGGCAACAGAGCAAGACTCCGTCTCAAAAAAAAGAAAAAAGAAAAAAGTTAACCACTTATGTCTTCAGATGAATGCACACTTACACACAGACATCTAGGTTGGAAGGTACATAACCTCTGGAAAACTTTGTAATTTGACTTGTTCTGGTGATAATTTCCAGGCCTTCTCCTTGTAACCGGCTGCAGAAATAAAAACCCTCTTCCTCACCAGTTCATCTGCATCTCGTTACTGGGCCACGAGAAATAGCAGCCCGACTCTCAGTTTGGTCCAGGAACAAGAGGAGGCTGCCTGTGCCGGCATCAGGGCCTGGCGTGTCCAGTGGCCCCCACATTCTCCAAGGAGAGGTCAGGGATGCTGTGGCTGAAAACGGAGCTGTGGCGGGTGGGCGGCAGGGCCCAGAGTCTTCCTGTCTAAATTTCCAGGCAAGCAACATGCACCACATGGAGGGGTGAGGGGAGGCCCTTGGTGGTGGGGGGCCAGCCCGAGGAGCCCCCACCCCATGCACTGGCCCTGCTTCTCCTCCCTTCTGGGAGCTCCAGACTTACTGGGAGGCCCTCAGGGAAGCTTCTGACCCAGGTGTCTCTTGGCCCTGTACCCCTCCTCAGCATGGCTGAAGAGCGGAAGGAAAGAGGTTTCCATCCCCAGCTGCCTTCTCTGCAGGGTTGGGCCAGGCCTGTGGCCCTCAGAGGGCAAAGGAGATGGCAAGCCACAGCCAGGGAGGCCAAGCCTGAGACGCCCCCTAGGAAGGACTCCTCACGGACTCTTTTCTACCTCCCACCCCCACCCCTGCCCCCACCTTCCCCACTCCCCCAGTTCCCCTCCCCCCACCTGGCTCTGCCCTCCCCCCACCAGCATCGGGCATCGTGTCCTTCAAGGAAGGCCAGTGTGATCCCCGTCATCTGTGCAGCCTGCGTCCTGCCCTGGCTTCTCCCAGTGGCCTTCAGCGCAATCACTCACACAGGCCAGGGAGGCAGGACGGGGTGCTGGGGGGCCTGTGCACAGCCTGAGGGCATATGCTCCTGTGGAAGACCTGGCAGCAAGGACCAGCTGAGTTAGAGTGAGGGCGGTGCTGGGGAGGGAAGCCCCATGTGGGGAAGGGCATAACCCGAGCTCACACAGGCTCCCGAAGGCGGCCCCCCACCTTTGGGGCCCACTGCAGGCGGCAAGGACAAGCTGGGCTGGCCCAGAGCTCAGCAGAGCTAGCGTTTGCTTCAGCCATTGGTGGTCAAGCCACGAGGCCCAAACATCCAGCCCCAACAATAGGCCATATCTGAAGTCAGGCAACACTAAACCTGCCATGCGCTGGGCACTGTAGGCAGCTCCTGAACGCAGCTCCATTCAAGGGGGGAAGCAGGGAGGCGCAGAGAGACTGATCTCGGGCTCCTCTTTCCTGTGCCTAGGGAAGCCCAGGTGAAATCTGGGTGAGGAGAGGTGCATGGGCCCCAGGAGAACCACTGGTCATCATAGGTCCCTCCTCCTGGGGCTCTCCTCGAGGTGGGGGTTGGGGGCAGGGTGCGCATTGAAGGAGGCGCAGGGAAAGTGCTCAGCCCACAGAAAGAGAGATGGAGGCGGCCAGTCAGGCGAGGAAAGCGTGGGCTTGGGCCGCAGAGCCTGCTGCAGGGTCTGGCCAGTCACCACCACGGCGGACACCAACATCTCCTGGCAGGGTTGTCCCTGACCCCTGACTCCCTGAGCCCCCCATGGCCCGCGTTCCCAGTCCCAGACTGGCAGCCTGTAAGCCACTCTCCTACCCTGAGCCACGTGACTGGCCCTCCCTGGTTTACCCCTTCCAACGTCCTTGCCCTAGCCAGAGCGATATGGGGTTCCCATTGGTGAAAAACGGCTCAGCAAAGGCGCTAAGCCAGTCCTGAATGCAGAGCCAGGCGCTTGGCACTTTCTGGAGAAGAGCCCGGCTCTGAGGCTGGGACCCCAACCCTCGGGCGCACATAAATCGCGGCCTGTGACTTGATTTCGGGGGTCACCGACCGACCCCTCACGCTATCCGTGGGCCCTGAGCTGGTGCTGTTACCCCAGTGTCACAGAGAAACCCTGGGGCATTATTCGTGCCCCTCCCGCAGACCGCCCAGTTCTGCAGGCTGGGACCGCCCGCCCCGCCCTCTGCCGCCCCTGCCGCCCCTGCCGCCCCTGCCGCCCCTGCCGCAACCCCGCTCTGGCCCCGCCCCAACCCGCCAGTCCACACTCATGTCCCGCCCCCCAGCCCCGCCTCCCCTCTCGGACCCGCCCCGATATGGCCCCGCCCCTCCGGCAACCCCGCCCTAAACTCGGACCAACAGGGGGCCCCAGCCCAGCCCCGCCCTCTCCCCAGCCCCGCCCCGACAGGGCCTCGCCCCCATCGGCTCACGAAGGCCAACGGCTTCCACGGCTCAGGCCCGAATCGAGACTGTCCTCCAGCTCGCGTCCTTCACGCCCGCTCCTTCCCCTCCGGCACTGGGGGGCACCGCGAGACTCTTACCCTCGCGGTCCCGCCAGCTGGGTCCTCCTATGCAGTCGCCAGCTCCCTTGCGCTGAGCCCGGCGCCAGCGGCGGCGCACGCCCGGAGGACTTCCCGCGTCACAGTCTCTTGTCTCCGCGGGCAGCAACTGTCTTAGACAGCGCCGCTGGTGTAGTGGTATCATGCAAGATTCCCATTCTTGCGACCCGGGTTCGATTCCCGGGCGGCGCACTTAGTTTTTTTTCCCATTTGAACATCGAACTCTCGCTAACGCCAGAAATTTAAAAGTAGAGAAAACCCGAAACCAAGGGAAGGCGCCCAGTCTGGCGCAGCGCTGACACAAATTTCGGAGAGTGACACAGGTGCCCTGAAAACCCTGGACGGCCATGGGCGACAGGGTGCCTGAGCTGAGGCGCCTGTAAACCAGCAAGCCAAGCTCGCCGTTCAGTCCCCTGCCTGGGACCGCCACACACCGCTGAGCCGCTCCCCACCGTGCCTCTGGCGACTGCTGGTCCTTTAACAGGAGGCGCGCGTGCTCCTGGGAGTTGTAGTTTATCAGCTTCCGACGTGCCCCGCGGTATCTGGACTACAGCTCCCGACGTGCCCCGCGGAAGCCCGGCCACCGCCCCCGACGCGACCCGCGCCGCGTCCGCGGCGGGGAGTTGTTGCTGCCGCGATGCTGGTGGCGGCGGCCGCGGAGCGGAACAAGGATCCCATCTTGCACGTGCTGCGGCAGTACCTGGATCCGGCCCAGCGTGGCGTCCGCGTCCTCGAGGTGGCCTCGGGCTCCGGCCAGCACGCAGCGCACTTCGCGCGGGCCTTCCCCCTGGCCGAGTGGCAGCCGTCGGACGTGGACCAGCGCTGCCTGGACAGGTGCGGCCCCCGGGGCGGCCACTTCTATCGGTGCGGCGGTCCGGGGCCTCAAGAGCCCACGGCCCGCAGCCCCGGAGGAAAAGGATGCGGCTCGGGCTCTGAGGGTGCGGGGTGGGAGCCTGGGGGTGCCCCCGGGGCAGGCCCTAGCTGTGCGGCCCCCGCGGCTGCGGAAGTGGGTGGACCTCGGGGTCCCCCTTCCCAGCCGCTTTGGTCTCCGCTCCTCAACGTGCCCCCCAGCCTCCCCTAAGAAATTCTGTGGGGGCGTCGGAAAGGCGGGTGCACAGGACTCGGCCCCCACCCAAGCGTTCGCCTCCTGCAGCATCGCGGCCACCACGCAAGCCCAGGGCCTGACCAACGTGAAGGCCCCGCTACACCTGGACGTGACGTGGGGCTGGGAGCACTGGGGCGGGATCCTGCCACAGTCGCTGGACCTGTTGCTCTGCATCAACATGGCCCATGTCAGCCCCCTGCGCTGCACGGAGGTCTGTGGGGAGCCCAGCATGGGTGTCTGCCGTGGCACCACTCACCCTGCATGGGGGCAGCTGGGATGCCAGATTTGCCCCCATCACAGTCGGGGTGAGGGTCTCCAGCCTCCCCCATCACAGTCGGGGTGAGGGTCTCCAGCCTCCCCCATCACAGTCGGGGTGAGGGTCTCCAGCCTCCCCCATCACAGTCGGGGTGAGGGTCTCCAGCCTCAGGGCCTGGCTTCTGTTGGGGGCAGCACCTCACTGCCGTCCTGTTCCTACTCACCAGGGGCTCTTCAGAGCAGCAGGACACCTGCTCAAACCCAGGGCCCTGCTCATCACCTACGGGGTGAGTGGGCCTGTCCACGGCGGGCCTCCCGCTCCCAGTCCTAGCTGCTGTCTCCTGCCCTGCTGAGAGTCCTCCCTCCTGGGCTCCCTGCCCCCCGCCCAGCCACCAGCACGGCCTCCCCTCCACTTCCAGTCTGTACCCCTCCCTGGGTCATCTGCCAGCCTCCCTACCCCCTTGCCCACCAGGCTGGCCTTGGCTGACTCCCTCTTGGGGACAGGGAGGGGGTGCCCTTTCATTCTCCAAACCCCAGCCTGCAAGTCTGTCCCAGGCTCTCTGGGAA